>NC_000005.10:109484807-110109807 GCF_000001405.40 Homo sapiens
AAGCAAAATAAGTTAGTGAACTTGAACTTATTTGCTAAACACGTAGAACACAGGATTAGAACTCCCAGGCTCTGCCCCTTGTGCAGTCGGGTAATGGAACTGTTGGAGTTTTGTTTTCTCCCACTATTTTTTTTAAGTGTTTGAAAGTGGCTACATTGTTTCTATAATAAAAAGAGAGATAAGAATACCCTATACACAGAAGCAGACAGGTTCAGGGTTTCAGTCCTTGAGAAGCACTGAGCAAGTAAAGGCTGAGGAACCTGGGGTCAGGCTGCAGAAACTAGGATCAGTACTACCCCCCATTGCCTCCAGGAACATGCTAAGCTCTGCCTGGCTCAAAGCCAAGTTTGGATGGCGTCCACGAGGCCACTGAGCAAGCGGCTTTGAAAGATCATGCTGTCGCACTGGCAGTCAGGAACTGCGGGAAAGTAAATATTTACTGGTTCCAGGAAGGGAAACCCATTATCCTAGGATCCTAGGGATGAACTTTTCTATGACTGCGGCAAAATTCACGTGAAAAAAAATGGTTTGGGAAGCTCTTCACCTGTGAGGTTTTTCACCATGCCTCGCCAAACAGACTGGCTTCCAATACTACCCCTTTACCTTGGTGAAATGAGCCTAGACACAGTTCTACCATATGAGCAGCGGCTGGTGCCTTTTACCCTGTAAAGGGTAAGTGATGGAAAGAGAATAGTGCAGACAAAATGTAAATGCAGCTCAGAGAAGGGATGGATAATAGATCAAGGGAGGCTTCCTGAAGAAGGTGTCACTGAAGTTAGGCCATGTAAAAAGATATGTATCCATGGGGGGAAAGGGATCGAAAGCTAATTCTGAAAGAATAGAGACACCTGAGCAAAGACCCAGAGGAAAGAAAAAGTCAAGGCAAGCATTTCTCTGGAGCATCATCTACTGAAGATCATCATAAGTATTTTTAACTTCTCAAAACCAGTATGACATGCTGCATGCTGTATAGTCATCTCCAGCCCTGTGATCCTTGAGTTCTAGAAGCGAATGCACTTCAATCAACATATTCAGGTTTACTTGAAGAAACACCAGATGAAAGGCCTTCAGGTCCTCATGTTATATGTAATAGGGTAAATGTTTTGGTTTTTACTTTGAGAAAGGAAAACTTCAGCATCAGACAGTAGTTTAATAATAGCTTAGTCTGGAAGGAACAGAAAAATAGACATAAACTGGAGCATAGTTATCAATAGACTAAAAATGTCCAGATGTGGCCCAGGTAGAAGAATAGTTAACCACCAAGGTGGTGTGGGAGCCAGCCTCAATATGCCTGGCCTCCTCCTACTCACACCCGTGTGTAGCAGCTTTCACATTCTACCAGGGTTGGTCTGTGTGACTCACGGAATATGGCAGAAATAATGGTATGTCACTCCGAGATCATGTTATGGATTACACTGTGGCTTTTGCCTCAGTCTCTCACTTTCTTGGATCACTTGTGCTGGGGAAAGTTAGCTTGCATATATGAGCTATCCGGTGAAGGGGCCCACATGGTGAGGAACTGAAGACTCCAGCCAACAGCCACACCAGTGAACTTGGAAACCGATCCTGCAGTCCTTGCCAGCAGCTTGACTTTGCAGAGACCTCATGAGGAACCCTGAGCCAGACCACAAAGCCAAGCGACTCCTGGATTCCTGGACCTTACACATGGTGCCAGGTAAGTGATGAATGTTTGTTGTCTTAAGGTGCTGAGTTTGGGGCAAATTTGTTACTCAGAGATGCGTAACTAATCCCACGGAGAATGGTGGACACTGTGGGTCCCCGCAGGGAGTACACTCAGGGAAATCATCTAAGACAGAGAGGAGTAAGGAATGCCACGTAGCAGAGTCATACTCTAGGGCGTCTGGTCTCACATGCCCTAACTTCCCTTCACAAATCTCTTTTAACAAAGAATCTACTCAAGATATTCTACTAGAATGTAAAGAGCGTGTGTTTTCTGTTGGTTCAGATTCATGATTACAAAACTAAAAGTCATGTGGCATCAGCGATTCATACTTTTTTATTTTTTATTTTTGAGATGGGTCTCGCTCTGTCACCCAGGCTGGAGTGCAGTGGCACAGTCTTGGCTCATTGCAACCTCTGCCTCCCGGGTTCAAGCGATTCTCCTGCCTCAAGCAATTCTCCTGCCTCAGACTCCTGACTAGCTAATGTGTCCGGAATTGGTGGGATCTTGGTCTCACTGACTTTAAGAATGAAGCCGTGGACCTCGTGGTGAGTGTTACAGTTCTTAAAGGCTGCGTGTCCGGAGTTTGTTCCTTCTGATGTTCGGATGTGTTCGGAGTTTCTTCCTTCTGGTGGGTTCGTGGTCTCGCTGGCTCAGGAGTGAAGCTGCAGACCTTCGCAGTGAGTGTTACAGCTCATAAAGGCAGTGCGGACCCAAAGACTGAGCAGCAGCAAGATTTTTTGCAAAGAGCAAAATAACAAAACTTGTACAGTATGGAGGGGGACCTGACAGGGTTGCCACTGCTGGCTGGGGCAGCCTGCTTTTATTCCCTTATCTGGCCTCACTCACATCCTGCTGATTGGTCCATTTCACAGAGAGCTGATTGGTCTGTTTTGACAGGGTGCTGATTGGTGCGTTTACAATCCCTGAGCTAGACACAAAAGTTCTCCAAGTCCCCACTAGATTAGCTAGACACAGAGCACTGATTGGTGCATTCACAAACCCTGAACTAGACACAGGGTGCTGATTGGTGCATTTACAAACCTTGAGCTAGACACAGAGTGCTGATTGGTGCATTCACAATCCCTTAGCTAGACATAAAGGTTCTCCAAGTCCCCACCAGATCAGCTAGACACAGAGCAATGATTGGTGCATTCACAAACCTTGAGCTAGACACAGGGTGCTGATTAGTGCATTTACAAACCTCGAGCGAGACACAGAGTGCTGATTGGTGTAGCTACAATTCCTTAGTTAGACATAAAGGTTCTCCAAGTCCCCACTAGACTCAGGAGCCCATCTGGCTTCACCTAGCTTCCAGGGCGCAGGCGGAGCTGCCCGCCAGTCCCGCGCCTTGTGCCCGCACTCCTCAGCCCTTGGGCCGTCGATGGGACCGGGCGCCGAGGAGCAGGGGGCGGCGCTTGTCGCGGAGGCTCCGCGCGCAGGAGCCTACGGCTGCGGGGAGGCTCCGGCATGGCGGGCTGCAGGTCCGGTGCCCTGCTCTGCAGGGAGGCAGCTGAGGCCCGGCGAGAATTCCAGCGCAGTGCCGGCGGGCGGAACTGCTGGGGGACCCGGCGCACCCTCCGCAGCTGCTGGCCCGGGTGCTAAGCCCCTCACTGCCCGGGGCCCACCGAGCCCACGCCCACCCGGAACTCGCGCTGGTCCGGCGCGCAGCCCCGGTTCCCGCCCGCGCCTCTCCCTCCACACCTCCCTGCAAGCAGAGGGAGCCGGCTCCGACCTCGGCCAGCCCAGAGAGGGACTCCCATAGCCGGCTCCGATCTCGGGCGGCCCAGAGAAGGACTCCCATAGTGCAGCGGCGGGCTGGCGGGCTGAAGGGCTTCTCAAGCGCGGCCAGAGTGGGCGCCAAGGCTGAGGCGCCGCCGAGAGCGAGCTGCCAGGACGCTGTCACCTCTCACTGAGATTACAGGTACGTGCCACCATGCCCAGCTAATGTTTTGTATTTTTACCAGAGACAGGGTTTCACCATGTTGGCCAGGCTGGTCTCAAAGTCCTGCCATCAAGTGATTCGCCTGCCTCCGCCTCCCAAAGTGCTGGGATTACAGGCATGAGCCACCGTGCCTGGCCAATTCATACTCTTGAATGCCTGGGCTTTGCTGTAGCACCCCTGGAAGTAGGTGTGTGAGTAGCTTACCCTTGTGGAGGAGTGTTCTGAAGTGAATCCTGGATACTTTATCTGAACACTACTGGGCTTTGACAAATCTGGAGGTTCTCACTGGTGCTTCTGGAGTCTGATGGTGACTCAGATCTTATCTTCCTGACTGATATTTACAGTAACTAACATTTTAAATGGCTGTGCTACTGACCCTGCGCTAAATATTTTGTATGAATTTTGTTGTTTAACCTAAGACAATCCTATTACATAGGTACTATTGAAATTCTGCTATTAGAGATGTGGAAACGGAGGCACAGAGAGGCGATACAGTGTCTAGGGTCGTACAGTTCTTAAGTAACAGAGTTAAGGCATGAATCTGATTGGTTTGATTGCAATGCCCATGCTCTAAACTACTTGTGCTGTAAATGCCTGTAGGAGGATTTTTGTTACCTGTAGACTTGGCACTTCTAGATAATCAGCCTATTTTGGGGGGTGTTTGATTATTCACACAGAATCCCTCATTCTTTCTGGTTGATTGCAGTGTTCAAGCTAAAGCACTCTAAAATTCAGCTTTATCAAATACACAGCTTAAAGCCTTCTACTGAAAGAATGGCAAGTACTTCATTTTTAAATACACAAGTGGGGAGAAAAATGGCTTTCTTATCAACGTCCAAGTTTCTTACACCTCATCTAAAATTGTACACTTTGCTGTACCTTTTCGTGTTTTCTCCCATTGCTCCTGGCTTGATGATGGAATGCTTTAATTTGCTCCACATATAATATTCTTGCACCACTGTTTTCTGTAATTTATACCACATGCTGTCCACTTTCTTGTACTATTTTATTCGGTAAAGCACTTTAGATGCCCGTTTACATGAAAGATGTTATTTGAAATGAAGTCGTATTGCAAGCTACATTATTATAATTTCCTTTTTGCTTTGGTCCTACTTCATCTTACACAGTTGCCGCATGTTTGATGCAGTGCTGAAATTTAAGTGGAAAGGGCGTTTGGAATTGATGCTCATGTATTACTTATTTAATCTGCTGCCAGTGCAATCCACTATCAAGTTTTCAGTTTTTAATATATCCCAGGGTCTGCCCTGACATCCGTCTTACTTGTTTCATGGAGAAAATCTGCACTATGGACATTGTTACAAGTTAAGCATAAGCTGGTAAGTTGTTTTGGCTTTGGAATAACACCTCAGGGTACAGCTTAATAAGGGCACACAGTTATTATGGATAATGGAAAAGTTTGTCAGTTCTCAATTATTTAGTGACTAATTGGCCTTGGCCCTTTGTTTCTGTTGTTTTTCCATCCTTTCTCTTTGCCTTTTATTCATTCCAATGTTCTTTAGTATTTTTGGAAGGTAGACAAAAAGGAAGAAAAATTTGAACTGGTCATCTGGATGACTTTTTGGCAGATCTTGATAAACACACAACAAAACAGAAAAAAATATTGCTTTGAAGACAAAGGTGAAGCTGGGACCTAAAACTTCCATGTTCTAGGATTTGTGATTCTCAGTAGATTTGAGGACATATGTTAACGTATTTCAGGTATCAAATGGCAGTTGCCTAACTTAATTTTGCTAGGAGGGCTACATTGATAGTGATTAAAAAAAGATGACAATAATGCTGTTTTTATTATCATTTACAAGAAAACACATTCTAATGTCTTTTTGGTACTGAAGAGATACGCTAACAAGGTGGATGGCACATGGGGTTTTTCTGGGTTATCATTCTTCTGCTCGTTTGCTCCAATCTCTGAATGTTTAAACTCATTATATGGCTTAAGGCTTATGGCCACCTATTTTCTCTAACTTTCAGAGCACGTTGTCTGTGGTGCTTTCCTAGAAGTGGATGTTATTATGTCCCAAACTAGAAGAATGCACTCTTCAAGGGTGGAGATGGGTGTTGGTTCATCTTTTGTCCTTCCCAGTACACTTGAAAGCACAATTTCTCTGGTGTCAGGAAGTACTTCAATAACTAGTCAGTGAAATATTTTATTTTTGTTCCAAGAATTACACCATTTATCAGTAAAATACTATTGACCTGTAAATAACATTATATTCTCCCAGCCTTTGAAGTCACGGAAGATAGAACTGGAAGATAGCTTAGAAGAACCTAACCCAATTCCAGATTTCATAGTAAGGCAGTAGACCAGAGATCTGGATCTAACAAATGTTTTCAGTATGATCTTGGACAAGCAATTAACCAATTCTGAATTCAAATTTACTCCATTTAAAAATATTTAAAGTTTCGGTGGACATTAAATGAGATGATGGATGCCAAAGTGCATTGTAAAATTTTAACTGCCCTAGCAATGTCAATCCGGGAAACTGATGCCTAGAGAAGTTAGGGGCTGACTCCGGGGTATATTTTTTTAGTCAGTGGCAGAGCCAGATTTCTTTGGGAGGTACAGTGTAATTAAGTAAGTACTGAATTTGGAGTGAGAAGGAAGGTAGGCTTCAAGTAGATCATAATTTTGCTTGGAATATACCCAGAATATTTTGCCACTTTGGTTAGTATGAATTTGAAATATAACAATTAAAGTTGAGAGCGTTGAAAAATAAAACTGACCTTAAGGTACTGTCACTCATCAGGCAGCTAGCTGAATTTCTTCATGATGTGTAGAATGGGAATGATAAGATCAGCTCTACTTCCCTTCTCCAGATGCTGTGTCTATCACAGGGTATAATGCATGTAAAAATATTTGGGAAAATAGTAAGGAACGATGTAAATGTCAATATTATTGTTTCCTGCTTCCTTCATATTGAATGTTTCAGGTCAGGAAGAAAAAAAAACAATTCTCATGCAAATTTCAAATTAAGTCACTGGAATAGCTTGGTATAAAACTTTTGGGGAAATGGTTTTTTCCAAGCGTGATAAGCCCATTAAATCTTTTTTTTAATGATGCTTCTTTCATTAAAAACTTCTTTATCTTCTTTTATTTTTCTTCCCAAGACCATTAATCATATTATTTTTTGATATCTTGCTGTGCTCCTATTATTAATCATCTTTGTTTGATTCCTGTCATTAATCTTTACCATGCACTTTTCCCCTACTACCTGAGTGACTCATTCTCTTCTACGTGCACCAACCTATGGATCCTTACCAATAAGTGCTCTGAATTTAAACAAACTCTCTCAGGAATTATTCAGTTGCCCCTTTGGGAAAATAGCTGAGATTTTAACACTTGTGTTTCTCTTTAAGAGAATTACTATAAAAGAAAGCTGTCCTGAATCATAACTCTTACTACTTCCCAATTTATAGGGTTCTTTCTGCATAAGGAAAGAATCCATACAGAAAGAATCTCAAATAAACACCTAATAAAAGAAATTCAGCTCACATTAAAATACTAGAATACCAGATGGTGTAATTTAAGTATTATTTAACTACTGTTTATCCTACCCAGTGCTCATTTTAAATTCAACATTTTTGAGAATTATTCATGGATCCACAGTTGTATTTCATGCAGATAACAAGCTTAGTTTGTGGTGAATTACCAGAATGCACCCATAATTTCCATCCTTCCTTGGTTATTGTTAATTTGGATGGCAACTATTAGTTAAAGTTGAGAGGCTTTCCAAAGCAAATCGACATCAAGCTATCATGGACAATAATTTTTTCAGCAATCTGCAGGGAGGGCAAATCATTAAGTTTTACAGGGTGGAAGAACTCACCAAAGAATGTGATGTTCCATCTGCCGAAGCTGAAAAACACAACTGTTTGATGAGCATGTTTCTTGCTTTGTAGCTGCCTGCCCACTGAACAAGCAGTTATTCTTGCTTCTATCTAATGGCTGTGGTGTAACTTTTAAGTGAATATAAAAAACAATTTCATCTCTAACACCTCTCCATGTGAATGGATAAAAGATCAACAGAGCTGTCTCTTAACACAGCACAATTTCCTATGTAAAGTCACAGGGCCCTTTGAATTGATCACTAGGACACACATTATGGCAAATGTAGATTGCTGAGCTCCTCTTGACTCTGGTGCTCACCATATATTTGTGTTTTATTCACATTGTGTTAGGGAAAATGACAAGCCTTCCTGCTCTAAGTCATTAAAAGAAATACTAGGAGAGCTTTAAAAAGATCAACATCCATTCCATTGCTAAAAGCTAATGCTTTGACAGCTGGAAGAGTTTTTATCTCACACTTAAAATTAATCTTTGAAAGAAAAAAGTTAAATGCAGTATAACACAACCCCAATGCCTGAAAAAGCTTTCACATAGAAAAACTGGGCTTAAAAACTCTTCTTCTGGTTTTATTCTTGAATTTTTCAAAATTTGAAAGCTATGGATATTACAGCAACTTTTCTTATAACCATCCTGTAAGTCATTATTATTGCTGTCTATTGTCGAGCACCTAACTATGTGCCAAAATACTGTGGTGGAAACTTCATAGCCATGATTTCATTTAATTCCTACACTGATCCTACAAGAGTTTCTCTTTTCACAGATGGGAAAACTGATTCTGAGAGAGGTTAGTAAGTGTAGACTGGAATCCCAACTTGACCATTGTCCGACTTCAGGGCTCATGTTTTTTCCACTGCAGCTTACTTCCTCCTTGAGCATAGTATGTATGAAATTATATATGGAAGTTAAAATTTAAAATGATCTCACAGAGAGGAAAGGACAATATATTTTTCAGAACACCTAGGGAAAATTTATCTTGGATGTATCTTTATGCCCAACTTTACTTCTTTACAGTTTGCAAGCTCAAGTGGGTGCAATTTGCAACACCTTATGGGGAGCATGTTTCATGTAATAAATTAAACTCATAAATACTAAAATATTTCCATGAAAAAGCAAATACTTTTGCCTTATGTTTGAATGTCTCCTTAAATTCATATAGTTCTCTCTAAGCTTAAAGTTCTTCATTCGTAAGAGGAGTAATGATAGTATCTAATCACGTTGGGAGATAATTCTCTGTGGATGGGTCTCACACTTCTGCGTGTCTTGCAAGCACTCATACTAACTGCCTTGGTTCTGGACTATTTGTCTACTGATGTCTGTATAGTAAATAGCCTTGGAAGATACTGACAGTGTCTCCCTCTGGAGTACATAACAACATACTTACTGTCCATTAAAAAAGATATGGGTTCCCTAAATTTGTTCCTTTCCTATAATGCAACCCACTGTTTGTGCAGGGCTCACCTGACTCTGTGTTGTCTGTGGGAATTGGAGTTTGAGGACCTGGTGCAAGAACATGCTGATGCTCTGGTCACTGCTACTTCTGTGGTAACGTCCTCTAACGCAAGAGTCTTAGGTGTTCTGCCAGCATTCAGGAAACTGTAGCAGGATAACTTGTTAGCTTGCAAATAGGGTAAAATCTCAGAATCTTCACAATTCTTGCCACCTCATATAGCTGTGACAATTAAATGAAATAATTTATGTAAAGAACTTACTTAAGGGTTGGTACAAAGTATAAAATATGTATTGGATATTGATGCTAGTACTGTCCTAGATAAAAAGTAGACATAAATGGTCTGTTAATAATATAGGTAATTTTGTATTTTACATGAATTAACTTCAAATTGCTTTTTTTCAAGTGATAAATTATCTAATAGTGATATTACTATGTGTATGCTTCAGTTACTTCAATTGGAATTCTTGGAGGGTCAAATAAACTCTGAAAAGATTGGATTCATGAATATTTTACCTCTTATGGATAAGGCAGTTGGTATAGAAATAATTCTGAAAAAGATTTATAGTGTAACTGGAATATTGATTTTGCAATATTCATTGTTGAAGGAAAATTAATAAACCAATCAAAAAAGCATCATTGAGAGCTGTCAAATTGGAGTGACTCAAAAACGTAAAGTTTATAGTTCTTGATGTACTTGATCTGAGGAACACTGGAAATATAATTTTAAGCCATCTGTGAACCATAATAAGTTACTGATAGAAAAATGAGTTAAGAAATACAAATGATAATGTAGCTTTGATAACTGAGGAATCATCTGGAATAACTTCTGTTTCCCTTTGCATCTTCTACATTTATCTTAGCTCTTCCCTCAAATTATTAAAAAGAGGAGGGAATTTTCAGTACTAATGGAAAATTGTTTGACTCTTTATTCCCCTCCTCTCCCCAACTTTTTTTTGAGACGGAGTCTCACTCTGTTGCCCAGGCTGGAGTGCAGTGGTGCGATCTCGGCTCACTGTCGCCTGCAACTCGGGGGTTCAAGCGATTCTCGTACAGGCACGCACTGCCACTCCCGGCTATTTTTGTATTTTTGGTAGAGATGGGGTTTCACCCTGTTAGCCAGGCTGGCCTTGAACTCCTGACTTCAAGTGATCCACCCCCTTGGCCGCCCAAAGTGCTGGGATTACAGGTGTGAGCCACTGCGCCTGGCCTTTATTCCTTTTTGAGGGTGCTTTTGGTTTTACATGCCCTGTGTTTAGCAATTCTAAGATTCTTTACTTGAGGATTTTCATAACTGTTAGATTTCTCCTACCTATAGATTGTTTGCCTTTTTTTTCAAAAGTGAGTTGTTTAGTGGATAAAATTTAGAGAAATAGGACATTTGCATAATCTCATACTATCTCTTAGAAGTGAATAAATACTTATTAATTACAAAGGGAAAAATAGTAAATTTGTGGTGGAGAAATCTGGCAGACACAGCCTTTACCAAGATTATCATGACCAATAATTATACATATCCACATTACGTGCCCCCTGATATGATACAGTGATGATGGACATATCACTTCTGTGGTATTCTCCTAGTAATGCATATCTCAGTCTAAGCACCAGAAAATACCAAACAAACATAAGTTGAGGAACATTCTGAAAAATAATTGACCAGTATTCTTCAAAAGCAGTAATGAAAGATGACAAATGACTGAGGAACTGTCAAAGACTGGATCAGGCTAAGGATGCATGACAAACCAAATGCAATGTAGAATCCTAAACTAGATTCTGTACTATTGACAGAAAGAACATTTGTAGAGAAACTAAATTTAAGTCTGGACAAAATCTGTAGTTTAATAGCGTTGTGCCTATGGTAGTTTCTTAGAGATAAGTGCATTGGTTATGTAAGATGCTAACATAGGGGAAGCTGAATGAAGGGTATATGGAAACTCTCTGTATGATTTTTTTTCAAATCTTCCTAACATGATCTTAAAATAAAAGGAAAAACATGAGTTTATTTATTAAAATAACACTTCGGTTTTAGTTTTTGTGTTCGGAAATAAAGTAAAAAAGTGAAAGAATACAACAGATTACTCCTCATAAGCAAAAATAATTATGTAATATCATGGAGACACAGGTTAAAATGAGTTCACTTATGGAAGGCATTTAACACAATAGCACCCACTTCACTTTGTGTGAGTGGGTCAATAAGTATAGTTTGTCTCTCAAAATAGAGTGTAAGACCATCTACCTTTAATTTTTCCACTCTCTAGTTCAGAGTTCTATACATACTAGATGCATTCTATACATACTAATGTTTTAAAAAAAATTAAAAATAAATTTTTTTTTTTGATTATTGAGGATGACAACCAAAAGCTCACTACTGGGCTCAGATCTCATGTACTTTTTTTCACCTGGGTGCTAAATATCTGTTTTATGGACTTTTAAAGTTGTATATTTAATATAATGTCTGTGTTGACATTTTTCTGTGCAAACTCAGGGAAAAAATCATTTTTCTTTTACTTCTAATTCACAATTTCTTTTAGCATTACCAGAACGCACATTTACGAGGATTGCGTAACACATGTTCTTGTCTAGTGACAAGAAAAATGTTTCACTTTCTCCCACTCAGTTATCCTTAGTGTTCATGTTAATGAACCAAGAATTGAGGGGATAGGAGAGGTTTTATGTTTATAGTGATTTTTTTTGAGAGGCTGGAAAAAAAGGTGCAAATTATATTGATATGCATGCAATGGAATTCTTATTCTGCTAGTCTCTTTTCCTTCAGATATATTTTTTCCTTGAAACCCCAACACAGTTTTTCATCATTCTCATCAAAAGTATTTTTAAAGCACATTCTGTCCGTGTCACACAACAGAGATGGACAAAGACATGTGGCCCCTGTCTTAGACATCTTCTAGAATTGAGACTATCAGTTGTCCCACTAGAAAACTTGGTTTCCTCTTCTGAGAATATAATCTTGAAATACCTCTTGTATTAAACTGATATCTAACATTTCACCACTGAAATTTCATCCTAAGATGCAATCAACACTTTAAAAAGGTAATACACTACAAATTATATTACCAAATTTATTCTAACATGGTAGCTGGCTGAAAGTCTATTTGAACAGGAAAAGCTCAGAAAAAAAAGAGACACAAGTGAATAGAAAATGGGGAGGGTATATTAAAAGGGATTTTAGAACTAATAAGACTCAAGGTTATATTTTGGCCCTTCCATTTATTAATTGGTTAACTTTGGATACATGACTTCCTCCTTTTTAGCTCAGTTTCTTCATCTGTTAAAGTGGGAATAGTAAGCTTACCTCCCTGGAATGCTGTCGGATTTAAAGGAGCTGAGAAATGTGAAAACTGAACTGAAGTAGGTGCTGAAGGATCCCTAATTTTTTTGTAACTGAAGACAAACTTTGTCCCCTCTACAATTTTGACTGTAGGGCCAAGTTTTACTAACTGAGAGACCTCAACACCTATCCACAGATGTTTAAACAAAGTGCAGGATACATCTTTCCAGCCCCATCTCTTTACACGTTTCACCTTGCAGACTGAACTCTTGATGTGCAGCCTGCCATGGCTCTGCCTGTTCAGAAGGCAAGGAATATCACTGCTGTCTCCTTTTCACCAAAGTATGAGCTCGGTTTCTTCCAACAGCACCCTTGGTTGGCTTGATCTAGGGTATAGTCAAGAGGGATGGAGGGAAGAAGGTGGCAGTGACAGAAGAAAGGCTTTGTGCGACACAGCTCTGAGGTAGGTGTCCCAGGTAGATTGCTAGCGATGACCTCAATTGGAGAGGTCAAAGTAAAACTCCAGGGCTTTCCAGAGCCTGAACAGATTTATGAGGCCCAAAGCCCTATTGCCGTTGTTTCTAAGAGAAATAGCTCATCTGTAACAGCTGTGTCTGACTTCTAACCACCTCTTCACTGACCTGGAAAAGTATGGCTCTGGCTTCTGTTTGTCCTGCTGTGGTGCAAACGCCCACAAATACACATCGTAGTGTTGAAAGTCCTGGATAGCACTCTTAGGCAGCAGTTAAAGGAGGCTTGTCTTGCAAGCCACTTTTGGAATTCGATCGTGCTCCTTTTTTGTTATTGTTGTTAGAAGACAAAAACACAACAAAAAAGCAATACTTATTTTTCTCCTAGACCTTTTCATTGAGATTTGCTTTACTCATCTTCATCTATGTTTATATGTGTACTTCAATTTTGTCTCATTGTTTAAAACAACATTTACCAGAATGTGCTTCTGTCATTATCTACATGTTCTATTCTTTGGGGATTTCTTTTTATGAGTATCATCTCTGAATAATCAGGAAAAAATCCCACCAATTTGAAGATGCCACCTAGGAAACAGGTAAGCCCCATGTATCTTCCATTTGTTTTCTATAGTAATTGTTTTCTGTGCTTATGAGTAAGAATTTATTGATGTTTCAAAGCCGGTTGGCAATATACACAATCAGTTTGTTATTTTACAGTCATATTAATTTGACTCAAACAGCAGCACCCAGTTTGATCCTGACCTTATTCACCAGGTATTAATATAAAATTATCTTTTCTTGATATTTTGGGGAATACAAACCATGAATTTTTAGGATGTGGTCTCTGAGTTCTAGAAGTTTATACTCTAGTGGTGTAAGTAGGGTATCTAATGAGGAATTGAATTATTTTCAAAAATCAAGATTTGTTCAGTTTGAGGGTATTCAAAAGTATAAGTTTGACTTTTTTAGATTCTATGATCATAGTTAATAGTAATGTATATTTCAAAATTGCTAAAAGAGATTTTAAAAGTTCTCACCACAAAAAAGTAGAGAAGGTGATAGATATGTTAATGAATTTGATTTAATCATTCCACAATGTATACATATATCAAAACATCACGTTGTGTCTCATAAATGTGTACAATTATTTGTTCATTTTAAAAAGTATTAAATGCAGGCTGTGGATGAATGTGTCAACTGGAGACATATTTTGGTAGTTAAATATCAAGAGTTTTAAAAAATATACATTCTCTTTTTTCCAGAAATTCTACGAGTGGGAATTTTTTCCATCAAAATAAACAGATATGTGCAAAAATTTATGTACAAGTTTACTCAGCTACTGTGTTATTTATAAAAGCAAACCATGGAAAGTATTGAGATATAACCGGCAATAAATTATCATATATCTTGAACATTGTGAAGCCATTGAAATGGTAGTAAGAATAACATTTAATGATAAGGAGAAGTATTTATATTAATTGAAAAATCAGGTTATAGAATATTTATAGTATATTTACAAATTTGTAAAACATATGTGCATATAAAGGTAAATGAGATAAAGTTTATACCTAAACATTTTAATAATTATTTTTGTGTGGTGGAATCAACATTAATTCTGTATGTGTTTCTGTATTTTCCAAAGTTTTTAATAATAAGTGTGTATATTTTATAATTCAAAAAGTCACAAATTGTTAAAAAATGGTTGGGCTTTTGAAGTATATTACAACATAGAAATTTCAAAAATGCTTTACCATGTTTAGATTATTACGTATTAAGCTTCATAGGATGATTATTGAAACTTTCTATGTTTTGTCATTCTCCAAATAGGTTTTTCTATACAAATTTATTTTATCCTTTTATTTACATTTAGGGGACATTTTCCCAAAGAAGATAGCAATCCAAATAATCTATAAGGAACCATCGGTGTACTTACTCTCTACAAAGCTCTCTGCTGCCAGCTGTGAAGAATATGAGACGGATGAGAAACATCCAGGCTGTCAGGGTACACAGAGATTGTCCAAGGTTATCCATCTATTCAGAGGCAGAGCCAGGAATTAACAAACGAGACACAGCTGGAAGCCAGGGATCCTTAAATCCCACTGTTGGCTTGTACTAAGTCAGGTATCTCTGCTCACCATGTGAGCATCCACTTCTCTCCTGCCATGCATCATACTGGTCCTGGAGACAGACAAGAGTTTTACCAACCATCACCAACCCAGATCTCCTCTTCCCTGTGAGTGCTGTTCCACTGAGGCTTGTCACTGTCTTCATCCTTGCCTCATCCTTTTTTCTTTTAATTTTAATTTTTGTTAAGGTTAATCATACCCTCTAAAGATCCAGTTGTCCACAACGTTTGCTATGAAACACAGTATTGCCTCACCCCTCCTGAAGTTTTTGTTCTTCCCCTAAGCAATCACTTTGATCTTTTTTACTGACTATATTGTCATGTAGGCTTCACGACTCCAAGTAGCATTCTTGCTGATTTTTCAGTTTCTGGCATTGTTAACTGGCTTCCAGCTATGTAAGATGAGACTCTATCTAGCTCCCTTTTTTTCCATTTCCCTAGTCTTCTCCACGTATGTAGTCTTCTCATTCTCTTCCTCCAGTAGAGCTATATTATAATTTTTGATAAATTAATATTACATATCAATATATTATGACAATGTAAATTCTGTTTATAGTGGAGACCTGTAGTAAACTCTGAACACTATTCCTTTCCTGCACAACATTTTGTTTTTCCTGGAGTTAAAATTGTTGTCATGTGCTTCCATTTTTTCATGCCTTTAATCACTATTCCACTTCTCACTCTTCGACAATTTTCTAAATCTTCTCTCTGGATGCTTCCTGAGAAGTTTTCTACTGAGTTTTCGTTTTTAACTGTAGCATTTTTATTTTGTAAAAGCTCTTTGTTATCTGAGTATTTCCTTATTATAGTAGCCTATTCTTGTTTTTGTTTGCATGATCTTCTCTTATCTCTCTGTAGATTGATGCTGTTTTGTTTTTATTTTTAGGTTTCTTTTTCCTGTATACTCTCTGTTTTCTATGTTGCTTTCAATCTATTTGTTTTGGTTTTTATCTTTCAAGTTATATGTTGGCTTCTAATGCCTAATAAGCCTTGGCTGTCTTCTCATATTTTACAGTATTTTATATATAATTATACATGCATTATATATATTTTTTATTTGACACATATTGTCTGTTTATATTTTATAGTATTTTCTAGCTCACTGGCCAATTTTTTCTCTAAGCAAGCTTCTTTGATTTATTTTTATTTTTGATTTTTAGGAATACGTAATAGTTGTACATCTTTATAGGGCACGTGAAATTTTGATACAAGCATACAATGTGTAATGATCAAATTAGAGTAATTGGGATATCCATCACCTCAAACATTGATCATTTATTTGTGTTAGGAACGTTCCAATCCCACTCCTCTCGTTATTTTGAAATATACCCACTGGCTACTTTGCATAAATAGGCCTTATGGATTGTGAATTTCATTGTGGGGGTGATCTTGGGCTATTTACTTGAGAAACTTCTGATGTTAGATCTTTAGAACTTTCTTTTTGGGTTAGTATTATTTTCCAGAGACTGTCAATCTTTTCTCTGGATGATGGTAAAAGCCTGGCTACCCAGCATATAGGGAGCTGAGTGGAGGAAGATGGGTACATTCAACTTAATCCTCCAGTTTTCAATATAGTGCTCACACATTCGATTTTATGTTTTTGCTTTCAGACCAGAAACCCTCTTGTCTCACACACTTCAGAAAATGAATTTCCAGTCCTCAGTAAATATAACTTAGGTCATTCAGAAATTATATAGGTCAGAATTTATCCAAGCTTGTCTGTCTGTAGCCCTGTCACATTTTGGGGGAAAGCATGCTTCAGAATTCCTCACAGCAAATAATAGTTTAATAAAAATAACATAAAAATGTGGAGCATCAGTTATGCATGTCAGTTATAATGGCCTGTATTCCAAACACACAGTGTGCAGCCTAACTCACATTGGATGGAAATGATGATGGGTATTGAAACCTTTGCTTTCCCACTACTCAGCTCTGAGCATCCTGTCTCTTCATAAGAAGGTAGCCCAGTGTGTCATGTCTTCCAAGAGCAGAGTGGCTCCATAAAACCATACCCAGTGGTCCGCACATGTGCTGTGCTTCTGCCCATGTCATTTTAAGTATCTTGGAATGCCTTTTCAGTCTACCTTTCTGAGATCAGGTGAACTTTAGGTGTAAAAATAAATATTTGCTTTTGATACTAAAAATAAAATTCAATCCCTGGCATTTTTCTATAGTGGCAGAGTCCCTAATGCATTCTGTTCAACAGAATACAACCTTTCCTAGGGTCCTATTTGAAAAGGAAAGAAATCAAGAGTTGAAGGACAAACATTTCTTTTCAACCATAGTAATGATACTTCTTTCATGTTTTGAAAGATTTTAACCTTTATATGGGTTTGGGTATTATTTTCTTTGTGATGACATCTGACATTTAAACAGGTCTTGTTAATAAAATTTAGGCTACCTTCCATATAATTAACTGGGTGTGATTAACTACATCACTCAGACTTTCTAATATTTTTCCCTGTAAATTAAGCTTTGGAGCTTTGAAAAATATGAAATAATCAAATTGCTGTTATTTGAAATAGTTACAGTATGTCACGCTGCAGTTTGGTTTATAATGGGAGCTCATTACCATACTCATTATCATGAATTATAGGAGTTTCCTGGCTGGCCTTCATTAACCATCTGGCTTTAAACATTGATTTGTGGTTATATATGTTATTTTTAGAAAAGAGCACCTGAACGTCTACTGAAAACACTTGTTTCATCTTGTTCTACATATTTTTAAAGGCCATGAATCTCACTATTGTAAAAATCTTGTAGATTCTTTGGCCTCTTTGATTCATGTATTATTTATCCAAAGGAAATATCAGCTGTGTCATCAAGTCTTGATTCTGTAAGCTCCTTTTCTTCAAGAAACTTCCTAGGAAATGTGAAAGGAAAGGAAAGCAAATAGGAGACAAATGTAACCCTGTAGATTTTCATTCCAAAGCTGTAGAAAGTTTCATATATTTCCAGGTCTTGTATGCTGAGGTACTTTAAACACAAACAAGAGGATATTAAAAGCATTTATTTATTAATTCGGTCAATAAATACTTGTTGAGCATCTTTTAGGGAATAGAGACTATTCAAGGTGCTGGAGATGCTGGAGCTACAATAGTAAATAACAACATGCCTACCCCGTAGAGCTGGACAACCAACAGAGGAAAAGACAAATTCAAGGTGGGAGGCGTCTGTGTCCAGAGCACAGTTAATGCTAGAAGACTGTAGTAGGAGATGAAGTTAGAGGTGTTTGCAGGAAGCAGATCCTATAGAGCCATTGTAAGAAGTTTGGATTTAACTTTCATTGTGATTTATACTTTTAAAGTATTATTATGGCTATGAGGTAGGAAACAGCCTTAGGAAGGCAAGAGTTGAAAGACAACCATAGTAGTCAATGTGAGTGATAGGGATGGAATAGGATAATGACAGATGAGATGGAGAGAAATAAATAGATGTGTAGTTCTGGAGATGTAACTATGACATACTGATGCCCTGAATATGAATAATCAGGGAAGGATAGGAAGCAAGAATGACTTCTAGGATTTTAGGATTTTGAATTGAAGAAATAAATGGATAGAGGCACCACTTACTGAGATGGAGAATACTGGTGGAGGAATAGGTGGGAGGTTGGTGTATCAGGAGCTCTTGTTTTTTGTTTTTTTAAAGACAGATCTCACTTTTTTGCACAAGCTGGAGTGCAGTGGCATGATCATAGCTCTCTGCTGCCTCAAACTCCCAGCCTTAAACAATCCTCCCACCTCAGCCTTTCCAGTAGCTGAGATTTCAGGCACAAGCCACCATGCCTGCCTAGGAGCTCATGTTTTGACAAGATAAATCTGAGCTATTAGACTTTAATATATAAATCATTAAATAAGAGTTGGATATGCATCTTGAGCATATAAATGGGACTAGGTAAAGATTACCCAGGGAAAGAATGTAGATCAAGAGAATGCCCCAAACAAATATTGCATTGATAATATTTCAAGTAGAAAACCAGAGACCTTATTAGTTATAAGTATGGGGAATTTGTTATACATATGCTGAAAGGCTGAAGGAGCAAAAGGAAGATACTGAGTTAACACTGAGATTAATGACAACAAGAAGCAACTCCCATCTTCAAGACTGGGGAACACAGGGAAGGGGCCCTGTAACCAGAACCTATGAGCTGGGAGGAGGGGACCTAAAGAACTAATGCTTGGGCCTCTGGGAGAAAACCCTGTGAAAGTGGTGCCTGACTGTCTGAGGAGGGATGTGGGCTAGAGAGTTCTCCCTGGGCTCAGGAAGGATAGCTTGGTTGGTAAGGGAATGCAGTGTGGATGACACTGAGGCTGCCAGAGGTCTTGGGTTGGCTGCTCCTAGGTGGCTTGATGAAAATGGGAGGACCAGAAGAATTGGAAGTTGCAGCCAACTGATGGCTGCTACTGAAGATTCCTGACAGGAAATAGAAAATAGGATGTAAGACCCTCCTCTCCTCCTTCTGGCTCCCAATATTTTCTGGTGATTCCCATTGGTGGATGCTAACAGGAACTCACCTGGCAAGGGAGCTTGAGACATGTAGTTTGAGTAGTTCTAGCCCTGCATAGTAGAGCAGTGTATAGAGATGGTGGGCTTGGAGCTGAGGAACAGCTTCTGTTATTCCATAATTTTCAAAGTGAGGGGAAAACTGCTTTCATGATAGGTATGCAATTCTTGTATGAATGTAAAATAGAGGCATTATACTGATGGCCCTGCAAGGGCAAAGTCAAACCTCTTTACCTATGGAGCAGACCTAACTCAGGCATGGTGTTTAAGCTAGTTTCTCTCTCATGCTGAAAACACAACATGAGTTTCCTTTCTGTTCCTTCCCTGAAAGTACCATCATAACATTCTTGATAACTTTCTGGAAATGTTTTTTGTGTATATAGATGTAGGCATATATTCTTTATTCACATATTCGTTCATTTATTCAACATTAACTGAGAGCCTACTCTGTATTTGGCACAAGTCTAGACGTTGGAGGCGTGGGGATGAACATGACAATATTCCTGACCTAATGGACCTTAGATCCTAGGAAGTTGGAGTGTGTTGGAGGGAAGGGTTAGTAATAAACATGTCAAACTATTTTTTTGTTTTATTTATTTATTTTTTTAGAGACAGGGTCTTACTCCATGGCCCAGGTTGGAGTGCAGTGTTGGAATCATAGCTTGATGTAACCTTGAATTCCTGGGCTCAACTGAGCCTCCTGCCCCAGCCTCCCAAGTAGCTGGGGCTACAGGTGCCCACCACCACATCTGGCTTTTTTTTTATTCTTTGTAGAGACAGGATCTCAAACTCCTGGCCCCAAGTGATCCTCCCAAAGCACTGGGATTTCAGGTGTGAGCCACCACACTCAGCCAAAACAACACCACATGTTCTCACTCACAGGTGGGAATTGAACAATGAGAACACTTGGACACAGGAAGGGGAACATCACACACTGGGGTCTGTCATGGGGTGGGGGGAGGGGGGAGGGATAGCATTAGGAGATATACCTAATGTAAATGACGAGTTAATGGGTGCAGCACACCAACGTGGTGCATGTATACATATGTAACAAACCTGCATGTTGTGCAGATGTATCCTAGAACTTAAAGTATAATTAAAAAAAAGATTTTCAAGTAGTGCCTATAAAAAAATCAGAGTGTGGCTCAATGCAAATGATGAGGGTGGTGCACTCTAGCTATTATGAACTCTGCTTCACAAACGTTAGCGGCAGACACAGTTTCTAGCAAAATGGGCTGATTCTTTCAGTAAGATAAAGTTGCTAGTGGCTAGAAGGCCTCTTTAAAGTGGTGGAATCTGTATTGAGACCTGAGATATGAGCAGAAGCCAGGTATATGAAAATCAGAAAGACATTCCAGACAGAAGAGATAGCAATGACCTTGGCATATCTGAGACAGGCCAGCTTGGCTGGAAGACAGTGAATGATGGGAAGGTAACAGAATACATGCACATTGTCCTGCATCTGATTTTTTTTTTTTTCACAAAATATCTTGGAAATCAGTCCATATCAGAACCTCTCTAATATGAACTGAATGTTTATATTCTCCGCCATTCATATGTTGAAGCCCTGACCCCCATTATGATAGTATTAGGAGGTGGGGCCTTTGGATGGTAATTAGGTTTAGATGAGGGCATGAGAGTGAAGTCCCCCATTATTAGAAAGAGACACCAGAGTTTTCTCTCTTCACCAAGTGAAGATAGAGCAAGAAGGCAGCCATCTGTAAGCCAAGAAGAGAGCCTTCACTAGAACCAAGTATACTGGCATTCTAATGTTGGACTTCCCAGCCTCCAGAACTGTGAGAAATAAATGTCTGTAGTTGAAGCCACCCAGTCTATGATACTTTGTTATAGCAGCCTGAGCTGACTAATAGACTCCCTCTATATGGTAACTATATAATAATATTCTATTGTATAAACTTTTAGTTTATTGAACTGTTTTACTATTGTCAGATGTCTAAATTGTCCATAATCTTTTATTTTTACAAACAATTCAGTGCTATGATAAATAGCATTGTAAATATGGTTTTGCACATTAGGGTGATTTTACCTATAAGAAAAGCCCTAGAGATGTGTGTGCATTATATATTTTCATATATTCACTTTACATTTTGGTATATATTTCCAAATAGATTTTCAACGAGTTTGTCAATTTCCACCCCCATCACGATAGTACTTACTTGTGTTCACTCTCTTCCATCCAGTGAACCATTACATGTTTGGGTCTTAGTCACCCTGCTCATATTTTTCTTTATTAAGGACATCTAGTTAATTTTCATGTGTTTAGAAGCCATTCACTTTGTGTGTGTGTGTGTGTGTTTGTGTGCGTGTGTGTGTGAACTGTTAGTTCATCTTTGCCCATTTTCATTGGATTGTGAAATTTATTTCTGTAATGAGTTTATTTGTTCACTCCTCCCACAAACACATAGGGCAAGTGATTGTGCCTATAAATGGGAGTGAGTGATGAAGACCTGCATCCCCACCACCCTGCATAGACATTGACTTTGCTCCAGTCTAGAAATTGTCACGACAACTTGATTCTTCCCTATACTCTGGGCTGGGAAAGTGAAACAGAGTTATCTTCAGGAGGTGTAAAACCAAGATTCTCCCTTCCACTTCCACATCCTAAATTGTGGGTGTGGAGCTAAGAATCATTTCCTTCTTAGAGGGTATTCTGAGAAAATACAATTGTGGTCATAGTTAATGATCTTTTCCTGTTTCCATGTGTTCCTCTTCCTTAACATAAATTGTAGAGGATTTTGCTGGAAATTTGTTTTGCCCTTGTGCTTGTGGCTGGACAAACATGTGAGCATGTTTCTATTATGTATTCTATGTAGTTATAGCCATAATACCGTATAGTAATAGTATACAAATGTGTCTAATTAGAGGAACCAAGAATAAGAGTATAATATCTTTTAGTATGTGTTTCAAAAGCTTTCTGCCTCACTCCCCACCAGCAGCATTTACTTCCCCATTCACAAAACACACATACACAATTTTGTATAGATATTGGAATCTATGCTTACCCTAATTTAAAAAGAGTAATCAGAGCGCTATGTCCCTCATTGGGAACGATTCAACAAAGAAAAACTTAACAATTATGAAATTAACAGTTCAGGGTATGTAATTCTGGAAATCACACAATTACCCATATGGAATATTTTTCCATGGTGGAGACTGCCCAGTCAACGTCAATGTTAATATCAATAAGCACGGCCATCTCAGATTTACCTAAATCCATTCCAATTTTCCCAGACTACTGATCGCACATGTTCCATACACGAGCTCACGTAGAGAATCTAGATGGGAGTGGAAAGAACTTTTATAAAAATGTAAAAAGTCATCTCCACGGATTTCAAAGGCTTCCTTCAGAAATACGACAAATAATTCAAAAACCCCTGCAACAAGATAGTCATGCTCTAAAATTTAGAGAAATTACTAAGTGTTAACTATAATACAATTCACTCTTAGAAGTTTTCCATTTTACTTCTTGCCCATGTCTTACCTAATTAATGTTTCTCTTTGAGATAAAAGAGCAGTGATTTTCTTGGCTGTTCCTTTGCTAAGGCAGTCACTATTCTTTCAAAATCTTGAACTTTAGCTTCTTTTCTACTAAGGAAAGCCCAGGAAAAATGTGCAGAGTCAAATTCAGGAATTGAAATATTGTTAAAATATTGCTTAACCTCAGAACCACCCTGAGCCAGTGCTAAACAATATTTGTTATTTCCTTCTATGTCATGGCTATCATTCATTCATTCATTCATCTGTTTGATCATTTTTTTTTATTTATCTGTTCATCCAACAAAGATTTGTTGATCATACTTTGACTGCCAGGCACAGGGTTAGACACTGAAACTCACAAAGATCAATAGGACACAGCCTATGAGGCATTTCACTTACAGGAGGAACAAGGGGATGAATAAGCTTTATTTCATTTGAACCTCATACCTACCCTGTTGGGTGGGACAGATGTTGTTATTCTTTTTTTAATATAAAACCTTTTCTTTCTTAAAATATGTTCATTTCATTCTCACATTTAAATGCTACAAATGAATATAAAAATTTAATCTAAAATTTGAGCTTCCAGGAAAAATAAATTCAACACAGAGCGATAATCTTTGTTAACCACACATAGCACCCCTGTTGTTTTTTCTACATAGTAGAGATACTTTTACATATTTTATTTATACTTGGCAATCCAGTATTGTATTATTTTCCATTATTTGTATCTATATATTTTCTCTAAGTAGTTTGTAAGAGGTCCTTTGGGGCAAGGATTATGTCCAACAATTTTTGCTAATTGCTTATACTAGAATTATTCTGCCTCAATGAAGCCCCTTTTAACTCCATCCCACAACTATTTGCCCTTCCTGGCAATGCCTAGTTCCCAGGATATAAAAATGGGTGCATGGAAAACAAGGAAGAGTGAAAACCCAGAGAAATAAGAATAACAAATACACAGAGTCACCCTTCCTGCTGCTGTAGCAGGTGGGCAATGATTGTAAATAAGCAGTTTCTCCTATGTGCAGAGACATGGCTCAAACCAAGGCAGAATTCCCTGTGTAAAATGAACACATGGTTGTCATTGTCCAAAGTACAGGTGGTACTGTATTTTCCTATAGAAGATTATATGTTCTGGATATGAAAAACATTTTGTAAAAGTATACAATTTTAATCCATATGACCTAGGTAGTTTTTTAAATAAAAAATTTTAGAATTTAAAATTTATTTTGTTTCAGATTTTAAGATAATCTTTCGTTCCATACCCAATCATTGTTAGTTGTATCAAATATATTCCCTTGCCAGTATTTCTAATAGCATGCCCTAATTAATTTATTTTATCTTTTGGCATAAATCAATTAAAATTGAGTTTGGTAAGTCTCAGGGGAGTATTGTTTCACATTAAAAACTTTTTTTTTCTCAAGAGATCACAGATGTTGTTATTCTTACTTTATAGATAAAGAAATGGAGGTTCACGTAATGGTTAAGTGAATTGTTCAGGGCCTTGCAAATAGTGAGTGTTGAACTAAGACACAAATCCGGTCTTATAGTTCCAAATCCATGTTCCTGTCATTGCCATTTTACACAGTGCTAATGTCCTTCCTTGAGAAGCTCCTGGGGGCAGCATTGCTGATGTGATCACTTTACTGACCCTTGACATCTGTGTCATGAACCATGAAGTATGTTCATAGAAGGATGAATTCACTAAATATGATATCATTTTGTTCCCTTTATCTGTTAATAACAGAAAAGCATATGCTATGCCCCAAAGTTTTCTATAGCTGTGGCTTTTTAGCAGAAGAAAACTTTAAATCTAATTAAGCCCCATGCATGGAAAAATCAGATAATTCCTCAAAGCAAACTAACACACATCTTCCCAGTGATGTTATCTTTACCATGTATTTTCCTTTCCTGCAACAGCTGAAATTATCATGGAGTTCCCTGCAGAGCCAAATTTTAATATACAGCAAACTAAATTGTGATAAGTTTGAGAAAGCAATAAAGCTAGGTATGTATCACTGGCATAACAATACAAGCTGATTGACTGATTATTAGGAGTGATTTACCCAAAAATAGAATTTAAACATGAATGGTGGAGAGCCCAGGCCTGGGCTGGAAGAAACACACACATAGTTTCTGTAATTATAAACAAATAACATCAGGTTTGGGTAGTACTTCATCCCTCTCCTCTACCTTCTCACCTCTGGGGTAATGTATGATATGGCCTAGAACTGACCAAAAAAAGGCTTCCACATCCTGGATGTCATTGGACACATTAGTGCAGCTAGATCAGTGAAACTCAATTTTGGGACTCAGTTATGATCCCTATGTTACAGGGATCATAAAGAAAAAAGAGCCCGGGCATGATGTAATCCCAGCACTTTGGGAGGCTGAGGCGGGAGGATCACCTGAGGTCAGGAGTTTGAGACCAGCCTGGCCAATGTGATGAAAACCTGTCTCTACTAAAAATACAAAAATTGTCTAGGCTTGGTGGCGTGAACCTGTAATCTCAGCTTCTCAGGAGGCTGAGGCAGGAGAATTGCTTGAACCCGGGAGGCGGAGGTTGCAGTAAGCCAGTAAGCTGAGATTGCACCATTGCACTCCAGGCTGGGCAACAAGAGCAAAACTCCATCTCAAAAAAAAAAAAAAAAAAAAAAAAAAAAAAGCTTTTCTTTCTTGCTTTTTTGCTTGCTTGCTTTCTTGCTTGCTTGCTTTCTTCTTTCTTTTCTATTTTCTTTTTCCTTCCTTCCTTCCTTTCTTTTCTTTCTTGTTCTTTTTTTTTTTTTTTCTCAATTTGCCACTGGGAGAAGTCTAGAGGTTATAAGGGCCACAACATAGAAAGAACCTGTCTGAGAGTGAAGCCAATACAGAGAAAATCTGAGTTAAGAAATGAAGATAACTGATTCTCAATTCTTAATATCATCATTTGAAACTCTGGGCCCTGCCATGCCTGAAGTGAGAGCTATCTCTGTATTACTTAGATACTTAAGTTAATAAATTCCTTTTCTTGTTCACCTTCTCTCTCTCTCTTTCAACCAGTTCAGTGTGTTTCTGTCAGTTGCTACTAAGAAGTCTAAGGAAAACAGCAATCAACCTTTCTTCCCAGTGATTTTGTTTCTCTTTGTTTACAAATTATAGATTATTAGGGACAGCTGTTGTATCTCTTTGTTGGAAAAATTACATATTATTTGGGACAGTGACCATTCAGACCCATGGATCCTTAGATCCATAGATTGATGTGCAATCCACAAGACTCAGCCTTGCCCCTTTTCTTGATGTTTAGTGAGCAACTGAAATGTTTTTGGAAAACATAGCCTAGAAAGATTTATCATTTTATTTCCTAATGAAAAGTAAAATATATTATGAAATTCTGAGGCCAGAAACAGTTAAATGCTTACAAAGTTAATGGCATTTTCAGTTACTATAATAAAATGCAATATTTTACTTTAAAGATCACAGCCATTTAAAATATACCCAATAAATCTGCTACACTGATTTCACCACAATATTCTCTTCCTCATAATGTCTTTAATCCTGATAATTTCTCTGAAAAAAATATGTTAGGTTTCAGTCAAATTCCATGAGCAGCTAGTTTTATATGGTTTGCTTAATGTGTAGAACTGAAAAGGGAGGAATGGTGTCTCAAAGTACAGGTCTTTAGAGACTTGCATCTGAAATCCCCATGGTAGAAATAGTTTCTCAATTAGCTTTTCTTTTTCTCTTTGTTCCTTTCTTTTCTTTTCTTTTTCCTTCCTTCCTTCCTTGCTTCCTTCCTTCCTTCCTTCCTTCCTCCAACAATAGCAATGACAGAATTTCTGAGGAACTACAGACTTGGTACACACAGCTTAGTGAGACACATTCTCACCATTTAGTATCTAGTGGCAGAGAAGAGTATGTCAATTATTACAATGCGTTCTTTACTTTAAAAATCCCAGTGATATCTTCAACGCTTTCATTGGAAAATTCTCAGACCCCCCACATTATAGGATGAATTTTGGGTAGGCAGTTCAAATTTGAAACTAGTTTATGAGGCAAATATGCTGGCTTATCTGGTTTGGGTAACCCATAAACATATATATCTAACATTGCCTTGATGAATATGCTAAAGTTTAAAATAAAACATGAAAATACCGTTGATACTTTATAGGAAAGTACACGTGTAACCAAGGCAATGCTAAAAGACAAGTGGCAAGAAAGCCAACACATGCTATGCACTAGTGTGCTAAGTACTTTTATAACAAATTCCCTTAATTAGTTCTGACAACACGTTGTGAGGTTGGCACTGTAATCCTTGTGGGCCCATTCTCCTCTCCCCACTAGGCAGGCCCCATCCTCTAAGGCAGTTTTAAAGGCTGGAGGAGCCCTCTGTACAGTGCTGGATGTTCCAAACCTCGACAGCCAGGTGCAGGACAGTGAGCACTTGCCATTTCCCAGTCCTCCCGATTTCTGGGGTTTCCTTCCAAGCAAAGTTCTGATTAGACTAGGTGGCACAATGTAGATGTTCATCTACTTGATTTATGACTTACCTCTGACTCCCCAAAAGTCAGCCCCAAGAAGCAGTAGGTTATCAGTACCAGATGTTCTCCTATGCTCAGGCATGAGATAACACTTTCCTGTAGAAATTGTATTCTTCCTTCTGACACAAATTTTTGTCTGTGCTGAAATCCCCTTTCAAATTCCCTCGCAGATAATTTTTAAAGCAAAGCTAATTCAGTTAGAAGGAATTGTTTTCTTTGTAATGTAATTATGTTAAAGCAAAGATCCTAATGTCAGGGCAACCTGTACAGTCTTTTGACCAAGATTTTTATTTCTATCTGTCTCGTAGTTTAAAAAATGAAAATCGTGCATAGTTCTGCCTACATCCTCTCCTTGTTTTGTCTTTATCTCTCTGTGTTCTGCTTGCTCGACACACTTCCTCTCTTTAAGTAGATCAACTTCTGCTATTTCTATTAGTTAACTTTAATCATCCTCCTGAACTACAGGTGGCCCTTCTTTTTTTTTTTTTTTTTTTTTTTTTGACAGAGTCTTGCTCTGTTGCCCAGGCTGGAGTACAGTGGCGCAATCTCGGCTCACTGAAACCTCTGCCTCCTGGGTTCAGCAATTCTCCTGCCTCAGCCTCCTGAGTTGCTGGAGTTACAAGCGTGTGCCACCATGCCCAGCTAATTTTTTTGTATTTTTAGTAAAGATAGGGTTTCACCGTCTTGGTCAGGCTGGTCTCGAACTCCTGACCTGATGATCTGCCCACCTCAGCCTCCCAAAGTGCTGGGATTACAGGCGTGAGCTACCACGCCCGGCCCAGGTGGCCCGTCTGAGCTCTCTCAATACTTCCCATGTTACAAATGAAAACAATGAGGTTCAGAAATTAGTTACATTACTCACAACATAAGGCAAACATTCTAATTCAGAACTGATTTTTTCCAAAGCACATAGGTTTTACCCCATACTCTGTGGTCCACTCATGACTGGTTCATTTATGGTTGATTTAGGAAATTAAATTGTAAGAGATTGGACTTTTTTGATTACTTAACATTAATCATACCCTATGGCCAATTATCTTCCTGTGGAACATTTTCAATAACATGTAAATAAAATGTACATGTTCACATATTCACATATAAATAATATTTATTATTATTATTTCACCTGAAATTGATTTTTCTCTTCAGACTTTTAATAAGAATCATTTCACATAGCCTTGAAATTTTAAAAAAAATTATGCTGCTTTTACCTACAGATCTTGTCAAAAAATGTTCTCCAGGGGAGAAAAATCAAGCAATAAATAATGTACAAGGTTAACTCTAGTTTGATCAAAATAACATCTGCCATTAGTTTAGTTTGTATGATAGTACTGGCATTAGTATGTGTAAATATAACTATTGAAAAAGAGCCTATGCCAGGTTCCAAATGGCCAATAACTATAGTTAGCACTGGAGGCTGAAAATATTTCCAAGTTTATCTATATTTTGAAGTTTTGCTTGCAGTTTATTCTGTGATATTCTTCTTACTTTGATGAACAGGATTTCATTTTGTTTAAAGGATTATTTGCAATCTCATAAATAATAATTACTTTATTTTAAAATAGAGTATAGTCCTGAACTTCTGTTTTTTTTTTAAGATTGAAGTTATTGCTGAAGTGCTTCTCAAGTTTTATTTATTTATTTATTTATTTATTTTGAGGCTGAGTCTTGCTCTGTCACCCAGGCTGCAGTGCACTGGTGCAGTCTCGGCTCACTGCAACCTCCCCCTCCTGGGTTCAAGCGATTCTCCTGCCTCAGCCTCCTGAGTAGCTGGGATTACAGGCATGTGCCACCACACCCAGTTAATTTTTGTATTTTTAGTAGAGATGGTGTTTCATCCTGTTGGCCAAGCTGGTCTTCAATTCCTGACCTCAAGTGATTCGCCCTCCTCGGCCTCCCAAAGTGCTGGGATTACAGGCATGAGCCATCACGCCTGGCCCTCAAGTTTCTAAAAGCGCTAATTATTGTCAGTAACTTCTACTAAACTCTTGTTCAACTTCCATTTTCTGCATTTAATTATGTTAATCTGCTAACAAGCCAGACTGTGATATTCATTCATTCATTGAAATGATTTGAGTGACTATTATGGGTGAGGCACTGTACAGATACTGAGGATAAAATAGCAGGCAAGACAAAGTCCTTACCCTCATAGTGTTCAGTGGGGAACAGAGATGGTCAGCAGCTAGTAAGCAAATATCCCACCCACTGTTTCCCATCTTGGGGTGGTAAAGGAAAAGCTAAAAAGCAAAAACAGGTGAAAATTAAGGTTGAGAGTTCAATACTCTAGATTGAGTCTCATTGGTTCATACTTCAAAAAGATTCCCTTTGCCACAAATTCCTGAATCTTGGCTGTAGCACTTTTGTTGTATCACCATAATAACACTGTCTACTTCGCTTCCATAACAGAGTGGCAAAACTTGGCCTAGTTAAGACTGCAAAACAGGCAAAATTAGCATTAATAATTTATTTATTCATTCATTTCAACAAACATGTATTAGTTATGTTACATACTTTTGGAAGACCTGAATTGTAAAGATCAAAAATTATACACAGAAAGACTTCTGCTTTGGGGCAGGATGTGATAGGCCAATACTCTTACCTGAACAAATGGAAAATATTAAAAAAGTCATTTTCAAAAGCACCTGAGAGCTGTGAAAGCAACGAAGACTAAGTGAACTAAAATTCCAGAGAGAGAAAGAGAGAATAATTTCGAGGTGATCTGATGATTGCTGGCTATTTTTCTCTCAGGACATTTTGTTGGTTCTGGGAGTACACTGATGGTTTGGGCTTGACCCAGGTAGAGGGACTCTGCTGCAAAAAGAGAAACCAGTGAAGCTTTTAATAATCCTGTGGAGCACTGGAAACTTGAGGAGCCTCAAATGCATGCTTGTTTCTCCCCATTGTACTGAAATCTCCCACAGTCTCATAGAGCTTAGAAAACAAAGACTCTTCAGGAAGAGGCCTGCTTCAAACACATGTCCAATCTCCCTCTGAAGACATTTATCAGATCTTGAAGTTGCATGGGGGAGGAGGCCAAAAAGTAAGCTGAAAACTTCCAAATGGCAGAAATGTATCTCCTACAGCCTTTCAATATGAGGAAGAGCCAAAGAACCACCATGCTTGCAATGAAGAGCCTGGGATAGCCATGGCTCAGGAACATGATTAAATCAGAAATAGACTGACTTTTACTAAAACTTTATCTCTGTTCAATTTACGATTGGATTGAAGTGATTGGACCCTTTTATGTGCCAAACAGAGATGTATTAGTCTGCTTGAGCTGCCATAACAAAATAGTGCAGACCGGGTGGCTGACATAACAGAAAATTTACTTCTCACAGTTTTGAAGACTGAGAAGTCCACGATCAGCATTCTGGTTAGTTGGGTTTCTGGGGAGGCCCCTTTTCCTGGCTTGTAGACTGCTACCTTCTCATTACACCAGCACATGGCCTTTCCTCTTTCTGGGCTGCATGCTCATGGGGGCGGTGGGGGGCGGGGGGCAGGAGAGAGAGAGAGAGAGAGAGAGAGAGAGAGAGAGATGACTTCTCTCTCTTCCTCTTCTTATAAGGCCACCAATCCTATGAGATCAAAGTCCCACCCTTATGACCTAATTTAACCTTGATTACTTCCTTAGAGGCCTCGTCTCCAAATATAGTCATATTGGGGGTTAAGGCCTTAACAAATGAATTTAGGAGAACATAATTCAGTTTACAGCAAGAAGATAAATTATTTTTGCGTGGAATATAATAATATCTGAAACCTCCACAGGTCCTTTATACATAACATTCTACCTACAAATAAGAGTCACTACACATGTGAAGCAGCAATGTCATATGACCAATAATCAAGAGAGGAAAAAAAAGCAAAACAAGCAAATAGATGATCTGCATAATTGAAGTTAACAGACAAGAACTTTAAAACAACCATAATTGGGACTTCTGGATAGCTAAGGGCATAACAGCTGCACCATTTAGCTATATGCCTCCCTGTATTTCCTCCCTAAAGAATTAAAACCAACAAAAAATGGTATGTAAATCTAGACGAAACCATGCCTTCGGCATAACTTGAAGACAGAGAATGCTAAAATATTAAAATGACCGTGACTAGGCTGGGCACAGTGGCTCACACCTGTAATCCCAGCACTTTGGGAGGCTGAGGCAGGTGGATCACTTGAGGCCAGGAGTTTGATACCAGCCTGGCCAACATGGTGAAACCCTGTCTCTACTAAAAATACAACAAAATTAGCCAGGCATGGTGGTACCTACCTGTAATCCCAGTTACTGGGAGGATGAGGTACAAGAATTGCTTGAACTCGGGAGGGAGGTTGCAGTGAGCCGAGATTGTCCCACTGCACTCCAGCCTGGATGACAGAGTAAGACTCTGTCTCAAAAATAAAGTAAATAAAATGACTGTGACTAAACAGAGAAAGTCACTACATTCCAGTGTAAGATCTCATATTCTGGCTTGATCCCTGTATTGCACAAGGCTCTTTAGAGAGTAAAGACAGACTGAGAAAAACTTCAGGAAAGTAAAAAAAAAAAAAAAAAAAAAAAAAAAGGGAGAAACTAGCAAAAGGGCCTAAGGTTCATAAAAAACTACCATCAAAAAGACCAGGTTGATCTTACCTATGAAAATATTTTAACAATATCCTGGCAGAGCATAGCATGGATTGCAGGGAAAGAACTTCAGAGTATGCATGATTAAAAGGGTCAGGAGTTATTTAAACAGCACTGTTCAAAACATATTGTTAAATGGGAGAAAAAAAGACAAAAAGGAAGAGGGAAGCACCCTTTGCAACTGGACGGTGAAGGGGAAATAAGCAATTGGTGTAAGGATTAGGGTCTTGCAAAATGAAAGAGAAACACAACATTGGAAGGTTTATAGTCTTTCTGCCACCACTAAAACAATGAGCAAATGACCCCTAAAGCATATGAACCTCACTATATTGCTAATGAATGAAGCCATTAAACTAGGAATCTTATGATCATAGTACCATAAAAATGAAAAGATACATCAACAGATTCATCCAGAGCCTTTGCCAAGAAAGCAGGGAAGACAATTCTACATATATCATCCATGTAACAACCCCCATACTCCTTGAAAAAAACCCTGAAGCAGAAAAATTCTGTAAGTCAACATTCCAAACTGGATCATATACATTCATTCAAGCATTTGAGAATATGGAAAAAATGCTTGAATTGGAAACTCAAAAATTAAGAACAGAAGTGGATAAAAACTTCACAAGGGAAAAAATGAAAACAGAGTTGACAAGTCAGGAAAGAAATGGAAGAAAAATACAAAATTATCCAAGAAAGAAAACAAATTACAAGATTCTCAAAGAAGAATAGACACACATGAAGATTTAATAGGCAAAGAAGGAAAGCAGGAAATTATTAAATGAGAGACTAAAGTAAAAAGAAGGTAAAACTAGTCAAGAGAAAGCAATAGAAATGGAAGAAAGGCAAAGAAGGACAGTACATAAAAAACCACAGACATATTCTTGACTATTGATATGAAAATACTAAATAAATATTAGCAAGCAGAATCCAATATCCCATTGAGAAATACACCTAACCAAGTGGCATTTATTCTAGGAATGCAGTTTGTTCAATATTAGTAAATCCATTGATATCATCCTATACTATATCAATAGTTCTAAAGAAAAATCACATGATTATCTCCATGGATGCTAAAAAGGCTGTGACAAAATTCAAGTAAAAATTCTCAATAAAAATACATTCACAATAAAGCTACTCAGAAACAGGAATTGAGGAATACTTTCCCACATGATAAAATTGATGTGTGTGGACACACACACGTACACACCTTAAGTCTTCAATCTAGTATATTATGTAATGGGGAAACACTAGTGGCAATTCAACTAATATCAGGAACAAGCAAAGAATGCCCACTACCTCTGTTCCTATTTAACCCTATAGTAATGTTATTAGCCAATGCAATTATACCAGAGAAATCAAGTAGATGCACAGGAATAGATTAAAGAATGTAAATAATAGTATAACTGGAAAGCCTTAGAACATTGCAGGATTCTTAAGGGATAAGCAAAGAAAGTGATCGCCTGAGATAGAAGTGTCTCTTGCTGTGAATATTGTTGAAATGACAACAAAGGATTTAGAATATTACACAAATTTAGTTAATAAAGCAGCAAAAGGGTTGCAGAATTGACTCCAATTCTGAAAGAAATTCTACTTCTACTGTGGATAAAATGCTATCAAACAGCATTGCATGCTACAGAGAAGTCTTTCATGGAAGGAAGAGTCAATCCATGTGACAAACTTCATTGTTATCTTATTTTAAGAAATTGCTACAGCCACCCCAACTTTTAGCAACTACCACTCTGGTCAGTCAGTAGTTATCAATGTCGAGCCAAGAGCCTCCACCAGCAAAAAGTTTACAACTTGCTGAAGGCTCAGATGATGGTTAGCATTTTTAGCAATAAAGTTTTTTTGTTTTGTTTTTGATTTCTTTTCTTTCTTTCTTTCTTTTTTTTTTTTTTTTTTTTTGAGGCAGAGTCTTGCTCTGTCACCCAGGTGGGAATAGTAGTGTGATCATGACTCACTGCAGCCTCAACCTCCTGGGCTCAAGTGATCCTCCCACTTCAGCCTCCCAAGTAGCTGGGACTATAGCCCCCACACTTGGCTAACTTTTAAATTTTTTGTAGAGACGGGGGTCTCACTGTGTTGCCCAGGCTGGTCTTGAACTCCTGGCCTCAAGTGATCCTCCATCCTTGGCCTCCTAAAGTGCTGGGATTACAGGCATGAGCCACCATGCCCCAAAATATTTGTACATTGCTTTTTTAGACATAATGCTATTGCACACTTAATAGACTACAGTGTATTGTAAACATAACTTTTATATGCACCAGGGAACCAAAAATTTGTGAGACTCACTTTATTCGAGACCCTCAGTATCTCCAAGGTATGCTCGTATAAGAAAATGTATGTATGTCTGCTAATTTGTACAAAAAAGAAAATATAACCCTGACCTTAAAGAAACTAGTTACCTATGGGGCATGAGGGAAGAAAGAATAGCTGAAATTGAAATGGAGTAGTAAGGATAAGAAGAAAATGATACTTCTCTAAGTATACCTTAATGTATAGCTCTGACTCTCAGAACCCAGGGCCTGCCAGTTGGTTTAGCACGACATGAGGCCCACAGCCGGGTCTTCCTCAAGGTTGGACACAGGAGGCCACCAGGGATGCAATACTCAGTCCTTAGTTTTGCACTCTTCACACAAACTAGATTCCATTTATAAAATAACTTATAGTTCTTTGTCTAGATTTTTTAATCTGAAAATAATACTCTATTTAGAGCAATGGTTAAAAGAAAAATCAATTTTTAACTACCAAATGAATAATTTTATTTCTAATCTGCCAATTACGAGCTTATAACCAATCCTTTTTAACACCCACAAGGTGCCCCAGGCACTTTTCACAGCTCTGGACAATCAAACTAGCTAATTCTCAGATGGTTGACTTGGTGCAGGGGTTAATTACCTCCTTAACGCGTTCCTCTGTCTTTCTGAGCACTAACTGCTGTTAATTACCTTCAATTTTTTGTGGTAAGAACATTTAAAATCTACTCTGAGCAATTATGAAATATACATTAGTATTTATTATAGTCACTATCCATTGTACCCCATAAATATATAACATATAGTATTATTATTTGTCTATTAAAAATAAAATCTAAAGAAATTATCTTCAGTTTGTGAGGCAATCACAGGAGAAGGACAAAGGGAAGACTGGGAACTTGTACACTCTGCATTTCATCATTTGTGTGCAATTACTAAACCAGTTGAGGAGCCTCCTCTTTTCACACTCGGTGGCTTGCGTTGTGCCATATTTGCTACAAAGACTTATTATCACCATAAGCCATATGTCCTGATTATCCTGGTTTAACTCTATTAAATTTGAACCTTTTAATTTAAGTTGCTAATGTTATTTAGCCTTGTTTCCTTGGTATAGGTCGCAAAATTAGAGCTGTATTTGAATTCTGACTTTTGCTTACTGACGTTGGGCAAAACCCCTTTGAATCTTGATTTTTCCATCTCTAAACTTGCAATAATAATAATTGTATATAATAAAACCTATATCACAGTGCCAATTACCAGTAACATTTAATAAATCAATTTCTCCCCATTTATTTGTATTTAATCTTCCTCTGTAGTCAGTGAGAACTCATATTCTATCACTTTTTTTTTTTTTTGAGACAGGGTCTTGCTTTGTCACCTAGGCTGGAGTGCAGTGGTGTGAACACAGCTCACTGCAGCCTTGACCTCCTGGGCCCAAGCAACCCTTCTGCCTCAGCCCCAAAAGTAGCTAGGACTACAGGTGCATGCCACCACACCCAGCTTATTTTTGTATTTTTCTTAGAGACGGGGTTTCACCATGTTGCCCAGGCTGGTCTGGAACTCCTGAGCTCAGGCCATCCACCCACCTCAGCCTCCCAAACTGATAGGATTATTACAGGCATGAGCCACTGCACCTGGCCCTGTTGGTACTTTAAAAGATTACACAGAACTGAGTTTCCTAAGGTCATTTGTCTCAGTCAAGGTTTGTGACTGCAAGCAACAGAAACTTTAACTTTGGCTGATTCAAGGAGAAAATTAATTAATGGATATTGGGCAGATTATAAAATTTCCAGGAAATCTTGAGAACCAGACTTGGAGACTACATAATCAGGAAAAAACGCTGCAAAATAAGCCTCAGAACTATTGGGAGCCACACCTCTGCTTTTGCAGTGGGTACAGGCATCTTTTCTGATCCGGGAGTCAGAATGACACTACCAGATCACTGAGCGTTGGTCTCTAGGTGTGACCGTGGTAGAATTGAGTCCTTGGCGATCTCTGATTCTTCATGTCAACAGCTTCTGAACCAAATTCTAGGGCACACTCATCAGATTAGCCAAGGCTACAGCTTTTGTCTGTGCACTGGCTACAGAGGAGAATGGAAAAATGTCTGTGAGATTTTTTTCAACTTATCTAGGGGGAGTTGAACCATGTCTCATAAAGTGAGGTCTCTCAAAATAGGAAAGGGGGTCAGGTACTGGTCAGTCAAAAAAAATGACAAATGCCTACTACAGAATTTCAGGAGATGTACTAGGCATCGCATGAAAAAATGGGGGTATATTCCATAATCAAATAAATTGGGTGTATTTGTCAGGGTTCTCCAGTGAAACAAACAGAACAATAGGAGATATATCTATATCTACATCTGTATCTAATACATATCTATATCTGCATGTGTGTGTATGTATACACACATATATATATCACACTAAATAAGATTGTGCAGAATTGGCTTGTATGATTATGGGGGCTGTGAAGTCCCACAATCTGCCATCTATGAGCTGGAGACCCAGGAAAGCCGGTGGTGCAGTTTGAAGGCCTGAGAGCCAGAGAGACAATGGTGTAGATTCCAGTCTGAGTTTGAAAGCCTGAAAACCAGGAGCACTGAGGACAAGAGCAGATCAATGTTCCGGATCAAGTAGGCAGAGGGCAAATTCAACTTTCCTCAGCATTTTTGTTCTGTTCAGGCTTCAACTGATTGGATGATGCCTTCCCATATTGGAAAGGGTCATTGCTTTACTCAGTTCACCAATTCAAATGTTAATGTCTCCACAAACATTGTCATAGACACATCCAAAAATAATGTTTATCCAAATATTTAGGCATCTCATGGCCCAGTCAAGTTAATTCTTAAAATTAACTCTCACATTGGGAAAACGCTCCTTCCCCTTCTTTCTTCCCCCTACCCCACCCCCTTGCTCTACCTTCACCTTGCTTAAACCTTCTCATTCTTCAGGCAACTTCTCTCTCTCCTCACTCAAGAAAGTGTATGGAATTTTAGTAAAAGGTAATGGCATAAGGCTAAGGATAATTTTGAAGTCTCTCTAATTTCAGATAAAGAGATAAATCATTATATATGTTTTATATGTATTGATTATTATCAGCAAATATATTAGGCTATAGTTGATTATGAAACACAGTAAGTCATGATGTTATGACTGAAGCATGTGGATTTAGGTCAAACAGTATCAGAAAAACAGTCTTAAAATATACTGGTTGGAAGTTTTTCTGTGAGCAACACTAACACTCAACCAAGACCCCAGTGTGTTTTGCTACATCCGCCTTCCCTTCTTTACTTTCTATTGAGGAGAGCAGTCTATGTTGTTGCTAATATTACTTTGTTGTGATGTCCACTTAAGCTTCCAATATCTTTCTAAGTAACCTTCAATCAATTCTAAATAACTACAAATTTAAATACAACTTTGTAACTAGCTAACATTAATTGCTGCTTTCCACAATTACAGTGTTTCTCAAATGATTATGTCCATAAGCTAGTTAATGTACAGCGCTCTCCATTCTAGCCTATTATGTCTACAAATCATTCTGTGGCATCTGGTAGTGCTGATTTGTGTGTTATCCTGTCACCTTATTGAGCTTTTATCCTGTTAGTGACCCTGCTGCCACAAGCCTCACATCATTTAGTATAAATTAGCTGTGGCTCCATGCTTTACCAGTGGAGTTGTGTGTGGGTATGTTTATCTTAAAAAAAAAAACCTACTGTTTTGTTAGTATCTTAATTTTTTATTTTATTTTTCCAGATTTTTTTCAACTTTTATTTTCAATTTGGTGGTACATGTACAGGTTTGTTACCTGGGTATGTTGCATAATGCTGAGGTTTGGGGCATGAATGATTCCGTCACCCAAGTACTGCACATAGTCCTCAACAGTTAGTTTTTCAACTCTTGTCCCTCTCTCTCCCTCCCTCTTCTAGTGGTCCCCAGTGTCTATTGTTGCCATCTTTGTCTATGTGTACTCAATGTTTAGCTTCCACTTATAAGTGAGAACATGTGGTATTTACTTAAGACCAAATGTTTTCTGTTTGCTTGTTTTTCTTAGAGACAGGGTCTCACTTTGTCACCCAGGCCGGTACAATCATAGCTCACTGCAGCCTCAAACCTTGGGCTTAAGCGATCCTCCCACCTCAGCCTTCCTGGGACTACAGGTGCGAGTCACCAAGCCATCTCACAAATGTTTATTAATCAGTATCTAGCCAAGGTATTGCCAGAGACTTTAATAACCTAGAGCAAAATCCAATGTGTTTGTCATTGGCTGTCACCTCCAGAAAGATAAAGGCATTTGTCTAAATTTAGCGTAGAAGTCCCATGAATGACCCCATCTCCAATCTGGGCCTGTTTCCTTCCATTGTTGATGAATATTTCCTGATATATCTTAAATTTCGCTTCCTTACTGAAATGGTTCTTGGTGCCTCATTCTGAGTCCCCATCACCAGTACCCTTCTTTCACAAAATACTGCCTTGGGGTGTGGATAAAATGGACATCAAATGGAGCGTCCCACTATGGATTTAGAACATCCTTCACTTTGCCAGTTCCCAGTTTTCATTACACCTGGCAATACAGATACTTGCCAAGACATCTCACATTCCATTGATAGTGCTGGTCCGGCAAAATTTAAAATGCATCACGTCTGTCTTTTCTTGTATTCTTTTTGACAGCATTTTTGAAGTATAAGAAATGAAAATAAAATAAGGGGGAATCATCAGCAGAGAAGAAACTGAAAGGTGCTTGCAAAATCCTTAGTCTATGTAGTCTACATATTTCAAGATCCAAATGAGCAAAGGATTACTTAGATACATAATTAGGAAACTTAAACTGGTCCTGTTGCTTTAGAAGCTTTAAAATTTATTTTAATGTGTCAGGAACAGTAATTAGTTATATTTGAATACATAACAATGTATAATGTAATATAACATAACATATAGAATATTATTAATAATATAATATCTCTAGCTCTCTATCTACACACTTCTTACATCAACACTATGGCATAAGGATTAAGGGAAATACGAATTATCTGGTTCGAAGCAATTAATTCTCCTGTCTGAAAAATTAGTCTCTAATTTGTATTTGATGTTTGTTTCTGAATTACTCCTATATGTTTTATTCTTCAAGATCCCCTAAAGGAATTAAATAATGTTAGGCGACCTACTAGAACAGCACTTCTAGTAGCAGAAAATTAGGCTAGCATCCTCCAGAGATTTGCCAGAAAAATTAGCAGCAGAGGGTATAAAAGCAGCAACTAATTCTGCTAGAAAATGAGCAGAAGCGAAAGTACTAATCTTATTAGCAGCAGTGTCATCAGTCAAAACAGTAAGAATGTAGGAATGAGGCTTTGAAGGCTATTTTATCTTCGAGACTCCATTTCTCTTCTTATAAGACCAATGGCAGGATAAAGAATAATGGCAGCAAATGAAACCCAACAGAGATGAAAAAGAAGAATTTTGTCATTCTTCTGTCACATTATTTCATAAAAACTGGGCATAGCTCAAGAGTGACTTTGGGCATACACAGCACCGATTGCCCAGATACCACAAGAAGCTGTCACTGTGTTCAAATTATACTGAACACTTTGCAAGAAAGGTCCCTCCGTGGAGGGTTGGCTAGAGTGCATAGTCTAATGGATTCAAATAGAGAAGCCATGCACCAAGCTCCATCCTCCTGCAGAGAAAACAGTGAGCTTTGGGCTGGTCCAGCCCACACAATCCAGAGGCCATGAAGATGGACCATGGACCAGGGAGCTACGTTCTGTTTATTTACCTCTATCTACAGAGACTGTATTAATATTTTTGCTCTCTGAGTATGTGGCCCCAGGATGTTTGGTGGCATGAGTGCTTCATTTCACCTTTAGTTCAGTGTAAAGTTCTGAGTTAATAAATGCTTAGAGTTTGATGAGAAACCCACTTTTCCCAAAGAAAATGGAATCAAAAACTATATCATAGGAAGATGATCTCACTTTTCACCACTATGTTAGACATAATCTTAGGCTAGGGCTAAATGCTAAAACTTGTTTGTTTACATTGAAATTTTCCCCTGATATGAAATGACCTAAATTTTATTCCCAGCTTTTAGGGCCTCTGGTCTCTCATCTGTAAATTTTCTAAGTCTCCTTCCAATGTTAGCATTTAGATTTTGTGAGTAATCAAGTCAGAGTCACAACAACTGAAGTAGTTAAAACATGTAGACATAGGTGGTTGCATGGAGTCTAGTGAGGACATTTTAAAAAATGGACTTTTTGGTCACCCAATCCCATGGCATTGACTTAATTTCCAACCAGATAGCAATCTCTGGTGACTTGACAGCAGAAACAACTTAATCAAAATGCAATTACTTTCCCATTTCCATATTCTTTGTTGAATTGATCAAATATTCATTTCATGAAACCCAAATAATTGTTGATTTTTTTCCTCAACACAATTATGGAATTCTAAGTGTCAATATAGTTATTCAGGCTGAATAACAAAACAGTCTCTTGTGATAACTTGCAAAGAAAATTGTGGTAAAGCCAAAAGTAGTGCTGAGTAGATGAACAATCCCCCACCCAGTACTGTGCTTGGCACTAGACTGCTCAAAACTGTTGTCTTCCCTCCTCTATATTATCTGCTTTGCATAGGGAAAATCATTGCCTATATCCACAACACTCCAAAATGCTATCAGGCAAGCAAGATTTGCTTCAGTTTCTCAAGCTGGGAGGTAGAGACTGGGATCCCATAGTTGCCTGCTGTGGGTTTGTATCTGCCTCATGTATTCCTATTTTATTTGCTTTTTAAAATAGCAAAAGCAATGATTTTACTTCTGAGAGCCACTCTTCCCTGACTCTTGGCCATGAGATTTAGGTGACTGGTACCAAAGTGGAACTGGCTCCATTCCTGGCTAATTAGCAAGTTCAAACACAATGATTCTTGTATCATGATAGGTGAAAAACTAGTTTACCCTTGGACTTACTGGTAATGTGATTTTCTAAATTCCATTTCTTAATAACAAAAAGAATTCTAGCTCTGTTATTTTAGAGCAAAGCCCTTTGCTGTCTACGCAGGTCAATTCCATTTTGTGTGGCCACAGTGCCACTAAGGACATGGCATTTTTCTTAGCCAATGACAGTCCCATACTTGCCTACAGCTTTGATTTTCCGATATCCCTGCAGGATAAGACACTATTGATTTTGAAGGTCACAAAGGCTAATGCTTGAAAAGGAATACCAAGAAATATGCAGTTAGGGCAGAGCTAGTAGTAAGTGAATGGAGTATAGGAACAACTTTCCCCCAATTTCTAGGTAAGGGGCAGTGGGCTTTTCCTAGGAGACAGAAGAGAAGAATGCATATTTACCTATAAAAGCCTATAACAGTACTGTGAAACAGAGAGAAAGAAATGGCTGTTGTTATTCTGTACACCATAATCTCTGAAGGAATGAAAGAACATTTGAGTGGCAGGCAAATATCCTTCTAGAGCTTTTGCTTCTTTCTTAGGAGAGGCAGTGCAGCATAATGGTTAAAATCATAGACTCCGGGGTCAAACTACCTAGTTCCAGTTCCGCCATGGGTCATTTACTAGCTGTGTGATCTTGGGCAAATTATTTAACTTCTCTGTGTTTTCATTTCCTCATTTATACAGTGGGGATTAAAGCTATCTTACAGGGATTTTTAGAAGGAATTAATGCACACAAAATGCTTATAACAGTGCCAGGCATGTGCATGCTACTGGAAACCTAAATGTTATAAATGCTTGTAAGACTTTCTAAATCTAATATAAATTCATGATATAGTGAATGCTACTTTTATTCTTATGCAGTAGCATTGGATTTTCTTGTTAGTGTTTGCTTTTTATACAAATAAATGTCATGATCACTTCATAGCTTTTAGATTTATGTCTCCATCTCACCTGATCTCCAGGTTCTTTTCTCAACTACTGTGTTTCTGATATTGGCGCCTCCATTATCAAGTCTAAACTCAAAACCTTGAGATCAAAGAGGGGTGACTTTACCAGATTTGAGCCAAGGCTGGAAGCCAGGAGACAGAGACAGAGTCCCATCTCACCACTAATAGTTGTGTGACTTGGAGGTGAGGATGTCTCTGTGCTTCTCTTGTCTATAAAATGAATATAAATATTCCTCTTGAGCCTATGAGGGGCTGTCGTAGGAGTCAGTCTTCCTCGTACAGGGCTGCAAGTGTGGATCTGAGTGGTTCCTAAACTGGGAACTTCCTGAGGTGATGGCCACACCTGCCTATTCACCATTGCATCCCTCTGCCAGGCCACATGGTTGATGCTGAAATGTTTGTTGAATAAGTGGCTTACAGGTAAGAGCTGCTTCAACTCTAGGGATGACAACTGTCTAATTGCCTCAAGGATAGCACACAGGGACTACCCTTAATAAGCATTTATTCTGCACAAAAAAAAAAAATTAGGCCAAATCACTTTCTGGGTCTCTAATATCGTTAATCCCAGTTACTAATTGTCCCAAGTGAAAGCTGAAATTTATTTGTTTGTAATACTGCTTTCATTTTAATTTTAGTCTGACAGGCTTTTTTACATCATGGATTAGTGCTGCATGCAGGGATATGCCTTTAATTTATTTCTGTTCATAAGACTTCATTTTTTAAAAAAGGAGAAAATAATTGAAATTGCTTGCATAAGTTTCAGGAACAACCATGAAATCTTTTGGTGGGCATTTTATGAATGTGTTTATAATAGTTCCTTCATGCAGTCACATTGAGGAAAATATATTGCCTTTATGTGTTATGTTTCTTTGTTTCTGTTGGTAAGTTTAGAATAACCTTTGGCAAGGCTGACTATAGATTATATTCGTAAAGCTATATTGAAGCTTCATTATTCACTGTATCATGGATTTATATTAGATTTAGAAAGTCTTGAAAAGCATTTGTAACTTTTAGGTCTCCAATAACTTGCTAAAAGGAAGATCTTAAATAATTTGTTGGGTAAGGCATCAGTGAAACCAAAAAGGACTTTATTTATTAAGGAAATAGTTGCTGCAACCTCTTGGAACAAAAGCTCTTTTCCTGTTGTATTTATTGTGTTCAATCTTTAGTGTGTGAGTTTGAGAACTAAATGTTTAAAGACTGACATTTGATGGTGGCAGCAAACAGAGCATTCAGATGAGCATTAATTGTTTTGGCATTAAGTATTAATAGCAGATATTTGTTAGCCTTGCTCAATTTTGATAACAATTTTAGAAGTAAAGAAAAATTTGCTTTTATTCAGGTGGAAAGTGACACAACTGAATGATGATTTTCTTGGTAACATTTGGAAGGGCCACGAGAGCTGCTGGGATTGGGCTTGCTGTGTTTCCTTGATGAATTTCACCTTTAAAGGAGCTTGCTGCATGAGAGAGGCTGTCTTGTAAGTAGCAGTTTATCATAAATTGGCCTTGGGGCTAGGCGTGGTGGCTCAAACCTGTAATCCCAGCACTTTGGGAGGCCGAGGCAGGTGGATCAACTGAGGTCAGGAGATTGAGACCAGCCTGACCGACATGGTGAAACCCTGTCTCTACCAAAAATACAAAAATTAGCTGGGGGTGGTGGTGCCTGCCTGTAGTCCCAGCTATTCAGGATGCTGAGGCGGGAGAATTGCTTGAACCTGAGAGGTGGAGGTTGCAGTGAGCCAAGATTGTGCCACTGCACTGCAGCCTAGGCAACAGAGCGAGACTCCGTCTCAATTAAAAAAAAAAAAAATGGCCTTCATAACCATTTTTGTTCCAAAGAGCTTTGGAACAAAAGCCCTTTTCCTGTCATATTTATTGTGTTCAATCTCTAGTGTGTGAGTTTGAGAACTAAATGTTTGAAGACTGAAATTTGATGGTGGCACCAAACAGCATTCAGATGAGCATTAATTTTTTTGGCATTAAGTATTAATAGAAGATATTTGTTATGATACTTTACCTATATAGTATATATTACATTAAATTTATGATATATGTATTTGAGAACTTTATAAACGCCTCTGGCTTATTAAATAGATAACAAAAATAAACGTGTTTGTAAGCCTTGAGACATCTTAAATTCAGTCTGGATTTGTGAAATCCAGAGAAGGACTCTATTGAAAAGTTGTGCCACAAATGGGGCAAAAAAATCACTCTCACTGGGCTTGCCATGAATAGTGAACATCAGAAGTGCAACTGAATTGGGCCACATTCATCCACTGAACAAATATTAAATGCAAACTCTGAGCCTCAAGTCTCCATTAAAAGTGGAAGGAAAGGCAAGAACCAGCCTATAGAGTCCTACTTTGATTTTTCTAGTGGTTGTATAGTTAAAATTTCAAGGTATGCAGTACATAATGGGAATATTATTCCTTCATGCCACACTTATTAAACCTTACCATAACAAATCCCCTGAAGTAAGGGCATGAAAGCAGGAAGAAAATCCAGTCCCAAGCCTCAAGATTATGGCAATTACTCGGAGTGTAGAAATAATATGGAAAAACACAAACAGTGTTGGTCCAAAAACCTGAAGCAGGAGATCACTAAATCCTGACTTTATTTCTTCTTTTTACATACAGTCTAAGTGGTAAAAGCTGCTGCAGGTCTGGGCAGTGCTTCCAACTATGATTTCATTGGGCCCTTCAAGTTCATTTCTGTTTACTGGGCTTCCCTCCATGTTGTGCCTGCCCAAGAGGAACTCAACTACCCTTTTTTAAAAAACAGCCTGCAGTCTCCAAGAAGCCTCGTCAGTCCAGTTGTTCTCTCTGGCAAGAAGCCGAGCTACAGGCTCTGGCTTTGGCCATGTGCCTGTTCACAGGCTTCTTGACTTCTCTGCACTCAGCCATAGCTTATGAGCCACATCATGGCCTATGCATTGTGCTGTTTGCTTCCTTTTCTGGTCCTGCTTGTCTCTGGGAAAGAGATGTGATGTGTCCTGTATTTGTTGACTATAGTCCACGGCATGTCTGACTTTAACTCATCTCCTTCACTTGTCTTGATGCAGCATTTGGTACAGTAAAGTAGGAGGACAAGGTCTGACCCTACCTTTGCTGTTTATAGGAGCTGTGCAATCTTGCAAAACAGTTAACCCTCCCAGCCATCCACTTAAAAATTTGTTTAGAAATATATTGTTTTAGAGATGGGGTCTCACTCTACTGCCAGTGGAGTGCAGTTGGTGTGATCATAGCTCACTACAACCTTGAACCCCTGAGCTGAAGCAATCCTCTTGGCTCAGCCTCCTAAGTAGCTCTGACTACGGGCATGTGCCAACATGCCTGGCTAATGCTTAAAATTTTTTTGTAGCAATGGGGTCTCACTGTCTTGTTCAGGCTGGTCACAAACTCCTGGCCTCAAGCAATCCTCCCACCTCAGCTTCCCAAAATGCTGGGATTATAGGCATGAACCACTGCGCCTGGCCAGTCCTCCAACTTTAAAGGGGATAACAGTTTTTAACTTCATCTGATTGCTATGAGGACTAAACGAGCTAGTTTAGGTAAAATGCTCAGCATATAATTGTGCTCAATACATTTTAGTTAGCATCTCTTCCATTCCAGTTCCCCACTCTAATTAGCCAACCTCCATACTTGTGCACCTGAACAATTTACCAGTTTAGCTCCTAAATATTCACTTATTACACTCATCAACCAAGCTTCCTCCAGCCCTCCACAGACAGCCCCAGGCCCCTTGCCTGTTGTCAGTCAGGGAAGGGGGCAGTTTCCATTACCCATCCACTGTTCATGAAATGAAAGTGGTTCCCACAGACAAGCTCATGCATCTTATACACAATCAGCGCTCAAAAAGTGATTATTCAAATGAAGGGGATGATGGGTATAGGAATGAAGGTTTAGCTCAGGCTAATCCCTGATGGAGCACTCATATGCCAGGCACTAAGCTGGGTAATGAATAAACCAGGTGTGGATCCAGTTGTCCTGGGGCTTTCAGGACAACTTTTTTCTTTGTTTTGTAATTCCTCTAAACACCAAGTAAAATGGTTTACATGCAATGGATTTTGATAAACTTGTTGACTCTAAGATCAGTTAACAGGGAGCCAGAACAGAATTCTTATGGCAACAAGCATGTGTCCCCTTGGTTAAGTGACTTACCTGTGTTGGGTTTCTGATTCCTTATCTGTATGATGATAGGCTTGGCCTATGTTGTCTTCAGAGATCCCTGGGTGTTCTAAATGGTTGTAAAATTTTAAGATAATGTTGAGGCAGGTACACTAGGGTAAACTGTGTTTTAAGTGAGGGGGTAGGACTTTGAAAAATAAGATAAATTACCATAGCATTTCTGAAAGGAACATGAAAGTCTTTAGGATCAGTTTCATAGATTGATTTTGAGTTATCATGGCCTCAGTGATAAGATTTTTGTTTCAAAATTAGAATATAAAAATTAAAAATGAATTAAGCTGACATCAGGTACAGCATGGAGTTAACACTGGGTCATTTAAAGCAGCTGATATGAAATTTTAGTTTCTCTATAAATATTTGGTGACAAAGTCTCTTTTCTTCCCGAGAAAGGTAAATATGCCCCTTATCCAAAAACCACTACATAAAGGGTAAAATTATTCACAAAACTTACCTCAGTATGAGTCTGAGGTAATGATTTCCATGGACAATTAGGTGTATGGATCCAAGTTTTCTACAAATTATACATATTTGTATTTACAGTGTGATTTGTGTTTATTAAATGACTGTTGATTGAGAGAAAAGTATATATTATATAATCCATGCTTCTATGATTAAAAAAACAACCTAAATCCCACCATAATCAATTTTGTTAAGTGCAGAAATGTCAGGGAAAGTATATTATAGGTCCCCCCATTTTTTCCTTATATCAATATTTGAAGTTGGGTTATACCCACACAGACCTTTAAGAAACCTAAAAGGTAGTTCATTAAAAATTACAAAGTCAGGAAACAACAGGTGCTGGAGAGGATGTGGAGAAATAGGAACACTTTTACACTGTTGGTGGGACTGTAAACTAGTTCAACCATTGTGGAAGTCAGTGTAGCGATTCCTCAGGGATCTAGAACTAGAAATACCATTTGACCCAGCCATCCCATTACTGGGTATATACCCTAATGACTATAAATCATGCTGCTATAAAGACACATGCACACGTATGTTTATTGTGGCATTATTCACAATAGCAAAGACTTGGAACCAACCCAAATGTCCAACAATGATAGACTGGATTAAGAAAATGTGGCACATATACACCGTGGAATACTATGCAGCCATAAAAAATGATGAGTTCACGTCCTTTGTAGGGACATGGATGAAATTGGAAATCATCATTCTCAGTAAACTATCGCAAGAACAAAAAACCAAACACCGCATATTCTCACTCATAGGTGGGAATTGAACAATGAGATCACATGGACACAGGAAGGGGAATATCACACTCTGGGGACTGTTGTGGGGTGGGGGGAGGGGGGAGGGATAGCATTGGGAGATATACCTAATGCTAGATGACGAGTTAGTGGGTGCAGCGCACCAGCACGGCACATGTATACATATGTAACTAACCTGCACAATGTGCACATGTACCCTAAAACTTAAAGTATAATAAAAAAAAAAAAGAAAAAAAAATCTGCCATTTTGCAGAGCCTAAAATAAGTGACCTTCTCAAGGTCACTCCATGAATTAATAGCAAAGCTAGGATTCTAATTCTCTTCTTTGATCAATTAATCCCAAAGATTCTGTACTCTGAATGTGGAGCAAATGGTCACTGATCATATTTGCTACTTGTCTTTTAAAGGTGTTCAGTTTAGACAGCTCAGAGTGTGCATACTTTATGGATCCTTGTTTAGCTGTTTCTTTCAGTCAACCTGCTCATTCCTCGGCTATATATTTTATTTCTTCTTATAGCTAAATACTACTTATACTTTTAACAGTTTCCTTTCTACCTTTGTCTTTGTTTCTATTTCTGCATCTTGTATATTTACCTTCACTTATTTCACTTTTGATCTCACTAGACTTGGTCCAAGTGGTGGTGCAGGTCCAATGAGCTCTATGGCATCTCTATTCAGGGTTCTTAGAAGGATTTTACTTTCAATTTTGAAAGCTGGTGCATGTGCATTCATATTTGGTATTTTTTTATTTCAATTATTCTTGAGCTGCTATCAGACATTTAGTGTTGACTGTGGAAACTTTTTATCTCTCTCGTCTGACACTTTGAAGACAAATTCCTTTATCCTGGATCATCCTAGGGAACCACACTATTAAGTACTGGATGGAATGCCAGATATGACCTGACAGATTTGTTTGCTAGCAGTAACCTTTTAAAGAGGATAGGAGGTGGGGGAATAAGCACATAAAATAACTGAAGGAGAAAGTAATTAAATTTTTGATGCTACTTAGGTGAAGAAAGTTGTTACATTAACTGAGGCAGGTGGTTAAATACCAGATTCTCTCATTCTAAACTGGTGAAACACATTGTCCCGGAAAAACACACTTTTCTTCACCTCAGCTTCCTCAAGGAACTAAAGTCATTTCCCACAGCTAAGTGAACCTATAGGTTTATAGTGTCTCAGTTTCCAATATAGGCTAATTTAGCTAAAGGGAAATTAATCACTGGGACACTGAGTTAATAATACACATCCAGAAGAGTCAATGTAAAAATTGATGGGGAGGAGTTCTTCTTCTGGTTATATCAGATTAGCTTGTATCAGACCAACCCTCCTATTCAATACAATTATAAAAGCTAGATAAAGAAAAATGTTTAAAGGCATCCAAGAGTTTCCTCTCTGTGCTTGAGAGAATGTGACGCTGGACAGAAGGGAGGCAAAGAAAGAATCTGCCATTTGGCTCAAAATTTCATCGGAGCCATTTTCTTATTTATAAGCAGCAGCTGAAATATAGAAAAGCTGAGTGGTGCTTTTGGCAGGCTCACGGAGATGATGAGGTAAAAATTGGAGTATAAGACCCAAGGAAGAAGAAAGCTAGTTAAAAACTTCAGACTTTCAATCCCCACCCTGCACTGACTCCCCCGCACTTGATGACTTAAAACTTAAAGTAAATAAGAAATAGACCAGCCCTCACAAAGACAAAAACCAAGATTTGAGTCACCTCAGTCCCCAATTAGATTAAAGTGATCTGCTTCTAACCTAATTGCCTGACAGAAGCTGAAGTATATTTTCTCTAGGCGGAAGGTGACATCATCCAGAGCCTCAAATTATCTCTACAATCTTTCAAAAACAATGTCTGGCATTTAATAAAAAATTAGCTGGATAAAAAAAAAAGAAAAAACTCCTTATCAGTCTGTTTTAGGCAAAGATTTCTTAAACATGATACCAAAAGCACAATCTATCAAAGAACAAATTGATATATTGAACGTCCTTAAAAATGAGACCTTTTGTTTTTCAGAAGACATTGTTAAGAGAATGAAAAGACAGCTACAGAATGAGAGAAAATATTTGCAAATCACATTTCTGATAAAGGACTTGTATCCAAAATATGTAAAGAACTCACAAAACACAATAATAGAAAAGAAGGAATTCAATTTTTTTAAATGGGCAAAAGTTTTGAAAGGACCCTTCACTAAAAACAATATGTAGATGACAACTAAGCACATAAAAATGTTCAAAATTCATATCCTTCGCCCACTTTTTGATGGGGTTGTTTGTTTTTTTCTTGTAAATTTGTTTGAGTTCATTGTAGATTCTGGATATTAACCCTTTGTCAGATGAGTAGGTTGCGAAAATTTTCTCCCATTTTGTAGGTTGCCTGTTCACTCTGATGGCAGTTTCTTTTGCTGTGCAGAAGCTCTTTAGTTTAATTAGATCCCACTTGTCAATTTTGGCTTTTGTTGCCATTGCTTTTGGTATTTTAGACATGAAGTCCAGAAGACATTTATGCAGCCAAAAAACACATGAAAAAATGCTCATCATCCCTGGCCATCAGAGAAATGCAAATAAAAACCACAATGAGATACCATCTCACACCAGTTAGAATGGCGATCATTAAAAAGTCAGGAAACAACAGGTGCTGGAGAGGATGTGGAGAAATAGGAACACTTTTACACTGTTGGTGGGACTGTAAACTAGTTCAATCATTGTGGAAGTCAGTGTGGCGATTTCTCAGGGATCTAGAACTAGAAATACCCTTTGACTCAGCCATGCCATTACTGGGTATATACCTAAAGGATTATAAATCATGCTGCTATAAAGACACATGCACACATATGTTTATTGTGGCACTATTCACAATAGCAAAGACTTGGAACCAACCCAAATGTCCAACAACGATAGACTGGATTAAGAAAATGTGGCACATATACACCATGGAATACTATGCAGCCATAAAAAATGAAGAGTTCATGTCCTTTGTAGGGACATGGGTGAAACTGGAAACCATCGTTCTCAGCAAACTATCGCAAGGAAAAAAAACCAAACACCACATGTTCTCACTCATAAGTAGGAATTGAAAATGAGAACACATGGACACAGGAAGGGGAACATCACACTCCGGGGACTGTTGTGGGGTGGGGGGAGGGGGGAGGGATAGCATTAGGAGATATACCTAATGCTAAATGACGAGTTAATGGGTGCAGCACACCAACATGGCACATGTATATATATGTAACAAACCTGCACATTGTGCATATGTACCCTAAAACTTAAAATATAATAATAATAAAATAAAAAAATTAAAAAAATGTTCAAAAATTTTAGTCATTAAGGAAATTTAAGTCAAAATCACAAGATATTACCAAACACCAGTTATAATGGCCAAAAAATAGACAAAACCAAATATTTGCAAGGATGTGAAGTTGCTGGTACTGTCATATATTGCTGGTGGGAAGAATGGTACAGCCACTTCGGAAAACAAAATTCGCTGTTTCTTATGAAATTGTGCATACACTTAAAATATGACCTAGCAATCCTATGCCTTTCTTATTTTCCCAAGTTAAATGAAAATTTGTATTTATAACAAAACCTATAATGTGTATAGTGGCTTTACTTATAGTACCCCAAACTGGAAACAACCCAAATATCTTTCACCTGGTAAGTGGATAAAGAAACTACAGTACAAGCTTTCAATTAAATACTATTCAGCAATAGAAAAGGACAATGTACTGATACGCACAACAATATGGATGACTCTCACGTGCTCTGTGCTAAGTTAAAGAAGCCAGTATCAAAAGGCCACATACATGTTGTGTGATTCTATTTATATGACATTCTAGAAAAGGCAAAACTATAGGGACAGAAAACAGATAAGCAGGGTGAAAGAAGGAGTTGAGCAAAAAGGGGTATGGGGGCGTTCGGGGGATGATGGTAGTTGTTACATGATTATATGTGTTTGTTGAAATTCTCAGAAATGAATTTCTCCTTCTTGAAACATATTTTTCACCAAGACATAAACATAAATAGACACATTATTCACTAAATACAATGAAAAACTCTGGCGTTTATGCATAAAACAAACGTAAGACTGAGAAGTAGAGAGAAAGCATACCAGCTAGCGACCTTGGGGCCCAAGGAAAAACACCAATAGTCTGTGATAAGTTATGTAAAAATAATGTAATAATGTAACAAATAATAGAACCACTGGAAAACTATATAAAGGGATACACATTGCAACAATTTAGATAAATTAAAAAGGAATTCTAAAGAATGTTCAAGTAAGCCGCAAAGAGAACAGAAAAAAGAAAACAGAAGAACAAAGAATAAACAAACAGAAAACAAAAAATAAGATGGAAAATTTAAGCCCTAACAGATCAATAACTACATTAATACAAATAGTCTAGTACACTCATTAGAAGACAGAGATTGACAGAGTGGATTAAAAAATATGACCCATCTATATGCTATCTGTAAGAACCTTTCTTCAAATATAGCAAAATAGGTAGGTTTAAAGCAAAAAGATGAAAGATGTATTATGCAAATCTTAAGCAAAAGAAAGTAGAAATAGCTATGTTAATATCAGATACAGTAGAATTCAGAGAAAAAGACTATTAACGAAGACAGAGAGGGACATTATATAATAGTGAAAAGATTACTTTACCAAGAACATGTTGCAGTCCTAAATCAGTATGCAACAAACAAGAGAGCTAAAATATATGTGAAGTAAAAACTGATGGAACTGAAAGAGGAAATAGACAAATCAACAATTATAGTCAAATCTTTAACACTTCTTTCTCAACAATTGAGAGAACAACTAGATAGAAAATCAAGAATGTAGAAAACTCAACATCATTAACCAATAGGATCTAATCTATAATTCCACTGAACAACAGCAGAATACACATTATTTTCAAACACCTATGGAGCATATATCAAGTTGCACTACATCCTGGGCCATGAAACAAATCCAAAAAATTTAAAAGAATTGAATTATACAGAAGAATCAGAATGAAGTCGAACTAGAAACCAATAGTTTAAAATAACATTCTCCAAACAATTGGAAATTACATGACACACTTCTAAATAATGCATAGGTTAAAGAGAATGTCTCAGGGGGAAAAGAAACCTGAACTAAATTAAAATGAAAAAACAGCACGTCAAAATTTGTGGGACATGGCTAAAGTAGTGCCAAGAGGGGAATTTATAGCATTAAATGCATATATTAGAAGATAAAATGTCTCAAATAAATAATCTCAACTTTCACTTCAAGAACATAGAAGAGCGAAATAAACTCAAAGCCAGCATAAAGAAAGAAATCATAAAAATATAAGCAGAAATTATTGAAATTGAAAACCAAAAAAAATAGAGAAAATCAGTAAAAGAGCTGGTTCTTTAAAAAGATCAATAAAATTCAGAAACTTCTACTAAGACTAACAAGGGGAAAAAAGAGAAGACACAGATTACTAATATTAGGAATGAAACAAGGGATATCGTTATAGACCCTGCAAATATCAAAAGGATAATAAGACTATGAACTTTACGTTCATAAATTTGACAACTTAGGTGAAATGTATGAATTCTTTAAAAAATACAAACTACTGAAATCTATCCAATATGAAATAGTTTGAATAGCTCATTCGCTATTAAGAAAATTGAATTCATAATTATAAACTTTCACAAAAGCAATCTCTAGATTCAGATAATTTCACTAGAGAATTTTTATAAATATTTAAAGAACACTTAATAGCAGTTCTATACAATGTCTTCCAGGAAATAGAAGAGGAATGAACACTTCCAAATTTACTTCATGAAGCTAGTCTTACTTTGGACCCAAACTAGACAAAGTACATAAAAAGAAAACTACAGAACAATAGCCTTAATGCATATAGATGCAAAACCTCTTAGTAAAATACTAGCAAATAGAATTCAGAAATATAAGAATTCTATATCTTGACCAAGAAGAGTTTAGTACAGGGATGTAAGGCAGGTTCAATATGTATAAATCATTCAATATAATTTAACACATTAACAGACTAAAGTAGGAGAATTACATGATCACATCAATTGATACAGATAAAACATTTGACAAAAGTTAAAATTAATTCATGGTAAAACTCTCAGGGAAAATGGGAACAGAGGGGAACTTCCTTAACTGAACAAAGAGCATCTACAACAACCTACACCTAAAATTATATTTAATGGTGAAAGATTGAATGCTTTCTCCCTAAGATTCAGGACAGGGCAAGGATATTCAGTCTTACCAATTGTATTCAGTATAGCACTTGATGTTTTAGCCAGTGCAATAAGGCTAGAGAAGGAAATAAAAATCTTACAGATTTGAAAGAAAGAAATAAAACTGTCCTGATTTGCAAGTGACATAATTATCTATATAATCCCAAAGAACCTGCTGAAAAATTCCTACAACTAATAAGTGAGTTTGGCAAGGTTGCAGGATATAAGGTAAACATTGAAAAAAAATCAATGGGCAGCAATCTTTGCTATTCTGTAGCCTCCACTGGTGATACCCAGGCAAACAGAGTCTGGAGTGGACCTCCAGCAAACTCCAGCAGAGGGACCTGACTGTTAGAAGAAAAACTAACAAACAGAAAAAAAAAATAGCTTCAAAATCAACAAAAAGGATGTCCACACAGAAACCCCATCCAAAGGTCACCAACATGAAAGACCAAAGGTAGATAAATCCTCAAAGATGAGGAAAAATCAGCTCAAAAAGGCTGAAAATTTCAAAAACCAGAACGCCTCTTCTCCTCCAAAGGTCCACAACTCCTCGCCAGCAAGGGAACAAAACTGGATGGAGAATGAGTTCGATGAATTGAAAGAAGTAGACTTCAGGAGGTGGGTAATAATAAACTCCTCTGAGCTAAAGGAGCATGTTCTAACCCAATGCAAGGAAGCTAAGAACCTGGAAAAAAGGTTAGAGGAATATCTAACTAGAATAACCAGTTTAGAGAAGAATATAAATGACCTGATGGAGCTGAAAAACACATGAGAACTTTGTGAATCATACACAAGTATCAATAGCTGAATCAATCAAGTGGAAGAAAATATATCAGAGATTGAAGATCCACTTAATGAAATAAAGCATGAAGACACGATTAGAGAAAAAAAGAATGAAAAGGAATGAACAAAGCCTCCAAGAAGTATGGGAATATGTGAAAAGACCAAACCTACATTTGATTGGTGTACCTGAAAGTGACGGGAAGAATGAAACCAAGTTGGAAACACTCTTCAGGATATTATCCAGGAGAACTTCCCCAACCTAGAAAGACAGACCAACATGCAAATTCAGGAAATATGGAGAACATTGCAAAGATACGTCTTGAGAATAGCAACCCCAAAACACATAATCATCAGATTCACCAAGGTTGAAATGAAGGAAAAAATGTTAAGGGCAGCCAAAGAGAAAGATCTGGTTACCCACAAAGGGAAGCTCATTAGACTAACAGCAGATCTCTCTGCAGACACCCTACAAGCCAGAAGAGAGTGGGGGCCAATATTCAACATTCTTAAAGAAAAGAATTGTCAACCCGGAATTTCATATCCAGCCAAACTAAGCTTCATAAGAGAAGGAGAAATAAAATCCTTTACAGACAAGCAAATGCTGAGAGATTTTGTCACCACCAGGCCTGCCTTACAAGAGCTCCTGAAAGAAGCACTAAATATGGAAAGGAAAAACCGGTACCAGCCACTGCAAAAACATACCAAATTGTAAAGATCATCAACACTATGAAGAAACTGCATCAACTAATGGGCAAAATAACCAGCTAGCATCATAATGACAGGATCAGATTCACACAACAATATTTACCTTAAATGTAAATGAGCTAAATGTCCCAATTAAAAGAAACAGACTGGCAAATTGGATAAAGAGTCAAGACCCATCAGTGTGCTGTATTCAGGAGAGCCATCTCATGTGCAAAGACACACATAGGCTCAAAATTAAGGGATAAGGGATGGAGGGATATTTACCATGCAAACGGAAAGCAAAAAAAAAAAAAAAAAAAAAAAAAAAAAAAGCCAGGGTTGCAATCCTAGTCTCTGATAAAACAGACTTTAAGCCAACAAAGATCAAAAAAGACAAAGAAGGGTATTACATAATGGTAAAGGGATCAATGCAACAAGAAGAGGTAACTATCCTAAATATATATGCACCCAATACAGGAGCACCCAGATTCATAAAGCAAGTTCTTAGAGACCTACAAAGAGACTTAGACTCCCACACAATAATAGTGGGAGACTTTAACACCCCACTGTCAATGTTAGACAGATCAATGAGACAGAAAATTAACAAGGATATTTAGGACTTGAACTCAGCTCTGGACCAAGTGGACCTAATAGACATCTACAGGGCTCTCCACCCCAAATCAACAGAATATACATTCTTCTCAGCACCAGATTGCACTTATTCTAAAATTGACCACATAATTGGAAGTAAAACACTCCTCAGCAAATGCAAAAGAATGAAAATCATAACAAACAGTCTTTCAGACCACAGTGCAATCAAATTAGAACTCAGGATTAAGAAACTCACTCAAAACCACACAACTACATGGAAACTGAACAACCTGCTCCTGAATGACTGCTGGGTAAATAATGAAACTAAGGCAGAAATAAATAAGTTCTTTGAAACCAATGAGAACAAAGATAAAACATACCAGAATCTCTGTGTCACAGCTAAAGCAGTGTTTAGAGGGAAATTTATAGCAGTAAGTGCCCACAGGAGAAAGCAGGAAAGATCTAAAATCGACACCCTACCATCACAATTAAAAGAACTAGAGAAGCAAGAGGAAACAAATCTAAAAGCTAGCGGAAGACAAGAAATAACTAAGATCAGAGCAGAACTGAAGGAGATAGAAACACGACAAACCCTTCAAAAAATCAATGAATCCAGGAGCTGGTTTTATGAAAAGATTAACAAAGTAGATAGACCACTAGCCAGACTAATAAAGAAGAAAACAGAGAAGAATGAAATAGTCACAATAAAAAATGATAAATGGGATATCACCACTGATCCCACAGAAATACAAACTACCATCAGAGAATACTATAAACACCTCTATGCAAATAAACTAGAAAATCTAGAACTGGTAAATTCCTGGACACATACACCCTCCCAAGACTAAACCAGGAAGAAGTCAAATCCCTGAATAGACCAATAACAAGTTCTGAAATTAATAGCCTACCAACCAAAAAAAGCCCAGGAACAGATGGATTCATAGCCGAATTCTACCAGAGGTACAAAGAGGAGCTGGTACCATTCCTTCTGAAACTATTCCAAACAATAGAAAAAGAGGGAATCCTCCCTAACTCATTTTATGAGGCCAGCATCATCCTGATACCAAAACCTGACACAACAAGAAAAGAAAATTTCAGGCCAATATCCCTGATGAACATCGATGCGAAAATCCTCAATAAAATACTGGCAAACTGAATCCAGCAGCACATCAAAAAGCTCACCCACCATGATCAAGTGGGCTTCATCCCTGTGATGCAAGGCTGGTTCAACATACGCAAATCAATCAACATAATCCATCACAGAAACAGAACAAATGACAAAGACCACATGATTATCTCAATAGACGCAGAAAAGTCCTTCAATAAAATTCAACACCTCCTTATGCTAAAAACTCTCAATAAGCTAGGTATTGATGGAATGTATCTCAAAATAATAAGTGCTATTTATGACAAACCCACAGCCAATATCATACTGAATGGGCAAAAGCTGGAAGCATTCCTTTTGAAAACTGCCACAAGACAAGGATGCCCTCTCTCACCACTCCTATTCAACATAGTATTGGAAGTTCTGGCCAGGGCAATCAGGCAAGAGAAAGAAATAAATGGTATTCAAATAGGAAGAGAGGAAGTCAAATTGTCTCTGTTTGCAGATGACATGATTGTATATTTGGAAAACCCCATCGTCTCAGGCCAAAATCTCCTTAAGCTGATAAGCAACTTCAGCAAAGTCTCACAATACAAAATCAATGTGCAAAAATCACAAGCATTCCTATATACCAATAATAGACAGCCAAATCATGAGTGAACTCCCATTCACAATTGCTACAAAGAGAACACAATACCTAGGAATAAAACCTACAAGGAATATGAAGAACCTCTTCAAGGGGAACTGGAAACCACTGTTCAAGGAAATAAGAGAGGACACAAACAAGTGGAAAAATATTCTGTGCTTATGGATAGGAAGAATCAATATTGTGAAAATGGCCATACTGTCCAAAGTAATTTATAGATTCAATGCTATCCCCATCAAGCTACCATTGACTTTCTTCACAGAATTAGGAAAACCACTTTAAATTCATATGGAATCAAAAAAGAGCCCATATCGCCAAGACAACCCTAAGCAAAAAGAACAAAGCTGGAGGCATCACGCTAACTGACTTCACACTATACTACATGGCTACAGTAACCAAAACAGAATAGTACTGGTACCAAAACAGATATATAGACCAATGGAACAGAACCGAGGCCTCAGAAATAACGCCACAAATCTACAAACATCTGATGTTTGACAAACCTAATGAAAACAAGCAATGGGTAAAGATTCTCTATTTAATAAATGATTTTGGGAAAACTGTCTAGCCACATGCAGAAAGCTGAAACTGGATCCCTTCCTTACACCTTATACAAAAATTAACTCAAGATGGATTAAAGACTTAAACATAAGACCTAAAACCATAAAAACCCTTGAAGGTAGGCAATACCATTTAGGACATAGGCATGGACAAAGACTTCATGACTAAAACACGAAAAGCAATGACAATGAAAGCCAAAATTGACGAATGGGATCTAATTAAACTAAAGAGCTTGTGCACAGCAAAAGAAACTATCATCAGAGTGAACAGGCAACCTAGAGAAGAATTTTGCAGTCTATCCATCTGACAAAGGGCTAATATCCAGAATCTGCAAAGAACTTAAACAAATTTACATGAAAAAAACAAGCAACCCCATCAAAAAGTGGCTGAAGGATATGAACAGACACTTCTCAAAAGAAGACATTTATATCGCCAACAAACATTTGAAAAAAATATTGTCATCACTGGTCATTAGAGAAATGCAAATCAAAACCACAATGAGATACCATCTCACCCCAGTTAGAATAGCGATCATTAAAAAGTCGGGAAACAACAGATTTTGGAGAGGATGTGTAGAAATAGGTATGCTTTTACACTGTTGGTGGGAGTGTAAATTAGTTCAACCATTGTGGAAGACAGTGTGGTGATTCCTCAAGGATCTAGAACCAGAAATACCATTTGATCCAGCAATTCCAGTACTGGCTGTATACCCAAAGGATTATAAATCATTCCACTATAAAGGCACATGCACATATATGTTTATTGCAGAACTATTCACAATAGCAAAGACTTGGAACCAACCCAAATGCCCATCATTGATAGACTGGATAAAGAAAATGTGGCACATATACGCCATGGAATACTACACATCCATAAAGAAGGATGAGTTCATGTCCTTTGCAGGGACATGGATGAAGCTGGAAACCATCATTCTCAGCAAACTAACACAAGATCAAAAAACCAAACACTGCATGTTCTCATTTATAAGTGGGAGTTGAACAATGAGAACACATGGACACAGGGAGGGGGAACATCACACACCAGAGCCTGTTAGGGTGTGGGGGGCTAGGGGATGGTAGCATTAGGCAAATACCTAATGTAGATAATGGGTTGATGGGTGCAACAAACTACCATGGCATGTGTATACCTATGTAACAAACCCACACGTTCTGCATATGTATCCCAGAACTTAAAGTGTAATAATAAAAAAAAAATGCAATACCACTTATAATTGCTGAAAGAAGATGAAATAGGTGTAAATGTAACAAAACATGTATAGTATTTGTATGCTAAAAATGCAAAATGTTGATAAAAATTAAAGAAGAACTAAATAAAAGTAAAGAGATACTGTGATTTGAATGAGTACATATAATAAAGATACAGTAATGTATAGTATGTCATTTATCAGTATCAAAATATAGTAAAAATGTCAATCTTCCCTAAATTATATACACATTGAACACAATTCCTATCAAAATACCAGCCAGATTTTCTTTTAGATGTAGACGAAATTGTTATTATTTTTAAATTTTTATTTATTTATTATTTTTGAGATGGGGTCTCACTCTGTCACCCAGCTGCAGTGCAGTGGCGTGATCTCAGCTCACTGCAACCTCCGCCTCCTGTGTTCAAGTGATTCTTTTCCCTTAACCTCCTGAGTATCTGGGATTACAGGCGCCTGCCACCATGCCTGGCTAATTTTTGTATCTTTAATAGAGACAAGGTTTCACCAGGTTGGCCAGGCTGGTCTCAAACTCCTGACTTCAAGTGATCTGCCTGCCTCAGCCTCCCAAAGTGCTAGGATTACAGTCATGAGCCACCATACCTGGCCTATTATTATTATTATTGTATTTTAAGTTCAGGGGTAGATGTTCAGGTTTGTTACATAGGTAAACATGTGTCAAGGGGGTTTGTTATGCAGATTATTTCACCACCCAGGGATTAAGCCTAGTAACCATTAGTTATTTTTCTTGATGCCCTCCCTCCTCCCACCCACTACCCTCCTATAGGTCTCAGTGTGTGTTGTTCCCTTCTATGTGTCCATGTGTTCTCATCATTTAGCTCCCACTTACAAGTAAGAACATGTGGTATTTGGTTTTCTGTTTCTGCATTAGTTTGCTAAGGATAATGGCTTCCAGCTCATTCTTTTTTATGGCTGCATAGTATTCCTTTGTGTATATGTACCTCGTTTTCTTTATCCAGTCTATCATTGATGGACATTTAGGTTAATTCCATGTTCTTGCTATTGTGAATAGTGCTGCAATGAACATATGTGTGCATGTGTCTTTATAACAGAATGATGTATATTCCTTTGGGTATATACCCAGTAATGGGATTGCTGGGTCAAATGGTATTTCTGTTTTTAGGTCTTTGAGGGATCACCACACTGTCTTACTCAATTGTTGAACTAATTAACACTCCCACCAATAGTGTATAAGCATTCCTTTTTTCCACAACCTCGCCAGCATCTGTTATCTTTGACCTTTTAATAATAGCCATTCTGACTGGTGTGAGATTGTATCTTATTGTGGTTTTAATTTTTATTTCTCTAATGATCAGGGATATTGAGCTTTGTTTTCATATGATTATTGGCTGCATGTATGTTTTCTTTTGAGAAGTGTCTGTTTATGTTTTTTGCCCACTTTCTAATGTTTTTTTTTCTTGTAAATTTGTTTAAGTTCCTTATAGATGCTGGATATTAGACCTTTGTGAAATACACAGCTTGCAAAAATTGTCTCCCATTCTGTAGGTTGTCTGTTTATTCTGTTGATTGTTTCCTTTGCTATGCAGAAGCTCTTTAGTTTAATTAGATCCCATGACAAAATTATTTTAAAATTATATTGATAGGCAAAGAAGCTAGTTAAAATAATTTTGAAGGTAATGAAGAAAATGGGTGAAATCAGTACACCACATTTTAAGACTTATGTAGCTAAAGTAATCAATATTTTTATCAGAGGGATAGACATATAGATCGATGAAACAGAATAGATAAAAAACAGAGACCCGTACAAATACAGTCATTCGTTGGAAACAACATTTCTATCAACAACGGACTGCATATGTGACGATGGTCCATAAGATTATAAAAGAGCCGGAAATTTCTATCACCTATTGACTTCTTGATGATCCTGACCCTTTGTAGGTCTAGGCTGATGTTTGTATTTGTGTCTTAGTTTTTTAACAAAAAAGTATAAAAAGGAAGAAAAAAAGTAATAATTTAAAATAAATAAAAAGATTATGGAATAAGGATATAAAGACAATATTATTATACAGCTGGGCAATGTGTGTTTTATGCTAAGAGTTATTAAATAAGAGTAAAAAAGTTAAAAAAAATTAAAAGTTTATGAAGTAAGAAAGTTACAATAAGCTAAGGTTAATTTATTATTGAATAAAAGTATTTTAAGACAAATTTAGTGTAGCCTCAGTGTACAGTGTTTATAAAGTCTACTGTAGTGTACAATAATGTCCTAAACTTTCATATTCATTCACCACTCACTTACTAACTCACCCAGAGCACCTTCAGGTCCTACAAGCTCCATTAATGGTAAGTGCTCTATACAGGTGTACCATTTTGTGTCTTTTATACCACATTCTTATTGTACCTTTTCCATGGTTAAATATATTTAGATACATAAATAATTATCATTGTGTTACAATTGCCAAGAGTATTCAGTACAGTAACATGCTGTACAAGTTTGTAGCCTGGGGGCAATAAACTATACCACATAGCCCAGGATTTACTTGACTATACCATCTAGGTTTATGTAAGTTTGCACAACAACAAGATTGCCTAATGATGCATTTCTCAGAATGCATCCCTATCATTAAGCAATGCTTGTCTTTATGCCCAACTGAGAGTTGACAAGAGTGCCATACCAATTCCATGGAGAAAGGATAGCCTTTTCAACAAATGGTGCTGAAGCCATTGGGCCTCCATAGTGGGGGAAACATCCTTGCCTTAATTCTCACGCTTTATACAAAAATAAACTCAAAATGGAAAATTGATTACCTGTAAATAGTACAACTGTAAAACTTTAAGAAATAACACAGAAGAAAATCTTCAGGATCTAGAGCTAGGTAATTCTTAGGTTTGAAACCAAAAGCATAATTCATAAAAGGGATAATTGATAAATTGGATTTTATCAAAATTAAAAGTGTTTCTTCTGTGAAAGATACTATTCAAAGGATGTGAAAACAAGCTGCAGATTGGGAGAACATATTTGCACACCATAAATCCAAGAAAGAATAGTATCTAGAATATATAAAGAACTCCCAAAAACTAACAGATAAAAAATCTAATTAGGACATGGGCAAATGACATAAAAAGACTGAAGAGAATCTACAAATGGAAAATCAGCACATAAAAAGATATTCCACATACTTAGCTATTAGGGATATGCAAATTGAAACCACAATGAGATTGTTATACACTTAGCCCGAATGACTAAAAGACTGTAACAACATTTTTACTTTTACTGGAAATGTCAAATGCTACAATCACTCTGGAAAAAAAGTTTGGCTGAGACAGAATGAAGCAAAAGGAATAACTGAAAAGAGAATGGTCATAAATTTTCAAGTGACAGATTCAGCAGATGGTACCAAAAAAAAAAAAAAAAGGACAAATGCAAAGAAAAGCACACCTAGGCACATCATTGTAAAACTGTTAAAAACCAAAGACAAAGAGGAAATTTTAAAAGGAGCTAGAGAAAAAAATACTAGGGAAAAAAATACTATCAAAAAGGCAAAAAAGACCCCACAACAAAAAGCAGAAAAAAGCAGACAACCCCATCTTGCTTTGCAATAGAAATAATAAAACTCAGAAGACAATGCAGTAGCATTATCAAATAGTAGACCCAAGAGAGCCATACTTATACGTTCTTACTGTAAGAGAGCTGAAAAATGGATGAAAATGAGTGAAAAATGGATTTCACCCATTTTCTTATACTTTCTTAGTATGAGAAACCTGAAGTAACTATATTAACATGAGAGAAAATAGAACTATTACTAGAGACAGATGAGGCATCTCGTAATGATAAAAGATCAAAACTTTAGGAAGATATAACAAGTATAAACATATACACGGCTAACAACAGAGACCCATAATATATGAAAAATGTATTCCAAATAAAACTTAAAGAAAAAAAATGACAACTATAGTTGAAGATTTTTAATATTTCACATACAACAACTTAATTTATAGGGACTCATGATCATATCTTTAACATTTATAAAGAAAATATTAACAGAAGTAAGGAGAAATAGACAAGGGGGAAATTTTATCACACTTCTGTCAGTAACAGATTGAAGAAGCATACAAGATTAACAAGAATACAGACAATTTGAACAATATGACTTACAAAATTGAACTTATATCTAGGAAACTTGATTCCAAAACTGCAGAATATACATTAGTTTCAAGTGTTTTTGAATTATTTACAAATTGAACTACACTGGGCCATAAAACATGTCTCTACAAATTTCAAAGGATTGAAATAACAGCGAATTCCCTGATCACAGTGAAATTAAGCTAAAAAAGTCTGTCTGAAAAATAGAAAATCACCAATGCCCAGAAATTTAAACAAGTGTATTTATATATAATTCACTGGTCAAAGGTGATGTAATAATAAAAAAACTAGAAAATATTTTGAACTAAAGTATAATAAGAATAAAACATGTAAAAACTTGTGAATGTAGCTAAAACTATGTTTAAAGGGAAATATAGCCTATGGCTATGCTTAAATAAAACTTAAAGCTATGTTTCTAGCTTTTAGTGCATATTCAAAAAACAAAGGCTGAAATATCAATGGCTAAGTTTTTATCTCAAAAGTTAAAGAAAAAATACCACATAGAACCCAAAAAGTTAGAAGGAAGTAAATAACATATAAATTTACTAAAAATAATAAAATAGTAATATATGCTCAATAATTGGAATAAACGAACATGAAATTTGGTTATTTTAAATAGTTAATAAGAAGGCTAAACCTCTGGAAAGACTGAGCATATAGAGCTAGAGAAAGAAGATTTTTTTTTTTTTGAGACGGAGTCTTACTCTGTTGCCCAGGCTTGAGTGCAGTGGCACAATCACAGCTCACTGCAGCCTCAGCCTCCCAGGCTCAGGTGACTCTCCCATCTCAGCCACCTAGGTAGTTTGAACTACAGGCACCAGGCACCACCTTTGGCTAATTTTTTGTATTTTTCACAGAGACAGGGTTTTGGCATGTTGCTCAGGCTGGTCTCGAACTCCTGGGCTCAAGTAATCCACCTATCTCAGCCTCCCAATGTGTTGGGATTATAGGCCTGAGCCTGTAATAGATAATTATCTGACCACACCCAGCCAGAGAGAGAGGATTTCTAATAATACTTGTAAAATGGGAACATCACTACAGTTGTTGTTACAAACACATAAGATAGTATTATTAAGTTTTTGCCAATAAGTTGAAAAATCAAATAAGATGGGCAAATTGATAGAAAAACGCAACCTGTCAACAATGATGCTGAAAGAAATAGAATATCTGAATATTCCTATATCCAATTGTATAAGTCAGGGTTCCTCAGAGAAATAGGACTAATAGGACATATCTATCTATATATTATGGAGGCCGGCACATCCCAAGATTTGCACGGTGAGTTAGCAAGCAGGAGGCCCAGGAGAGCCAATGTTATACTTGATAATATGGTTCCAGTCTGAAAGCAGGCAGGCTTGAGACCCAGGAGTAGCCAGTGTTTCAGTGCAAGTCCGAAGGCAGGAAAAAGCTGATGTGCTAGTTTGAAGGAAGGCAGGCAGGAGAATTTTATTTTACACAGGGAGGGTAAGCCTTTTTGTTCTATTCATGCCTTCCACTGACTGGATGAAGCCCACCCGCATTAGGGAGGATAATTTGCTTTCCTTAGTCTACTGATTTAAATGTCAATCATAATTAAAAATATCCTCCCAGAAACACCCAGAAAAATATTTGACCAGTATCTGAGCACTCTCTGACCAAGTTGAGTTGACAAATATACTTACCCATCACAATGTAAATAACCAAATTTCTATTTAAAATTAATCCTCAAAAAAATACCAGGCCCAGTTGGCCCCAAACTAATAAATTATTCTAAACATTTAAGGACAAAAAAAAAAATCAATCTTACCCAAATACTTCCAGAGAGCAGACAATGATAGTCAGCTTATTTTTTAAGGCCAGCATAATCTTGACAGCAAAATCCTGTAAGAATACTACAAGAAAGAAAAATTACAATTTTATTCATGAATATAGATGAAAAAAATTCTAAATAAAATGCTAGCAACCCACGTCTAATGATATATAAAAGAAGCCAAACAACATGACTAACAATACAAGTTTGGTTAGCTGTACAGGAATCAGTTAGTATATAACTCACCACATTAATATAAAAAAGGAGAAATATGATATCTCAATAAGTGAGCTAAAACCACTCAATGAAATTTAATACCCTTTCATGATAAATACACTTTGCAAAATAAAAATAGAAGGGAACTTCCTTAATTTGATAAGTCTGATGTGGTTTGGCTCTGTGTCCCCCCTGAAATCTCATCTTGAATTGTACTCCCATAATTCCCACATTTTGTGGGAGGGACTTGGTGGGAGATAATTGAATCATGGGGGTGGTTTCACCCATACTGTCTTTGTGGTAGTGAATAAGTCTCATGAGATCTGATGGTTTTGTAAAGGGTTTCCACTTTCGCTTCTCTCTCATTCTCTCTTGCTGCCACCAGGTAAGAAGTGCCTTTTGCCTTCTGCCATGATTGTAAGGCCTTCCCAGCAATATGGAACTGTGAGTTCATTGAAACTATTTTTCCTCCCAGTCTCGGGTATGTCTTATCAGCAGCATGAAAATGGACTAATGCAGTAAATTGGTATCAGTAGAGTGGGCACAGCTGAAAAGATACCTGAAAATGTGAGAGCAACTTTGGAACTGGGTAACAGGCAGAGGTTGGAACAGTTTAGAGGGCTCAGAAGAAAATAGGAATATGTGAGAAGATTTGGAACTTCCTAGAGACTTGTTGAATGGCTTTGCCCAAAATGCTGATAGCCATATGGGCAATAAAGTCCAGGCTGAGGTTTCAGGTGGAAATGAGGAACTTGTTGGGAACTGGAGCAAAGGTGACTCGTTGTGTTTTAGCAAATAGACTAACCGCATTTTACCCCTGCCCCAGAGATTTGTGGAACTTTGAACTTGAGAGAGATGATTTAGGTTATCTGGCAGAATAAATTTCTAAGTAGCAAAACATTCAAGATGTGACTTGGGTGCTGTTAAAGGCATTCAGTTTTATAGGGAAAGCAGGACATAAAAAGATCGGAAAATTTGCAGCCTGACAATACTATAGAAAAGAAAATCCCACTTTCTGAGGAGAAATTCAAGCTGGTTGCAGAAATTTGCATAAGTAACAAGGAGACAAATATTAATCCTCAAGACAATGGGAAAAATGTCTCCAGGGCATATCAGAGGTCTTCACAGCGGCCCCTCCTATCACAGGCTGGAGGCCTAGGAGGAAAAAATGGTTTTGTGGGCCAGGCCTAGGGTCCTCCTGCTGTGTGCAGCCTAGGGACATGGTGCCTTGCATCCCAGCCACTCCAACCATGGATGAAAGGGGCCAATGTAGAGCTCAGGCTGTGGCTTCAGAGGGTGCAAGCCCCAAGCCATGGCAGCTTCCATGTGGTATTGAGCCTGCGAAAGCGCAGAAGCCAAGAATTGGGGTTGGGAACCTCTGCCTAAATTTCAGAGGATGTATGGAAATGCCTGGATGCCAAGGCAGAAATTTGCTGCAGGGGTGAGGCCCCCATAGAGAACTTCTGCTAGGGTAGTGCAGAAGGGAAATGTGGGGTCAGAGCCCCCACACAGAGTCCCTACTAGGGCATTGTCTAGTGGATCTGTGAGAAGAGGGCCACCATCCTCCAGAACCTAGAATGGTAGATCCACTGACAGCTTGCACCATGTGTCTAGAAAAGCCGCAGCCACTCAATGCCACCCCGTGAAAACAGCCAGGAGGGAGTCTGCACCCTGCAAAGTCACAGGGGCAGAGCTGCCCAAGACCAGGAGAACCCACCTCTTGCATTAACATGATCTGGATGTGAGACATGGAGTCAAAGATCATTTTGGAACTTTAAGATTTGACTGCCCTGCTGGATTTTAGACTTGCCTGGGGCCTGTAGCCCCTTTGTTTTGGCCAATTTCTCCCATTTGGAACAGCTGTATTTACCCAATACCTATACACCCATTGTATCTAGAAAGCAACTAACTTGCTTTTGATTTTACAGGCTCATAGGTGGAAGGGACTTGCCTTGTCTCAGATGAGACTCTGGACTGTGGACTTTTGAATTAATGCTGAAATGAGTTAAGACTTTGGGGACTGTTGGAAGGCATGATTGGTTTCGAAATGTGAGGACATGAGATTTGGCAGGGCCTAGGGGTGGAATGATACGGTTTGGCTCTGTGTCTTTGCCAAATCTCATCTTGAATTGTACTCCCCAAATTCCCGCATATTGTGGGAGGGACCCAGGGGTAGATAATTGAATAAGGGGGGTGGTTTCCCCCATACTGTTCTCATGGTAGTGAATAAGCCTTATGAGATCTGATGGTTTTATAAGGGGTTTCTGCTTTTGTTCTCTCTCCTTCTCTCTTGCTGCTGCCATGTAAGAACTGCCTTTCACCTTCCACCATGATTGTGAGGCCTCCCCCAGCCACATGGAACTGTGAGTCAATTAAACCTATTTTTCTTCCCAGTCTGGGGTATATCTTTATCAGCAGCGTGAAAAAAAACTAATACAAAGTTCTGTCTACCAAAAGCCTATAGCTAGTATCATACTAAATAATAAAAAAGCAAAAGTATTCCCCTGAGACTGTGAATGAGACAAGGACATCTGCTACTGATACTTCTATTCAACATTGTCATGGAGATTCTGGACTGTGCAAAAAGTTAAAAAAAAAAAAAAGTAAAAGATGTCAAGATTGGAAAAGAGATTGTCATTATTCATTGACAACATGGTGTTATACAATGAAAATCCATCAGAATCTATACTCTATCAGAATTAATAAGTGAAGCAGATTAACATATCTATCAAAAAGAAGTAATAAGTAAATATAGCAGTTTCTTGATATTAGAGCAGCAACAACTGCTATATATAGAAAAGCAGTTTCTATATATAAGTAGCAAACAATTAGAAAGTAAAAATTTAAATAATAATACCATTTTGAGTAGCATAAAATCCAAATTCCTAAAAATAAATCTAATAAAAAATATATAATACCTTCACACACACACACACGCACACACACACACTAGAGAAAATGTGATTCAAATAAATAAGGAGATACGTCACCTTCAAACCATTGGAAGACACGATATCATAAAGATGTAAATATTCTCCATCTTACCTACAGATTCAATGCAATCTGAACCAAAATCTATTTTTAATAAATTTTTTGGTGAAAATTAACAAGCATATTCTAAAATCTAGGTGGGAATATAGAAGGCTCAATCAGGATGGCTAAGAAAATCTTGAAAAATACCAAAGTTGGAGGACTTACATGAGCTGATATCAGGATGATAATTAGGACAGCATGATATTGGTGCAAGGATGGACAAATAGGTAAATGGAAAAAATTAAGTTTAGAAACAATTCCACATGTATGGGCACTCGATTTTTTACAATATTTTCAGTGCAGAACAGTAGGGGAAATATTCTTTTTAACAAATGGTGGTGGTGAATCAATGGATAACTCTGAAAAAAATAAGCCTTTATCCCTACCTCACAACTTACAAATAATAAACTCAATTATGTGTTGTTGGGCTAAATGAGAAAGGTAAAATAAAGTCTCTGGATGATAATATAGAAGATCTTTATGACTTGGGGAGGAGGTTGCAGAGACTTTTTAAACAGGACCAAAAAGTATCATCCAAAAAGGAACTGTTGGTAAATTGGACCACATTAAAATTATGAACAGTTCATCAAGGAAGACCAGGAAGAGAAGAACTCACATAGTGAGTGCATTAGTCTGTTCTCATGATGCTAATAAAGACATACCTGAGATGAGTAATTTATAAAGGAAAGGGGTTTATTTGACTCACAGTTCCACATGGCTAGGGAGGCTTCACAATCATGGTGAAAAGTGAAGGGGAAGCAAGACATGTCTTACATGGCAGCAGGCAAGAGACAGCATGTGCAGGGAACTCCCCTTTGTAAAACCATCAGATCTCATGAGGCTTATTCACTATAATGAGAACAGCATGGGAAAGGCCTGCCCCCATGACTCAATTACCTCCCACTGCATCCCTCCCATGACACGTGGGAATTATGGGAGCTACAATTCAAGATGAGATTTAGGTGGGGGACACAGCCAAACCGTATCATTGGGAGAATATATTTGTAATACATAAAATCAAAAAAAGGATTTGTAAGAGGATATATAAAAACATCCTACAAATCAAAATGAAAAGACAGAAATCAATAGGAAAAAATGGACAAAACCTAGAACTGGAAATTTATGAAAGAGGGTATCTGAATGAATAATAAAGTTATGATAAAGTATTCAATGTGATTAATCATTAGGGAAATGCAAATTTAAACAATAATGATATATCACTGCATACCAGCAAATTCATTAATTTCTAAGAGACTGACTATGGTGAGTTGGCAAGGACATGGTACAACTGAAACTTTCATCTTTTTCTGGTACAACTACTTCAGAAAACAGTTTTGCAACATATACTAAATTTGAAAAATTACATGTCTGATGATTCAGAAATCAACTTCTAGGTATATGCCTGACAGAAATGCATAAATATGAATGCTAAACTATGTATAAAAATTGATAGTACCATTATTTCATAATATCCCAAACCTGGAGATAACCCAAATGTCGATCAACAGTAAAACAGATAGATACATTGTAGTAGACTTATATAATGAAATACTAAGCAGCAATGAAAAAGAACAAATGACTGCTATGCATGGCAACATATACTCACCTCAAAAATGTAATATTAAGGGAAAAGGACAGATACAAAAGAGTAAATACTGTATAATTCCATTTATATAAAGTTAAAAAGCAGTTAAGACTAATCTGTGGCACTGGGAGTCTGAACGGGTATTACCTTTGGAGTGTAAAAGGGCTGGTAAAAGGGAACACAGGTTGTTTGTGCTGTGCTGGAAAGGTTCTGTTTCTTGATTTGTGTGGCAATTACAAAGATGTGCTCATAGCACAGGAATTAATTGAGCTGTACATTTATGAGTTTTACGTGTATATATATATATATGTGTGTGTGTATTACTTCAATAAAAATTGTTTGAATAAGACTAGTGGGAAGTCTTAGGTAGGAGCACCTCCCAGTTAAAGGAATAGCAGAGCAGTAAAATTGTTTCTCCATAAAAATGAAAAACGTTCTGTTATCCAAAGTGGTAAGTAGCATCATTTAGACAGAATTAATTCATGCAAATAGTCTTATGCTCTAGGAGTTTTTATTTCTCTCATAGGAAAGGCAGGTTGTACGTTAATGTGACATTATAGAAAAATACTTTTTAACATTTATAATGAGCATTTCCTTTGTTCTTTATTTTATCTCTTAAAAGTGCATTTAAGGAAGTGACTCCTTGTGAACACTATGTTCTAAAAAAATGGAAGAAAGCTGAAGTATTTCTTGTTCAATCACATTTGTGCTGCTACTGAAGAGGGGCCAGCAGAAAAACAATATCCCATGTTGATAAAAGTGCTTGTCACAAAAGAAGGGAAAAGGACACACACAAAAAGATGCATTGTCAGATTTGGAATTAGGCTTTAAATGTCCCTAAAATTAGTAGACATGTTCTTTAACTGGTTAGAAATAGATAACTAGACTTGTATTTAGAGATAGAAATAAGGCCAGTGAAAAAAGGTCTTGGGGAAGCATAAAAGACAATATGAACTAAGAATGGGTGCTTTCTATTTTTAATTAAAAAGAATACATCTAATTGTAGAAAATTTGAAAATTACAGGGATAAATAAAAAAACATAAAAATTACTCATGATTCTACTACCCAGAGATTAAAACTTACCAGTGTGAGTCTATTACTCACAGTTTATTTTCTGAGCCTGTATTTAGAAATATTTTATTATAACAAGCTTTCCACCTTTGCCATTATTCTGGAACATTTCCCCATGTTGTTATGTGTTGTACTGTATTTAATGGTTTTCAGTTCTTCATAGAATCACTTGTGTGGATTTTTAAAAATACAGAGATCTAGATTTTACTCCAGGTCTAGTGATTAGACTCTCTTTAGGTGGATCCAGGCATTTGTATTTAAAAAAAAATACAGTAGTGCCGGGTGCGGTGGCTCATGCCTGTAATCCCAGGACTTTGGGAAGCTGAGGCGGGCGGATCACCTGAGATCAGGAGTTTGAGACCATCCTGACCAACATGAGGAAACCCCATCTCTACTGAAAAAAAAAACCCAAAATTAGCTGGGCGTGGTAGCACTTGCCTGTAATCCCAGCTACTCGAAAGGCTGAGGCGGGAGAATCGCTTGAACCCAGAAGGTGGAGGTTGCAGTGAGCCGAGATCGCGCCATTGCACTCCAGCCTGGTCAACAAGAGCAAAACTCCCTCTCAAAAAGAAACAAATAAATAAATAAATAAATACAGTGGTGTACAGCCAGGATTTAGACTTCTCAGGCAGGGTTGAGTAATATTGTTAATAGATGCATGGAATTCTGTGCATGTTCTATAACTTATTTAACTTGTTTCCAATATTATTGGACATTTATGTTGTTCCCCCTTTTTTTGGGAGGAGAGGATAAGTAATCCTGTGGTGAGTATCCATTTGTGTATACATCTCTGATTATTTACTAAGATTAAATTCTTAGAAGTAAAATTGCTAGTTCAGTTCAACTGAAGGCTTTTGATTGCCAAATTATCTTCTAGAAATGTTTGTCAAAGTATTCTAGCACCAGCATGTATGAGGCTCCCTGTTTTCCTGAATTGTCACCAAATAGTAGTAAATATTATAATTGTATGGTAATTTTGGCCGATTTTTCAATTTTGATAAATGCATTTCTTTGATTACCAATTACATTGAATAGTTTTTCATCAGTGAACTGCCTTTCTATCAGAGAAATTGCTTTTATATGGAATACAAATTGAGCAAAAGCCTAAAATTTTAAAGTAGAAATGAAAATAACTTGGTATTCAGTGTTCCAAATCCAGAACTGAAGCAAATTTGAAGTTTTTACTGGGAGCGTAGAGTTATCTTAAATATGTTCGTTTTAAATTTAAGTAAATAGAAAAAATTAAAGCACTCAAGGAAAGATGGGTAGCTATTATGTTTAACTTTGAGTCAACATCTATAAATGTACTTTGTGGATTATCCATAAAATAATTAAAATCCAAATGTAATTCCGGACCACCGTTCTGTACCACTTCCTATCTAAACATTTATTGAACATAGTTTCAGCTGGAGTTCCAAGAGAAAACAGATAGTACATCCAAGTAGCATAATTTGAGGAGGGTGTATTTACAAAGAACTCATTACAAAGAGCAGGTAGGGTAGAAGGAAACTGCAAGGGATAGCATAGGACCCCAGGGCTGGCATGGGCAAGGCTGCCTACATCTCCAGTCCTGGAAGAAAAGAGTGTTAGTTGTGTTGGAACTAGAACACCCTGGGAGATCGATGATGTTGGGTGGAGGGACCTAGCCAGTCTATGACTTCATAGGGAAGATGCTAGGGAATAAATTCCCTGACAACAGAGTTCTCCAGAATTTGGTTCCATCTCACTCTCCAACCTCATCTCCTACTATTCTCTCCTCACATCTTTGCTTTCTCATTCCCTTACTTCAGTCAGATCTTAGTCCAAATGTTACCTCCTCAGAGAGGCCTTCCCTGTCATGCACAGGAGTCAGGAGAGACCTGTTCAATCTCCCCCAATTCCTTACTGTCTTTACCTTGCCTTATAATCCTTCTTGCATGCCTTTGTTGGCTTCTTTCTCTACTGTTGTCTCTATCATCAGAAGGCAAGCTTTATGAGGGTATGGACATTGTCTGTGTTATGTGCCCCTGTAATTTCAGTGCCTGCAACAGCATCTGGTTCATCATAGGCACCCAATTAATATTTTTCATCTTTGCAAAAATGCTTAGTAAACTGCCATGTACCATAGAAACATGAAATATCATTATATTAATAGCACTGAGTAAATATACACATTTAAAAAAAGGATCCCCTGTTTTTGCTCATGCTCCTTTATTAGCACAAATAACTCCTTTTATATCTAATTATATTTCCCATAGATTCTCCCTGCAGTATATGTCTCTAACCTGTCCACTTCTCTCCATGTCTACTGACACCATGCAAGACTGAACTACCATCTCCCACCTGGACATCAGAATAGCTTTCTAGCTGGTCTCCCTGCTCTATTCTTGGGTCTTTCAATCTTTCTCCACACAGCAGCCAGAACAGGCTTTTAAAAATCTGGTATTTCTTTTCTGCTTAAAAAGCTTCAAAGGTTTCCTTTTGCCCTCATGGAAGAATTTAAAATATTTAACCTAACCTAGAAGGATCTGAATAATCTCATTAATTTGCCTCCTCTAACCCCTTTTCTTTCACTTGTGATGTTGTGGTTACTGAGGTTTATTCTGTTCTTGAACACCCTCGGCCCTTTCCTGCCTCGGCATCAACCCCTGCTGTCTTCAGACCCTGGAACTCTCATTCCCCACACCTTACCATTTAGCTTCTGCTCATTCTTCACATCTCAGCTTAAAGACGCCTTCTTCAGGAAGGGCTTTCCTGACTCCTTGGTCTTCATGGGACCTTCTCTCATAAGCTTTTAGAGCACTGTGCAATTTTCCTCCTTAAGACTTTTGTAATTGTAGTTCTATTGTTTGTGTGACAATTTGCTTAAAGTCTGTCTTCATCACTAGATTGTAAGCTCCATGGAGGCGAGGTTATGCCATTTTGTTCCCTTTCTGTCTCCAACAGGTAAAATAATGTCTGACATGTACTGATTAATTTCACATTTCTGTTGTGAATAAGTAATATGGTTAAAGTGTTTAAAATTCTTACCTTTAACATTTCAGTATGTGAAAATGGCATTTAGGACTCAAGCTCTGTAGCAACTGCTTCTATTTCCTAACACAGCATCGCTTATTAATAGACCTAGAATAAACATTTTTGAAGAATTCATGAATGTTCCATAACAGTATTTTTTTTCTTCATGTCTGGTTAGATTCTTGACTCCTCAGAGTGAGGGGAGGGGCACATGATCCAGATCTCCACACAAAGTGAAAGTTTGCTGGATGATGCAACAATATTTTTCTTTATTGCATTCTTTTGTCATCCAAGTGTTAAATGGTGGTATCAGACAATTTTCCTAGTTAAAATGGGGTTCTGAACTGTATAGATAGTGAGGAGGGGTCTCAAGGCTGCTGCTAACTCACGCAATGCCATTGGTGGCTCAGAAAAAGGCACCTCTTCCTCAAGAGACTTTACTTTTGTTTGCAAATTATTGTAATGTTACTATTGATTTTGTTAGAATTGTGCTGCCAAAATTGTCCTGATAATTCTGCAAGTCTATAACATCTACAATGTCCATGGTGCCCCATGAGTGGTGCCATTGTATTTGCCCAAATGTCCACAGTGGCGCACCCTGGGATGTGTACCAGGTATAACACCAAAAATGTATCATCCATTACATACTTTGCAGTGGTTTTTCTTCACCAGTGATACAAAGTACAGTAAATATCAAAAATCTTTCTTTATGCTCAGTGGGATTTTTCTGAAAAAAGACTGTAGCCACATACACAGGACGTAAATATTTAATTTCCCTTTTCTCATTTCTTCTCCTCAAACCTCATCAGTTTTGCTCAATTCCATTTTGCCCATGTCACTCTGACTGATCTCTTACTTCATTTTTATGATAGGCCTTTAAATTCATTCTTCAAGTTCGTCCCGGAGGGCATCGTTTTTCCTGCCTTGAGGAAGCAACAACAAATAACCCAGGTAGTCTTCTGGATAACTTATAGTAAAATATAATTAAATTTGAAAGTAGCTGTTTTGTTGGCATGAATTTTCTCTGTTGCTGTGAACCTTTATCCTTCCTCCAGCATTTCCCAAAGTGGTATTCTGTAGGCTGCTAAGAGTAGTATGGTAGAAAAAGTATTCTGTGCTGTGAAAATTAGGGAACTGCTAGTTCAACACATTTAACAGATTTTGTAAATTTTTCCTATGACTTGGTTTTCTGGTAGTTTTTAACCTAGATCTTTAATTACATTATTATGTATTGTGAATTTGGGGTGTTTTATAATTTAGTTAACCATGAGCCCTTTGTAGCGCCTGTTAATGAAACCCTGAAAAAGCTTCCGGAGAACACCAGTTTGGGAAGTGTTGGTTTACTGATTAGTCCATTTGTGCCTGTTCTTGGGAAGCAGGGTATTAAAGTGGAAAGGTTTTGACTGACAACTAGGAGACCTGGTTTCCAGGCCTTCTTTCTATTATGTAGAACATAGTTTGGTAAATTAATCAAATATTTCTATACTTGAAGTTTCTTCTTTGTTTGATATTTGTTCAAAGAGTGACCACTGAATATTCTTATTATTCTGTGCATTAATTTCCTAGGCTGACCATAACAAAGTACCCAAAACTAGGTGGCTTAGATAAACAAAAACTCCTTTTTCTCACGGTTCTGGGGGCTAAGAGTTGGAAATCAAGGTGAGAGCAGGGCTGCACTCTCTGGCGGCTCTCAGGGAGGAACCTTCTTGGCCTCTTCTAGCTTCTGCCATTCCCCGGCAATCCTTGACATGCATTGTCTGGTAGTTGCATCACTGCAATCACATGGCCATTTTCTCCCTGTGGGTCTTCACATCATCTCCCTCTGTGCATGTCTGTTTCCGTATCCAAATTTCCCCTTTTGATGAAGACATCAGGCATATCAGATTAGAACCTACCCTAACGACCTCATTTTAACTCGATTACGTCTTTAAGACCTGGTTTCCAAATAAGGTCACATTCTGAGGTACTGGGATTAGGACTTCAACATATCTTTTTGGGAGGACACAATTCAACCCATAACAAACAGCCATCAACAAAGTTTGCTTTGTCATCTGAGATACATTAAATTTGCAAATCCTGCCTTTTTTTAGGAACTGTACTCCCCCAACACTGCTGTCCTGCTAACTCCATTCCCCTTACTCTACTCAGTTCTTTTTATTGCCTGCTTTGCCTATCTCTGGGCTGGTCTAAGACTTTGCTGCACAATCTATGGTTCCTGTATCGGCAGCAGCATCAGTATCATCTAGAAGCTTGTTAGAAATGAGAATCATAGGCCCCATCTCAGACCTCTGGAATCATTATCTGCATTTTAAAGATCTCTAAAGGATTCACAGGCACATTTTTTTGTTCCCTTTATTTTTAGTTGATCTGTAATAATTGTACCTATTTATGGGATGCAGAGTGATATTTTGAATGTGTAATAATAATCAAATCAGGGGAATAAGTATATCCAATACTTCAAACATTTATCATTTCTTTGTGTTGTGAACATTCAAAATCCTCTCATAGCTTTTTGAAACTATACAGTAAATTATAGTTAACCATATTCACAGAACACCAGAACTTTTTCCTCCTATCTAGCTGTACTTTTGTGTCTGTTAACCAACTTCTTCCAAGCCTCCCCCACCCCTACACTTCCCAGCCTCTAGTACCCACAATTCTACCCTCTACTTCCATGAGCTCAAGCATTTTTTTTTTCAGTCCCACAAGAGTAAGAACATGGGGTATTTATCTTTCTGTGCCTGACATTTCAGTTAACATAATGTCCTCCATGCTCATCCATGTTGCCATGAGTAATAGGATTTCAATCTTTTTTTAGGGCCAAATAGTGTAATATTTCATTGTGTGTATATATACATTTTCTTTATCCATTCTCTGTTGATGGACATTTAGGTTGCTTCCATATCTTAGTTATTGTGAATAGTGCTGCAATAAACACGGAGGTGCAGATATCCCTTCAATAAACCGACTTCCTTTCCTCTGGTTAAATACCCAGTAGTAGAATTGCTGGATCATATGGTAGTTCTATTTTTAGTTTTTTGAGAAACCTCCACACTGTTTTCCATAATGGCTGTCCTAGTTTACATTCCCACCAGCAGTGTATAGGAGCTCTCTTTTCTCCACATCCTTGCCAGCATTTGTTATTTTTTGTAGTTTTGAAAATAGCCATTCTAACTGGGGTGAGATTCACATTACGGTTTAGAAGCAGTGGATTGAAGAATTAGCTCCCATGAGATCAGCCTTTTTCTAAAGGTGAAATAGGAAATTACCTCTACTCTTAAACCTTATTTGGCTCTCTCCAGGTGTTCTCTGGTGCTGCTGTCCTGGTTTCTTGTCATCTGCACCCCCGACTTGTTCTGTGTGGCCCCTTGTTTGTATTATCTGGTTTGACTCATCTCCAGGTATCAGCCTCTGTCATCAGGACTTCCTAAGTCTTTCTCCTTTACTGGTTAGCCACCTTGCATTTATATTCTGCTGCTGCTGCCTGAGCCCCAGTATGCTATAAATAAGTGTCACTGTGCCTGGATTACAGGAGTTATAACAACAAAGCAAGTCAAAGACTTATCAAACAGATACATTATTGTATCCTCAAATGACACCAGAATGTTGGTCTCATTAGATTCACAATGTGTATGATGTCTCTTTCCCCGTTACTAATATAATCCACGAAGCTAAAACAGAAGCTGCCCACCAGCTGGGAAAGTGTGTGATGTAAAGCAAAATCAAAATATTATGATATTGAAGTTATAATAGTATGTGTATAATTATGCTGGCTCTCTTTTGCATTGGATTCTCTCCGAGGTAGAAAATGAAATTGCCTTCTTTTGATAAAAAAAGTAAAATCCCATTTTTATAGGACACCATTTATAACAGAAATATCAGTAACATGAAAATGAAAGTGGTACAAAGGCAACTAATGAGCATGGAGGACATGTCATTTTTATTCTATTTGTAAATTCTAATTCTCTAATAAAAGGAAAACAGAAGAACACTAAATTTATTATTCTTTGTTATTAAGGCAAACATTCTTTTAAATAAAACATTGGGATTAATTTCCAACTTTTTTCATTTTTAAATTATTATTTAAATAGTAGATATTTATGGTATACAACATGATGTTTTGAAATATGCATACACAGTGGAATAACTAAGTTAGGCTTAACAATGTAAGCATTACCTCATGTACTTACCATTTTTTTCTGGTGAGAATATTTAAAATCTACTCTTAGCAATGTTCAAGTATACAACACATCTTTATTAACTGCAGTCAACCTGTTGTACAATAGATCTCTTGAACTCATTGCCCCTGTCTAACTGAAATTTTGTATCCTTTGACCAACATTTCCCCAGTCACCCTGACACTCCAGCCCCAGGTAAAAACCATTCTACTCTCTGCTTTGGTAGGTTCAACTTTTTGAGATTTCACATAGAAGTGAAATCACGTGATATTTGTCTTTCTCTTTGTGGCTTATTTCACTTAGCATAATGTCCTCCAGGCTCATCCATGTTGCTAATGATAGACTTTCCTTCTTTTTAAGGTTGAATAGCAGTTCATTGTGTATCTATACCACATTTTCCTTTTTTAAATTAAAAATTTAAATTGGACATAAAAATTATACATATTTATGGGGTATAGTACGTAGAGATGTTGCAATATATATAGTGTATAGTGATCAATATTACCATATCGATAATCTCAAACATATATCATTTCTTTGTGTTGGGAGCATTCAGTATCCTCCTTCTAGCTATTTGAAACTAATATATTATTGTTAACTATAGTTATCCTACAGTGCTATAGAACACTAGAACTTTTTTCCTTTCTAGCTGTAATTTTGTATCCTTTAAAAGATTCCTCCCTATCCTCCCCTTCTCACCACCCTAGCCTCTAGTATACTCTGTTCTGCTTTTTACTTCTCTGAGATCAACTTCTTTTTTTTGTTTTAGCTTCCGCATATGAATGAGAACATGGTGTTTAGCTTTCTGTTCCTGGCTTATCTCATATAACATACTGTCTTGCAATTCCATCCATGTTGCAACAAATGACAGGATTTCATTATTTTTATGGCTGAATAGTACTCCATTGTGCATATCTATCTATCTATTTATCTATCTATCTACATATATGTATATATAACATTTAAATTTCCATACCTTGGCTATTGTAAATAGTGCTACAATAAATACGAGGGTGCAGATGTCTCTTTGGTATATTGATTTCCTTTCCCTTGGGTAAATGGCTATCAGTGGGATTCCTGGATCATATGGTAGTTCTGTCTGTAGTTTTTTGAGGAACCCCCATGCTGTTCTCCATAGTGGCAATACTAGCTTATATTTCCACCAACAGTGTACAGGCTTTCTCCTTCCTCCACATACTTGCCAGCATTTGTTATTTTCTGTCTTTCTGATAGTAGCCATCTTAAATGGGGTGAGATAATAGTTCATTTGGATTTTGATTTGTATTTCCCTGACGATTAGTAATACTGAGCATTTTTTTTTCATATATTTGTTGGCCACTCCATGTTTTCTTTTGCAAAATGTCTGTTGAGATTATTGGCTCATTTGTTATTATTATTATTATACTTTAAGTTCTGGGATACATCTGCAGAATGTGCAGGTTTGTTACATAAGTATACATGTGCCATGGTAGTTTGCTGCACCCATCAACCCATCATCTAGGTTTAAAGGCCCACATGCATTAGGTATTTGTCCTAATGTTCTCCCTCTTCTTGCCCCCCACCTTCCAACAGGCCCTGGTGTGTGATGTCACCTTCCAACAGGCCCCGGTGTGTGATGTCCCCTTCCCTGTGTCCATGTGTTCTCATTCTTCAGCTCCCACTTATGAGCGAGAACATGCAGTGTTTGGTTTTCTGTTCCTGTGTTAGTTTGTTGAGAATGATGGTTTCCAGCTTCATCCATGTACCTGCAAAGGACATGAACTTATTCTTTTTTATGGCTGCATAGTATTCTGTGGTGTATATGTGCCACATTTTCTTTATCCAGTCTATCATTGATGAGCATTTTGGTTGGTTCCAAGTCTGCTATTGTAATAGTGCTGCAGTTGGCTCATTTTTAAATCAGATTGTTTGTTTCTTTGTTTGCTTTGCTGTTGAGTTCTTTGAGTTTTTTATATATTCTGGATATTAATCTCTGTTGGATGAGTAGTTCACAAATATTTTCTCTCATTCTGTAGATTGTCTTTTCACTCTATGATTCTTTCCTTTATTGTGCAAAAGCCTTTTAGTTTCATATAATCCCATTTGTTTATTTGTGCTTATGTTACCTGTGCTTTTGAGGTCTTATTCATAAAATATTTTCCCAGACCAATGTCCTGTAGCATTTTCAGTATGTTTTATTCCAGTAGTTTTATAGTTTCAGGTCTTGGATTCATTTTTAGTTGATTTTTATATAAAGTGAAAGGAGAGAGTCTAGTTTCATTCTTCTGCATATGAATCTCCAGCTTTCCCAGCACCATTTATTGAAGCGACTGTCCTTTCCCCAATGTATGTTCTTGATGTCTTTGTCAAAAGTCAGTTGGCTGTAGCTACATGAATTAATTGCTCTGTGCTCTATTCTCCTCCATTGGTCTCTGTGTCTGTTTTTATGCTAGCACCATGCTGTTTTTGTTACTGCAGCTTGTAGTATATTTTGAAGTCTGATAGTATGATGCCTGCAGCTTTATTCTTTTTAGTCATGATTGCTTTGACTATTTGGGGCCTTTTGTGGCTTGATACAAATTTTGGGATTTTAAAAATATTTTTGTGAAAAATGTCATTGGCATTTTGAGAGAGATTGCATTGAATCTCTAGATTGCTTTGGGCTGAAGTTTCTTTATTCATTCATCTGTTAGTGGACACTTTGATTCCATATCTTGGCTATTGTGAATAATGCTGCAATGAACATGGAAGTGCAGATATCTAATGACAAATCACATTACACCTGTTAGAATAGCTATCATAAAAAAGGCAAAGAATAACAAGTGTTGGCAAGGATGTGGAGAAAAGGGAACCCTTGTACTCTGTTGGTAGGAATGTAAATCAGTACAGTCATTATGGAGAACGGTATGGAGGGTCCTCAGGAGATTAAAAATAGAACTACTGCATTATCCAGCAATCCCACTGCTCTGTATTTATTCAAAGCAACTTATCTTTTTTAGAAAAGAAAATTAATTTGGATCATCTTGATTGCTATTTACTCCATTATAATAAGGAATTACTACCCTCTTATGAGAAATATCCGTTTTTTTTTCTATTGTTACTAACAGTATGTTTTGTGGAGCTAGAGACTCTTTTTAAACTAGAAATATTTATTACTCGTTTTTCTTATTTTTATACAAATCCAAAGAATGTGTTTCACTTAATGCAATTTGCCACTATCTATATGCAATTATGTGAAATTCTTTAGCTTTATTTAAAAAATCTATACTAGTTATTTTCTACAAGTCCATTTTTTTTTAGTGTGAGTAATGTTTTAAATGGAGTTGTTTGCCTGATACTTGATCATCAACAATCCTTACTGATGCCGTCCAGTTAGATTGAGATGTTGAGATCCAAATGGGAAACAGTCAGCAACAAGTGCTATCTTGTTAACATAGTATGTGTCATGCTCTTCCATTAAATGTATTTGTGGCTAGGTATCCTAGAAAGAAAACATTTCTTGGTTACCTATTACCAGGAGAGTGCATGCACTGAAAAACAGAGGAGGCTGGAAGTAGACTGGCAAAGATTGACTCAGATGCAATAGAATTGGAGCTCGGTGTTTCTTGTTCTGCTACTAAATCACTTATAGGACTCTAGGCATTTAATTAACCTCTCTGGATCTCATTTTCTTTCTATACAGGTAGGCTTCTGCTTATGACAGGAGAGTGGTTGTAATATGAAATATGGAAATGAGCTAAATGGAAACAATTTAAGTAAGAATGCTTTACTATTCATTTACTTACTTATTAAACAAACAGTTTTGAACACCCATCTATTGCCAAGCAACATCTCTGACTTGAAGAGCTAACTCACAATCTAAGGAATATATCATATGCTGGCAACTGAGGGCAGTGGGAGGCAGGAGACAGGTCTTTCATGCACAGTAGGAAGGACCAGACTTGACTCTTATTAGCTGGGCGAACCTGGGTATATCATCCACCTTCATTTTTCCATCTGAGAAATTAAGCAATATTCTTATCTGCCAGGGAAAGAGGACTATAAATTTAAAAGCACTGTAAAAACATTAGTTATTATCCTTATTAATTTATAAGAACTTAGCAAAACCATGTTGCTAAACTCTCAACTAAAGGAACGGCTGTAATGCTTTAAACTTTTCTTGAATACTTAGAAAAGTTCAGGATAGAAAGTAGAAATTATCATAAATACATTGTACTAAAATATGTTATGGAAATCCATAACTCTAATTTATTTTCTCAACTCCAACCTAGAACTTACTAAAAATTTAAGTAATCACTCATCTCTTAACTACAAAGCCCTTTTAGATGAAAGATTCTCTATGACTTCAAAGTAACATTATTGACGAGGTTTCATCATCCACCCTCAGTCCACAGACTGGGTGATCAGCCCCTAAATAACGTTAGTTGTCTTTGAGAGATGCAGTTATTTCGCACGAATATTGCTTAAACATGAGTCAGCACTGATCTGCTTCTTGTGCAGGCAAGGGGAGTTAAATTCCTACAGCCAGAAAAGGCAGCTGTGTTCCCTGGAGGCCCCTTTAGTAGCTCTGGCTGGACCTAGAAGAGTATCCACAGGATGCAGATATGTAAATAAGGTTGGAAGAAGGAAAGGAGAATCTTTGAAGGAGACACTGAAGAGATGTCCCAAGTGAGAGAGGCTCTAGGAGGTTCCAAACTGCAGGTTAGGATTCAACAGTGAGCTCGCGCAAGTCTTATGGCCTCTCTGCTTGTCAGTTTTCTCATTGGTAATAATGATCTCTGAGGATCATTCAGAGGAGGATGTAAATGAAATGATAGGTAAGCACTGACACAGAGCCTGGCATATAGTAGATGCCCTAAGAGCTAGCTATTCATCATCATCATTGTCATCTAATTCTCCCTTCCTTCCTCTGGAGTCAGATGCCCACGAGCTGCCCTGCTTCCCAAACTCTGGGGTTCAGGCTGTGCCTGTAGGTAGGGTTTCTTGCTGATGGAATGGTGACTTTTAATTAATGTTCTAAATCTCTCAGAGATAAGCTCTTGTTACTTGTTATCTACAGGGTCTCTCAGGCCCTCTTGGCCTTCTCCCCTGTCATATAGAACGTGTTGCCATTTTTTTCTCTCTCCCATCAATTAAAAAAAAAAAAACTATAATCTTTGCAACATTTATGACCCTGTTTCCTTGGTCACAAGCAAATTATCACGTGTCTGTTGCATGATTTTAGTGTTATTCCACATTTTCAGTCTTGCCATTCTATAATGGATGGAATTTCTACATTTTGCAAAATGTTGCAACCAGTGTGGATCTTCCTAAATTTTGGGGGGATCATTCTTAAATTGGCCCCTGATTTTTCTTTAGGAACTTTTAAATACAACACACACAACACAGCACAACTTTTGTTATTTCTTTTAACATTTAGAAAAAGATGTTTCTTGTAGAAGCTGGCAATTTAGATACATATTTGCATGTTACTTAAGTAGTATTTATGCCATTCTCTTGTACTCTAATAGCTAAGAGGTGATTATGTGTATTACCACTTCTAACAGTCTTATTAATTACAGAAATTATAGAAAATACAGTCTATGTTCACTTCACTTTTGTGTCCCCAGTGCTTAATATAACACCTGGTATAATAAACTAGGCAGTATAATTTTAAATGAATAAATAAAGGATTTTTATGCAGGAAAAAAATGTCAGTACTTATAAGTTTATTTATGGTTAAGAATTTATGGAAAAAAACCAAAGCTATATCAAATAAAAAAATTAGACAAGAAAGTTGGAGATTAATCTTTACAATATAATTATGGCTTTAACACCAAAACAGCCAATGGTCTTATCTAAAAGTGTGAGTACTCTTTTCTACAGATAAGATGCCTGTAATAAATAAGAGTCTTTATTCTGCTGTAGAATTCTGCAGTTCGAATGCTTAGAAAGAAAACCCAGGTACTATAATTTTCCTTCCAGACTTTTTGCTTTCAGGATATTTAGAGACAATTTTCTCGAAAGAGTAAAATTAAATTATATGCAAAGAAGAGTAGAATGTTAGACTGTTGAGGAAAGATATCCCACTGAGAAAGCATTTGTCAGGGTCATGGCTATATTTTGAGGGGAAAATTTTAAATTACAGCATAGAGGTGAATGATAGCTACTACAAGAATAATGATCACTGGGAAATATGAGTTCAAGTGAGGGAAATTACCACAGTCTTTTACAGGAATAAATTATCACTTACATAACCTTAAAAATTAAGATTAAGGCAATCCAGGACTTATTTACCAGGTTACAAAAGTAAGGATTCTATGATCAAAAGCACTTTTTAGTGATGCTATTAGTAGTAACAGCATTAATTATAAAAGATAGAACATAGCACAATGCATATTCAAGATATTATTTTCTCCTGTCATGAAGTAGATAATTATTAGGTAAATCATATTATAGTCAAAATTTTCCAGAGGCAGGCATAGAAAACTTAAATTCAAGCAGCATTAATTCAGAGTTTAATGAATGCAGGACTACTTGTCACCCAAGAGGACAGTGAAGAAAGAAAAGATGTCTGCAATTCAGCCCATGCATAATGATGCTGGCTAACAATTATATAGCACCTACTATGTAATAAAAATTATTAGATCCTCACAACAACTCTCTGCAGTTGTTATTTTTATGTCCATTATTACTTATAAAGTGCTATTATTACGCCCATTTTATAGATGGGGAAATGGAGGCACAGAAAAGTACTATAAACTTGCTCAATGTAATAGTGGTTAATGATGGGATTTGAATCCTGGCAGCTTTCACTCAAAGCCAGACTCATATTCTACACCATCTTTTTTTTTTTTTTTTTTTTTGAGACGGAGTTGCACTCTTGTTGCCCAGCCTGGAGTGCAATGGCATGATCTCAGCTCTCTGCAACCTCTGCCTCCCGGGTTCCAGCTATTCTCCTGTCTCAGGAGTAACTGGGATTACAGGTGCGTGCCACCACGTCGAACTAATTTTGTATTTTTAGTAGAGACGGGGTTTCACCATCTAGGTCAGGCAGGTCTCGAACTCCTGACCTCATGTGATCCACCCGCCTCCTCGGCCTCCCAAAGTGTTGGGATTACAGGCGTGAGCCACTGCACCTGGCCCACTATCCTATTTTCAAGAAAGTAAAATACCCGGGCTGGGCGCGGTGGCTCATGCCTGTAATCCCAGCACTTTCGGAGGCTGAAGTGGGCTGATCACGAGGTCAGGAGATCAAGACCATCCTGGCTAACACGGTGAAACCCCGTCTCTACTAAAAATGCAAAAAATTTGCTGGGCGTAGTGGCGGGTGCCTGTAGTCCCAGCCACTAGGGAGGCTGAGGCGGGAGAATGGCGTTAACCCAGGAGGCGGAGCTTGCAGTGAGCCGAGAACGCGCCACTGCACTCCAGGCTGGGCGACAGAGCGAGATAACGCGCCACTGCACTCCAGGCTGGGCGACAGAGCGAGATAACGTCTCAAAAAAAAAAAAAAAAAGTAAAATGCCCAAACATTGTGTTAATTCTTAAAAAGATAAACCATTTAGACTTTGTTGCACAAACTGACGTGTGTTCTGTAACCTACTCAGTTCAGCTAACAGCAGTAACTATTCTATTTTAAGCAATTCTACTTCACATTAGTTAGATTCAGTTTTTCAATTTGTCTGCTGGATTCTCCAGCCAACGGTCACGCCATGGCTATTGTGTGGAGCAGTAATGAATGTTCAGACCACCTGGAAGAACCAGTAGGCAGGGAGATTTTCAGGTCTTGCCTGAAGGGAGCTTCCTCATGTTGTCTGATGCTGGGTGGTCCCAGAGAGCAGCCAACCTGCTGTGCTTTTTAATCGTGCCAAATCTTCACTGCGATTAGGAAACTGTGTAGTCAGATACAGTGCCTTAAGTTGACTCGATTTTGCTTAAACAATTAAAAAATGTAGTATCTATCACAAAAAGGTGTCTAAAGTTAGAAGAATTTCAGGATTACATTCAGTGGCTCAACACTATCATCAAGGATCTGGGTTTTCCCTTTTAATCCTCTGCGATCCATAGTGAGTTGGCTTTGTCTGGTCACAGGATAGGAGTTACAGCCAGATCCAATAATGCACAGAGGAAGAGGAAATCATTTTATCTAGAAGACCTTTTCTCATGTCTTATTGATCAGAACTAGGTAGCTCCCAGGCCAACCACTGGCAAGGGGAATGGAGCTGCTATGATTGGATTTGACAGAAGCCCTGTAACTGGGGAATCTCTTCAGTCACGGGAGGAAGGATACACAGACACTTTGCTCTGCTGGCAAGGGAAAGAGAAAAGGATCTTGGATTGGCCACCAACAGCATCCGCTATAGGATAAACTGCTCACTTCGACTGCTCACTTCAATAAGATATATTCATAATACTGCCCATATGTCTAGTTACGAGAAAGGTTCATTGTTGTTTCCTGCTTTCAGAGAAATTTTTGTATGTCTAGTTTTAATTTAACACTAGGCTCTTTAACTTTACAGGAAAAACACTGCATAAACATGGCATCCAAAGAGAGGAAGCAGAGACATGATGCACCAACTACTACTTTAGTAATTGAAGAGAGAGAGAAGAGCCTGAAGTCATTCAATAATTAGATCAAATAATTTACTAATGGATCATTTGTCTTCCCTTCCAATGTAAGTTTAAATTCTTATTACAGAGAGGGACAAGGAAATTGTGGAAAAAACACAAAGAATTTGAGACTCCTAGAACCTAAATATTGGCCCAACTACAAGTACCAGAAAATCAAAATTCCAATACATTGAACAAACAGGAGTTCATCTTTTTCTCCAGGTAGGTAGGCAAGTATAGAGCTCCATGGCAACATCAATGACTCAGGATCCTTTTATCTTTCTATTCCAGCTTCCTTAGCAAGTTGGCTAATTGCTCCATGGTCACAAGATAGCTGCTGAATCTCTAGAAATCATTCCCAAGTCCCATTCAGGAAGAAAATAAAAGGGTGCATTGGCTTTTTCTGTTTCCCTCTTCTCAGAACTCTCTCAGCAGACTTTCACTTACGTGTTATATAGTCCAGAACTGGATGGCATGGCTCCCCACCGTGTGCAAGGGAGATTCAACAGGATTTGGTTTTTCAGCCTCTGTTGGGAGAGACCAAGAGACAGAAGGAGACTGGGTAACACTGTCCACCGTAACCACTTAGTATAGTGATAACTCTGGGCAAATATTAATTACTACTGGGCTAGTTGAAAGTTTCTGGGAAGCAAATCAGTTGCTAAGCACATGCTCTATGAGAACCCATAATATAAATAAGAAGAAGAAAAAAGAAGGTTTAAATGTTGGCTTACTTAGAGGAATGCCTAGTTTCTTCTCTATCACTGTGGTAACCACTAGGTTACAACTGTTACCTTTTCTCACAGAAAGACAATTCCAAAACAGACCTCAAATGAAAATGCTACACAAATAATGGATTAATTGGGTACCATTTCTACTCTTCTCATCATGTTTTACAAGCAGTTGAAATAATATGTGCCCTTCCCAGTCCCTTTTTAGTATTTGTCAGTAGAATAGAGTGTCAAAAACGACTTACGATGCCTAAAACATTTAGAAATTAAAATAGCATGTGGTGGTGCCATGACCTTTTCAATATGCTGGTGTTTCAATTGTTCAGCCATTCCTCTTGTTCTTTTTCCTGACTGTTCTTTATCAGAGGAAAAGGTAAATTGGCACCTCAAGTATGGAGTACTCAAAGGAACTAAACAGCACATTATTGAAACAATTCAGAGGCAATCCCGCATAGCTTCCAAGTGCCATGGAAACAAAAGATGGTAACTTTATTAATTGTGAAAGGTTGGGGGAACGAATTTAGTATCTTGCTTTGCCAGTTTTCCTCTAGTGCACAGTATAGTTTCCAGGACCTGCATACAAACATCAGTTCATGATCAAAATGTGACCTTGCCTGTCCCGATGAATAAAACTAATAAATTCCCCAATGATATGCTTATTATGCTTCTCTGAGGGAAGATGGTTGCTTTCGTGTCATTGTGGTTCCATAATATCTCTTGGAAGGAGGCTTCTGAGGATGCCCAAGCTGCTCCTCTGGGTTTCCCTAACACCCTGCATGCGCTCATCGTGTAGAAATTGCCACATAGCGTTACAGGTTTCTGTTCACTTATTTCGTCTGCCCAGTGGGAATGTGATTTCCTGAAGAGCACCTAGCACATGCCTAAAACACAAAAGGACTTCACTAAACATTTGCTGAATAACTACCACCTGTGCCAAGAAGCAGACCGGCTTCCGCTACAACTGACAGCCCTTCTCTCCTGCTAGTCAGAGATTCTCTGTCTTGGAAGAGACTTTAGGAAACAGCAGACATCTTGGATGTGTGCCTGCCTGCATTACCACCTTCTCCAGTTTTATCCTAAAGCTGACTTCAGTACAGCTCTCCCCAAACTGTGGAAACTTTGGATGACTACCTAAGAACTCCACAAACTCAAGCAGCTTTAAAGCCACTCTGCAACTTTCCTACAATGAAAGAGGAGGCAGGTACCATTCTCAGATAATACCGATGAATTCAGAAACCAAAATAAATCTGAAAAAATGTAGTGCTTCACACTTACATTTATACCCTTCTCCCTTCTTGCTTTATTCCCCAGAAGTGAGTAGCTCCTGAAACTGATAGCCAAGAGATGTTCAGGAAGAACCTGTCCCCAAACAGGTGTTTGCACACCCAAGTTATGTAGGTGTCGGAGTAGAGCATGTACTGATATGTGAAATTATATATTTAGCAAGAAGGAAACCCACTACTTTTCTATCTGACTCCATTAAAAAAGGAGAATGAGGAAGCCATAACACATGTGACAGTGACTGATAAAGCATACTATATTGGCTGAGTGAGGCCCCTGGAATGGAAGGGTGAATTCCAGATCTGCCACTTCGTAGCTGTGTGATCTTGGTCACTTAACTTCTTTAATCCTGGGTGGTCACATAGGTATTAGAATAAAGATAATGACACGGCCTACATCACATGGGGTTGTTAGGAGAATTAGCTGTAATGTGCAGAGCTTGGCTATTGGTGAATTCTTAACAAGTATTAGCTGTAACTATCAGTTATTATTCTGTGACAATGGCCTGCCATTGCTCTTCCAGGATACTGGATATTTAGAGTGGAGAGAGGGCAAGAGAGAGGAGATCTGAGCTGCAGACCCAGCTCTATGAAAAAATATTGATATGGTCTGGACCATTCTTAGGGCCTCAGTTTTCTCATCTAATAAATGAGAGGTTTGGATTAATCATCTCTTACCTGATTGTTCTGGAGACTGACTTATAGCAACCAGTGCAAAACAATCTTAACACTTTGCTGAGTATTTTGTTTGAGATTGAATAAAACAAAGATCAGTTTCCTGAAAGCATCCCTTGACAGGTACAGGCTTTAAGCCTGTATGAGATCCGTGCTTGCAAAAAAGAAATGTGCATTTGCAGAGCATAGCAACTAGTCCTCCCTGCCAGCACACAATTGAGCACAAAAGACTCAGAGCACACTGTCCTAACTGGCTCCACCTTCTTCACAGCCCTAAGAGCCACCTAATTCCTCCCTGCCTCAAATGCCTATTTTCCTTGGCCACTGCCAAGGACACCTTTCTGGTCATGCTTCACCTCGCTGACTTTCATCCTAATAATGCTTTGTCCTTCTTCTCCCTGGTCCAGTTTCTCACTTTCCCCCACACCTGTTAAACTCTTCCCTTGAGCCATTTAAACTCTTCTTCTGTGGCTCCAAATCATGGCCTTCATCCACTTCTTCAGGGAACAGTCCCTCAATCTTTTCACCTCCACAGAAATTTGACCATCACCTTGTAAGATCACTTGTCCTACAGCCTTTTTGCTTAGAGGCTGCTTTTTCTCTGCCATACCCTGTGAAGCTTAGAATTGAAAGGTAGGGCCTGTAGCCCACTTACTTCTCTTCCCCACTCATGAATTGATGACATTGGCAACAAGCTCACTGTCTTCCTCTCTACCTTAATTCCTGCCACCATTCAAATGTGCATGTGAAGAATTCAAGTATGCATGTGGCTGGCCTGCTTAGCACACAGCCTCTCTATTCTATGACCTCTGTTATTCAAACATCTCTCCAGCTGAGTCATTCAGTTCCATTTTCACATCTTATACCTTGTCATGTCCAGAGGTTTTGCCAGAACCTCAGAACCTTCAAAAATCTCTAATTAAATAAACTTGTGATTCAATCATAACTCCTTATTTTAAAAGTTTGACTATTCATGTACTTTTTCTACAAGTAAGTGCCCACTTTATCAAAATAGCCAGTCCCTTGACCCATCTACTTTCTCTTTGCTCACTGGCCTCCTCTTGCTTGACCTCCTTCCTAGTCAAGCTGAGATTTCATGGTCTGCAGTTTCAATCACTGTCTTGTCAAAATCCCAAAATCCTTTTCTTACAATCACCTGACAAAATTCCAGCCCCAGATGAATTCACTCTCTGCTTTCTGTGCCTACAATTGAGCCACTGAACACAATTGTAGGAAAAGAAATTCCACAACCAGACAAATATATCCGTAAACATCCATCATTTTTATCAGTCAGGGTAGGCTAGGTTCTGCTGCAGTAACAAGCAAACTAAAACAGTAAGAAGCAAAACAAAACATAAGCAAAACAACAAATCTCAAAATCAAGGGCTTGACATGATACAAATTTCTTTCATATGTTGCAAGTCCAGAGTGGGCTGGCAGGGGCTCTTCTCCTCTTAGGCATTCAGGGATTCAGGGTGATGGAGGCTCCACCTCGGCTCACTATCCACAGCCCCTGAAACAAGGGGAAAGGTTCTGTTCATCTTTCATTGGCCAAAGAAATTCAGGTAGCCTTACCTGCACTCAAGGGTCTAGAAAAGTAAAATCTTATCATGTACCAGGAATGAGAAGAACCAAATACTAGTATTTATGAACTGTCAATGACTGCCACAGCCATTAATCTCAACTGCTCCTGGCATTCTTAATAAGTTTCTCCAGTTAGCACTTTCTCCTTCTCTCTCTCTTGCTCTCATTCTCTCTTTGTGGCAACTATTTCAAGCTTTTATTCAGCCTCTGACTCTACCTCTTTGTAGTACTCTCACAGTTGTGTAGATTGGAGAGAGATGATACAAATCCTAGGACAGTGACTGCAGGAATATATCATCTACAGTTTCCTCACCAGTAACAGAGAGATAGTAATATCTGCCAAGCTTACTTCAAGGCCAGGGACATGTGAAAATTAACTGAGAATGTGCAGGCATACCTCAGAGATATTGCAGGTTCGGTTTCAGGCCTCTACAATGAAATGATATTGCAACCATGGGAGTTATGCAAATTTTTTGTTTTCCAAATCCATATAAATTTATGTTTATACTATAGTATAGCCTGTTGTGTGCAGTAGCATTATGTCTAAAAAAATACTTAATTTAAAAAGTTCTTTATTGCTAAAAAATGCTAACAATCATCTGAGCCTTCAGTGAGTTGTAATCTTTTTGCTGGTGGAGGGTCTTGCCTCGACGTTGATAGCTGCTGACTGATCAGCGCAGTGGTTGAGGAAGGTTGACGTAGCTATGGCAATTTCTTAAAATAAGACAACAATGAAGTTAGCCACATTAATTGACTTTTTTTTTTTTTTTACCAAAGACGTTTCTGTAATATGTGATGCTGTTTGATAGCATTTTTCTCACAGTGGAACTTCTTTAAAAATTTGTAGCTGTTTGATGTTGGTTACTTAACTTACTATTCTCAAACCCTTCTGCTGCTTTATCAACCAAGTTTATGTACTATTGTAAATACTTTGTTGTCATTTCAACAATTTTCACAGCATTTTCACCAGAAGTAAATTCCATCTCAAGAAATCACTTTCTTTGCTCATCCATAAGAAGCAACTTCTCATCACTCACATTTTATCATGAGATTGCAGCAATTCAGTCAGATCTTTAGGCTCCATTTCTAATTCTATTTCTCTTGCTATTTCCACCACATCTGTAGTTACTTCCTCCACTGGTCTGGAACTCCTTAAAATCACCCATGAGGGTTGGAATCAGCTTCTTCCAAATTCCTTTAACGTTGATATTTTAACCTCCTCTCATGAATCATGAATGTCCTTAGTGGTATCTAGAATGGTGAATGTTTTCCAGAAGATTTTTAATTTAATTTGCCCAGATCCATCAGAGGAATCACCATCTATGGCTTCTATAGCCTTATGAAATGTATTTCTTAAATGACACTTGAAAGTTGAAATTACTCCTTGATCCCACAGGCTGAAGAATGGATATTGTGTTATCAGGCATGAAACCAACATCAATCTCCTTGTACATCTCTGTCAGAGCTCTTTGGTGAAAAGGCACATTGTCAATGCAGTAATATTTTGAAAGTTTTTTTTTGTGATGAGTAAGTCTCAACAATGGGCTTAAAATATTGAGTAAACCATGCTGTAATTAGATGTGCTGCCATCCAGGCTTTGTTGCTCCATTTCTAGAGCACAGGCAGAATAGATTTAGCATCATTCTTTAGGGCCCTAGGATATTTCAAATGGTAAAGGAGCATTGGCTTCAATGTAAAATCACCAGCTGCATTATCTATAACAAGATTCAGTCTGTCCTTTGAAGATTTGAAGCCAGGTATTGACATCTCTCTAGCTATGAAAGTCCTAGGTGGCATTTTCTTCCAATGGAAGTTGTTTCATCCCCAATGAAAATGTATTGTTTAGATTAGCCACCCCGTCAATGATCTTAGCTGGATCTTCTGGATAACTAGCTGCAGCTTCTCCGTCAGCACTTACTGCTTCCCCTTGCACTTTTATATTATAAAGACAGCTCATTTCCTTAAACCTCATGAACCAACCTCTGGTAGCTTTAAACTTTTCTTCTGCAGCTTCGTTACCTCTCATTCTTCATAGATTTGAAGAGAGTTAGGACTTTGCTCTGGATTAGGCTTTGGCTTAAAGGGATGTTATATCTGATTTGATCTTCTATCCAGGCCACTCAAACTTTCTCCATATCAGTGATAAGGCTTCTTTGCTTTCTTATCATTTGTGTGTTCACTGGAGTAGCACTTTTCATTTCCTTCAAAAACTTTTTCTTTGCATTCACAACTTGGCCAGCTGTTTGATGTAAGAAACCTTGCTTTTGGTCTATCTCAGCTTTCAATGTGCCTTCTTCATAAGCTTAATTATTTCTAGCTTTACATGGCACATGTATACATATGTAACAAACCTGCACATTGTGCACATGTACGCTAAAACTTAAAGTATAATAATAATAAAATAAAAATAAATAAATAAATAAATGAGAGAGATACGCAATTCTTTCTTTTGAACACTTAGAAGCCTTTGTAGGGCTGTTTATTGGCCTCATTTCAGTATCATTGTGTCTTAGGGAATAGGGAGGTCTGAAGAGGAGGACAGAGATGGGGAAAAGGCTAATTGGTGGAGCAGTCGGAACACACACGACACTTATCCATTAAGTTTGCCATCTTATATGGATGTGGTTCATGGAACCCCAAAACTATTTAAATAGTCACCTCAAAAATCACTGAATACAGATTACCATAACAGATTTAATAATAATGAAGAGTCTTGAAATATTGTGAGAATTCTCAAAATGTGACACAGCTACACAGAGTGAGCACATGCTGTTGGAAAAATGGTGCAGATTGATAGAGTTGCTCAACATAGCATTACCACAAACCTTCAATTTGTAAAAAGCTCAGTATCTGCAAAGCACAATGAAGTGAAACAAAATAAGACAATTTGTGCCTGCATTTGAAAGTACTTTGAAAACTTAAACACTATATTTTATAATTGTAATTATAAACATATATAAATTATAAATAATATTATTTCAGAATATCTAATAAGCACAAAATGCAAAATGGGGCTAAAAACATCATAATGGCTTAGAATTTAAGCTCCAGGTAGGCTTTTTTGTCTGTATACTGATATCGTCCCGGTACCTACAGTGTCCAACACACAGTAAGTATTCAGTAAATATTTATTAAATTAATTTTTTTGAGATGAGGTCTGGCTACTTCGACCAGCCTGGCTTTGAACTCCTGGGCTCAAGTGCTCCTTGTACCTCAGCCTCCCTAGTAGCTGGGACTACAGGCACATGCCTTCATGTCTGGCTAATTTTTATTGAATATGTGCCCGTTTATAAGGTAGCATCACTACTGTGGGATATTAAGGTGTTTTGACATGTGTTCATATGCTAAGAACTATTACCTAATTCTGTATCCAGTTGAATATTTTCTTGTTTATATGGTATAAAATTGGAAATGTGTGTTGGGGAGGGTGAGGGGCTGGTTATCACAAAGAAATAAGATCTAAAGTCCCATAAAATGACATTTTGGAACCAAAGTTTTGCTTACTAAAATTTTCATATTCTATAGGGTCTTCAAATTCATGAGTTTTGTATATGCATAATAAAATATTGTCATTATTATGAATCTAAAATGCATTATAACATATGGCAAAATTTGCAAAAATGCATTCATTATATATTAGACAAGGCAAATACTTAATGTATGGTATGATAATTTAACAGGAAATATTTGCAATTGATCCTTTTAAAATAAATTGGGTGCAACTCACTATTGACTCAGCAAATTATGTCTTTTTGTAGTTTATTTAAAACAGTTCTTGTTTTCACTTTTAGCCACATTATATGGCAGTAGCGTATATGAATAGATATGCAGCTATTATTTATTTGTCACTGCCTGCTAATTTCGTTTTTAAAACGTCATTATTTTTGAGTTATTACTCTTTGAAAACATTTATAAGTCTGGGGAGTTTCCTCAACTTGAAAAATTCAAAAACCAAGTCCATTTCTTTAGCCTTTTCTGCAAACCTTTCTTCATATGTTATGGTTCTATTCAGAGTGGACATTTGAAGTTATGTTTAAGGTGACCATCATAAATCAGCAGCCTTCCTGATAAGTCATATTCAGCAGTGGCAGCCATAGCACGGCTTGGTATTGCAGAAGCAAAGCCTTAAGCCTCATTATGACCCGGGGCGGAAGACACTTGTACAAGACCCAGGGACTTGCTCTTTGAATTTTTCAAACTGAAAAAACTGCCCAGAGTTATAAATGTTTTCAAAGAGTAGTAACTCGAAAATAATGATGTTTTAAAAATGAAATTAGCAAGCAGTGCATTTACAAAAAACAAACAAACAAACAAACAAATAGTAGTCAAGTAAGCAGGGTTTATTGTGTCACCAAGTCCCCCAAAGGTCCAGGGTTCTCACATATTCCCATATTCTTGTTCAGAAATCACTGAGTTGCTTCATCGTACCTCCTGAGGGCAGCATTTAATATCTCTTTTGACCTATTTCTCCTTATCAAAATCATCCGTCTTATGTTCCCTAATCTTAAGCCTTAGGACATAGCTTGCTTCTCATCTGATAAGCAAAATCAAACCAAGCTGTTAACAAACAGTTGGTGTGTTTCCCTTCTACAGTGTACAAGTGATGTGCTAGGCTCTGGGGCGTATGTAAAAGGTGTAAGAAAAAATTCTTTTGTTAAGGATTTCTAGCTGTAGAATTAGACAAGACACAATTTTATTTGATTCTTGAAAACTTAACTAAAGGTAGCAAATATTTAATGAGAAGGTATCACGTGCCAGTCATTGTCCTGAGCTCTTATACACAAGTGAATAAGAACCATTTCTTGCCCTCAAGGAACTCATGCTACCACAGGCAGAAGTTGCAAATTGTTGCCTGGAGGCCCATTCCTGCCTGTGAATTCCTTTAGTTTCTGACTGGCACACTGCTGTAGCAAATTTGAGGCTAAACTTGAAATTGTATAATTTCACATAAAAATCTGAATTTCCAGTTTCTACAAAACAACAACAACAAAAACAAAAAAACCCCAAGATAGGGCCCCATTATTCCACCACACACTCACCAGGAACTGAGTGCAGTCTCTCCATTTTGACAGGATGAGTTTTTCAGTTTGCCACAGTCGTCACCAGTCCCTCTTTCCCAGCTCAGAGGTTGAGTCTTAGTGGTTATTTGTTAACAAGTGTGAAAAAACACTAGGGAAATAGTTTTGTACCTATGTCTGTATCAAAAGTGGGAAACGAAAGGTCCAAAGGACCCCATGTTTTAAGAAATGTGGAGGACAGCATATTCCCTTTGAGAAGTAAAAATAACCCGATGAATTTAAGGTGCAACTGCCAGGCCTTTGTCACACATTCAAGTAACCTGCCTCACCTCTTTAAGTGTTTGAATTTCAGGCCCCTTGTTTAGGGCATATTGATGTAAAGTGCAAGACAGGGGAAGACATAGAAAAAATTCTATAGGTGTAAGAAGGGGAGAGAGTGGTAATTAGTGGCAAATCCAAAAGGCTTTAATCAGGTGACAGCTTTGCGGGTTGGGTGGGAAAGGTCACTCAGAGAGAAGCACCATCTTGAAACGAATCCCGAAGCTGGGAGAGCATCTAGTGAACAGTAGTGAATAAATGGTAGCCGCAGTGAGGGGCCGTGGAGGGGAATAGCAGTGGGTGGGTGATAGGAAAACACTGGAGTCTTGAGCTCTGATACATAAAATGTAATGTTGTATATGGGCATCAGGGAGACTTAGGTAAGAATCTCTTTCTTATCCTTTTAGTGGCTCCTTACAGCCATCATGGACCATTCACTATGCTCTTGAGGACTAGCCATGAATAAAGCTGAAATGCCATACCACTCCATTTGGGGGTAGTGCCAGTACACCATGCAGAATTATCTCAAAATCAGATCATCTCAAAATCGGGTCCAAGTTGTTTCTTTCTTGGAACTAATCATAGGGCTGTGAGTTTGGGCCAGGGGAGAGGTGACAACGAGCAGGGAGTAGGTGCCAGGGAATCTGAGCCAACTTCTCCCATAGCTTATTTGTGCCTTCAAGGCCTGCTTGAGCATGGTCTTGTTTATACTACAGTTGGCCCTTGAACAATGAGAGGGTTATGAGCACCAACCCCTGCACAGCTGACAATTTGTGTATGTCTTTTGACTCCCCCAAAACTTAACTACTAGTAGCTTACTATTGGCCAGAAGGCTTACCAATAACATAAACAGATAATTAACAGCTATTTTCTATGATATATGTAAGACATACTATATATTTACAATAAAATAAGCTAGAGAAAAAGAAAATGTTCCTAAAACAATCATAAAGAAGAGAAAATATATTTACTATTCATTAAGTGGAAGTGGATCATCATAAAGGTTTTCACGCTTATAGTCTTCACATTAAGTAGCCTGAAGAGGAGAAGGAAGAGGAGGGGGGTTGGTTTTGCTGTCTCAGGGGTGGCAGAGAAGGAAGAGATGGAGGAGGTGGAAAGAGAGGCGGGAGAGATTTATTGAAAAACAAAACAAACAAAAAAAAACCACATCTAAGTGGACCCATGCAGTTCAAACCTGCGTTGTTTAACCATCAACTGTACTTGCACGTGGTTCTAGAGTGCTGATGCTGACACCCAAGTAGGTGGCATTAGATAACTTCAGTTCCTGATGGGCAGCTCAGGCTATATGGTTGTTTGATGGACCTTGTTCAGTCATTCAGTCTCTGCTTGGATCCAGTAGTACTCCAGAAGTTATTCTTTAGAAGAAGAATTATCTGTGGAAAAGAAGATGATTTTTCTCAAAAACCCCAAAGGGTCTGCACTGTAATTCTCTTATCTGGATTTGTCAGAGGCTTAATACATCATTTCTGTTTGCTACAAGTGGTCTTTATGAATTGGTATATAGAAGAAAGCATTTACCGGATCAATAGTAGCATACCTGATGCCAGAGGATGCATTGATTTGCTCCAAAAAGATAGCGCTTTGGGGCAGTAGTTGTAATTGGTGTCACAACCTGATTAAGTTTAAAATAATTTACTGTTACTCTCCAAAATTCATCTTTCTTCTGCACAAGACAAATAGGGGAGATTTATGTGAATGTCATGGAAATCACCGCCCCTATAACTTTCAGGTTTTTGGTGATGATATTAATCTCTGAAAGTCTCCCAGGGTTGTGTAATTATTATTAATGTATCACTTTGGTAGTAAAGGGGTAGTTCAAGGGGCTTCCTCTTGGCTGTTCCTATTACAATAGCCCTTACTTCAAGGGTCGGGAAGTGGGAGTTCTGCCAGTTGCTAAATATGTTTTTGGAACCTGGGAAAATAACTATGAGAGACCCACTTGGCCCACTGGAAGATGTATTTAAGCCAAAACTTTGTGTGTTATCTGACATCCATAAGTCCCCAGTCTAACTGGTGGGTCCTAAAATTTGGGGGTTATCTAAAGATTTGTCATTTCAGAGCCAGGGTCCAGAAACCTAGAATCATCTGGGTATTTTCCTTTCCCCAGAGTATAATCATCATGATAAATAGGTACACTACTTTTTGGGCAAAGCTAGAAGGAAATTTTATGTTCTTGTTGCAACCTCATTGAATCCTTCCTTCAGAAGTCCAAGCTCCCCTTTATTTTAAGGGATCTTATTAACTGGCTCATTTGTGAAAACTGGTGAGAGTCCTCTACTCTTCATTATGGCTATTTAAGTCAGATACCTGTACACTGGATTTAATTTTTAAAAATTTTACAGGTGAACTAAGACTTTATCAGGCTGAAAAACCATTTGAATTCCATAAACACTATGACAAAATAAAGTCACTGCAAAAGATATCTGTGAATAAAACTATTTGGATTGGGACTTTGTTCTTTTATTCAATAATATGCTCTTGGCTACCTTATCTCCGGTGGCTAAGTGCTGTCAATTGGCCTCTGTAACTCCTGGTAGCCAATCTGAATAGTGTTATACTATACTGTCACCTCTGAGCTGCAGAAGGACAGATACCACTGAGATTTTCAAGGATACTGGTTCTCCTTTCACAGATATATTTCTTAATGCCTTCATGATTGGAATGTCCTCTGGGCCATAGGAAGGGGTGGGTGAAAGGTTACATATGGTTGATCTACACCAAAAATTTAATCTTCCTAATCCTTTGCATTTCTTCTTCTTATACAAATTTTATTTAATGAAGCCCATTGTTGGGTCAGGCTTTAGTCAACCAATTGAAAAACTCTTTATAGATTTATTCCCAACCCTCAAACTAAATATTGAATCTAAAATTTATGGTAACTGCACCCACATTAACAAATTTGCCCATATCCAAAACTGTTTCTCCCTCTCTTGTCTAAAATCATTAGATTGCATTCCTACAATTGTTTTCCAGGTTCCTGGTAATATAAATCTTGCAGTTCTTCAATGTGTACATTACATCCTTCTTGGTCAGACTCTGTACTTACCTTTCCAGAGCCTATTGGTCTGTGATTCTAGTTATGAATCTGGGAGCAATAAGAAGTGATGGAGGTGAATCATGACTGTATCCCTGTGCAAGGTAATTGTTTCAGGGTCTTTAAGCAAAGGGAAGCTAATCTCAAATAGGAAAAAGGGAAAGCTGAGAGGCATTTGGAAGTTCGTGATTCTCAGAGTCATTGGAATCTATCCAAATGTCCTCATTCCAATTTTCACTTTTTCTCAATCAATGCCCTAACTTTTACATAAGAGACCTGGCAAGTCTGTGAATTTCATTTCAGTTATAATTATCCAACCTACAGATGAAAAAAAATTTTTTGCATTAGCCATATGGCTATAAGAGATATTTTTAGGGCAGTCCTAGAAGCTCTCTTGTTCTCTGTCTGTGCCTTGAACTGAGAATATGAAATCCTAACCTTTTATTTAGATGCAGCCAGCCCATTTCATAGTCCTTACAGTCTTTATTTCCTCTTAAAATCCTATTGTAATAGCAATCTCTCAAAGGCTCTTCTACAATAAACACTTCATTCCTCAAAGCTATAGATATTTTGCCACTGCTGTCCGTGGATGGCTAGTATCCCATCTTTCACTGGTGATGAAGTCGTAATTGCTTTCCAATCTAACAAGATTAGATAATTAAATCCCCAATTCCTGTCTTTGAGCTTCTGCATCTTGGAACCACTTTTGGAAACAGACTCTGTTATCAGTCAGAGTTTTCCCAGGAAAGTACTTGCCTCTCTTGGCTTACCCGGAAGGGATGACTAAATACGAAGGGAATTACAAAACTTACAAAGCTGTTGGAGGACTGGGGCAATTAAGGTTCATGGAAACACTGCTTCCTTTGAAGAAATGTGGAAATTGAGGAACCACAGTAAGTGACTGGTGATTACAGCTGCTTGAAGAACTCAAGTAGGTAATTCACAAGAGCTCACTCAAAAGGAGCTGTAAACTTCACGGTTGCTATCAACCTGGGCATCTACCATCCATGGCTGGGGAAGAATATTGGCTGTGCTCTCTTCTGCCTTCCAAATATTATGCAAGATGCTTTGTCACTAGCAGTGAGAGAGTTTAAGCAATGTATTTTGCAGGCTTCCAGACCCTGTTATATAGGAAAGAGTTATGGACATTCAGATTGACATTATGGACAGTCAGTATTTGGCACAATATATAACCATCAGCTTCTCAAAAATATTTAAAATATGGCATCAAAAATAATATATGACCATTCGTTTTTCTTATTGCCTTTCCAATAAGTAGAGGGTTATAGTGTTCTCATGATCTGATGCTTATTTTTCCTCCTGTTTCTGACCAGTTATTTTGAGCCTTTAAGATGAGACTAAGCAGGTAAGAGATACATAGAAAAGGGTTTAAGGACCTTGGGCAGTGACTAGGGAGGGAGCTTTTAGGAGGGTTAGAGAGAAAGGCACAAGAGTAGTTACAATTTGAGAGCTTTGGATGGAAGGGGAAAATCACTTTTACAACCATTGTTTTGAATATATGTTTATTTCATCGTGCTTAAGAAACACAAACAAAGGATTTTAGTCATTTTGAAATATCTTTTGGTTGTCGCATTTTGTTTGTATGTTTGTTTATGGCAGAGACTCTCTAAGTGTGCTCTACAGGTCCCTAGAAGTCCCCAACAAGCTTTCAGGGATTCTATGAGGTCAAAATTATGTTCTTCATAACACGAAGATATTGTTTGCCTTTAGCATGCTAAAATTTCTACTGATGTGCAAAAACAATGGTGGGTAAAAAATACTGGCAATTTAGCAAGAATCATAGCAATGGCACCAAGCTGTACCTAAGTCAGTATGTTCTTCACCACCATGCATTTACATTACAAAACAAAACAAAATAAATTAAATTCCACTTAATAATATCCATGGTGAAGTAATGAAAATTATTAAGGTTAAAATTAATAATTAAGATTCAATAAAAATTGAGTATGCATCACTTTAGTATTCTCTGGGACAAAATGAGAAGTACCTCTGTGAAGTGCTTCAGCTGCATATCAACATGTAATGTCCCAAGGAAAGGCATTCCTGTGACTATGTTGTGAGCCTAACTAGCCAGTCCACAGAAAGCCATTTTTACTTGAAAGAACAATTTAAGACAAACTATCATTATTCAGACTAGGGGATTTGGCAAACATGGTCTCCAAAATGAACAAAATGAGCCTATTCCTTTAAGGGAAATAATTTACACTACATGTTGCCAGTGACAAAATTCAAGCATTTGGGTAAAAATTAACATTTAAAAAACTTGTATCAAAACTATGAGCTTGACAGCTTCCCAGTACTTAAAGACTTCTATGATGAGATTAGTGGTGATATTAAATATGTGATGTTTTGTATTAGATAATGAAATATGTCAACATTTGGAAGACATGCATAACTCAGTGAACCAATATTTTCCAAATGGTCAATGCATGATGTCACAAAATCAAGTATGGGTTAAATATTCCATCAAAGTGCAAGACAGACCAATAGATTTTAATGTAAGAGTACCGAAAGGTCACTGATACAGATTCATATGCTGCATTACAACTCACTTTTAACTAACCACCACATATTGAATTTTGGTGTAGTATAAAAGAAGAATATCCACAGCTATCTGAAATAGTTATTCAAAGATTTCTTTCTTTTTGAACTACATACCTGTTTGAGGCTAGAATATATGTATATGTATATGTGTATGTGTATGTGTATGTGTATGTGTATGTGTATGTGTATGTATATGTATATATGGCAGAATATGCCACCCCAAAATATGCCACTTTGGGATAGAATTATTTTGAGCCAAAAGCACTTAAAAAAATCACCACCAACAACGGTAGGTGCAAGAAGTGTGTTCTAGCCCTCTTTTTCTTCCTGAAATCAGGAGATAAAACCCCTATATGGAAGGTGTTCTCCCTGTGTCAGAAGGAAAGTAATATCATCAGCAAGGATGAAAAGTGTGGCCAAGAGAATTCTGTACAAACAGACTTTGTTAATAATTCATGTCTTCCTTTAGCCTCTCCTCATAGTTTAGTAATTTTTCCATAAAAGTTACCATTGTGGAACCTAATATGAAAGCACTTAGAATTTGCCACTTCTTTGGGCCTTCATTTGCTTAAGTATCATGTAAAACATTAAATAAATTTGTATGCTTTTCTCCTACTAATTTGTCTATGTCAATTTAATTCTCAGGCCTAGCCAAAAAAACTCTAAGAGTGTAGGGGTAAAATTAGCCTCTCCTATAGTGTGTGTGTGTGTGTTTATATATATATATATATGTTTATATACATATATATGTTCATTTATTTATTTATTTTACAGACTTTATGTTTGTAGAGCAGTTGTTTTAGTTTCCTAGCAAAACCGAGCAGAATATACAGAGATTTCCCACATACTCCCTGCCTCTCACATGCATAGCCTCCTCCATTATCAACATATTTGGTAGTTTCTTACAAAATTAAACATTTACCATATGAACCAACAATCACGCTCCTTGGTGTCTACAAGGAGTTGAAAACTTATGTCCACACAAAAACCTGCACATAGATGTTTCTAGCAACTTTATTCATAATTGTCAAAACCTGGACGCAATCAAGACCTCCTTCAGAGGCAAATGAATACATAAACTGTGGTAAATCCACACAGTGGAATATTATTTGGCACTAGAAAGAAATAAGCTACCATGCCGCAAAAAACACATAAAGAAAACTTAAATGCATATTATTAAGTGAAAGACGTCAATCTGAAAAGGCTACATTACTATACGATTCCAACTCTATGACATTCTGGAAAAGGCACAATTATGGAACCAGTAAAAAGATCACTTGTTGCCGAAAGTTGGGGTTGGGGGTGGGAGAATGAATAGGCAGGTCACAGAGAATTTTTACAGTGATAAAAATATATGATTATGTTGTCGGCAAAGCCCGAGTCTTGTCCTCTCGCTCTCCTCCCCGGACAGCATGAGCTTCACCACTCGCTCCACCTTCTCCACCAATTACCAGTCCCAGGGCTCTGTCCTGGAGCCCAGCTACGGTTCCCTGCCAGTCAGCAGTGCAGCCAGCATCTATGCAGGAGCCGGGGGCTCCGGTTCCCAGATCTGCGTGTCCCGCTCTGCCGGCTTCCAGGACATGGCGGCATGGGGCCTGGGAGCCTGGCAGGAATGGAAGGCATCTAGAACGAGGAGACCCTGCAAAGCCTGAACGACCTACCTGGACGAGTGAGGAGCCTGGAGACCGAGAACTGGAAGCTGGAGAGCAAAATCTGGGAGCACCTGGAGAAGAAGGGACCCTAGGTCAGAGACTGGAGCCATTACTTCAAGACCATCGAGGACCTGAGGGCTCAGATCTTTGCAAATACTGTGGACAATGCCCGCATCATTCTGCAGGTCAACAATGACTGCCTTGCTGCTGCTGACTTTAGAGTCAAGTATGAGACACAGCTGGCCATGCGCCAGTCTGCGGAAAGCGACATCCGTGGGCTCCACAAGGTCATTGATGACACCAATGTCACTCGGCTGCAGCTGGAAACAGAGATCGAGGCTCTGAAGGAGGAGCTGCTCTTCATGAAGAAGAACCACGAAGAAGAAGTAAAAGGCCTACAAGCCCAGACTGCCAGCTCTGGGTTGACCATGGAGGTAGATGCTCCCAAATCTCAGGACCTCGCCAAGATCGTGGCAGACATCTGGCCCCAATATGACGACCTGGCTCGGAAGAACTGAGAAGACCTGGACAAGTATCGGTCTCAGCAGATTGAGGAGAACACCACAGTGGTCACCATGCAGTCCGCCAAGGTTGGAGCTACTGAGATGACGCTCATGGAGCTGAGATGTACAGTCCAGTCCTTGGAGATTGACCTGGACTCCATAAGAAATCTGAAGGCCAGCTTGGAGAACAGCCTGAGGGAGGTGAAGGCCCGCTACACCCTGCAGATGGAGAAGGTCAATGGGATTTTGCTGCACCTGGAGTTAGAGCTGGCACAGACCCAGGCAGAGGGACAGTGCCAGGGCCAGGAGTACCAGGCCCTGCTGAATGTCAAGGTCAAGCTGGAGGCTGAGATCACTACCTACCGCCGCCTGCTGGAAAATGGTGAGGACTTCAATCTTGGTGATGCCCTGGACAGCAGCAAATCCATGGAAACCATCCAAATACCACTACCCGCTGGATAGTGGATAGCAAAGTGGTGTCTGAGACCAACGACACCAAAGTTCTGAGACATTAAGCCAGCAGAAGCAGGGTACCCTTTGGGGAGCAGGAGGCCAATAAAAAGTTCAGAGGTCAAAAAAGTATACTATGATGTTAGATATATGTCATTGTTCATTTGTCCAAAGACTGTCCTTAGAATGTGCAACACCAAGAGTGAACTGTAATGTGAACTATGGATTTTGGGTGATAATGATGTGTCAATGTAAGTTCATCAATTGTAACAAGTGTACCACTTGTTGATACCATTAGGTCCAATTTCTTTGAATATACTGGTAATGAATAATACATTGTAATTAGGGGATATTACCACTTTAGAGTAAATTAATGATATGTTCCATTCCTTCTCCTCTTTCCTGTATTTTCATTGTGAAAACCCAAAAGAATTTATGTGGAGAACAAAAATTTCTTAGTTTGCGGGGAGAAGAGAGAAAACGAAGCAGGGAAAGCTAGCACCCTATTTGTAGGATCAGAACAGGTACTTATCAGAACAATTGAAAGGCACAATACGTGAGTTTCACAGGCAGTGGGGAGAATGTGTTTGAGAGCCGGGGCTCAGCCCTGAGAGGGCAGGTCTTAGTGAAAATATGTGGGCATTAGGTGCTCCTGATGGGAGAGAAGGCAACAAAAGGGGGCACTAGAGGTGTTGATATCAAAGCAGCTGTTGCACATATTTTTTCACAGAGCCAGCCACACTTCAGCTATGCTGCACCCACATTTATCTAGAAACAAATAAGGTGCATGAAAGCTCCTAGGGCTTTAAGCTTTTAAAAAGCTCAATGCAATTTCCAGCTTTTGCAGTTATTTAATCAAGGCAAGCAAGAGGGTTATAAATTCAACAACTTTGTGATTGAGATTAATGTGCTCAGAAGTTAACTCTTGCCTTCACAGTCAACTGAGAAGAGAACATCAGACATTAAAAATTCTCTAAATTAAATCTGCCTGCTTGGTGGCCTAAAACAAAACATGGCTCCTAGAATATAACCTTTTCATGGTTGGCAGCAGAGCCAGATTAAGTGGTGGCCAGTTAGGACATTAACCTAGACTTGCAATCTGTAAAGGCTGATAAAGCATCACTAATAATGTCACAAAATGAGTAAACATGGTTTCAAACCAGAATTTATTTCTGGAAGACTGTTCTATGACTAGAAGGAAACTTTTTATTATATTATATAAGGCTGATGATAAACTAGCCAAGAAGTTTTCTTAAAACTCTGTCTTCATTTAAGCTGAGACTTCAAAAGCTGAGAATAACACAACGAGTTATAGATATCAAGTGATGCTCATATTCTTAAAATAAAGTGCTAATCCACCATGCAAAGAAGCTCCACCAATTTTGCAGGTTTAGGCAAGCACCCATTTGAGGCTATAGACAGGTGTGAGTTGAAGTTGTTAGGTTGGGGGAGAGTAGTGGTTTTTGGAGGAAGTTAGTGGAGTACTGTGGCTGTCCCATCCTAGGCAATGTTAGGGTGGTAGAGTGTGTTTACCCCCACCTTAAGGAAGAAGAGCTTAAAGAAAATTACTTAAAAAGTTTGACTTATGTTCCTGAGGTTTGTAGGGAGCTGTGACTGGACAAGTATAAAGACGGGAGAGTATGGCTGCCTTGGTGGCGTCAAGAGACGAAGCAGCACAGTGGGTACAAGGCTCACAGAGGCCAGTATGTAGACTGCTGGGCTGGCTGGTCACACTTTGAGATTCAGCTAGTAGCAGGTAAGGTGACAAGCTCTCATGAAATGTTTTTTCCAAGTGGTTTCAGGTAGATTCCTATCACACAGCAAAAGCAAGATCACTACGGTGTTAGTTCCTCACCTCTCTAATGCTGGAATACAGTGCCAGGGGGTGGTGACACCGAATGAGAGGGGTGGTGTGGTAGTGGCTATTCTGCTGCTGAGGAGCAGACTCTAAACTATAGCCAAGCACTTTTACAGACTTACACAAAAACCTACAGCCATACTCTAAGAGGAGGGTGGGGGAGGGGAGAAGCCAGTAGAGAGCCCTATTCTCAACTGAAATTAGGGAGATGTATGAGAAATAGTCTTGTGGCTATCTTCCACCAGATGGAAAGACAGATGAGAAACTGCCTCATGGCAGCTCTTCACAAGGCTGCTTCTCTTCCTCTACTTCTGGGAGGAATCACGGGGCTTTCAGCAAAGACTTGGGTCAGACTGTGATAAAGCCTTGCATACAGTGGCCCACGTGGAAACATTCAAGGTGGTGAGGGAGCTATGGTGATGCTGTCTCCCAAAGTCTGCCTTGGAATGACAGGTAGAAGAAGACTGCATTGGGAAGTTGTTGCTTTGAATTTTGCTTGAACTTGTAGCCTGGAGGGTTGATGGGATCCTGCATTGTGGGGATCAACTGCATGCAGAGACCCGAGGCTAGGGCAGAAATCAGGAGCTGCAAGCGGAAGGAGGTACACACTCAAATTGTCTGAGTATAGTTGGAGGTTCTCAGTTTGGAAATCTCAGAAAAACTCTCAGAAACCACCAACAAGGAAAAAGTCAGCCTTGAATATGCACCAAGCCCAGAGACTGGCAATGTCTTGTCACAACAGCACCAACAAGTACAGCCTCTCCTGCTGCACTTTCAACAGCACCCCAGAGTCAGAATCTGTCTAATGAGGGTGGGGTGCTCTGAAAGAAGTACAGAGAAAAAAGAAAAGGCTGATCATGCATGCTCTTTGCCATTAGAGATTTTCAGCTGGAAGTCACCCAATATGGAGGAAGAGAGAAGCTTTACATTTGACTAAAGTTTGCACTTTTGGTGATGACTGATATTGAGGTTTGACTAGAATTTCCTGGAGGACTTTTTCTTTTTTCTTTTTTTTTTTTTTCCGGACAGAGTTTTGCTCCGTCACTAGGCTGGAGTGCAATGGTGCGATCTCAGCTCACTGCATACTCTGCCTCCTGGGTTCAGCTACTGCCTTAGCCTCCCAAGTAGCTGGAATTACAGGTGCCTGCCACCATGCTCAGCTAATTTTTGTATTTTTAGTAGAGACAGGATGTTGCCATGTTGGCCAGACTGATTTTGAACTGCTGATCTCAGGTGATCCACCTGCCTTGGCCTCCCAAAGTGCTGGGATTACCACTGTGAGCCACCACGCCTGGCCCTGGAGGACTTTTAAGACATTATCTATAAGTGAACAGAAAAGCCAAAATTTCAGTCATTGGCAGGAAAAGAACTAGCCCATGAGAGGATTTAAGGAACAGTAATAAAAAGAATAACATTATTTTCTCCTTGTATCCTACTTGGTTCCACTTTTTTTTTTACATCAAGGCTACATCAACAACAGTAGATGGTGAGAAACTAACAACAGCAAGGTGAGTTTCCTTTTGCTGAGTAGGGTATGGAAGTTTGAGCTGGAGTTGAATTGCCTAGGGAATCTGAAGAAGGACTGAAGCTGACCCCCAGCTCCTTCTTTTCTGCCTCCCTCCCCTCCCCACATTTAAATAAATATTGAAAAAATGTTTAAGAAGTATAGATGTGAAGGAGTGCCATATTATTAGTCTGTTTGCTGCAGCACAGACTTTGGTCCAGCCGTGGCCCAAGATTTGTTTCCCGCCTAGACTAAGAATCAAGTTGTAGGTAACTCTAAGGTGAATAGTTTTGAAAGAAGAGCTGGAGCACTTCCTATTCCCAACTGGCCATCTTTATGACCATTTACTTGGGTTTTTAAAAATTGATCAGAGAATATGACTGTCTTCCTGAGTAGGCCACAGATTTAATATGGAGGTGATTTATGCTTTATTATTAGGGCACATACTGTCTGGCAAGTTTCAGTGTTTTTGAGAAGTGAAACAACTTTTACATACATCTGCAGGTACCATATGAAGATAGTGTGCTTTCAAAAGATAATTTTTTAAAATAGAACAATTTGTTATAATCAGGCCCCATTCAACAGTTCTTAGCTCTGGAAAAACTTGTACCTAGGTAAAAACTGGTTGATGATTCATGGCTGGATGAGAACTAGAGCATTTGGCCACTAAAAATAGTGCTTAAGAGTTTCAGAGATTTTGTTATTGTCTTAACAACCAATCAGAATATTTTTCTCTTCATTCTACATAACCAACATAAATATTCAACTTTTGTTTTCTAAATACCAAGACTAATACTTCTCTGATCAAATAGAAGCTGAATGTTGGAGCTCAGGTTTCATAGAATGGTAGAACTCAAAATAACCTTGAATTATCTGTTGGCTCCATCTATGTGAATGTCCCTAGACCAGGAATTTTAGTTTATTTTTGTGGTATCCCACATATAAACCAGGGAACCACAAGGTGAAATTTTAAATACTCAGAATTAATTAACTTTAAAATGACGTGCTTTAACATACTCTTGGTAGCATCATTGGAGTATAATAAAATAAAGCATATAGTGAAGATGTCTTAAGTCCAAAAGGTTGGATTTCAGTGTCTGAAACCTGTCAAAGTGGAAGGTGGTCTGCTTAGACTTTCCAGGAAGGGAGCACCAAGAGACTGCCTTAGCAACCCATTCCAGTATTTTTTCAATGCATATTTGATAAGCAGGTAATCCCCATGGTAGGTGCTGTCTAGTGTCCCACATACTACATGAGGGAAAAAGTATATTCCCTGTGAATATAATTGGAATGAACAGAATTCTTTTTAGTGTAAAATGAGTCAGGGCAATTCTCACATCCATATAACTGGGGTAGGGGGACATGATGGTGATAGTTGGACACGGAGCAGGTAGAATCTTCCCCGTCAACTTATACTCACAAAGATGAGAGTTATTTCACATAAAAACCATTCAAAACATATATACTACCACCAAAGCAAAACTCAAGAGATCTCACCACTTCCTTTTCCTATTCTAAAGTCAAATAGTACCCACATTTTTCTGTCAAAGCTGTCCCTTATGTTAACTTATACATGACTGTTTTTGTGTGAACATTGTTTCAAGCTCTGAGTACCTGGATAATTTGTTCTGGATCTTTAACTGCTTAGATAGTTCTGGACCTCTTCCCACCTGGAAACAATTGCAAAGGGAGGAACAAAGAGTCGTCCAAACCTCTGCCCACATATAGGCTGTTCTTCATTGTCACCAGAAGGCCTCATAAACCATCTCGCCATCTATTGTCTTCCTTACAGTCTTGGCCCAGTTCCTGATGTATTTCTCCAGGTGCTCTTTGGGTTTCCCTTCTGAGTCCTTGCAGGATTCTTCCATTCTGCTCTTGCACCAAACCTCTGAAGAATAACATCTTTCTGACTTCCACAAGAAATCCCAAACCATCAATTATATCACAATATTTGGAGGTTTGTGGGGTCTGAGGGAAGGATTACATTGGTGCCATCGTACTGGTCCCTGGTTGTGTCTGCTTCCTCAGATCCTCCTCTAGTTGTCATCTGCTGCCTTCCCAATGTCTGTGTTTCTACTATGTGATACTCTTTCCTACTTTCTTGCTTCAACTGCCTTGGAAAAAGCATTTTTCCCCCTGCAATTCTGGCAAATTAAATATTTTCACCTTGTTATATAAATATTTAAAAACTCTGACGGTTCTTAAATCTAGTAAATATTTTTTAAGAGTAAGATGAAGAGAAAAAAAACCTTTCAACTGTCATGAATGGGCTTTCCTGGGGAAGAGGGGAAGAAGTCTAAAGTTCATACATAACCTATAGGTAAATATACTTAAAGCTGCCCACAAAGGCTTTCAGATTTGTCTAAGGTGGGCTGTGATGTGTAACTGAAATATGTTCTAAAGGCATAATTTACTGAATGATGGGAAAATTTTCCTGGAAGTTAAATATTGGTTTTAAATGAATTGTTTCTTTCCATTTATGGGGACTAAGACTGTCAACATACTGCTGTGTGCTCTTCCTTTTTCTCATGTGATTAATCAGAACAGCTTAATTGTGCCTTCTGCTCAGCTAGGAACATACATTGTTAGTATGTTACATTCGTTATTGTCTTGGTTGTCTCTATATACAACCAAGATCTATGAATAGAAATTATCAATTAGATTAACTGAAAATTGAGTTCAAGGAAAATATACAACTCTCATAATATGATCAACTCATATTTCTTGCAAAAATTATAAAAATAAGCCAGGTTTTCTTTTGGTCTTGCATAAAAATACACAGAGAAATTTAACAGTATTCTAAAATTTCAGTCTGGCATTATCTTCAAGGAAAAGAGACATTTAAGAGATAAATATTTATTTATGAGATATGGTTAGATATGAATGATGGAATAGTTGTCAGATGGAGCAGGTTATTTGTGTTTTCACATAAGGTAAAAGGCATACTCTGAGAAAAAATTTTTATATAAAGTATGATGTACTCAGTAAAAATGGAAATTGGCTTGAATTATACTTGGAATTAGTCTAATGTTGTGATAGATTATCTTGATTATAGCAGAAGTGAGTCTTTCTAGACTTAAGGCATTCTATAGTGGTGTATACGTTGTCATGGAAACTCCCCAAAATGTATTCATACACTATTTGGGGGCATTTCCACCGTACCGATTGACAAGTGGCTGATAGAGAAAGACTGTTCAGTTGATAGCTTACCAGAGTAGTTTTGGATTGGACCTCAGAGGAAAAGATAATGATTAGTTAGAATGCATGTGTTACTTTGCATTTTTCAAACTATTTTGACATTCAAGTTTGGTATTCTTCACAAAATTTATGCTGTAGGTCAGTATTCTGATTGCCCTCTTTACTTAGCTGAGAAAACAAAGGATTGTAGGTCTAGGAAGCATTTTCAAGGCATAGTCCTTAAGCAAGACCATAATTAAGTCACCAGGAATAAATTGTTCTGCATTTTATTCTAAGAAATCTTGAGTTTATTTGCAACCTTCTAATGGAAAAGTGTTTTTTTTTTAAAAAAAATTCAGTCTGTATCTCTCAAATAAAATTTCAGCACATTTGTCACCAACAATAACAATAAATACAAGATTTCAATGTATTGAACACTGGATATGCGCTAAGTACTAAACTTGTTCCATTCATTATTTTACTTTTTCTCTCACAACAGTTCTGTGAAGTAGGTCTTGTTAACACTATTTACAGAAGAGAAACCTGATTCAGATTAATTATATTATATTTAAATATTTATTTAATATTTTATTATTAATATTTTATTATCACCAAGTTTATTATAAAGTGGTAGAAGCAGAATTAGAAACCAGGTCTGTTTGATTCATAAGCCTGAGGGCTTACTCATTTTGCCATGCTTTCTGTTGCCATTTTATAGTTGCATCCAAAATGCATTTGTTGTGCATAGCACTGTGATAAGCATTGTACATTAACATGCTTTTGAAGTTGGGAGGTGCTAAAAAAACAAAAGTGCTAGGATTAGGGAGCCAGGCTTCAAACCCAGACAGGACTAGTTTGTAGCTACTGCTCTCTCTGATTATTGGAAATATTTGATGAGGTTAAATTACAGTGCCAGCCTCAGGGCTTGGTGTAGAGGTATAGAACAGATGGTCAATCCGTTCTCCCTAAGTTTCACAAGGAGAACTATTCTCACCCAATTCATTCCCCTCACTTCAAGGAGTTAGCCTATCCAGAATGCAAACATTCCTTCATTCAACAGATACTTGCTGAACTCTTACTGCCAAACACTGCCCTAAGTGTGCTGATATAATAGTCAACAACACAGACCATACTTTAGCTCATCCAGTGCCATTTTCCTGCTAAAATCCTTCAAGGATGCCCCATTACTTATGGGATAATATTCACACCCCTTAGCAAGGAACTATTAGTAAATTAGAGGAATTTACCATATAGTTTGGAGAACATGCTAAAAACAGGAGACCTGATAGGGAGAGAGAAGGCAGAGAGGGTGAGAGACGGCTGTAAAGAAGGCAGGAGGCTGATAGCCTATGCAGGACCATGGACTAGAGTTCAGGAGAGCGTGAATTCTGCCTCCAGCTTTGAGCAACATATACGTTGTTCACTTCTCTGCCCTGACTCCTCGTTACCCTCTAAGTTCCGTGATGACAGGATTGTGGCCCCCTCATTGGCATATCCCTATGGACTGAGCCAGGCTTGGCACATACAAAGAGTCTAAATGCTCCAAAATAAAGGTTCTAAGTATTTGTGGAAACTTAAGTTTCTAAAACCATCTGGGTCATAGTTTTCTTCTGAAAATGAGGTCACATAGATCCTTGCAATACAAAATGTGGACCACAGATAGACAATATTGGCTACACCTGTGAACTTTTTCCAAGCAAAGAATCCCAGGCTTCATCCCAGATAACTGTGAGTCTGTTTCTTCACAGGATCCTCAGGTGATTTGTGTGCACATTAATGTTTAAGCTACACTGGACCCAATCACTTTTATAACTGATTAGTAATTTTAAGACAAAGTATGATCAACTCTATAATACTACACTCTAATAGTGTCTGTAGTTTTTATAAATATCAGGGGACAAAAAGCAAGGGCAGGGCCCAAGTAAACTGCAACAGGATAGACTGAAATCCTGTAAACCTCTTCGGAAACACTGGCACCCAAGAGAGAAGGACTTTATAGCTCCTGACAAAGTTAGAAGGCTGTAGACAGAACAGATTGCATTTATCAACCTGGAAACGTTAAAGAAACTTTGTTCTTTTGTGCAATCATTTAGCAATAAGGTAAGGCTTGCCAGCTAGATTTATTGGGATATTGGATTTTATGTTTCCTGTATCGAATAATATTTTTTACATTGTTTATGTCTAAATAAATCTGTCTTCTATTTTACATCGCCCTGTTGTATTGCTGCTTACAGATAAAGGGTTCAGGTAGCATAATTTGCTCTGCCCTTGGGACATGCTGCCATACGTTAAAACCCAGTTGCACAGAGACTATAGCAGAGAATTTCAATGTGCTCTGAAAAGTTGCACAGAAATAGTGATTAAAAAAAAAGACCACCAAGAAGAGGTGATTTCTGATTTTGCTCTGCCTAGTCTTTGCCTGGCAGGTACTGATTATGAGTGAAATTCAAACCGAAAGATGATAATTTCAAAGTAAAGTCTATGCTGTAAAACCCTTGCATACAATCCAATCCTTGCACCAGCTGTTTTGTAACATATGGCTTTATGTCCATCAATATTCATTAATGTTTGACTCTTTTTATGGTATACATACAAAAATTAAATCACTAAATAATAATAAAAAGAAAAAAAGGCAACCAGATTAGTTTAAAATATAACTTAAAATTTCACAAAGGAAATAATGACTATTGTAAGAAAAATTAATATAGACCTTTCTTTGTGCTTATAAAGGAATAGAAATGTGCTCTCACATTGAAAAAGAAGGATAAAATATGTCCATTTGTATTACAGTCTTTATCCGTTAGTCTGTTTTATGATTTGATTTCAGGTTTTCATTGTTCCAATGCAATTTTCCAGATTGAATCTTAAAAGGATTATAAACCACAGAAGTCATTTTAAATTCTACACGGACTTAATACACCAACTGCAATTCTATGCATCTGTCTTTCAAATTCTATAAAATATTTGTTGACACTTTCCCTTTCACTTGTTTTTTACAATATATTTTGTATAAAAATTTGTCAAGCACTGATGCCTGTCTTATTGATATGTTTTAAAATGTGGCAGCTAATCAGCATAATTTCAATGTCAAATATGCTGGTGTTTTAAATTTTTTTCTGTATTAAAATACTATCCCCAATTTAAATCAGTTGATAATGCAACAAAAATAAATACAAGCTTAAGTTTAAAAAAAAGCACTTTTTTCCTCTTCTAAGTCTCCATGCGACAAAAGGATGGCTGTGTCTTTCTCTTCCACTGTAAAATGGGGCCACTGTTGATAGCACTGGGAAACTTAAATGGTCTGTCTTCCTGAGCACCCTTGGAAGATGGACTGTATTTCAAATGGAACTGGGAAAAGAGAAGAGAAATGAATTCCTCTATCTGGAAAAATAAGAACAGCAGACCCAGATTACTTAGGCAAGTTGGCTAATGGGACACTTATTTTGCAAGCCTTAAAAAAAAATGTAGCCAGTATCTCCCTCAATTATTCTCCTCATAATTCAAGGAGATTGTTCTTACTATTTGCCTGAGATCCAAGTGTAAGGCCCTAGGCCAGGTTTACCTGGGAGATTCAGACATGTTCAAGAGGTAGGTGAGGCTTCCAGAGAAGCTTCAGGGGAATAATTACATTTGGAGCAGACAAAGTATAGAGAATAAGCTTTATTGGAAGGAATTCAGCCTAAGGGAGTCGGAATTGAGGCAGGCACATCACATCTGAAGATAGATTTTGCATGCAATAATGCGTGTTCACTGCCAGCACATCCTCTGGTCTTTCCACCTCCATCCCCACTCTTTTCTGTTCTTGAGATTTGTTCCTAAGCTCAAGGAAGAGAAACCTGAGAACTAAGGTAGCCCTGCCTCTGACTCACATAACAGAGGGGCACACAAATGTGGCGTGAGATATTTTATCCCTTTCAGGAAAATTAGTATTGAGGGATGGTGAAGTATGAAACAGAGGATTGTCAGTGAGTTCAAATTAGCAACAAACTACGTCTTTGCAATGGCCAGAAGTCTACGTGGCTAGTGTCAGAAGTAGACCCAGCACTTTGTGAGGCCGAAGCAGGTGAATTGCTTTAGGCCAGGAGTTCGAGACTAGCCTGGCCAACGTGGTGAAACCCCGTCTTTACTAAAAATACAAAAATTAGCTAGGCATGGTGATGCATGCCTGTAATCTCAGCTACTTGGGAGGCTGAGGCAGGAGAATTGCTTGAACCCAGGAGGCAGAGGCTGCAGTGAGCCGAGATTGCGCCATTGCACTCCAGCGCGGGTAGAAGAGTGAGATTCTGTCTCAAAAAATAAATAAATAAATAAATAAAAATAAGAAGTAGAGGAGGCCCATAGACCCTCTGCCTCCTGTCAGAGCTATCTGTTTCCATCTCATCCCTGATTGTTAGCTTGTTGACAGCAGAGAAAACTAACCTGCACTCTGCAATTCTCAAAGCCAATACCTCAGGTGAGAGTTATGTGGGCTTTAGGCATGACTAGTCCATTATAGATTTCTGTTATACTCTACTGCCTTTGGAAGGAAACCTACCAGCAAGAGTGTTCGTTTATTTGTGATTTTATTGGTTTTTATTCAACCTTTGGCTCAAAAGACAGCAACTAGCTTTAGGCATCATGTAGATACCTGATGCAATATTGATAATTATGCAATATCTGCATGTTAATACTACTGTGAGAGTCGGCACTGGTAGAAATTATCTGTATATAATCTGTATACATGATCTGTATAAATGAAATGAGACCACTGTTAATTGTTAGAGAGTAACTTTTTTATTTTAGGGGGAACTGGCTCCTCTTTGAAGCCCGCTTATAAATAAAACCAAGTGAGCTGAAGTCTCCTAAATGTGCAGGAGATCCCAATCACATACTCTTCTGAGTGTCTAACCGTAGCAGGACCACCCACTTGCGTGGAGGCTGACCTCCTGGTAGTCCTGGCTATGTGATGTTGGCAGGTATCACTTTTCACACTGGGCAGTTGGGCAGTGGAAAAAGAAATTCTTCTTTTCCAGAAGGATTTTTAAAATTTTAAAAAAATTTTCCAGAAAACTGGTTTGTGTTCTATCCTCCTGCCTCACCTTCTTTTTAACTTTCAGTTATGTAGCACCACTTTTGGATGAGTTGACTGCAGCCCATAAGGGAGTGTGTACTTCTCTCTGCTGGTATTGAGGCAGTCATTAATTTTCTAATTGACACTCCAGTCACCTGACACATGCTGCAAGTGGGCTTTTATTCTTACTGGGAGAGGTGATTCCAAATCTTCCAATCTTTCTGGTGGCAATTTTTCATGCTGGTGCTACTAATGACATCCAGAAAATTCGCAGTAGATTGCACAACTGGAGAAGCAATGTCTAGCACATGACTACACAATAAACGTTTTTATTTGACAAACAGCCTCTATCAAATAGACAAAAATCAGAGCCTATTTTGTGCTTGCTTTGAATTTGTAGTTACTGATAAACACATTTTTGTCAGATACTAATCCAGAAAATACCTATGTTGCTAAAAAAAGAAAAAAAAATCCAAATTAGGGCAGTTGTAAGAGTAACCCGTTTGCTTTATTTCCACAAAAGATAATAACATTTTTCCTGAAACGTGTGTAGTCAACATCTTGAGTTCACTACTCACTTTCCTGTATTCCCACACATGTTCACAACTCAAACTACTTGCCCTTTCTCCACAACACAGACCTAAGGGTACCCGGAAATCTCTGCACACTTCTGATATGTATGGTGAGTGGGCCAAAGGTAAAGATCTGCTGTGGGCATGCAATTGCCTCTCAGCTAGCTATACCTCACCTCTCTCATTCTCTACTGCCCAACTGCCAGTGTGAAATGTGATACTTGTCAACATCACATAGCCAGGACTACCAGGAGGTCAGCCTCACGCAAGTGGGTGGTCCTGCTACACTTAGACACTCAGAAGAGTATGTGGTTGGGATCTCCTGCACATTTAGGAGACTTGAGCTCACTTTGTTTTATTTATAGGCGGGCTTCAGGAGGAGCCAGTTCCCCCTCAAGTAAAAAAGTTACTCTACTAATTAACAGTGGTCTCATTTCATTTAACATTTAAAAACAAGTTTGTGAATGTTTTCCAGGAGGCAGAATCACAAAGTTTCCATGGGAGGAACCAAATGAACAGGTATCAGTTTGTTTGTCCAACTCCCAGAGGCATCATTGTGCTCGGCCTTTTCCAGGGCTAAATGGCTTTCAAAAATGTAGCTTGGTATAGGCAGTATTTTACGTCTAGGATGGGAAGAATCTTAGAGCTTATGTGGTCCTATCTCCTAATTTTACAGATGAAGATACTGAAATCTATAGAGGATGACTAAATAAGATAATTCATGTAGATTGCTTCCCACACTAACACATAAGGGCTCAACAAATATTAGCTATTATTATATTGTTCTGTAGTTTGCTCTCTCTTGAAATACATGTATCCTTAAAACTGTATATCATGAGAACACTTTTACACTGTTGGTGGGACTGTAAACTAGTTCAACCATTGTGGAAGTCAGTGTGGCGATTCCTCAGGGATCTAGAACTAGAAATACCATTTGACCCAGACATCCCATTACTGGGTATATACCCAAAGGATTATAAATCATGCTGCTATAAAGACACATGCACACGTATGTTTATTGCGGCACTATTCACAATAGCAAAGACTTGGAACCAACCCAAATGTCCAACAATGATAGACTGGATTAAGAAAATGTGGCACATATACACCATGGAATACTATGCAGCCATAAAAAATGATGAGTTCATGTCCTTTGTAGGGACATGGATGAAACTGGAAACCATCATTCTGAGCAAACTATTGCAAGGACAAAAAACGAAATACGCATGTTCTCACTCATAGGTGGGAATTGAACAATGAGAACACATGGACACAGGAAGGGGATCATCACACTCCAGGGACTGTTGTGGGGTAGGGGGAGCGGGGAGGGATAGCATTAGGAGATATGCCTGATGCTGAATGATGAGTTAATGGGTGCAGCACACCAGCATGGCACATGTATACATATGTAACAAACCTGCACATTGTGCACATGTACCCTAAAACTTAAAGTATAATAATAATTTTAAAAAAAAACAACTATATATCATGAGAGTCTTTCTTGGTCTATTTCATCCAGTTGTATCCATGTATCACTACTTTTTAAATAGTTCTCAATTAATGGACATTTAGGTTATTTGGGTTATTTCTAATTTGTTTCCCATTTCAAACAAAGCACAATGAACATGCTTACAGGTGGAGCTTTCCATACCCATGTATTATTTCTGTAGGCTAGATTCCTAGATGTGGGATTGCTGAATGTGTATATTTAAATTTTAAAAACTACTGTCAAATATTTTTTTCTAGGACTATTCCATGAATTTCAACTTCATCAACCACGTATAAAAAGATTTCCCCACAACCTTGCCTATACTGGAGGCGATCAATCAATAAAACTTTTTTTTTCAATCTAGAAGGTTAAAAAGAAGACAATTTGTTATTGTTTTAGTTGACATTTCCATTATAATTATTGCAATTGGGCTTCTTGCATGTGTCTGCAAACATTTGCATTTTTCTGTATATATCCTACCATATCGTTTGCTTATTTTTCTATGGGTTATCTTTTTTCTTCATTGATTTATATAAGTTATTTATTTATTCAACAAATGCTTATTGCATGTCTGTATGTGTCAGATGATGTCCTGGCACCGAGGCTGTAACAGTGATCAATGACTATCATTTGTTTAATACTTAGAATAAACCAGAGGTAATGCCAGGTGATTCTCACAAAAACAAACAAAAATCCTGTGAGCTGAGTTCTGTTGCTATCCACTGTGGGTCATTAAACACGCTGAGATTTAGAGACTTGCCCAAAGTCATATAGCTTGTGAATGGCAGAGCCAGAACTTCATCCAAGGCTTGTTTAACATTCCTCATGATCCGAGGAACTGTGGATGAGGAGAGACTCAAGAACTTACCCAGAGGGATGGTGGCCTGGAGACAAAGTTCCTTGCAGCAAGTGCCTCAGTTTGAAGTTAATTCTGAGAACCATTAGGGAGTAGAGCTGAGGATAGTCTAATTAAGGACATTTAACTCTTTGTTTGTTACAAGTGTCACAAATATTTCTTCTCAGTTTTATTGCTTGACTTTTCTTTGGAGTTTTTGGAGTATGTTTGGTACAAATGTAAATTTAAAAATTGTTACGTATCTGTCAATTATTTTCCTGTATGGTTTCTGGATTTTGTTTCTTACTTAGAAAAGCATTTTCCAAGTCTAGATTATGATAAATTACCTAATATTTCATTTGAATATGACTTTGATATACACACACACACACACACACACACACACACACGCGCACACACACACACACACATATATAGATAGATTTTTTTTTTTTTGAGTTGCAGTCTCGCTCTGTCACCCAGGCTGGAGTGCAGTGGCATGATCTCGGCTCACTGCAAGCTCTGCCTGCCAGGTTCACACCATTCTCCTGCCTCAGCCTCCCGAGTAGCTGGGGCTACAGGCGCCCGTCACCACGCCCGGCTAATTTTTTGTATTTTTAGCAGAGATGGGGTTTCACCGTGTAAGCCAGGATGGTCTCGATCTCCTGACCTCGTGATTAGCCTACCTCGGCCTCCCAAAGTGCTGGGATTGCAGGCATGAGCCACCGCGCCCGGCCATGACTGATTTTTAATGCTTATATATTTAATTCACTTGCATTTATTTTGGGGCTGACTTTAGATAAGCCAAACAAGCCTTTTTCTAAATAAAAACAAGTTCTGTCTCATTCACTGCCTTTATTACTCATAGTTATTAAGTTATTTGCTGCTTAAAGAATCTCAGGTTATGGCTGAGTGTGATGGCTCACACTCATAATCTCAGCACTGGGAAGCTGAGGAGGGAGGATTACTTGAGACCAGGAATTTGAGACAAGCCTGGGCAATATAGTGAGACAATGTCTCTACAATAAAAAAAAAAAAAAATTAAATTACCTGGGTGCAGGGTGCATGCCTGTAGTCACAGCTACTCAGGAGGCTGAGGTTGGAGGATCGCTTGAGCCCAGGATTTTGAGGCAGTATGCTATAATCATACCACTGCACTCCAGCCTGGTTGACAGAGCAAGATCCTTTCTCAAAAAAAAAAAAAAAAAAAAAAAAAATTTGGTTCAGAGATGGGTGTAGAAACAAAGACATTGATAAAAAGTCTATATGAAAGAATTTTGATATTTCAGTTGCTTTCAAGAGGATTGTAATATGTCTTTCTGCCCTTGGGCACACTAGTGAGTACATGCACACTAGACAAAGACGTCAGCCATTAAACACTTAATCAAATAAGTGGTTTCATACATATAGTTCTTACATGATCAAAAAATCAATAACATTTTAAAGCTCCAGTGCTATGAACAATTAGCTTAGTTGACACATATGTTACAAATGTAAGGGAGGAACCCATTAGAAGAGAAGCATTAGCTAAGTGGCAAAGGAAGGAAACAAAGACCTTAGGGAAATAAAACACATTCTAGATCGTATTGGTAATTTCGGAAGTAACTCCCAGACAGTCATACAAGAGCTAGATGCAAAACACCATCCCAGGAACTCAAAGATTTTACTCAACTGTGAGAGGCTAGATAATTTGTCAAAAGTAGAAATAATCAGGTACATTTAAAGAAAAATGGTAGGAGCTTCCATTTTCACCCAATATGGAATACCAGGGACCAGATTTACTCTCTCACATGAAACAACAACAAAAAGGGATACAATATAGGAAATGATGGTTTGCAAGACACTGGATGTAAGACAACACAGAATTGTGGTCCTTGAGAGATGGGAAACAAAAAGGTGAACCTTGCAATCACCCAAGCATACTGCCTTTAGGGTATTTCCAGGGTGAGGCACGGGGAAAGGGAACCCAGTTAGATCTTTGTGATATCCTGGAGTTGAAGAGATAAAGCTGGGCCCGGCAACGGTGGCTCACACCTGTAATCCCAGCACTTTGGGAGGCCAAGGTGGGCAGATCACCTGAGGTCAGGAGTTCCAGACCAGCCTGGCCAAAATACAAAAATTAGTGGGGTATGGTGGCACATGCCTGTAATCCCAGCTACTCGGGAGGCTGAGGCAGGAGAATCGCTTGAACCAGGGAGACAGAGGTTGCAGTGAGCCGAGATCACGCCACTGCACTCCAGCCTGGGCAACAGAGCCAGGATCCATCTCAAAAAGAAAAAAAAAAGACAGAGAGATGGAGCTGGATGTCCAGGGATCATGGGACAGAGCGCCAGAGGAGAGACAGCTGCACAGAGTGAAAACGCCAGAGATTTGCAGACTAGGCTTCGTTGAGTGCTGAGCAGAGCATGTCTGGGAGGAAACTACCTGATGCAAGGGAAAGAAACCTTCAAAAGGATTAGAGGGAACCGCACCTGGCTCACACAGAGCTGAGAAAAGTGTTTGTCCCTGCCAGCCGGAACAGAAAACCTCAGGATTCATAAGGAGCTGAGCAAAATACACAAAAAGTCTCGCCTCAATAGTGGGGAATAAATATCCCTAGACTGAATATTGCTCTAATTCTAACAAATTTTAAAAGTAAGATCTGAAAAGATCAAAACCATTTCAAAATAACACATTCCAGAGTAAAGCTCAAGTATATTTATAGGCATACAAAAATATCCAGTACCCAAAAAGGTAAAATTCACAAGATCTGGCGTATATAAAAAATTGCCAGGCATGCAAAGAGACAGGGAAATATGACTTATAATAAAGAGGAAAATCAACCCACCTAAACTGACACAGAACCAACACAGATGTTAGAATTAGCAGATAAGAACATTGAAACAATTATAACTGCATTTTATATGTTCAAAAGGTTCAGATTTTTAAAAGACTCAAGTCAAACTTCTAGAGATTATAACTACAATGGGTAGGACGAAAAATACACTGGATAGAATTATTGGCACATTGCATATTGCAGAAGAAAAGCTTAGTGAACTTGAAGACGTAATAATAGAAACTATATTAAATGAAATACAGAGAACAGATAAATATTTAAATGAGCTGTGGAACAATTTTAAGCACACTGATATATGTGTAACTGGAGTCCTGAAGGGGAGGAAGACAAAAAATATTTGGGAGAATAAGACTAAAAATGTTCTAAATTTGATGAAAATTATACATTTATAGATCCAAGAAGCTCAATGAATCTCAGACACAAGAAACATGACGAAAACTCCACCAAGGTACATTTTAATTGAATTGTTCAAAAAGATAAATAGAAAATACTAAAAAATGGCCAGTAAAGGAAGTTACACTACCTAAAGTGGAACAAAGTTAGAGATGAGAATGTTCCCACTGGAAACAATGCAAGCTAAAAGACAGCGAAGCAACATATTTAAAGTACTGAAAGAAAAAAAGCTGCCAATCTAGACTTCTATGTGCAGCGAAAATATCTTTCAAAAATAAAGGAAAAATAGTATTATTTTCAGACACACAAAAGCTAAAAGGATTCACCACCAGATCCATCCCACAAGAAAAAATCTTAAAGGTAGTGTTTAGGCAGAAAAAAAAATGATGCCAGATAGGAAAAAAAAAAAAAAAGATGTACAAAAAGGAATTGAGGAAGACTAGCAATGGCAACTGCATGGGTAAATATACCATTTTTTTCCTTATTATTTAAATTTATTTAAAAGATAATTGAGTGTTTAAACAAAGAAATAGCAATAAAGTATACAGTTTAAAACACAGGAGAAGTAAAACATGGAAAAACCATACTACAAAGACCAGGAGGGAAGAAATGGAAGTGGGATGGACTGAATATTTGTACTCTTGTACTCCAAAGTTCATATATTGAAGCCCTAACTCTTAATGTGATGATATTAGGAGGTGGGGCCTTTGGGAGGTAATTAGGTTTAGATGAGGTTATAAAGCTCTATCTCCTTAATGGGGTGAAGGTGAAGCCCCATGATATTAGTGCCCTTATAAGAAGAGAGACACCATAGATTCATCTCTCCACCATGCAAGGATACAGCAAAAGGCAAGTCAGGAAGAGGGCCTGACCAGGAGCTGACTTGACCAGCACCTTGATTTTGGACTTTGTTCATAGCCACCAGAACTGTGAGAAATAAATATCTGCTGTTTAAGCCACCCGGTCTATGATATTCCTTTTTTTCTCTCTTTTGAGACAGAGTCTCACTCTGTTGCCCAGGCTGGAATGCAGTGGCGTGATCTTGGCTCACTGTAACTTCTGCCTCCCAGGTTCAAGGGATTCTCAGCCTCCCAAGTAGCTGGGATTACAGGTGTGTCCCACCACACCCAGCTAAGTTTTGTATTTTTAGTAGAGGCAGGGTTTCACCATGTTGGCCAGGCTGGTCTTGAACTCCTGACCTGAAGTGATCCTCCTGCCTCGGCCTCCCAAAGTGCTGGGATTACAAGCGTGAGCCACTGTGCCTGGCCATTCTATGATATTCTATTATAGCAGCCAGAGCAGACTAACTCTTAATACAACTAAGGAGATAAATGAAAACAATAAAAAATTAAATAGGTTAATAAATTATCTTAAAAAAACAAAGGAGAAGAGAAGAAAAAGAGAACAAAGAAGCAATGGGGAAAATAGAAAACAAATAAGATAATGAATGTAAACCTAACCGTACCAACAATCACATTAATTGCAAATCACCTAAATACTCCAATTAAAAGACAAACATTGTTGGACCCAAGTAAATTCCACCCACAAGAAACTTACTTTAAATATAAAGACACACATAGATTAAATTTAAAAGGATGAAAAAAGGCATGCCAAGATACCAGCTACTATGTTACTACTATATCATAAAGTGAAATAGATTCCTAAACAGCGAAGTGCTATAATGGATAAAGAAAATTATTTCTTAATTATAAAGGGGTCAGTTTATTAAGATGATACATAAATTCTAAACAGTAATTCACCTAATAACAGAGCATCAAAATACATGAAGCAACTGATAGAACTTCAAGGTGAAATAGAAAAATCTACATTGTCATGGGGATTTCAACACCCCTCTCTCAGTAATTGATAAAACAAGATGACAAAATTTAGGAAGTATTCAGAAGATTCGAAAACCAGTTTTAACCCATTGACCTGACTGACATTTGTAGAACAGCAGAATACAAATTTCACATTATTTTCAAATGCACACTGGACATGTAGATCATATTCTGGGCCATAAAATAAGTCTTAATAAAGTTATAAAGGATTCAAGTCATAAGAAGTATGTTCTCCAGAGCCAGTGTAATTGAATTAGAAAAAAATGACAGAAGTATTTCTGGAAAATCCCCAAATATTTAGAGATTGAATAAGATACTTCTGAATAATCTGTGGATCAAAGAAAAAATCAAAAGAGAAATTAGGAAACATTTGAACTAATAAAAAAGAAAAAAATACATTTTAATTTTTGCAATGCCACTAGAGCAGTACTGGTGGGGAAATTTCATCACTAAACATCTACTTTATAAAAAAGGAAAGTTCTCAAATCAATGATCTTAAGTTCTACCTGAAAAAATCTAGAAAGATAAGAGCAGCTAAAACTCAAAGTAAGAAGAACAAATGAAATAATAGTGATCAGAGCAGGAATCAATGAGATAGAAAACAAAAATACAATAGAAAAAATTTACCAAGATTATAAGCCTGTTCTTAGACAAGCTCAATAAAACTGATAAACCTCTAACCTGAATAATCAAGATAAAAAGAGAGTTATCAGTGAGTACCAACTACCAACATCAGAAATAAAAGAGGTGGTATGATTACAAATTCTACAAATGTTAAAATATAATAAGAGAATATTATAAACAACTGTATGCTGATAAATCTAAAAACTTAGCTAAGATAGGTAAATTTCTTGAAAGACAACATATTCCTTCACAGAAGAAGAAATGAATAACCTATATAGTCATATATTTGTAGATTTAATAATTAAAAGTCCCCCCTCCCTGACAATCCCCTTTCCCAAATTTTTGTGTCTAGATGGCTTTACTGGTGAATTCTACAAACTGTTGGAAGAAACAGTACCAATTCTATAAAAGTTCTTCCAGAAAACTGAAAAGACAGTAATAGTTCCCAACTCATTCTATGCTGCCAGAATGTTATTCTGATACCATAACCAAAGACATTGAAAGAAACTACTAATCCAGATTCCTCATGAACATAGATGCAAAAATTCTAAACAGAAGTTTAGTGAATCAAATCCAATAGTAGATAAAAAGAATAATATGTCACGATCAAGTGATGTTTATCCCAAGAATGCAAGCTTGGTTAAAGCATTCAAAAGTCAAGTCATGAACCCTTTCAATGAACCTATTCTGTGTTGTTTCAATAGATGTGGAAAAATTATTTGACAAAATCAAGTATCCCTGATTTTTAAAAAAATTCTCATCAAACAAGGAGTAAAATGGAGCCTATCAAAAAGGCACAGTTAAGAGTGAAAGACTGAATGCTTTCCCCTCAAGATCAGAAACAAAATATAGATTTCTGGTTTTGCCACTCATATTCTATTCAACATCATATTGGAGGTCCTAGCTAGTATACTAAGACAAAAAAAAAAAAAAAGAGTGCCTATGATATGGTTCCATTTACATAAAGTTCTGGAAAATGCAAACTAATCCATAGTGACAGAAAGCAGATTAGTGATTGACTAGGATTCTGCCTGAGACCGTGATAGGAAGGAAGGAAGGAAGGAAGGAAGGAAGGAAGGATTACAAACGGGCATGATAAAATTTTGGGAGGTGATGGACTTGACAGGTTCATTAACTTGACTTTGGTGTTGATGACAGATGACATACAGTTGACCAGCCATATCCATGGGATTGAAATAAAATGGCTCCATGGATTCAACCAACCAGGGATCGAAAATATTTAGGAAAAAAACAATAAAAAAAATACAACAGTAAAAATAATACAAATCAAAACCTGTACAGTATGACAACTATTTTCATAGCATTTACATTGTATTGGGTATTATAAGTAGTCTAGAGACAATTTAAAGTACGTTGACCCTTGAACAACATGGGTTTGAAGTGCATGGGTCTGCTTACATGTCAATTTTTTTCGACTAAACTTGAATCAGAAATACAGTATTCACAGAATGAGAAACCCTTGTACATATGGGAGACCGACTTTTCCTTTATGTGAGTTCCAAAAGCCTCACTGTGGGACATGAGTGAATAGATTTTGGTACCCTCGTGGGGGCCTGGAACCAATCCCAGGCAGATACCAAGGAACATCTGTATGTCAAAATTATCAGATTGTATGCTTAAAATATATATAGTTTTTGTGTGTCAATTATACCTCAGTCAAGCTGTTAAAAAATAAAGGGATGGATAAAGGGGAGAAAATGAGAAAGGGTTATAAATCCAAGGATCAGGGCATGGGGTAAACTACTTACAGTCTGGATTAGGAAACATAGAAACGAATTTATTAATTAATGTGCCAGATTGTGTCTAGTGTCTAAGTAATTTTCTAATAGGAAGTTAGGTATATAGGGTTGAAAATTATCTTTTTCTAGTCATCAGGGTGCCATTTAGTGGCTTCCTAGAAAACCAGCTATAATTGTAGTAATGCACTAATTGCCCATAGAGGAGCCAGTGACTCCCAGGGGACTCAGCACATCTCTCAAGACTTGGAGCATCTGCTGCTCAGCCAGAGGTCTCAGCAGCACGCAGAGGGAGTGACATGAAATCCTCAACGGCTTGTCCTAGTGAACCTGTACTAACTCAAAAATGTTAACTGGTTTCCCGAGTCTCTCACTGTGTATCCTGGGCCATCTCTAAGGCTGCCTACTAAGCAGAATTAGCCCAGCCATGGTAAAGGAGGTGGCCACAGCAGTCCTTCCTGCCCAACATTTATGGACCCCTGCACTGTTCTGACCACTGAGCTCCTTCCAGGGGAGCTGGATTTGGGGCTGTGGATAACAAGCTTGGTCCTGACTTCTGAGGCAGAATGGATTCATTATCACAGCTAGCTCTGGGCACTTTGGTAGCCTTTTCCTACCAAATTATTTCTTGAGGTTAAAATATGCAAATAAGTACCGAGCTTATCTCCTTATCCCAATATATCTTAACCATTAAGCTTGACTTTGTGGCTGTTTATGTATGCATGCATTTTAGATATCATCTACTTCAGTCTTTCCACAAGTCAGACACTGTTTTCAGCAACAGGCATATTAACACACTTAATCCATATAAGAACCCTGTGGGTAGGTAGTAGCATTATCCTCATTTAAAGATGAGAAACTGGGGTGCAGCAGAGGTTAAATAACTAGTCTAAGGTTTCAGAGTTAGTAATAAACGATGGGGCCAGAATGTGAATGCAGGCATTTTAACGCAAGAGTCCACACTCAATTGATCATAATACTAATGAAACTGAGTGAGGGTGAGGAAATAATTGGCCATGAGCCAATCTACTTTGCCCACTGAAAAACATTCTGTTTGGTGGTCACAGACTTCTTAAAATGTTTACTTATTGGTGACAAGCAGTATCAAGCAAAAGAAACAGAATGGCTCATTGTAAAGCTATCCTGATGACTAGAAAAACAGCCCCCAGCTCAATGTCAGCATTGTCATCGTCACCCAGTGGGCCTGGGTTTTCTTCCCTGTCATCTCTGCCCAAACTTTGCTCCTGTGAGGAGCGGGAGCCACAGGGTTAGTGGGAAAGGCCGGTTGTCCTGCATCAGCCAGTGGAGAATTGTTGCCATTGTCCTAAGCTGTCAGAGAAAAGGCCCCCGCTGAGCTTTGTTCTGTGACACTTTGCCAGGAAAAGACACAGGAATCAGATTTTAGATCAAAATAAGGAAGAGCTAGAGGGAAACACTCCAATATTTCAACAGCAGGTATCTCTAGTTGGTAGTATTATGGATATTCTGAATGTTTCCCTTTATTCATCTGTATTTTCTACCGAAAACCTAAGTTAACATTATAACCTTTAAAGTGATAAATGGTGTAAAGACATAAGTAAGCATTTTCTGCCAGAGCTACCAAAGGATTGACTAGGCTGCAAAACTTAATAATGGGACTTAGGAAATGCACATACGCACACAAACTGTTCAGCTGGAAGGGATGAAGTTTGAATGAACCCCATCAGAGGAAATGACATTCCTTTAATAGGAGATAATCAAGCGTACGTCTAATGATTTCTTGATGGAAGTACAGTAGAGAAGATTCAAGCATCTGTCAGAGAGTCAGCCTAGGACACTGCTACTCAAAATGTGGTCTGTGAACTGGCAGTGTAGGTATCTCCTTGGAGCTTGTTTGAAATATAGAATTTCTTGCCCTCACCCCAGGCCACAAGAATCACCTGTAGATTTAAGTATTTGGCCTAGTTCAAACGTGGGGGCTTCTTATACAGTAGTGCTAGGTCCAGAGCAGGTTTAAGAACTGAATAAACTTAGAATCTCCAGCTAGCAAGGGCTCCGGAAGGTCATCCTTGGGCCGGATGACCTTCCAGAGTCCTTGCCAGCTGGAGATTCTAAGTTTCTCAGCCCCCGGCAAGCCATTCACCACAAGGCCAGTCACGTGTTCCTTCTACCCTGGATGTAAAAATTCTGCCAGCCTGGCTACCTGGGGCATCCTTCCCTCTTGGAGCATATTTCATGGCTTTGACTCTCACCCAGATGGGACTTTCATCTGAGCATTCAAAGTATCTTCTCAACCTGCCCTGCCTCTGTCTTTGCCAGTGTTTCACTCATGGGCCCACTGATGGCCTACCTTTGCAGGTTTACTTCTGCCTCAGTTCCATCTTAAGCCAATTCTGTTGGAATGGGAGGGAGAGCTACAACCTTAAGCCCCAGGGTGTGCAGCAGGTTTAGTTAAGCCCCATACCCAGTTCACAGTACAGGAGCGTAGTCACCCCGTGGTTCAGTAGAGGGCCGTGTGGGTGATCTATGAATACTCGTGTTGTGCCTTAAAGTGCAGCAAGTGCTAACCTTCCTCGTCTTATATTGACCATGTGACTCTTCTTGTCTCCTATCCTGGGGTCTGATTAATTCATCTTCATTGTATACTTTAGAATCTTTCTAGAACCCAGGGGAAAGGAACTAGTTATATTTGAGCACCTATCCTGTGCTTGGGACTTTGCTTTGTCGTATTTGGTCTTCACCATCACAACAAGAGGAAGTTTATAATGATCTATTTTACAGAAAAGAAAATCAAGGCCCAGAAAGAGTAAGTAACATACTCAATGTTGTACAAACAGTAAGAGGCAGAAATTTGACCCCAGAGTCCTCTGATCCCAAATTTCTCTGTTGATTCCATCATCCCACATAGCCTCCTAAACATTGCCAGTTGGCAGCAGGATGGCCCAGTGACCTGTCAGTTCTTGTCAGTCTGGCTCCATGGAACTGGAGAAGCTTGTGTAACAAAATGGAGATATTTGGCTTGTGTAACAAAATTCTGACATTCTGTCAGAATTCCAAGGTTTGTGAAAAACAAAGCAATGTGGTGGGGCTACAGAGTCATATATCAGATCACAGGCTTCAGAGAGCTACATGACAGAGCCGCTCTAGAGAAGGAGAGGGGAAATGGTTGGAGAAAAGGAAGCTGGCAGGTGGCCACACCCTCCTTGGAAATTGTCATCGGTCTCCCCCGCCGTATTGGAAGCTCCAGAAAGACAGGGATTATGTATGTCTTGTTCACTACCATATCTATTGCAATTAGAATAGTAATTAAAACATAGTGGGTACTCAATAAATGAATGGATGTGACCAACCCCTGCCCTTTGACCCCACAAATATTCAATAAAACTGCAAAAGTTATAATATACTCTGTGTGACTGAGTTTCTTGTAAAAATTGATGAGGGATGGGGTATTGCACCTGGGTTAGTTCTGTGGGAACCTAAAATGCATACATAGATACAGTAGAGACAGAGAAAACCATAAAAAATAAGTCTGGAAATGTGTGCTAACTATGGTGTGGGTCTTCAAGTCTCTACTTAGGAGCTTACGGATATGAAGAAAGTTTTTCTACATCTCAGAGAGTGGGAAAGCCTGCAAGTGACTCCTGGAAGACCTCGAATAGACATGTACTCCAGGCAACAACTACCTTCTTATCTTTTAAACACCAACCAACATGCTTGCCCTGCATGCTTATCGGACCAATGCCAAGAGTTATCAAAATGAGGAGAGGAACTATGTTTCCTCTTGGGCATTAGACTTCAGCTTCCCTGCTACACCACTGGCATTCATTCTCCAGAAGGACTAGTTTAGCCCAGTTGCTGCTTAACTCTTGTACTCTCATCCATTTTGTCCCTAGTGATACCTGATGTTTTGAATCCAAAGAATCCAGGACTTTGACAAGGACCCTCATTCTTCTCTGGCTTTTGCATTAGCTGTACCAGGCCTGACTGATGGTCTGACTGTCCCATCCTTTGCTGCCCATAAACTGGTATTAGAAAGCACCTCAAGTTCTCAGGGACATAGGCTGCAGGTCTCTGCTCACTTCTCATGACATAATCATTGCTATATCAAGCATGCTCTTCCCCAGGCTTGAGACCTGCCCAAGGCTGGTGCTTCCCTTTCAAATCCTTCACACTTCTTGTGCACACAGATAGCATGTGCTCAGTAAGTGTGGCAGATCAAGGAGGAGTTGGATTACTCTAATTTTAAAAGTCCTGTAGGGCAACAGTTATTTTCATATAACTTGTTATCACGTAGGGGGATCCTGAAGACAGGGGTGAAAGGTCTAACATTCCTTAGTTATGACTCTGCATAAATTTTGTGTGATCATATTTTCTTCTGAACCAAAGATTCCACATTCATTTAAATTCAGTGAGATCTCAGCAAAGAGAAAAAAAGAGTTACAGGGACATACTCCAGAGAAGACTCAAAATATAGCCCATGACTTTGTAAAAGGAAAAAGAAGTCATTATCATTTTTTTCTTATGTGCTGTATAATAGGTCCACACCGATGATAAACTATAGCAGTGTTAATGAGATTAGATGTAAATGATAACTATTATGGATCATTATTATGGTTATTGTGATTTACATGGTTCTATTCTTGATGTATTCAGTAATGTCTAGCGATTAAGAGATTGAAACTAGATCTCAAACATAAGGCTTTGGGTATTGAGAAAAAATCACATGCAGGAAGGCATTAAGGAGCAACTGGGGTTTTAAGCTGTAGAATTGACACATAAATGGATGTGGATTCCAGGAAGAGTGGCAATGCGGCAGAGGGTCTTAGTGATGAGAAACGGTACAGTGCATTGCACACTGCTTTCCCCATTTCAGGGATAGAAAGGGAGGGTTCTTATCCTCAACCTCTGTTGTCCTCTGCCTCTTAATTGACCTCCTGCCTTTAACCTCATACTGCCTCTTTTCATAAGGTCTGTCCTGTGACCACCTTGAAATGCTATCTCCTCCCAATTTACTTTTTCCTTCCTGAATCATACCCCTCCCACATCCCATATCCTGCTGGCTCTTTTCCTTTCTCCTATCCTTTAAATACAGCCCTCTGCACGTTTCTATTCTCATCCGTCTGTTCTTTTCACTCTACACCTTTCCTCAGAGACCTTATTCACTACTAAGGGGTCAATTACCACTTTCAAATCTTTATTTCCTCCCCTAACTTCTCTTTCCAAGCAAGGGCACACATTGCCTACTTGATTTCCTACTTAATTTCCACAGATTTTGGCACTTGAAGTTCAAGATGCTTCAAGTTGAATTCTGTCCAAATTAGTTCCTTTTCCAGAAGTCTCTCTTTCTAAGCAAGGCACCACTGTTCTCTCCATTCTCAGCTGTCCTTCGCTCTCCATATCTGATCAGTCCTCATGTAATCTGCCTTTGACCTTCAGAGTTCTCTCATCTATCCCATATTTCCATGCTTATTGCCATTGCCTGAGTTTAGACTGTTATCCTCCTTTATTTGGACAATGAAAATAGCTGCCTAATTGATCTCCCTGCCTTTAATCTCATACTGCCTCTTTTCATAAGATCTGCTCTCAAGTGAGCTTTTCTTTACTACTGCTGGGATTGTCTCATTCCCTTACTCAAAACTCTTATGTCTCCTCATTACCCATTGACTAAAAAAACTTACACACTCATTCATTGAACAAGTATTTATTGAGCACCTACTATGTGCCCTGCATTCACTCAGTGCCAGGGTTTCAGCAGTGAACCAGACAGAAAAGATTCCTGTTTTCATTTGTCTTCTAGTAAGAAGATAGTAAACAGGTAAACAAACAAACAAGATAATTTAATGCTATGAAAAGAAATGAAATGTATGAATGCGCTAGAGGGTAAGCTGCAAAGGAGAGGTGGCACTGCTTTAACAGGTTGATCAAGCTAGACCTCTAGAAGAAATAACTTTGATTAAAGACTTGAACAATGAGAAGGTTATACAGAGATCTGGGGGAAGAGCAGAAGAGCACTCCACATAGAGAGAACAGCACCTACAAATGCTCTGAGGAGGGAAGGTGAATCATTTGTCATTCTTGCCCCTGTACTGTGTTTACCCAAGCTAGCATTTCAGTTTAATCTCCGACAAGTCCTCCACACAATACTCAGGTTCCAGCCAAGTTATTCTGCTTGTTGTTGTCCAAACATAGCTTTGCATTCCCGACCCCATTTTTTCTCAGTTTTTTTTCCCTTTCAGCTGGAAAGTTCTCCTTTTTCTTAACTATAACAATTTAAATCCAACAAAATGCAGTTCTGAGGCCACTTCTTCTGTGAAAGCATCACTGATCACAACGAGCAAAAAGTTCACCCCTTCACTGAAATCGAACAGCGCACAATGGAACTTCTCCATCTTACTTGCCACCCAGACAGTTTTATAGAGAGCTGCATTCGTGGAGGAGGCATTGTAATCTGACATACGTAAGCCAAGTCAGAGCTTTCTCATGGAGAATGTGTCATAATGATGGTTATACTTCTAGCCAAGAACCTAATCACTGAGGTATATAGAGAAATGTTCAGAAACAACAAATTTAAGGAACTCTGTCTAATAAATTCATATTCTACCTCAGAGCTATTTAAACCTTATTTTTTAAGCCATTGAACCTTGTCCCACAATAGCATATAACTATATTTTCCACTATAATGTTTTACTAAACATAAAAGCAGAGCTGATCGGGTTGAATCAGGAAAAAGAGACCCACAAGTCTCCCCACTCAGCATCTTTACCCTTCCCAAGCAATAGATCTTCCATCTCCACTCCTCACTTTCATTCCCTTAGCCCCGGAGAAATTAGTGGAACCCTAGGGTTTCAGGAGCATGATTCAATACAGCACAACCCTACCCAACACAAAACATATGTAAATCTTTAACATATGTGATTAATAGCATATGTGATTACATAGCATATGTGATTAAGTTAATCAGATTTTAGATTTCTTTAGGAGAGCTCCAGTTGAGGCTTTGGGGATAGTGAGGCCATGGGAGGCCATTGCCATAGGGTTCCACAGGAGTGAGCCAGCCAGAGAATTGAGAGGATGGATGTTTCTAAGCTCCTATTTGCATCCACCTTTGGTTAGCCAACTCTTTATTTTCCTTTGAGTCTCAGATATCATTTCTTCCTGGAAACCAGTCCTGAACCCAAGCCTGGGTTAGATTCTGCTGTTACAGGTTGGTACATTCCCCATGCACCTTCCCAACCACAGCTCCCTATTGTAACCGCTTGTTGCACTCTAATTGTAATAGGGCTCCTCCACCTTCTGCTTGCGAGCAGAGACTGTGCCCTCAACTGTTCACTCAGGAACTCCCAGTGCCAATAATGCCTGGCACAAGGTAGGTGTTCTGTTATCTGTAGAATTAATGGATGTATGGAAATGGGTGAGAAGGCATTCAGGGCAGATGAAGGCCAGGAATGGGGTCTTACCATCCAGTGCCCACCTGCAGGCATACTGATGGTACGACAGTGAGTAGCCTGCTGCAGCGCTATAAGTAATTGTGGCTCTTGCATACCTGTTTTGCTTTCCTTCTAAACTGTAAGCCTATTGGAGACTCCGCCTACAGCTTCTATGTATGTCCTTTTAGGGAACATTTGCCGTTTGCTGCCTGGTATCCATTTCTCTTAGTCACTGTGGGCAAGTATTTCTCCACCTTTCTCAGTCATGTGTTGTCAATAGACTGGCCACACTCCTAGCTCCAGGATGAGTCCTAATTGCTTTAAGCCAATCAATATATCCTGTCATCAGCAGCCCACAGTGATCAGTTCAAGAAGGGGCACATAACCCAATTCGAACCAATAGCTGTCATCAGCTCTTAGCTGGGGCTGTAAGAGGAGGAACTCAGCAAAGAAGTTACAAGAACAAAATTTAGCTCCAGACTGGGTTCCAGTCCTGGTTGCTCTCCAGCTAGCTGAAGATCTTTGGGGATGTTGCTTAACCTCTCTAAGTCTTGGTTTCTTCATCTGTAAAATAGGCATAATGAGATTGCAGTGGGGAGTATACCTATAAATTGTTCAGAAAGGCACCTGACACAGGTCAATACATATAAGCAGTTGTTGTCATTATTTCATAGGATATATTAATACCAGCATATAGATGTGAAGCTTTGGACTACTGTAGCAATTTTGCTGCCTTGAGGGAGTCCAGCCTGAGTGTGAGGCCAGCACTGGGAAAAACTGAGCCTGGAACATAGAGAAATGAGCCAGAGGACATGATTTCAATCTCTGGATTAAGCTATGCCTAGAGCCAGCCTTATCCCCAGACTTTTTGAGATGTGAGCTGTTGGATTTCTTTCTTGTGCAAGCCATTTTGAGCTGCATTTGCTATTATTTGGAGTAAAAAGATTCCTGGCTAGCTCACTGTTCTTTGGTGGCAAGGGAACAAACAACTCTTTCAGTTCCTATTGCATGCCAGCATAAACATCTGCAACCAAGTCATCTGCTACTCTCTGTGTCAGTTGGTTCTGCATGTACTATATTATTTAATCTTCATTATCACTTTTAAGATAGATATCAATGATAGTAATTATCCCTTTTGTATGAATGTGGAAGCTGAAGCTTCAAGAGATTAAGTGGTCTGTCTAAGGTTTTATGGCTAGTCATGGATGAAATTGAACCCTTGACCCTGATTCCCTGACACCAAGGTCTGTGTTCTTTTCACCATGCTCTTTACTTCTTTCCATGGGAGAGGAACAGATAGGGCCCCAAAGGGTAAGTGCTCCATATATTTGGATGCTTAGAAAACATGGAGTGAAATTCAGTCCTTCCTAATTTCAATACAGCCTCAGTATCATGCAATAAAACTATCCTAGGGACAAGTGCTCATTAGCAACCAAATGTTTAGAGAATCAATAATCTAATTTTGAAAAAGAGAATTAATGCCATACTTAAATTTTAAGGCTGTAGATCTCATTTTCTTAGAGCTACTTTAAACCAGCTGAACATTAAAAATAGAAAGGATCATGAAATTAGTGTGCAGAGGTGTGTGGGTTTTTACTTTTCTTTTTCCCTTTCCTACTTTGTAACCGCAGGCTCTAGATGGGTGGCAATCCTAATTAGGAAATCATTTCCTTTAAATTAATTGTAGATGGCCGTAGTCACACTAAAGGCTCTAATCCACAGCTCAATATTAGTACCTTGGGCCCAAATTTTATGTTGGCAAATGTTCCTGTGGTGAATTGTGATTGTCCTGTTTTTAATAGTTATTTCCCTCCTGCTCTCTGCAGAATTAACCTTTTATGAATCCACTTATAAACTGTTAGCAAGAATTTTAATTGTGAAGAAAATTATATGGATTCTGGGCTATTTCCTGACACCTGCTCTGCAGATGAGGTTCTCCACATAATGATGTGGGCCCCGACTTGATCTCAAGGCTGTCACCCACACAGTGGGTTGAAGGCTGCTAGTTATAAGGATGGAAGCTTGTCATAATTCTAACCCTTTCATGAAAGATCTCCAGGTTTTCTGCCACTGCTGTTTTGCAATTCACTATTCCTGATGTCACTTGTAGTGTTCATTTTTGCAAAAGCACAAGTTGCAAAATATTCTTTGTTAGAACAAATTCTTTTTCCCATAATTAACCCTAATTAAGAAAAGATTACTAATTAAAAGTTGCTTTCTGAAATGCAAACATCATGAAAGGAAACAAATAATTTTTAAAGTAATAACTTAAAGAGAAATATTGATAGATGCATCTTTTCAGGGGTGTATCATTAATTCTCCTTTCAGCATACTTTTTTTCTGATGATATTTGGTGTTAATTTTGTCTATGTAGTTTAAAATAATTGATTTTGTATAAAAAGGCAACGGGAGAAGAACTCTGTCTCTGAGGTCTCTTGGGGGTATTTATTTGAAGATAAACTGGATTATACTTTTAGGAACTATTTAATATATACTTTTTGACATAATCAGGAATCTTTAGTGTAAACCAGTGAAGTTGTGTTTTTCTTCCTCTTTTTTTTTTTTTGAGACGGAGTTTTGCTCTTGTTGCCTGGGCTGTAGTGTAATGGCGCAATCTCGGCTCACTCCAACCTCTACCCTCCAGGTTCAAGTGATTCTCCTGCCTCAGCCCCCTGAGTAGCTGGATTTACAGGTGCTCACCACCACGCCTGGCTAATTTTTTGTATTTTTAGCAGAGATGGGTTTTCACCATGTTGGCCAGGCTGGTCTCAAACTCCTGACTGGTGATCCACCTGCCTTGGCCTCCCAAAGTGCTGAGATTACAGGCATGAGCCACCGTGCCCAGACATGGGTGAAGTTTTGTCAGGTAGAATTTGTATGGAAACTTGTTGGAGTGGGTTCATGGGATACTTTATACTTTTTCTTTTTTTTATTATTATACTTTAAGTTTTAGGGTACATGTGCACAATGTGCAGGTTAGTTACATATGTATACATGTGCCATGCTGGTGCACTGCACCCACTAACTCATCATCTAGCATTAGGTATATCTCCCAATGCTATCCCTCCCCCTCCCCCCACCCCACAGCAGTCCCCAGAGTGTGATGTTCCCCTTCCTGTGTCCATGTGTTCTCGTTGTTCAGTTCCCACCTATGAGTGAGAATATGCAGTGTTTGGTTTTTTGTTCTTGCGATAGTTTACTGAGAATGATGATTTCCAATTTCATCCATGTCCCTACAAAGGACATGAACTCATCATTTTTTATGGCTGCATAGTATTCCATGGTATACATGTGCCACACTTTCTTAATCCAGTCTATCATTGTTGGACATTTGGGTTGGTTCCCAGTCTTTGCTATTGTGAACAGTGCCGCAACAGACATACGTGTGCATGTGTCTTTATAGCAGCATGATTTATACCCAGTAATGGGATGTCTAGGTCAAATGGTACCTCTAGTTCCAGATCCCTGGGGGAATCGCCACACTGACTTCCACAACGGTTGAACTAGTTTACAGTCCCACCAACAGTGTAAAAGTGTTCCCATTTCTCCACATCCTCTCCAGCACCTGCTGCTTCCTGACTTTTTAATGACTGCCATTCTAACTGGTGTGAGATGGTATCTCACTGTGGTTTTGATTTGCATTTCTCTGATGGCCAGTGATGGTGAGCATTTTTTCATGTGTTTTTTGGCTGCATAAATGCTTCTTTTGAGAAGTGTCTGTTCATGTCCTTCACCCACTTTTTGATGGGGTTGTTTGTTTTTTTCTTGTAAATTTGTTTGAGTTCATTGTAGATTCTGGATATTAGCCCTTTGTCAGATAAGTAGGTTGCAAAAATTTTCTCCCATTTTGTAGGTTGCCTGTTCACTCTGATGGTAGTTTCTTTTGCTGTGCAGAAGCTCTTTAGTTTAATTAGATCCCATTTGTCAATTTTGACTTTTGTTTCCATTGCTTTTGGTGTTTTAGACATGAAGTCCTTGCCCATGTCTATGTCCTGAATGGTAATGCCTAGGTTTTCTTCTAGGGTTTTTATGGTTTTAGGTCTAACGTTTAGGTCTTTAATCCATCTTGAATTGATTTTTGTATAAGGTTTAAGGAAGGGATCCAGTTTCAGCTTTCTACATATGGCTAGCCAGTTTTCCCAGCACCATTTATTAAATAGGGAATCCTTTCCCCATTGCTTGTTTTTCTCAGGTTTGGCAAAGATCAGATAGTTGTAGATATGCGGCATTATTTCTGAGGGCTCTGTTCTGTTCCATTGATCTATATCTCTGTTTTGGTACCAGTCCCATGCTGTTTTGGTTACTGTAGCCTTGTAGTATAGTTTGAAGTCAGGTAGTGTGATGCCTCCAGCTTTGTTCTTTTGGCTTAGGATTGACTTGGCAATGCGGGCTCTTTTTTGGTTCCATATGAACTTTAAAGTAGTGTTTTCCAATTCTGTGAAGAAAGTCATTGGTAGCTTGATGGGGATGGCATTGAATCTATAAATTACCTTGGGCATATGGCCATTTTCACGATATTGATTCTTCCTACCCATGAGCATGGAATCTTCTTCCATTTGTTTTTATCCTCTTTTATTTCCTTGAGCAGTGGTTTGTAGTTCTCATTGAAGAGGTCCTTCACGTCCCTTGTAAGGTGGATTCCTAGGTATTTTATTCTCTTTGAAGCAATTGTGAATGGGAGTTCACTCATGATTTGGCTCTCTGTTTGTCTGTTGTTGGTGTATAAGAATGCTTGTGATTTTTGTACATTGATTTTGTATCCTGAGACTTTGCTGAAGTTGCTTATCAGCTTAAGGAGATTTTGGGCTGAGACGATGGGGTTTTCTAGATATACAGTCATATCGTCTGCGAACAGGGACAATTTGACTTCCTCTTTTCCTAATTGAATACCCTTTATTTCCTTCTCCTGCCTGATTGCCCTGGCCAGAACTTCCAACACTATGTTGAATAGGAGGGGTGAGAGAGGGCATCCCTGTCTTGTGCCAGTTTTCAAAGGGAATGCTTCCAGTTTTTGCCCATTCAGTATGATATTGGCTGTGGGTTTGTCATAGATAGCTCTTATTATTTTGAGATACGTCCCATCAATACCTAATTTATTGAGAGTTTTTAGCTTTTTGATGTGCTGCTGGATTCAGTTTGCCAGTATTTTATTGAGGATTTTTTGCATCAATGTTCATCAAGGTTATTGGTCTAAAATTCTCTTTTTTGGTTGTGTCTCTGCCCAGCTTTGGTATCAGGATGATGCTGGCCTCATAAAATGAGTTAGGGAGGATTCCCTCTTTTTCTATTGATTGGAATAGTTTCAGAAGGAATGGTACCAGTTCCTCCTTGTACCTCTGGTAGAATTCAGCTGTGAATCCATCTGGTCCTGGACTCTTTTTGGTTGGTAAGCTATTGATTATTGCCACAATTTCAGCTCCTGTTATTGGTCTATTCAGAGATTCAACTTCTTCCTTGTTTAGTCTTGGGAGAGTGTATGTGTCCAGGAATTTATCCATTTCTTCTAGATTTTCTAGTTTATTTGCATAGAGGTGTTTATAGTATTCTCTGATGGTAGTTTGTATTTCTGTGGGATCGGTGGTGATATCCCCTTTATCATTTTTTATTGCATCTATTTGATTCTTCTCTCTTTTTTTCTTTATTAGTCTTGCTAGCAGTCTGTCAATTTTGTTGATCCTTTCAAAAAACCAGCTCCTGGATTCATTAATTTTTTGAAGGGTTTTTTGTGTCTCTATTTTCTTCAGTTCTGCTCTGATGTTAGTTATTTCTTGCCTTCTGCTAGCTTTTGAATGTGTTTGCTCTTGCTTTTCTAGTTCTTTTAATTGTGGTGTTAGGGTGTCAATTTTGGATCTTTCCTGCTTTCTCTTGTGGGCATTTAGTGTTATAAATTTCCCTCTACACACTGCTTTGAATGTATCCCAGAGATTCTGGTATGTTGTGTCTTTCTTCTCATTGGTTTCAAAGAACATCTTTATCTCTGCCTTCATTTCGTTATGTACCCAGTAGTCATTCAGGAGCAGGTTGTTCAGTTTCCATGTAGTTGAGTGGTTTTGGGTGAGTTTCTTAATCCTGAGTTCTAGTTTGATTGCATAGTGGTCTGAGAGATAGTTTGTTATAATTTCTGTTCTTTTACATTTGCTGAGGAGAGCTTTACTTCCAACTGTATGGTCAATTTTGGAATAGGTGTGGTGTGGTGCTGAAAAAAATGTATATTCTGTTGATTTGGGGTGGAGAGTTCTGTAGATGTCTATTAGGTCTGCATGGTGCGGAGCTGAGTTCAATCCCTGGGTATCCTTGTTAACTTTCTGTCTCGTTGATCTGTCTAATGTTGACAGTGGGGTGTTAAAGTCTCCCATTATTAATGTGTGGGAGTCTAAGTCTCTTTGTAGGTCACTCAGGACTTGCTTTATGAATCTGGGTGCTCCTGTATTGGGTGCATATATATTTAGGATAGTTAGCTCTTCTTGTTGAATTGATCCCTTTACCATTATGTAATGGCCTTCTTTGTCTCTTTTGATCTTTGTTGGTTTAAAGTCTGTTTTATCAGAGACTAGGATTGCAACCCCTGCCTTTTTTTCTTTTCCATTTGCTTGGTAGATCTTCCTCCATCCTTTTATTTTGAGCCTATGTGTGTCTCTGCATGTGAGATGAGTTTCCTGAATACAGCACACTGATGGGTCTTGACTCTTTATCCAATTTTCCAGTCTGTGTCTTTTAATTGGAGCATTTAGTCCATTTACATTTAAAGTTAATATTGTTATGTGTGAATTGGATCCTGTCATTTTGATATTAGCTGGTTATTTTGCTCATTAGTTGATGCAGTTTCTTCCTAGTCTCGATGGTCTTTACATTTTGACATGATTTTGCAGCGGCTGTTACCGGTTGTTCCTTTCCATATTGAGTGCTTCCTTCAGGAGCTCTTTTAGGGCAGGCCTGGTGGTGACAAAATCTCTGAGCATTTGCTTGTCTGTAAAGTATTTTATTTCTCCTTCAGTTATGAAGCTTAGTTTGGCTGGATATGAAATTCTGGGTTGAAAATTCTTTAAGAATGTTGAATATTGGCCCCCACTCTCTTCTAGCTTGTAGAGTTTCTGCCGAGAGATCCGCTGTTAGTCTGATGGGCTTCCCTTTGTGGGTAACCCGACCTTTCTCTCTGGCTCCCCTTAACATTTTTTCCTTCATTTCAACTTTGGTGAATCTGACAATTATGTGTCTTGGATTTGCTCTTCTTGAGGAGTATCTTTGTGGCGTTCTCTGTATTTCCTGAATCTGAACGTTGGCCTGCCTTGCTAGATTGGGGAAGTTCTCCTGGCTAATATCCTGCAGAGCGTTTTCCAACTTGGTTCCATTCTCCCCGTCACTTTCAGGTACACCAATCAGACGTAGATTTGGTCTTTTCACATAGTCCCATATTTCCTGGAGGCTTTGTTCATTTCTTTTTATTCCTTTTTCTCTAAACTTCGCTTCTCGCTTCATTTCATTCATTTCATCTTCCATTGCTGATACCCTTTCTTCCAGTTGATCGAATCAGCTCCTGAGGCTTCTGCATTCTTCACGTATTTCTCAAGCCTTGGCTTTCAGCTCCATCAGCTCCTTTAAGCACTTCTCTGTCTTGGTTATTCTAGTTATACATTCTTCTAAATTTTTTTCAAAGTTTTCAACTTCTTTGCCTTTGGTTTGAATTTCCTCCTATAGCTCGGAGTAGTTTGATCATCTGAAGCCTTCTTCTCTCAGCTCATCAAAGTCATTCTCCATCCAGCTTTGTTCCGTTGCTGGTGAGGAACTGCGTTCCTTTGGAGGAGGAGAGGCGCTCTGCTTTTTAGAGTTTCCAGTTTTTCTGTTCTGTTTTTTCCCCATCTTTGTGGTTTTATCTACTTTTGGTGTTTGATGATGGTGATGTACAGATGGGCTTTTGGTGTGGATGTCCTTTCTGTTTGTTAGTTTTCCTTCTAACAGACAGGACCCTCAGCTGCAGGTCTGTTGGAGTTTGCTAGAGGTCCACTCCAGACCCTGTTTGCCTGGGTATCAGCAGCGGTGTCTGCAGAACAGCGGTTTTTCATGAACCGCGAATGCTGCTGTCTGATTGTTCCTCTGGAAGTTTTGTCTCAGAGGAGTACCCGGCCATGTGAGACATCAGTCTGCCCCCACTGGGGGGTGCCTCCCAGTTAGGCTGTTCGGGGGTCAGCGGTCAGGGACCCACTTGAGGAGGCAGTCTGCCCGTTCTCAGATCTCCAGCTGCGTGCTGGGAGAACCACTGCTCCCTTCAAAGCTCAGATGGAAATGCAGAAATCACCCATCTTCTGCGTCGCTCACACTGGGAGCTGTAGACCGGAGTTGTTCCTATTCAGCCATCTTGGCTCCTCCCTCCTTTTTTTTTTCTTTTAGATTTAGGACAAACAATGTTACTTCACAGTGAAGCCTCAAGAAGAGGGAGACCTACAGCCTCAGGAATTGTAGGCCCTTTTCCTTGTCCTTTGCAGTTTAAACCTGGGAGATTGTACCCTGGTTGAAGTATCATGTTTAGGATGCAATTTCAAAGCAAATAAAAATAGCATGCTTTTATCATAACCTACCATGTTTGTTCACCAAAATCCAGTTTATGGTTCAAACTGTACAGAAAGGTCTTTGGACAACACCTCAGGAAATGTAACCAAAGGTAGATTTGTTAAGTCATGCTCCCTGTGCTCTGTGAGCATGCCATATCCAGGTCAACTCCTCTCTCCACCAAGTACCTAACACTTATAACTGTCTGCATCTCTGTAATCTGGGCCTTATGCCTCATACCAAGAAGTGATGCAGGTGGGATAGTCAGATGGTCTTTACAAGACAGCGGATTGGTTGATCCACCATGGCTTACTTTGATGCCTCCACCTTCCATTCTGGTAGAAATGGCATATCTATAGACCAGGGACAGGGCGTGGGAGGGTGTATAACAGTTTATCTCCTCCCTCAGCCAGGCAAATGTTACAAAGAATTCCTAAGATTATTCCATTACTTATTGACATTCAGATAATATAACCTACTGTGGACAGAATCCACATTGTGATGGGTGCTTCTAGTCTGGCTGACACTTTTTCCTCTGGCTTGTCTGTAGGGATGGTGACACATTTCTAGCCTTTTGAGGAGCTGCACATGTTCACCATATCAATTGCTGACAGATTCTCCATGGAGTATCTCCTTCATCTTCTTTTAATCCCTTTTCCATCCCCTCTATCCCAAGTATCTGCCTCCTCGCCTATTACATTCTCTGGCCTTGGGTTCAGTCATTCTCTACACCAGGTAGAGAATGGGGGGATGCACAGCTGGGGAAATCTGACCTGAGGCTTCAATATCCTTCTAAAAATCATACTTTTCACACTATGAAGGTCACATCTTCGCAGACTGTTCTTCAGCAACTCCCAGGTGGCTTTAGCACAACAGTATATATCTCTGTACATGTCCAATTAGCAGTGAACATCTTTGCATGTTTCTACTGCTATCCTGTAAATGTTTCTATCTATTTTCATTTGTAACTGTCCCGTTCTCTTGCCTGTGTATTGTATTCCCCCCATTAGATTTCACACTCTTAAAAGGAAGGGACCATATCTTCTATTTCATTTTAATTCCCTAAATTGTCTACAAACAGTGCTTCCTGGGTGCTTTTGACTGCCTGATATGCCTTAGCAGATAGCTTTGATTCTGCTGGTGCCCTGGGCTTTCACAGGAAGCTTGTTGCATGGAGGTGCCCCCTTTGACCTTGAGCAAAACTCTAAAGCTGCGTGTTTAGCTCTCATCATAAAAATGCTGCTTCCAAGGAGTTTTGACCCAACACAAACTCAGCAATCAAACCACAAATTTGACCCCTCTGTCAATAGTGAGGACAAAGGGACTAAAAGTCACACTTTGGACATTGGTTTTCTAGCTCTGGAGAAATCGCATGTAATGAATTGTTCTGTTGACATAGAGTCAACCACTCTTCTCCTCTGAGAACAGTTTGCCTGACAGGCTTAGGATGAGTTTTTTTTTAATCCCTTTCTTGTATTTTAAAAAACAAGGCTATCTTCAGAATAATGATACCAAAATAATACTAGGCTTGTGAATGAGCATAATGAATGTAGAGAAAATTACGGACAATTAGGGCTGAAATGTCATCCGTCTTTCTAGGCACAGCATTGCCTTTCCTAAACTGCTTTCTGCCCCCTCCATCCTGTTCAGGTTTTTTGAGGACATTTAGACATGTGGTCATTTTAGCTTTTGTTAAGTTTTTTACCTGATATTTGTTGAGGAATTTGTTGTTTGCTCTTTTAGCATTAAGACCCCTTTCATATATTAAGATTTTCTATGAGGATATGAATGATCCCATGGAGGACAATGTTTCAAAAGCTCCTAAATTGACAGAGAGTGATGACTTTGGGTAAACCAGTAAAGCAAAGGAAGCAAAATTCAGCCTAGGGTTTGGGGAAAATTGGCATTCAAAGCTGGTAAAGAAATTGGAGGTCATTAGATCAGGCACTTAAGAAACCCTCATGGGTTACCGGTAGTGCCAAATGATGAGTAATATAGGTCAGGAGACAAATGCCATCATGTTTGAATGATGATGGGGGATGTAGGGTCAGATACTTTTATTTTGACTGATTATGCTTTGTAACCAAAGTGGTAAATGATGGGCTTCATTGGTTATCAGTTAAACGCTGTCTAAGAAATTTGGAAATCATGTTCCTTTAACTCTCACTTTGTCTTTAGATTAGGCTCCTTAGCTTTATTGGCTGTTAATTCAGTGAAAAATGATGGATACCCAAAGTTTTAATTTTCCTATTTCTTTAGAAGAATATTGCCTTATTTCTATAACTCACTTCCAATTTCTCCTTTTCATTTCTGTATAAGTAGCTCTGCCTTGCTTAAGTATAATCTTAAGGGGAAATTCAGCATGTATTTATCAGAATAATTTTCCCCAGTAAGGAAGAAATTCACACTTCCTCCATGCTATCCTAGACCAGAGAGAAGTCCCTTAATACACTAATCATGAATCTACTTTAAACCTCATAGCTTTTTTTCTTAATGTATGCTGATACTCTTTGACTTACCTAAAATTATTTTTTTGTTTCCATGCCCTTATCTGCTTTGACATGGAGACCTGTGCTTGTGATTTCTTTTAATACCCCAAATGTTTGAAATCATACTGAGAGTCTTTACAATTTAACAGACAGAGAAGTATAATGTATTTATGCTGTACCTATAGGTATTCAGGCCTGTCTTACAAAGAAAATTAATTCATCTCTAAGACTCAGGGCTTCCCAACTGTGTCAAAGTCGTGCATTCATACGTATTGATGTGAATATGTACATATACGTACAGGGCTTAAGAAATAGAGTGCCCTGTGCATTGCTGCAGCTGGGATCAGGGACTAGTGAAATGCAGCTGGGAATTCTTTTCAGCTTGTAATGGGCTTCACTCCAAGCTTCAACCATCACACTGCCTGTTTAAAAGCACTTATTCAACTCTCAGGGAATGTACAAATTCCTGCAGAGAATTGTGGGGAAGGAAGGCACAATCCTGCCTGCCGAGGTCTAGAGGGCATGAGCCAGCCTCTCCTAAGGGATGAGTTCAAGCAGAGAGAAAACAGTTGAGCATTTCCTTCATTTGTCCCTCATTTACCCTCTGGCAGTAACTAAAGTCGAGACCAAAAGTTGATTGAAAGGAGAGGGAGGTAGTTTTGATTATTTGGTTAAAGCCTTCCCAAATCTTTTCTACTGCCTTCCCGTTGTAAAGAAAAGATTCAACCAAGAGAAGGCAGTCAAGTTAGCTTGAAACATTTTCTGCTAAGGGAAGAACTTCCAAAGACAGTGAGAGTTAAGTAAACCCCATGCTAAAATTGAAGCACAAAACTTGAGGCTTTTGAGCTAACACCTGTTCTTTTTTTTTATTATTATACTTTAAGTCCTAGGGTGCATGTGCACAACCTGCAGGTTTGATACATAGGTATACATGTGCCATGTTGGTTTGCTGCACCCATCAACTCATCATTTACATTAGGTATTTCTCCTAATGGTATCCCTCCCGCAGTCCCCCACCTCCCCACGGGCCCCGGGGTGTGATGTTCCCCGCCCTGTGTCCAAGTGATTTCATTGTTCAATTCCCACCTATGAGTGAGGCTAACACCTATTCTTAAGAAGGCAAGATGTACTTGCTATAGCAAAAGATTCATCCACAAAATGTCCTCCCCCCTCCCTTATATATTTGGTTTAATCATAAAAGTATATGTCAAAAATAATTTATGAATGTTAATTTTTTCTCTGGGTGCTACAGCTTCTATCTGCCGAAGTTTCTCTTCTTTTCTGTCCATGCCTGAAGACACTGGTCAGCATACATTTACCAGCTTTTTAGGAAACAGCAGCCAAATTGGGCAGTAGGCATGTGTATATAAACATAAAATTTAAGTATTATTGTCAGCACTAAAGTTTGAAAGGATGAGAAACTGGCTCCGTGCTCTGTCATGACTTGGAATTGTTCTGTTGATGCATAAACTTTTGTTGGAGGAAAATTGGTCCTCTGACAATAATTCTGAACGTTAATTTTAAGTGCTCTCCCATAGATTTATTTAACTTCTGAAAATATCATGCTTCAAGTTAATAGTCCATTTGTTTGAATAGAAGGGATGCAAACACAGTGAGCACAGTACTCTCAGTTCAGGGACAGGAGCTCTGGGTCCCCTGTTTAGATTATACCGGGAATGGAGAGAAGGATACAGCAGACATCACTGTCAGTGTTCCTGCCCCCAGAGAAACAGAGAAATATGAGTGTGTGAATCAAGATAAATGACAACATTTTTTAAAACATAAAAGAATTAGTAGTTACCATGGATTGGGGGAGGGAGGGATGAGTAAGTGAAGCACAGGATTTTTAGGGCAATGTAACTACTCTGTAATGGTGGATACATATACATGTCATTGCCCTAAAAATGACATTTACGCAAACCCATACCTACTACCTACTACCATACCAAATACCTACTATATTTAATAAAAATATATCTTGAAAATCATCCCAAATCAGTAGATTAAACAGTCCCCCTATGCTTTTTAATGCTTCTTAGTGTTCTATTGTATGGATATAGCATATAATGGTGCTATTATACAGACATTTTTTGATCTTACCAATAATCTTGCAGCAGTAACCTTGTACATTTCTGTAGGTTAAATTTCCAGAAGGTGAATTGCTGGATAAAATGTTATGTGCATTGTAATTTTGTGAGATATTGACAAATTGTCTTCCAAAGAGGTTATGTCAATTTACACTCCTATCAGTAATGTACAAGAGTGCATGTTTCCTCACATTCTGTATAATATTTGGATCTTTTCCAATCCAATAGATAAAAATGATAAATCAGATTAATTTTAATTTGCTTTTATTTTATTGTCAGTGAAGATGAATATTTTTAACCTTTTAAAAGAGCTATTTGTATGCCCTTTTATATGAGTTGTTCATACAGAAATTTTGACTCAATTTTTATTATTTTGACTCTTTTTAGTTTGAAGGAGCTCTTTGTAGAAAGAGGTATTATATATACGGCAAATAGTTTTCCTACACTCGGCTTAGTGTGGGCCTAAATATTTTTGAGGCCTAAACTTAGCTTACTCTCTAGTGTGGAATTGAGGTCTTAAGTACTGGTTCAAGTGGTGTGTAGAATTCAGAACTGCTTCCTGAGAAATATCTTACTTGGATTTCAATACCCCTGCCCTACCATATTAAGGAGAATATGCCTTATTTTCCTTATGTTCTTACCCCTTACTTATCTACATGGTTTCCAAAGCCAGTGAATTAGCAGCTACAACATCATTTCATTTCCATGCCCTCTTCAGGGAGTAGACTCTCTGTGCACAAAAAACCATCTTCCACGGAGAGCTGTTTGAAGGCAGTGTCTTCCAGGTGAATGAGGCGCTCTCTCTCTCTCTCACCCACCCCGCCCACCAACCACACACACACCCTGGAGTGCTGGAATAAAAAGTTTGTGCATTACTTTCCTACAAAACAAGGTTGGTTCCTATAATTATTTTTATTATTATACTTTAAGTTCTGGGATACATGTGCAGAACATGCAGGTTTGTTACATAGGTATACACGTGTCACGGTGGTTTGCTGCACCCATCAACCTGTCATCTACATTAGGTATTTCTCCTAGTGCTATCCCTCCCCTAGCCCCACACCCCCCGACAGGCCCCAGTATGTAATGTTCCCCCCCCCGTGTACATGTGTTCTCATTGTTCAACTCCCACTTATGAGTGAGAACATGTGGTGTCTGGTTTTCTGTTCTTGTGTTAGTTTGCTGAGAATGATGGTTTCCAGCATCATCCATGTCCCTGCAAAGGACATGAACTCATCCTTTTTTATGGCTGCATAGTATTCCATGGTGTATTTGTGCCACATTTTCTTTATCCAGTCTATCACTGATGGGCATTTGGGTTGGTTCCAAGTCTTTGCTATTGTGAACAGTGCTGCAATAAACATACGTGTGCATGTGTCTTTATAGTAGAATGATTTATAATTCTTTGGGTATATACCCAGTAATGGGATTGCTGGGTCAAATGGTATTTCTAGTTCTAGATCCTTAAGGAATTGCCATACTGTCTTCCACAATGGTTGAAGTAATTTACACTCCCATAAACAGTGTAAAAGCGTTCCAGTTCCTAGAAAATTTGACTGAAGAGCTAGTGTTGTCCTGGGCTTTTTGAGGTGAGATTTTGTCATTTCTTCACCTTCCCACTTTGTGGAGCTTATTGAGGAAAAACATATCTTCAAAGCTTTGTATACTCATTGTTCTACATGTTGCTGGGCATATAGTTGGTATTTAATAAATGTTTGTGAAAGTAAAGGAGAAATTAAGTTTAAGATTTTTTCAGTTACCCAGGAATATCATGAACATCCTATAACTGTTTTTGTCATATTATACTACATTTAATCACACAACTGGAAAGCCTGTTATGAAAACAAACTTCTCTTTAAAAATTACTAAATAAATATCCCATGAAAAGGACATTAAAGTATACACAAACTGGACCCGTAACTGTGTTGTATATTCCATTCTACTCCGTGTATGTATCTACCTATTTTATCTCTTTTTCATCTCTTTGTGATTCATCTCTATAGAAAGAAATCGAATCAGTGTGGTAGAAACGGTTTTAGAAATAGAAAGAGAGAGGAGGCTGGACAAGATGGTTGACTAGAAGTAACCAGTGTGCTCTACTCTCATGGAAAGAAATAGAAGGGGCAAGTAAATTCAGCACCTTAAACTGAATCATCCAGGTACGCTCATTGGGATTCATCAAAAAAACAACTTAACCCACAGAGAATGGAGGAAAGCAATGCCTGCCTACTCAAGAGCAACACGAAGCCAGGGGAGCTTACCTTGCCTAGAAAAATGGTCCGAGTCCTCAATTCTCCTCAGTGGGTAGAGCTGTCTGACCTGGGACTAGAGCACAACCACCCTGCCCCTCCCTGACCACTTCAATCAGAGACAGCTCAGCAGTTAAAGGAACACCCACATGGAGAGATAGGAAAGAACCAATGCAAGAACTCTGACAACTCAAATGGCTAGAATGTCTTATGTCCTCTAAGTAACTACAGTAGTTCTCCAACAAGAGTTCTTAAGCAGGCTGAATTGGCTGAAATGATGGAAATAGAATTCAGAGTATGGATAGGAACAAAGATCACTGAGAGTCAGGAGAATGGCAAAACTCAATCTAAGGAAATTAAGAATCACAGTAAAATGTTATAGGAGGCTGGGCATGGCCGTTCATGCCTGTAATCCCAGAACTTTGAGAGGCCAAGACGAGTGGATCACCTGAGGTCAGGAGTTCAAGATCAGCCTGGCCAAAACGGAGAAACCCCATCTCTACTAAAAATACAAAAAGTAGCCAAGTGTGGTGGCACACACCTATAATCCCAGCTACTTGGGAGGCTGAGGCAGGAGAATTGCATGAACCCTGGAGGCCGAGGTTGCAGCGCACCAAGATCATGCCACTGCACTCCAGCCTGGGCGATGGAACAAGTACTCTGTCTCAAAAAAAAAAAAACCCCAAAAAATAAGAAAAGAAAAGAAAAGTTACAGGAGGTGACAGACAAATAGCCAGTATAAAAAAGATCCTAACTAATCTGATAGAGCTAAAAAACACACTATAAGAATTTCACAATGCCATCACAAGTATTAACAGCAGAATAGACCAAGCCAAGGAAAGAATATTGGAACTTGAAGACTGGTTCTCTGAAATAAGATAGTCAGAAAAAGTAAAGAAAAAAGAAAGAAAAGGAATGAACAAAATCTCTGAGAAATATGGGATTATGTAAAGAGGCCAAATTGACAAATGCCAAATTACATTGGCATCCATGAAAGGGACAGGAAGAAAGCAAACAACTTGGAAACCATATTTCAGGATATTGTCCATGAAAACATCACCAACCTTGCTAGAGAGGCCAACAGTCAAAATCAGGAAATACAGAGAACCCCTGCAAGATTCTACACAAGAAGATCATGCCCAAGACACATAATTGTCAGATTTTCCAAGGTTGAAATGAAAGAAAGAATGTTAAAGGCAGCTAAAGAGAAAGGGTAGGTCATCTACAAAGCGAACCCCTTCAGGCTAACAGTGGACCTTTCAGCAGAATTCCTGCAAGCAAGAAGAGATTGCGAGGCTATACTCAATATTCTTAAAGAAAAAACTCTTCAACAAAGAATTTCATATCCAGACAAACTATACTTCCTCAGCAAAGGAGAAATAAGATTCTTTTCAGATAGGCAAATGCTGAGGGAATTCATTACCACCAGACCCACCTTACAAGAGATCTTGAAAGGGGCACTAAATATGGAAAGGAAAGACCATTGCCAGCCAATATAAAAACACACTTAAATACACAGACCAGTGACACTATAAAGCAACCACACACACAAGCCAACATAATAACCAGCTAACAGCACAATAACAGGATCAAATCCACAGATATCAATACTAACCTTGAATGTAAACGAACTAAATGCCCCAATTAAAAGGCACAGAGTGGCAAGCTGGATAAAAAAGCAAGACCCAATGGTATGCTGTCTTCAAAAAACCCATCTCACATGCAGTGACACCCATAGGCCCAAAATAAAGGGATGGAGGAAAATCTACCAAGCAAATAGAAATCAGAAAAAGCAAGAGTTTCAATTTTAACTTCAGACAAAACAGACTTTAAGCCAACAAAGATCAAAAAAGGCAAGGGCATTACATAAGACCTAACTCTCTTAAATATATATGCACCCAACACAGGAGCACCCAGATTCATAAAGCAAGTTCTTAGAGATCTACAAAGAGACTTAGACTCCCACACAATAATAGTAGGAGACTTCAACACACCACTGACAGTATTAAAAAGATCATCGGGCAGAAAATTAACAAAGATATTCAGGACCTCAATATTGGGCAAAATGCATCTGATAGACCTCTATAGAACTCTCCACCCCAAAGCGACAGAATATACCTTTTTCTCATCACCACATAGCACATACTCTAAAATCAACCGTACGATTGGACATAAAACAATCCTCAGCAAATGCAAAAGAACTGAAATCATGTCAAACACACTCTTGGACCACAGTGTAAGAAAAATAGCAAAAGCTTCAAACCACGCAATTACATTGAAATTTAAAAACCTGCTCCTGAATGACTTTTGGGTAAATGATGAAATTAAAGAAAAAATCAAGAAGTTCTTTGAAACTAATGAGAACGAAGGTATAACATATCAGAATCTCTGGGACACAGCTAAGGCAGTGTTCAGAGGGAAATTTAAAGCACTAAATGTCCACATCAAAAAGTTAGAAAGATCTCAAATTAATAGTCAAACATCACAACTAGCAGAATTACAGAGGCAAGAGCAAAACAGCCCCACAGCTAGCATAGGACAAGAAATAAACAAAATCAGGGCTGACCTGAAGGAGATTCTGACACAAAAACCACTCAAAATATCAACAAATCCAGGAATTTGTTTTTTGAAAACATTAATAAGATAGACGAATAGCTAGACTAATAAAGAAAAGAGAGAAGATCCAAATAAATATGATTTGAAATGATAACGGGATGTTACCACTGACCCCACAGAAGCACAAGCAACCATCAGAGACTACTATGAACACCTCTACGCACATGAACTAGAACACCTAGAAGGAATGGATAAATTTCTGGACAAAAACACCCTCCCAACACTGAACTAGGAAGCAATTGATTTCCTGAACAGACCAATAGCAAGCTCTGAAATTGAATCAGTAATAAATAGTCTACCAACAAAAAAATCCCAGGACCAGTTGGATTCACAGCCAAATTCTACCAGATGTACAAAGAAGAGCTGGTACCATTCCTACTGTAACTTTTCCAAAAAATTGAGGAGGAAGAACCCCTCCCTGACTCATTCTATGAGGCCAGCATCATCCTGATACCAAAACCTGGCAGAGTACAACAAAAAAGAAAACTTCAGGCCAATATTCTTGATGAACATTGATGCAGTGATCCTCAACAAAATACTTGCAAACTGGACTCGGCAGTACATCATAAAGCTAATCTACCACAATCAAATAGGCTTTATCCTTGAGAAGCAAGGTTAGTTCAACACACACAATTCAATAAATATGATTCATCACATAAACAGAACTAAAGACAAAAACTACATGATTATCTCAATAGATACAGAAAAGGCTTTTGATAAAATTCAACATCTCTTCATGTTAAAAACTCTCAATAAACTAGGTATTGAAAGAACATACCTCAAAATAATAAGATCCACATATGACAAACCCAAAGCCAACACCATACTGAATGGGCAAAAGCTGGAAGCATTCCCCCTGAAGACTGACACAAGACAAGGATGTCCTCCCTCACCACTCATATTTAACATAGTTTTGGAAGTCCTGGCCAGATCAATCAGTCAAGAGGAAGCAATAAAGGGCATCCATATAAAAAGAGAGGAAGTAAAACTATTGCTGTTTGCAGAAAACATGATTCTATATCTAGAGCCTAAAAGCTCCTTCAGCTGATAAACAACTTCAGCAAAGATTCAGGAAACAAAATCAACATATGAAAAATCACTAGTATTCCTGTACACCAATAACAGCCAAGCTGAGAGCTAAATCAGGAACACAATCTCATTTCCAATTGCCTCAGAAAGAATAAAATACCTAGGAACATAGATAACTGGGGAGGTGAAAGATTTCTACAAGGAGAACTATAAAGAATTGCTCAAGGAAATCAGAGATGACAGAAGCAAACAGAAAAATATTCCATGCTCATGGATAGGGAGAATCAATATCATTAAAATGGCCACACTGCCCAGAGCAATTTATAGATTCTGTACTATTCCTATCAAACTACCAATGACTTCTTCACAGAACTAGAAAAAAACTATTTTAAAATTCATATGGAATCTAAAAAGAGCCCAAATAGCCAAGGCAAATCTAACCAAAAAGAATAAAGCTGTAGGCATCACATTACCGACCTCAAACTGTACCATTGGGCTACAGTAACCAAAACAGCATGGTACTGGTATGAAAACAGACATGTAGACCAATGGAACAGAATAGAGAGTCCCCAGATAAGGCTGCACATCTACAACCATCTGATCTTTGAGAAAGCTGAAAAAAAACAAGCAATGAGGAAAAGACTCCCTATTTAATAAATGGTGCTGGTATAAGTGGCTAGCCATATGCAGAAGATTAAAATGACCTCTTCCTTATACCAAATACAAAAATCAACTCAAGATGGATTAAAGACTTAATGTAAAACCCCAGACTATAAAAACCCTAGAAGACAACCTAGGCAATACCATTCTGGACACAGGCATGGCCAAAGGTTTCAGGATGAGCATGCCAAAAGCAGTCGCTACAAAAGCAAAAATTGACAAATGAGATCTAATTAAACTTAAGAGCATCTGCAGAGCAAAACAAACTATCAACATAGTAACAGAGAAAATATCTGCAAACTATATGTCTGACAAAGACACTTATAAGAAACTTAAATTTACGATAAAAGAAAACTATTAAAAAGTGGATAAAGGACATGAACAGACACTTTTCAAAAGAAGTCATATATGCAGCCAACAAGCATATGAACAAAGCTCAATATCACTTATCACTAGAGAAATGTAAATGAAAACTTCAGTGGGATACCATCTCACACCAGTTAGAATGGCTATTATTAAAAAGTCTAAAAACAACAGATGCTGGCATGGTGGTGGAGAAAAGTGAACACTTGCACGCTGCAGGTGAGAGCGTATATTAGTTTAACCATTGTGGAAAGCACTGTGGTGATTCCTTAAAAAGCTAAAAGCAGCATTTGTCCAGCAATCACATTACAAGTTTTATCAAAGGAATATAAATCATTCTACCATAAAGACACATGCATGTGTATGTTCATTGCAGCACTATTCACAGTAACAAAGACATGGAATCAACCTAAATGCTCATCAGTGGCAGATTAGATAAAGAAAATATACTACATATACACCATGGAATACTCTGCAGCCATTAAAAAGAATAAAATCATGTCTTTGCTGGAACATGGATGGAGCTACAGGCCATTATCCTTAGCAAATTAATGCAGGAACAAACAACCAAATACTGCATGTTCTCACTTATAAGTGGGAACTAAATGATTCGAACACATGGACACAAAGAGGGGAACAATAGACACTAGGGCCTACTTGCGGGTGGAAGTGGGAGGAGAGAGAGGATCAGAACAAAAAAGCTATTGAGTACTAGGCTTAGTTCCTGGGTGATGAAATCATCTGTACAAAAATCCCCCGTGACATGAGTTTACCTATATAACCAACCTACACATGTACCCTTGAACCTAAAATAAAGGTTTTTTTAAAAAAGACGAAGAGATGGGAGTGGAAAGAGAGATGGGGTTAGGGAGAAAGGAAAGGTGAAAGACGAGAGATAAAGAAAAGGGAACAAAAGTCCAAAGTAAGGATTAGTTCTATGTGATATGCCCTTATTAGTTAAAAAGTTGAAAATAATATTTATAAAATTTAAAAAATAGGAATCGGTCCTTCAGACATAGCTCAGGGAGGGGATGAAGAGAATAGGAGAGTGTAGGAAAGAAGTCCTGACCTTTACTACATAGCCCTGACCTGTAGAAAGAGGGCCCAAACCAACTACAAAGATCATATATTATTAAAGCCAGTTCCACCAGCACCCATTTAATTATGGCTCCACAGCCCCTTCCCATTTCATTAATTTAGTAAAAGTTCACTAGATACTTTTGTGCAAGATATGGTGTTTGATATAATTTGGCTGTGTCCCCTCCCAAATCTCATCTTGAATGTATCTCCCATAATTCCCATTGTTGTGGGAGGCACCTGATGGGAGATAATTGAATCATGGTGGTGGTTTCCCTCATACTGGTCTCATGGTAGTGAATAAGTCTCACAAGATCTGATGGTTTTCTAAGAAGAAACCCCTTTCACTTGGCTCTCACTCTCTCTTTGCCTGCTGCCATCATGTAAGACCTGATTTGCTCCTCCTTGCCTTTTGCCATGATTGTGAGGCTTCCCCAGCCAACATGGAACTGTTAAGTCCAGTTAAACCTCTTTTGTAAATTTCCCAGTATTGGGTATGTCTTTATCAGCGGTGTGAAAATGAACTGATACAGTAAATTGGTACCAAGAGTGAGGTGCTGCTGAAAAGATACCAGAAAATGTGGAAGTGACTTTGGAACTGGGTAACAGGCCAAGGTAGGAAAAATTTGGAGGGCTCAGAAGAAGACAGGAAAATGTGGGAAAGTTTGAAACTTCCTACAGACTTGTTGAATGGCTTTGATCAAAATGCTGATAATGATATGGACAATGAAATCTGGTCTGAGGTGGTCTCAGTTGGAGATAAGGAACTTGTTGGGAGCTGGAGCAAAGGTGACTGTTGTTATGTTTTAGCAAAGAGATTGGCGGCATTTTGCCCTGCCCTACAGATTTATGGAATTTTCAATTTGAGAGAGATGATTTAGGGTATCTGGTGAAAGACATTTCTAAGTAGCAAATCATTCAAGAGGTAACTTGGGTGCCATTAAAGGCATTCAGTTTTATAAGAGAAGCAGAGCATAAAAGTTCAGAAAATTTGCAGCCTGACGATGAGATAGAAAACAAATCCCATTTTCTGAGGAGAAATTCAAGCTGGCTGCCGAAATTTGCATAAGCAACAAGGAGCTGAATGTTAATCCCCAAGACAATGGGGAAAATATCTCCAGGGCATGCCAGAGAACTTTGTGGCAGCCCCTCCCATCATAGGCCCAGAGGCCTAGGAGGAAAACATGGTTTCATGGGCAGGTCCCAGGATCCTTGTGCTGTGTGCAGCCTAGGGACATGGTGCCCTGCGTCCCAGCTGCTCCAGCCATGGCTGAAAGGGGAAAATGTAGAGCTTGGGCTGTGGTTTCAGAGGGTGTGAGCCTTGGCAGCTTCCAAGTGGTGTTGAGCCTGCTGGTACACAGAAGCCAAGAATTGGGGTTTGGGAACCTCCGCCTAGGTTTCAGAGGGTGTATGAAAATGCCTGAATGTCCAGGCAAAAGTTTGCTTCAGGGGTGGGGCTCTCATGGAGAAACTCTGCTAGGGCAGTGGAGAAGGGAAATGTTGGGACAGAGCCTCCACACAGAGTTCCTACTGGGGCACAGTGGAGCTGTGAGAAGAGGGCCACCATACTCCAGACCCCAGAATGATAGATCCACCAACAGCTTGCACTGTGCACCTGAAAAAGCTGCAGACAAAACACCAGCCCATGAAAGCAGCTGGGAGCGAAGTTGTACCTTGCAAAGCCACAGGGGTGGAGCTGCCCAAGACCATGGGGACCTATTTCTTGCATCAGTGTGACCTGTATGCGTGAAATGGAGTCAAAGGAGATCACTTTGCAACTTTAAGATTTGAGCTTGGATTTTGAGCTGGCAGGGGGCCTGTAGCCCCTTTGTTTTGGACAATTTCTCCCATTTGGAATGGCTGTATTTACCCAATGCCTGTACCCCCATTGTATCTAAGAAATAACTAACTTGCTTTTGATTTTACAGGCTCATAGGCAGAAGGGACTTGCCTTGTCTCACATGAGACTTTGGATTGCGAACTTTTAAGTTAATGCTGAAATGAGTTAAGACTTTAGGGGACTATTGGGAAGGCATGATTGGTTTTGAAATGTGAAGACATGAGATTTGGGAAGGGCCAGGGGCAGAATGATATAGTTTGGCTCTGTCCCCACCCAAATCTCATCTTTAATTGTATCTCCCATAATTCCCATTGTTGTGGGAGGGACCTGGTGGGAGATAATTGAATCATGGTGGTGGTTTTCCTCATAATGTTCTCATGGTAGTGAATAAGTCTTACGAGATCTGATGGTTTTATAAGGAGAAACCCCGTTCACTTGGTTCTCACTCTCTCTCTCTGCCAGCATCCACGTAAGACATGACTTGCTCCTCCTTGCCTTTCACCATGATTGTGAGGCTTCCCCAGTCATGTGGAACTGTAAGTCCAATTACAACTCTTTCTTTTGTAAGTTTCCCAGTCTCGAGTTGTCTTTATCAGCAGCATGAAGAATGGACGAATATAGTGTTTATGTAAATATAAGGAATTTATCAAGATGACTGCAACAGGGATCCTGCCCTTAGGAATCTTATGTCTATGCCTTCAACTACATAGAAATTAGTATTTGCCATAAAAGGTACAGATACTATGGAATTTTATGAGAGGTTGATTTTTACTTACACCAATTCCTAGTTTAGTAGGCTTCTGATGTTTCCTTTCCAAAATGATATTATTCTTAAATGTCTAAACTTCCTAGAGTCAATCTATTATGCATAAAAGGAAATAACTCATTATTTTAAAGTAATAACTCCAGATTTTTACTAAGGTGCTTCTCAATTCTTCAGTTCCACAAAATTGTCATTAAATAGTGTTTTTAGGGGCCAAATATATATGTTATAGCTCTAGATTAGACTCTTAAACAGGCACAGTCTGTGGCCTTAATGAGCGGAAAATCTCAGTGGGACATCAAATAATTTATGTATATACATATAAATGGTATGATGGAACTCCCTGATTATTTATAACAATGAAGTAAGAACTGACATAGACATCTTTAGAGGCTCTTCCATTACTGGGACCAATTAATTGGATTATAATAAAGGGGAGATAGAGCCAGACTCGATACCAGGGAAAATATAAGAGTTGGGATTTTGGTTAATGCAAAGGGTGGAATAGAGCTAGCTTCAAAATGCGATTCAACTGGGTACTCTGTCACTTTAAGCTAGCTCTAATGAAATAAGATGAGTAGGTTCATGTTTGGGGGGCATGGAAGAGAAAGATCCCTTTTTTTAAAACCTAGATTGAAATGCTCTGACATACTTGTAGTATGCACAATTTTGCCATTTTATGATTAATGATGGATTCAGAAAGGGCTTCTCTAGGTACATCTTAAGAATGCATTAAGAGAACCTAATGGGAACTGACAACCCTGAGGTATGCCAATCATCTCTCCTCATACTCTGAAGAAATAGAACTCTATGACTAGTCCAATAGGAAAACACTGATTCCGAAGAGGAAAGGGCCAGGCCAAAGGTCTTAAACTTGTCAGATTCTATGCTTTGATACTGTTTGATGTTCACTTGGTTTTCAAATGAAAAAATTCCTTTCGAAAAAATAAGTGTTAATTCTGTTTCAGTGAACCAATGGCCTGCAGATTGATTGATCCTCATTTCAGTCAGTGCAGTCAAGGAACACGATGGTGCTCGAGGGACAGGTAGTCATGGCAGCAGTAGCTGAAGCTTCCTTGGCTCAGACTCTATCTAGGATCCTCGGAGGCTTCGGTAAAACTAGAAGCAAAAATGCCGGATAAATGGGCTAGGAGGTGAGGACACAGACTTTTCTTCACCTGGGTATGTTCTTTACCAAGCAGCCAACATTCAACTGATCTGGGCTAAGAGAATGAGGAAACGCTAAAGAAGAACAAGTAAAGGTGATTAGTTCATCAGAGCATCTTTGTCAAGAACTCAAGACTGATGCACTAAGAAGGTGTGGGTGGACTCTAGGGAGCTGCTAAGGAGAAAAGCAACATGGTCAAGGTGGGGCAGAGAACTCCTCTAGGCAGCAGCATGAGCGTTTAGCATAAACCCTTTTCTCCTCACATTTGCTTAAGGCAGGGCGAGCAAATCCTGTGGACTGCTGCTGTGAATCTAGCTGAGTTGGTTTCTAACACTTCATATTGTACATGTCATTGTCAATTTGGTAAACCAGGCAGTGACTGTAACCACCATTTCAGGAGTCTCATAAAGTGAAACTGCATTATAATTTCAGCAGTGTTAAGAGAAACTGAAGTTTTCAACAAAATGAAACCCTGTAACTATAGATATCAAACTCTATGTTCCCTGAAAGTAGCTTTACAGCATATAAAACCAACCTTCCTTTCTGCAATTAAACCAGAACAAGATAGATGTTTCTCATTCCTTGACGTAATGGCCTTGAGGCATCTTAATGGAAACACTCTAATAAAAGTTTATCTCAAATACTGACCAATAGTTTATCTCTGGCTGCAGTGAGAATGGAGGGCAGCAGCCTTCAGCATTCAGCCCTATCGAAAAAGAAGCTTCAGTGTCAAAACGTGGCAATGAAGAAATCAGGATGAACTGTGAGAACCATGAGCACAAGAAAAACACAATTACTTCTAGCCTGAGCCGCTCACCTCACAATTTCAGAGAAGCAATATGTGATCTCTCAGCCAAAAGGTCTTCTGAAGACCTCCTGATACCATTGTCAAACCATCTATGGTGGCCAGAGATGAATAGAATATTCTCCAATTTCTCCATTCTCTGAGAGGCATGTGAAAGAGAACAGGGCATTGCTGTACTTCTCACACTGGAGCTGAGCCATTTGAAAAGAAAATCGCTTTTTAATCTCTAAAAGAAAGGAAAAGAAAGGGAAATCTTTGAGCAGCTATAAAGAAAATCCTAAGAAGTGTTCAGAGGGAAAAGCACTCCCAGGAAATGCACCCACTTGCCAGCTCTTCGCATTAATATGACACCATCAGCATGGATAGAAACCTGAATTTCATTTCCCTCACAGCGTCTTCCGTTTCCCCAGGAATCATGACGTTTACAAGCTTTGCCTCCCATAATGACTGCATTCCACAAACTTCAGGCCCAATTCACACATACATATTCTACTCTCCAAGTCTGTCCCCTCAGTGGGAGACGAGGGTTTGAATGATCCTCATTTCCTGTCAGTGCAGTCAGGGGACAAGATGGTGCTCAAGGTACGGAAACAAACAATAATCAAGACACCTTTATCTTAAAGGAAACCATGAGGTTTGGGATATGTTCCGTAGTTATTTTCATGTCCAAAATGATTGCTTAATATCTTTAGCTTTATTTACTGAAGGGGAAAGCAGACACGATGTACACTGAAATTTAGCAGCCCAAAATGAAATTCAATCACTAAATTCATTTTCTGTTGTTTATTTTTGTTTGGAAATACCATCTTCTTTTAGTGCTGTGATCTGACCAGAAAAGCCATCTCTGTTTAAATGACAGTCACTATTATTGGACTTTAGAAACTCACTCAGTTGTGGGTCAGGGCCTTGGAATTTTGAGTAAGTCCGTGTTTGAGTTGGTCTCAGTTTGGGTCTGTTTTACAAGCTACTGGCTATGCAACCTTGGCCAACTTATGCACCTCCCTAAATCTCAGGTTTTTCAGCTCTAAAATGGCAGCTATGGCAGCTACTCTACAAGCATATTGGGAAGATAAATTCAGACAATTGTTATAAACAGTGATGCCTGATTATCTGGTAAGTGCTCCATAAATGGTAGGTGTTATTATTAGCAGCAGTAGTATTCAGCTTCTCAGGCAAAGGATGTATAAACTAGGCAGGATAGGCTGAGACTAAAATATTCAATGTGTCTTCTGTTTCCTTTTGTTGTGTTTCACTTTCTGGCAATGAAAAGACATTAGTGAGCCTTTCAAAAAAGAAACAGACCCAAAGTTTTTTTTTTTTTTTTTTTTTCTGCGTTCAACTGGTGCCCTCTTTGTTTGGCCATGCACACACTGTCTCAGTGAATAATAAAAATTCTATAATGTTTTCACTCGACTTCTGCCTCTTGGCAGCCATGACCAAAATCACCCTGCAGCTGTCATTTACAACAGGGATCCCCAGCCAGTCACTTGGAGCCACCCTGCTGTGAGGGGCAGCTGCTCAAGAGTATTTCAAGCAGGAAAGTGACAGAGCCAGATGCTATCAGGAATCCCTCAATGAGTTCCAGGCATTAGAAAACAGTAAGCCTCACTCCCCAGAAGGATGGGGACTCCTGCTTCCAACCCATGCCAGGCAGCTAACCATATGATCTTTCTGAGATCTTGCTAATTACAACAGTGAAAACAATGAAAGAAAAAGGCCCAGATAGTTTACAGTTCCCAGAGCCCTCAAAATTAGGAGAAAACCACTGAAGCACAGTCATACAGTTTCAGGGAAAGGTAGTCTGTTATGATATCCTTTAAACCTTCCTAACAGGAGTTTAGAAATTTTAAATGCAATTATATACATGATAATAATGCATAACTTGAACATATATACAATATTCTCAAATATATAACATTCTCTCTTTAAAACACTCTGAATTCAATAACCTATTTAGGAAATCTAGGATCCTAGAGTTTTCCTCAAATTCTTCTTCCACTAGAATGGCCAAGATATCCAGAAAAGCGTTTTGAGAAATGCTAGTTCTTGAACTGTCAACAGGTGTTACTCAAAAGGTATGCCTAAACTTATCTGGGTGAAATCAAATTAAATACCATATGATCCTTTATCTCCAGACACTCAGAGCTTTTAATATGCTAATGTGCCCTGTGTATAGGATTTCCTAAATATGTTTGATCATGTAGTGTGTATGTGTGTGTGTAGCAATGGTAGGAACATGTTTTCTTTGCAGTGCACTTTAGGAAATGCAGCCCTATACTGTAAGCAGCTTTAGGGCAAGGGCAAAATTTTATTTTTCCTCATTATTGCTAGACCCTAGCACAATGCTTGTCATGGATTTGGTATTTAATAACATTTGTTGAATGAATTAATGAATACTAAGGTGATTTCTCAAATCAACTGATAGATACTTAGGCAGCATTGGGGAGAAAATAGCTGCTGGCCAGGCCAAAATAGTGGATGCTAAGACATGTCAACTAATGGAGAGCATAATTAATCTTAGAGTAAAATTTAGAATAATTTAAAAAAAAGAACTTGATATTATGTCAGGAAACAAGAGCATAGTGAGCTACATTCTAGTAAAACAGAAATTATTTTATTATAAGAAATTCACTAGATGAGGCTATGCAAATGAGTTGTGTAGAATATCATCTTCTATCTGCCTATACACCAGTGATAGGAATTACTAAAGGCCTATCCTGCCCCAAGGTAGGGTATCTCCTTGTTTGTCATCTCTCATTTCACCAGGAGCACACGACAGGTTCTCAGGCATGATTGTCCTGTTAATTCTTAATGAATAGATGCTGGTGCAAGGAGAGTGAACAGCCTGGAGAAAGTACATTTCTGCACTTGAGGTTCCCTTTTATGGCCCTGACACCCACAAGGACCACACAACACACCAGCCACTGCTGCCCCCGGCTCAGCCCTTCCCTAACCCACAGGCAGTATAAAGACCATCTGGACCACTGTTTGCAGGCTGTGTGGATGATGAGTGTCCCACCAAGTCACTGCAGATGTGATAAGGAATCCCACATGAGCTGCCAGGATACCGGTTGCCAAGCCTAGCCCCTTTCTCCCATGAAGACTTACGAGGATGCTGGAGAGGAAAGCTGAGGACCTGTTCACACCTGGCAGGGTGGTTGATACAAGGAGATATAATATTTTCCCCATGTGATGGGAGATCATCAAACAACTGGATAGTTGACTGTGCTGGAGAGAATGTGGGGCTATAGGCACTCTCATGCATTGTTAGTAGAAGTGTGTCTTGGTAATAAGAAGTGATACATCAGTTTATGTTGTCCTGGGCACTGTTTTAAGCACATTACATGCATTTACACTTTTAATACTAAGAACAACTCATGAGGTAGATACTAATCACCCTCATTTTAGAGATGTGGAAACTGAGGCACAGAAAAGGGAAGTAACTATCTCAAAGACACATGGCTAGTAAGTTGTAATATAGTCTCTTCAGAGGGCATTCTACAAATTTTAAATTTTTAAATGCTCCTACCACTTCCATATAGCTAGCTTAGGGAAACACTAGCAAATATGTATAAGGAAGCATGTAAGGATGTTAATTGTAGTAAAACTGGAAACAATCTAAATGTTTATCTATAATGGAATGACCAATTAAAAGTTACTATATTCATATAATGGAGTACCATAGAATAATTCAAAGGGATGAAATATATATGAACAAGGAATGATCTAAAAATTTTTGTTGAGTGAATAAAGCAAGTTTAAGTATGATGCACATTGTATAGTTCCATTTACATAAAGCCCAACCAAAAAAAAGTAAGATATATTATCTGCATGTGGAAAAAGATATGCCAATCTTGTTAGTGGGGCAGGAGCAGACACCAAAATTAATAGTAGTAGTCAATGGAGATATTACCTTTCAAATTAATGTTCTGTTTATTTTTGAAAAGAATATATAAATATATTACTTGTATAATTAAAAACCCATACAGGCCAGGCGCAGTGGCTTACGCCTGTAATCCCAGCACTTTGGGAGGCTGAGGTGGGTGGATCACGAGGTCAGGAGATCGAGACCAGTCTGGCTAACACGGTGAAATCCTGTCTCTACTAAAAATACAAAAATTTAGCCAAGTGTGGTGGCACGTTCCTGTAGTCGCAGCTACTTGGGAGGCTGAGGCGGGAGAATTGCTTGAACCTGGGAGGCGGAGGTTGCAGTGAGCCGATATCACGCCACTGCACTCCAGTCTGGGTGACAGCGCAAGACTCTGTCTCAAAAAAATAATAAAAAATAAATAAATAAACCATACAAAGTAAAAAGCAATCAAGTGGCTCATTAGGAAAAATTAAACAAAAAACAAAACAAACCAAGTAAACAAGAAGACAAACCAAATACAGCAGCTGAGCTTAGCTTTCCATCACCATAATTTTTGGACTTGCCTAATGTACACATAAAGGAGATCCTTCAAGTTTTATCCTTTCACTCATTTTCTGGAAACTTCATATTTTTATGAAGTTTTCACTCATTTTCTTAAAATCTTATATTATTTATTTTCATCACTCATTTTCTTAAAATCTTATTTATTCCAAGAGTAGGCTGGTTAGGAATTGTTGGTAGACTGGTAAATTAACTACATCTTGTGTTGAAGGCAAAGGAGGTGTTATCTGCATAAAGTCAGATAATTCAGTTGCAATTTTTCAGTATACTTTTAAATCTCTGGCAGAATATCTATAATCAAGCAAGTCTCCTCTTCCATGCCAGCAGTTGCTGCATTTTAAGTGCTTTCCTAGGGATTCTATGTTGCCAAAAAATACAATTACTTTTCAGTTACTTCAGAAAACTTTTAAACAAGCTCTAAGAAAATGTCAGAATCTGAAATAAGAATCTGCAAAAAAACTTGTTTCAATCACATCCATTTTGGCTGCGAGGTGCAAGCTTGGTGATTCCATCTTGATAGATTGTGTTTCATTTGCCTTGTAAGCACCATGTAATTTATGTCTGGAGTTGAATTCTATCAGAGGAAATCTGAGCTCTGCAGGATTTGCTGTCGGGCTTCTCTTTGTTTAAGTTACCCCGTGAAGGCCTAGGATCTGTCTTCTGGTCGAGTCTGGTGTTTCCTTGGATCAGCTGCACACATGCTATAAATACAATGAATCTCCAAACTGATCTCACATAATTACAAAGAGGCAGTGGGCATTAGAGACTTCTAACAAACTTTCAAAATTTCTGAAATGGCCGTAGACTTCTATTTTCTATGATGATTTTTAAACTAGAAGATCACTGTCTCTAACAGAGCATAGGAAGATGGACAGGAAACCATATTATTCCCAAGGCCTTAGCTGATCTCTGGAGATGTGGAGAAAACTGAGACTGAGTGCCTACTGTGTGCTGCTAATGCTACTTCAAAGTATCACATATGTTATCTTATTTAACAAACTTGTACAGTGTTGGCATTCTTCTTTCCATTTTCCAAGATGGGACACTGAGGTACTAAGAAATTTGGTCATATGACATAATACAATGTATTATGTGTCAGAGACAGAATTTGAACCTGGATTTGTCTAAATCATAAGTCCAGACTCTTTCCACAAAATAACCACGAAATATTATATTAATTTAGTCAGTCTGTTCACATGGTATTTGAGATAATATTGAGCTATTCTGTTCAATAGAAAGTGATCAGAATAATTTACTGACTTTCTTAATATGCACAACCCTAATTGAGGACCAGGCAAGGGGAGAAAGTATACAGGACTGTTCTTGTGCCTGTGATTTCAATATACTCATACACCTTACAATGTAGTACGCTGAATTCAGGCAGCCGCCACAGGAAACTACCTGAAGCAGAGTTACATTGGCATTGGGAAAGTGTGGCCCATTCAGGTGAAGCCCATGTTCATTTTTCATGCTGCACCACACTGAAGTGGGATGGATTTCTTTCAGCCCCACCAGTCCTCACTATCACCTGCCGCTCCTATCAACTGTCCCTGTTTGCTCCCACTAGGACCAATTGCCCAGAGTGTGGGCTGCTTGATCTCATTATCAGAGGAAAGCAAACGGTAGTTGCAAAGGAAGAATGTGTCCTCCTTGTCCCCTTAAAGCCATGACAATCAACGGCAGGCATATTCTTCAATAACAAGCCCAAGGCCACACTGGCAGAACCTGAAGCTCTTATCAGGCCTGAGGCTGCTGCATCCTGCCAGAGAAGAGACTTGAAACAGCTCAGAAGAAAGTGCAAAGGATGGAGTGATTCATTAACTCACTCTTTCTCAGTAGCGACTGTGGCTCTGCTCTGCCTGGAATCTGAGGGCATTCAGTTTAGCATAAAACTGAACATCCTTTTAGGAGCTTCTGGGCACTTTAACATTCCAGCCATCTTTTATTAAAGTATTTATTTATGACATTTACAACGTGCCAGGTACTGTTTTAGGTACTTAATGGATATTCACCAAGGGGAAAATAAAAACAGTGAACAACCACTAAAAGGCATTCATGAAAATAATCAAAGTAATATACATTTGCGTTTGTGCTACAATTGTGACTATATAAGATATGTATGCACCAGGCTCAAGAATGCAATAGCAGATACGCAACGGAAAATAATTATATTGGTATCCAGAAAGACAGTCGATTTTTTTCAACTTTTCAACAATTTTCCTTGATGTTGATTTTATGTTGATTTTATAATTTAAAGAAAACAAACAAAAATAGTAGTCAAATTAGGCTCTCCAGGTAACTTGTTTGAACTGTATGTTGTGAGGGTCTCTGATTTTTTTATGTAGTGGGGTGTAATTTTTTTTCTAATTTTAATTAGGAACTTGGATTATCAGAGTATTGGAACTTAGTGTCATTTGGAATAACAGCTGGGCATGATTGTAGTAATAAATATATAAAGAAGAGGAAAATCTAGCTTCTAAAAGAAGCCTCTATTGAATTTTGATGTTCATTTGTTATATTGTCAAATTGTAATTTCTAATTATGGGGGGGGATAAGTGGATACTGTAGCCAAGAATTACAAAATAGGGCTATGCATTGAAGTATATTCTCATATACTCTTGTCTAACTGAATTTATTATTTGAGACATTGTTGTAGAAACCATCCCAGGTTGCCCAAAATTTATGTTAATGTATTGTTTCTGAAGAGCCTTTATGCATATGTTAGTTATGCTATTTAACCAGTCAAACATTATGTGTTATTGGCAAATAGATGATGATAAACTACTATATTTGAGTTTTGTGCTTTCTGTCCTTTACCATCATCTTTTCATCTGTGTGAATAGCAGCGGATATAGGCTCATCCTTGAGGCTAAGTGCCATCTCATCTAGGTTGTTGGTTTTTTGTGTCATTTATTTAACAAGCAAAGATCTTGTACTGTTTTATTTATATATTTTGTATTAATGAAAGAATTAATATATTATCACCACCAACTCATTTGACCAATTTCTCATTATGAATTTGCAACATTTCTGACTATTAAATGCCTTCAAGCATTACATAAACAATTTCCAATTGAGCAGGTCTTCAGGAACTTTTATGTAGTACCAAACATCACTTTTAATGTTTTTTAGTTAAGTGTGTAGAGGTTTTTGTGCTATCCCTGAAAACAATCTGGTGGTTCATTTTACTGCATCTAGAAAGAATTCAGTCTCATACTATGGTTAAAAAAATAAATAAAATGCACAGAATGAGAAGCATTTCCACGAGTAATTTCACACATGCTGCTAAGTACTGCAGAGTATTGCCAAGCCTAGCCTTTAATCTCTATGGGAAGCCATACAGCTGTAAACTCTTATTTGCTGTCACATGTCTTTTGCAAGGTTATTAGAAAAGATAGGAGACCAGAAGTCCTTCCATGTTACCTTACTTTATTTTTTGACCAGGTTTTATTACATTATCCCTTTATATCTGTTGATAGCTCAACATGTGCATATTTCACCAGCCTCAGGCAAAATTATGAAGTAGGATTCATGAGGCTTTGGTGTTCTTCCCACTCTGCCTTCTGGGTCCTCGCCTGCATTCTCTCCCCGGAAGTTTCTCACTTTCTGAACCCAGCCCCTGCTCTCTGTCCAATCTACTTATTGACAATTTTAAGGGTGTATTTTCGGCCAAATGCAGACCAACGTGGTCCATTCATGGATCACCGTGTTTTGTCTCCCAGGTAAGAATCTCATGTGATAAAACTTGGGCTTGCTGAAGTGGTCTATCTCTTGGAGTGGGGATGCATACTTCTAGATCTTCAGCAGGCTCTAAATTTGCTTCAGCCTGTCTTCTTGCAAGACTCAATAGATGTGCTTTGGAGTATTACTGAATTCCTTTGCCTTGACTTCTGTCACTCTGGGCTAAAACTCAAACTGCCGTGCAGTTTCTCAGCTTTGATGTTCCCCTCCTAGTACTGGAAACCGTTCCTGAAATCCTTTAGAACTTGTAAGAAATAATAATTTCCACTGTTAACTATGTGAGGAGGGTAGGGTGAGTGGGGTAGGGGATGGTTTCAGCAGTGTGCTGAGCCTGGAGAACTGATTGTTAAATTTTCAGGAATTTTGTGAGCCAATTCCCATCACCTTGATAGCTTACAATCAGCCACAGGTGGGAGAATTTACACCACGAACTGGCAAACTAGCTGTCCCCCACCTCTAGCCAGTGTAAGAAGAGCCAAGATTGGCATGAAAAGCAGTGTTACTGCTTCCTCTCCACACCATGCTCTCAGTGTGTCTAGCTGGCCTGCATCCATATTTCTCACTCTTGGACCCCTCCTTGCTTCGCACATTAAGCATTCATTAAGAATTTATTGAATGAATGAATCAGTTTGAGACAGAGGATTTTTTTTACACAGTGTGTGCTAGTTGTTCTGATCTTTGCCAAAATGTCAAAAAGTCAAGGCCTCTTCCCTCCTTGCTCCTATTTGCCTATTTAGAAGTTCCCATGGTTAATTGCCTCCTCGCCTACGACTTCTATCGTTCTTTTATTCCTGGAACTAGAGTTCACTATCCACTGTATTGCCCCCTTGCTCACTCATATCCTATAGGATATATTCTAATAAGGTTAGGAAGAAAGAATAAAGGAATTTTAGCTTTTCAGAAAACCTGGTTTCTAGTCTCAATTCAGCCACATGATATCCTTGTGACCTCAGAGAACACACGGCCTCTCAGATCCACAGTGCCTTCATGTGTAAGTGAAAATGTTGTTACTGCTATGCTCACCTCAGGTGGGCTCCCGAGGATCAAAGGAGTTGGTGCATGTGACAGGGCTTTCTAGACTATAAAGTGCTCCACAAATGTTAGTTCTTGTTAAAAGTAGACAGACGCAATGAAGTATCATTGACTTCAGAAACAACAAGAGTTAGTTGAAATCTACCTCTATGATTGTAAGCAAAACTCACCTTTCCTGAATTTCTGTTTCTTCATCCTCAAAACAGAAATAATACCCACTAACACTCAGGGTTGTCAGAGTTCAGTGACACAATGTCAACAAAGGGCCTGACTAGCACAGTTTCCCAGTAACCTCTTCTCTTCTCTGATTTCCTGGCTCAAATGTCTTTGGGATGATATTATCATCATTGTTATTGGTCCATCCTTAAGTTTCCCCTGTCCTCAAGAAAGTATATTTATATATTATTATTGGTTATGTGCAGGCTCTGGAGTAGGACTATCTGGCTTTAATCCTGGCTCTGCACTTGCTAATGCTGTGTTCTTGAGCAAGTCACTGTGCTTCTCTTGGCCTCTGTTATCTTTTATAGGGAACAGTACCTCCCTGAAGTGACAAACCATCCCAGTTTGTCTGTGACAGGACTTTCAGTGCTGAAATCAGGAAAGTCCTAAGCAAACAGGGATGAGCTGGTGACCCTATTACCTACCTCACAGGTTTTTTAACGAGGATGAAAGGAGTTATAAATGTGAAGTGCTTAGAACAACACCTGCAGTTAGTATTACATCTCACTATTATTTCTCCAGAAACAGTCCTTTGGTCCAAAAATTGAATAGTGGGTTTAAGGGCACAGGGACAAATCACAGCAGAGACAGAGAGGCCTCCTCAGAATCACTCATCCAAGCCCAGGCACAGCCACCTCCCCGGGGCCTGCTGCTGACACTGTTCTGAATCATCCTCTGCTTTCCAGGGTCATACGCAGAGGGGAACCACCGCAACTGCCATCCTTGTCTACAGCTACGACTGTCCTTCTGGTCACTTTGAACCTGCTGCCCGAAGGGAAGAGAGGGGATGAAGAAAAAAAAAAACCTACCTCATTGTTTGATACTTCTTGTGAGGATTGACGAAGCCCTAGAGGGTGAGGGGAGGTGAGGCCAGGGTTGAGCTTCAAATCCCTGACTTCCCTATCCTGCCTCTGAACAGGCTCCAGTGGGGGCCATGAAGTATATTTCTGATGCTGTATATTGCACATGATTGAGGGAACTTGACATATTAATTCTGTGCTTCTCCCTGGGTCTGAAATAGCACTGCCTGGAGTCCAGTCCTGCATCTGCCTCTGCTAGGTAGGTGACCTTGGAATTGTTATTTAACTTCTCAGTTCTTTCATCTGTAACACAGGGAATAGTAAAAACAGGACCAACACCATAAAAGTGTTGTGTTATATGAGATAATTCATGTCAGGAAATTTTCTCAGAGCCTGGCCTAGTATGGCAAACTAGGTGAAACTATAGTAAATTATATATAGGCACTGAGGGGAAATGAATATGTGTTTTGTTGGTATGCCTACATTTCCAAATATTAACATCTTCCTTTTAGATAACTTACATATAAAATTTATTCACTCATTTTTACCATCCCTTTGAAATTAGAATGTTAAAATTATGACAATATTTTTCCAGGCCTAATGTTGAAATGGAAATCCTGTGTGGTTTCTATGCTTTGTTAAGAGTTTGCTCATTGTCAATAACCAATAAGAATTTAAAATCTGAGCTTTCAAAAACTGGTTCCAGAAATTAGGTTTTAGTGTGTCATCAGTTCTACCAGAAAGAATGCCAGGAATAAACATCAGACAATAAAGTTATATCTTGCATGTTTAATTGCTTGCATGTTTACCAAAATCACTCTTTTCATAACAATGAAATTCTTGCTCTTCTCCCTTATGAGTGTTTCCAAAGCAGTTTTAATTGTGACAAGGCAATCAAACAATGTCCTAAGTTCCTCGTTCTATTTTCCCTACCTTAATGCTTTTCTGGGTTTGATTCCTTCATACTCCCTGGTATATTTCCATGCAGATGATCTTATGTTTGGAAGCACAAAACAAGGCAAGGCTTTTGCCTTTAGACATGCTGTTGCTGCCAGAATCCCCTGTGAGCTCCCTTTTCCATTGTTTCCAAGCATAATAACAGGATCACCCAAGGGTCTTTATTAAAGCATTGGGGCCAAGATTGTACCACCAAAAACAGCCCTCTGGACTCACTTTTTTATACAATCTGGCTCCTCTATAACAAGCTTTCAGGTTATGTCGGTGATATGACTCACAAAGGGAAAGAATCTTCTGGCCTCCTGATGCACTGTCTTCCCAGAGTTAACTGATGTGCAGTGTGAATCCAGTGTTTCAGCATACATAACATAAAATGAAAAGGATTATATATAGTGAGCATTGCCAAACTGTACTGTCTGAGTAAGTGCAGGCCAACATACCCTTTAAAGGTAATTTGAACAATTATTTCCATTTCTGCTACATCTCCGAATTTCCCCTATCCTTATAGAATTCAGCCTGCAAATTGAAGGTCAAAGAATGTTCATCTCTGAATTTTATGGCATCTAAGTTTAAAAAACTGCACCCGTTCATCAAACTTTAGACCAAAAATCTATGTGTACTACCCTGTGTAAATTAAACCTCATTTTAGAAATGGGGTGAGGTGTTGATGGGGAGGAATGCCCAAAGATCAAGTAATTCAGAACCTCTTGGTGGTGGGGCCTGGATATGGGTATATTTTCAAAACTCTCCAGGTGACTCTAATACACAATTGGCAGGAATACCCTATGATAAAGGAAAATTGAGAGTGGTTTAGGTTCAGGGTTTGGGCACTCCTGCAATATCTGGACGTATCTATGTCTCCTAGCACTGAACTCCTACCATCAACCTCAATTAGTATGCTACAGAAACTTCAGTAATGCCATTGCCTTTTAAGCTGGTTGCCACCCTTCTGACCCTTTCCATCTAGACCATCTAGAAATTTTATTAGGTATGCTTTTGTGAAGGGTATTTATGAAGTGGCAATGACCCCAGACTCTCTCCTCCTTTCATGGCCAGAATAAACATTGGCCTTACTATAAAAAGAAATGCATGAAAAAACTGAGCTTACTCAGGGAGTAAAATTATTATTTGAATTACAGCAAAACAAGTTTGACTCTTTTTCTTGCCTTGCTTCTCTTTTCGTGTCGCCATGGGAGCACTTCCACATGACACATTTAGACCTAAGAAGGAACTGCCAGTTTCACACAAGAAGGAATGAACATGTTCACCGCAAACCACAGGAAGCATGACTGGCAGCTTCCTGGGCCAACCCAGAAATGTGGCTTGCACCAGGAATGATGGAATAGATTGTATCTCTTCCTTCTGTCATGCTTTTGTACTCTACTGGCAGAATTTTTTTTTGAAAAATGACATTCTTTATCCCATGTCCTTGATCAGAATGTTCCAGTAGAACTGCCGGTTGCAGAAAAAACTGTAATCTTCACAGTTCACCACTAAATGGTCTTACTCCTCGAGCCCAAAGCTACTAGTTCTAGCCTGATTTTCCACTACTTGTCTGCACTATTTCTTGCTGTTCCTCAAGTGAGTTCTTCTCTCTCCCACCCCACTTCTTTCCCTGTGCCTTATTCCTGGAATACCTTCTCTCCAAACCTCACTTCTCTTTCCAGCCTTGGTGTCCCCGACCACATCAGCATAGGCCTTCTCCTTTCCTGAAAGTTTGAGCCTGTATTCCTGCCAGACTGAGCATGAGCTTTGGACTCAGAGAGATCCACTTTAAAATCCTATGACCTTCAGGAAGTTCTTTCATTTTTTATCTTTAAAAAAAGGGGATGATAATAATACTCCTGGGGGTGGATTGCTGTAAGAATTATATGAGATCACATGTGAATGCACTTAGATGATCAATACATATTTGCCTTCCCTTTACCACTCAAATAGCATTGCTTTCTACTGTGGGTTTTTGAAAGCACATCTTACTGTCTCTATCAAAGCCTAGGGTCCTTGAAAGCAAGGGTTTTTTTTTTTTTTAAAAAATAACTTCTTTGAATACTCTCTAACACTAAGAAGAGTGCCTTGCATGTAGAAAGTACTCCACAAATATTTTTGATGGCTGAATAAATAAATAAATGAATTTTCTGGCTCTCTGTTGGATAAAAGATAATGGCATGGAGGGGGATATGATGGAGAGAGCCAGTTTACTTAAAATATAGTGCCTTGACAAAATGTTGTAACAATTAGCATCAATGATAATTATGGAAAACATATTAAATAACTTATCCGGTTATATACTAACCTATTTAGGCTTCCTGGGCAAAAAGAAATGTTGAATGTTCCATACAACAGCAAAGAGGTACTCAGGATCACACAAAAATAAATTCATTGACATTTGATGTTCTTATGCTTACAATGTAAAGAATAAAATGGGTTCTTGTCGTTTCCTTTTTAAAAACTTCCCTTTAATAAACTACCCACGACTGTGTGGTCCAGATGGTTGTTTGGTATATCAGTGTGAAATAATGCTTTACATTCTGTGAGAATAGAGAGGAAGCACACAAAGGGATGCCTTATGGACAATCCAGGCAGAGATAGTGCCTCTCTCGCAATAGGGACACACTTTTTTTTTTTTTTTAAAGATTCTGTATATAGAAAGGTTATTGCTTCATTATGAGGTGAACTGTTTGACAAAGAGATGATGCCAGAGAGTTCATATTCCTTAGGAGGAGACATCTTAGTCCTCTCTCCAGAGAGAAAGAAAAAAGAATTAGATGCGATGTTTTTGAGTATTTACTGCCAATGCTGCTAAAAAAGCACTCATAGTCTTATTAGATGACACAAGAATAGACTCAGTTTTATATTGCAAGGTAGAAATGGGTCATTTATTGATGTTTAAGATCCATCAAGACTTGCAGGTAAATTGAGACTCTTGACAGATGACCTTGAAACAAAACAGTGCAATATGATATTTCTCTACCACCAGAAAAAAAGACATTTTTGACAGCTGAGAAATAGTGGCCAGATCTTGAAGTCATTTTTATCCCTCTTAGAGGAATTTGAAATATAAAACTTAGGACAGAGGTCACATCTTTGCTAGGCTCTTCAAGAGCTTAAAGTAATATCAAGATCCCACAGATAAACAATGACTTCTAATCATTATGTTTTTAAGGAAAAATATGTGATAGGATTTAGTGAGAAGTAAATTTATACCATGTTTTAACAAATGCCTCATCATTTTATATGTTTACTCAGTTGTGCCTACATTTTCATATCTAATACTGATGGAAAAATATAGGTTAATGTAAAAGTAGTTGATGTAAATGCATGATAATAGTACCATGGTTATCTCCTCACCTAGTAGTCTTTTGGGTAATAAGTATGACCAACATTAAACAATGCTACAGTTTATTAGAACCTTCAGAAATTTTAAAATCTGGAGTATTCTTTCAGGTCTCATAAAACTATTTCAAAAGGGAGAAAATAACTTTTATATTAATAGTATATTAGAGCTAATGGACAATCAATTACACATTTTTTTTTTCTTCTAGTGGATTAGATTTGCAGCAGGAAGGAAATTTGAAAGGAAAGAAAAGAATAAAATTCTAGGACCTATCACTCTCACCAAGATACAAAACATTTACCAAGAATCAACTGATGTAATGTTATTGTTACCCTCTTTACCAAATACGGATACTAATGCTAGAGATTTTTTCCCAGTTTCTTTCTAATCTAAGTCTGACTCTAAAACATAAATGAAGAAAAATATATCACAATGTGTTATTTTACTCTCTTACTGGAGGAAGGCTTTTGCTGACACCCTATCTGAAATGGATACCTTTTGCAGCATAAGCTGTGCTTCTGAACTTTTGTCTCATGATGTGCAAGCATAACAGACATTCAAAAGACTGAGGATACAAAAATGGGGATTCATAGTTTAATGTATGCCCTTTTTCATATTTTTCTTCAATCACACACTGTCATTTTGAACCACATTGCTTTCCTAATCAATGATAGTGTAGATGGAAGAATTTTCAAAAAATGTTATACCTAAAACTGATAAAAAGGTATCAGTCCATGTTTCTCCCTAATTATCCTAAATCAACACTGTTTTCTAGAAGTTTTCATTTCTTTATTTTTTTCCTTTTAATCTCCAAGGTACTCTAATTGCTTCCATATTATAAAGATTGTTAATATTGTCATGACAACTAAGGAAACTTTGCCACCAGAAGTTATTCAAAATACAATGAAATACTTACTGTGGGGTTTTCTAGTGTTGACTGAGATTATAAAAATATGCTTTGTGCTTCCCACCTCAATCTAGATCAAAGTGTTTTGGACTAATTTGTCTGCTTACATCAGGAAAAAGTGTTTGCTTTTAATCATTGTGTGGGTTTGGTTGAATATATTTTAGCTGTAGTAATGATACACTGAAGGAAAGAATGTTTAAGGCAATAAAACCTAATTACTTTTCATGGATAGGAAAGGTAGTGAACATTCAATACGATAAACATGCAGTCTGTCTTAAGGGATATGGAGCTTCAGAAACATATACCAAGATTTTAAAAAATGTGCAAGGCTAAACCATCAAATCTAGGTTTGCAAGCTTGGATAATAAAACTATAAAGCAAAGCAAGATGGAATAATTATAAAGATCAGGTGTCTGGCTGCTTTTCTGGGAAGGGAATGGCTGTGGTTGAGACAGTTCGCATGAGAGGCTTTTGAGGTGACCTAGGAGGCGGTTAAAAGGACATTTGTCTTATAATAAATCGTTAAGCTATGCACTCATCTAGCCTGGTCTATCTGCATTTATTTTACAATGAAGTGATTTTTAAAATGTTAAGGCTACGCAGCTTCAGATTCTGAGCATAACTCTGTAGGCTATTTATAATCTGGAGGAGGTTTCTTGGACTTTAAGCAATGCCTCTGCCTTCGTATGTCTCAATATTGTACTGACAGGGTCAGAGATCAGAGAAAGATTAAGAACTGCCATAAAGACAAAGACAAAAGAATTTGAAAGTAAAATTTCAATTTAAAATTGTTTTAAAATTATTATTAAAATATTTGATGTAGGCTGGGCGCAGTGGCTCACGCCTCTAATCCCAGCACTTTGGAAGGCTGAGGTGGGTGGATCATGAGGTCAGAAGATCCAGACCATCCTGGCTAACACGGTGAAACCCCGTCTCTACTAAAAATACAAAAAATTAGCTGGGCGCGGTGGCAGGCGCCTGTGGTCCCAGCTACTCGGGAGGCTGAGGCAGGAGAATGGCGTGAACCTGGGAGGCAGTGAGCCGAGATCACGCCACTGCACTCTAGCCTGGGCGACAGAGCAAAACTCTGTCTCAAAAAAAAAAAAAAAATTTTGATGTAATAATTATACTTTTTCCTAATAGACACATGCTGAAGTATTTATAAATGAAATGAAATAATATAGTATCTGAGCTTTGCTTCAATAATAATTTAGGTATATACACAATGTATGTACACAATGGAATACTGTCCAGCCTTATAAAAGAAGGAAATCCTGTCATTTGCAACAACATGGATGAACCTGAAGGACATCATGTTAAGAGAAACAAGCCAGGCACAGAAAGGCAAGTGCTGCATGACCTTACCTACATGTGAAATCCTAAAAAATTGAACTTACAAGTTGAGAGTAGAATTATGGTTACCAAGGGTGGGGGAGGAGCGCACTGGGGAGAAAGTCAAGAGATACAAAATTAAAAAAAAAAGAATTGAGCTTATAGTTGAAACCATGTTGATAACTGGTGAAGCTGCATTATAGGTTCATGAGAGTTCATTATATGATGCTCTCTACTTTTGTATATGTTTGAACACTTCCATAATAAAATAGTTTTAAAAGTAAAGCCTAAAGTATACAGTAGGAACATACATATTTTAAAAGTTGCCTTAGGATACTATAGTCTACATGGGGTTTGTGGCGTTTCAATCAATTTTATATACTTGAATATGACTATTTGTAAAAATTCTAACTGAACGATCTTAGAGATTAGTCCTTCATTTGGGACTAGTTCAATTACAAATTAGTGGCTTAATATAATTACAATAAAATAATCCTAAAACTGAAATAAAATAAATCTAAGTGGATGAGCACATGGGCGTGTTTGCAGTTCCTGGCATTCAGAGAATCTTTGCATTATTATTAACCCACAATGAGGAAAGGAGACACAAGGAAAGACACAATTAAAATGGAGTAGAGAATTGGATTAATTTCTTAGGTAACTCACGGGAAAATAAAATACAGTGATTGTTTCTAGAGAAGCATTGTAATTTTTGCTTTTTGTCTTCTCAAGATATATCTGTACCATGGAAAGTGAAGTAGTTTGTTTATTCTCACATATCATCATTTATTTAACATAAAATGTTGAAGCTATATATAAATAAATGTGCTGTAATTCACGATCTTATGTCCTTCCTGTTAAAATCTTGTTCATTCTTGAGCTGAGCTAACTCCTTAATGTAAGAAAATATCTGTCATCTATCTCCACATAGTGTGTGTATGTGTCTGCATATACATATTTTTTTCTAAACAATTTGAGATTACACATCATGCTCTTTACCCCCTAAATATTTTAATGTATATCTCATAGTAATAGACACTTTTATATACATAACTGCAATATGATGTTCAACTTCAGTAAATATAACAATCAATTTTATCCTAGTCTACCATCTAGATGTCTGTTTTATCCATTAACACAATAACTAACATCTTTACAGCATTTTTTCTTGCAGTATGTGGGGGTGGAGTTCAGTCTAGGATCAAATATTGCATTGAATTATTAACCTTTCATTAAAATTTTTTCACAGGTTTTCTTTGTCTTCCGTGATATTGATGTTTTGAAGTACACAAAAATATACAATATTCCTTATTTGGAGTTATTTGACATTTCCTCATGATTTAACTCAAATTATAAACTCCTGGCTAGAATATCACATAAGCAGCATTGTGTCTTTTTCAATGTATCACATCTGGAAGCAAATGATTTCCATTTGTTCTTCATTAGCGATATTAATTTTGATGACACAGTGAAGCTGTTACACTATTTGTTCACTGTATAATTATTTTTTTCCTTGTAACGAATAAGAAACCCAAGGATTACCTGAAAAACATCCTGCTCCCCATCAAAATTTCCCCTATGTTTAGCGTTCATTGGTGACTTTTGCCTGAGTCAATCTTTGCAAATGAATAATTATTCAACTCCAGCCTTTCTTCTACATTTGCCACTTGACACAATAGTCTACTGTAAGCAAGAGGCCTCACTTTTTACTTGTGGATTTATCTATTAATATTTATTATTAGTATGAATGCATGGACTTCAATCTTATAATTTGGTTTATAATTCATTACTATACTCACTTATTTTGTCATTAAAAATTTTCCAGATTTGGCCAGTATCAGCTCCTTCAAGCTGGTCTCCATCTTTTTTTTTTTCTAGTACTTTATTTTTGTTGTAACAAAACTTTGTAGGCTCATCTTGTACCTATCCCACTCCAATCTTGTAATCAATCATTTCTCTGAGAAGCCCTAGTTCCTTTTAGGGAGAAATATTAGATACGAAAATAGGCATGATAAGTGTGCTAATTGCTACTGTGGTGGCTTTATTTCTAGGTGCTTTCAGTGGCCAGAGCTAGGAAATATGTGCATGTAGGTAGACACAGTCAGGCACACCTCTACATATACATATACATATACATGGGTACTTATATATGCCTATACACATATATGCATATTTTAGAAGTCATAAATTCACACTGATCCTTTTCATTTTAATTCATTCCCATAGAATTGTTTATTGTCTTTTTCAGTTCTATATTTGTAAGTTCCTTCTTCCACAGTGAGAACTCTGGATCTCAACAACATCAGCACATTTATTCATTTGCTTAATTCTGTAATGCACCTAAAATGATCCCCAAATTGCTCTGCCCATATCACTACAAAATAAATAAATAAACCTACTAAACAGAATTCAGGATTTGTTTTTAGTATTTATTCCATTACATCCCCAACGAAGACTGACAATACATAGTCAAATACCGTGTTTATAAATTACTTGAATTAGTTCTTTTGCCTGCTTCAGTTTAGCTATGGCATACATTTGAATTAAAATTGCAGTTTAATTTTTGTTTCAGTTTTCCCCTTCTCATCTTGGTTGATTTAATTTTATTTTTGATTAGTAAAACATTAACATGCTTCCAAAAGTTAAAACTATGTGAAGAGTATATCTGTATCCCTTCTGTATCACTTCCACCCTATTTTCTGATCCCATTGTAGGTAACCAACTTGATTGCCTTCATAGTCTTGATAATTATTAAACTGTGTGACCTCTCTGAGCTCTTTTTTTAAACAGAGTTATGATAATTTGGAAAATATGTGCAGTTTGGTTGGCACGGTGCTTGACATATACTAGGTTGCCAATAAGTGGTTATAAGAATCATCATTGGTAATAATATTTACCAGTAAACACACAAAATCTTTTATATAAGGAAGAGATCTTTTTCTTATGCCAGTGTGGAACTTGGCAGAAAAGGACATGAGAGAAGATTCAAATGGGACCAGCTCAAGGCTTCCTTTGGTGAAGGATTTGGGGGTTATGTTTAGAACCATACTATATGATATTTGTAGGTCTAATTACCTATTTATGATCCTGCATATTCATTCCCCAGTGTGGATTCAGGCATTCTTATTTTCTTCTTTCCATTGTTATAACAAAGTTAGGCATTTTGATAATCCCCTGTGGTTTTCAACATGAATGCTGAAAGGAGTGAAACAGTTGACACATCTGATGATAACAGACACAGTTTGGCCCAGTGCGGGTAAAGCAATGGAAGAGCTTCTCTCACCCTGAAGCCTGTCTATCCTTTTGCACGTGTCACATGTTAAATGACCATTTGACATGCCACAAAAAATGTATATGTTCATTTGAAGTGTTTCTTTACCTTGTAAGAGTATGGCTGCAGCAGCTATTCCAGTGAAAAGAATGTCTACATTTAGATGTCGATATTTTAGGTGGGTCATGAAATTAAATTTCTCTTCAGGAGTGAGCATATGTTGATAGTGCATGGCAGAGCTGTGTGTGCGTGAGTGTGGTTAGGAAGAAGGAAAAGAGGCCTTCTGTCTTTTAGATGCATATTCATAGGGAAACTCATAAAGTTCTTTGAGAAAAGTTCCATTTATATATTTGATTCTTGATAATTAAAGCAAATCGACTGAAAGGGAACCATTCGCTTCATAGTTTTGTTTGTAGTTTAATGCTGCTAACACATGGCAACTTATGTGTTTAATGTATTGTTTAGCATTTATATTCTGGTTGTTTTATTTTAGAGTCATACGACATTTCTTCTTATTGAAAATTATCTCTTTTTTTGGACTAAATAATGATTTCACTTTCTTAAGCCTTCATTTTTTTCTTTGATATATTTGATATTTGCCATTCACTGCATTTACAGATTTTGTATTAATTTTTTTTTTCGGTTTTAAAATAGTTTGTATTATGGTAATTCATGCTCATGGTTAAAAACCTCAAAGACATGAAAGTATATAAGCTGAAAAGCACAAATATACTCCTTACCATGGTCTTACTCCTAGAGATTGTCACTGTTCATAATTTCTTGTGTATCCTTCCAGAAATAATTATACATATATGTATTTTCCTTTTATTAATTTAATTTTTTTTTTAGAGACAGAGTTTTACACTGTTGCTCCAGCTAGAGTATAGTAGCATGATCATAGCTCACTGTAACCTCGAACTTCTGTGCTCAAGGAATCCTCCTGCTTCAGCCTCCCAAGTAGCTAGGACTACAGGTACATGCCAGCACATTCAGCTAATTATTATTATTTTTTTTTTTCAGAGCTGGGATTTTGCTTTGTTACCCAGGCTGGTCTCGAACTCCTGGCCTCAAGTCATCCTCCCCCCTTGGCCTCTCAAAGTGCTGGGATTATAGGCCTGAGCCACCATGGTTGGCCTGTATTTTTCTTTTAAAAAAGAGTATCAAACTATGCATATGATACAATAGTATAACTAGAATTTTAACATTTAATACCTATCTTGAATATCTTTCCATATCTGTGAGATGTATATATATATATACTAATTATTCATGTGATTCCCATAACATTTTAAAATACATTTGTGTGTGTCTGTGTTATTTTAACAGCTGATTTGTATTCCATTGCATTGGAATTATAATTTTTAGTGTTCAATTTATGAAGATTTAAGATAGTTTAAGGGGCATTTTTTGCAAGATTACTTTTAATAAAAACAATTGACATTAATTAAATTGTCCCTCCTGTTAGTGAATAATGGACATCAACTGACCAGAAGAAAGACTTAACATTCACCAATACTCAACCTATGCCACCCTCTGACCCAACAATAATTCACATGCTGCTTCTCTAGCAGTGTTAGGTAATCATCTAAGGCAAGTAAAATACATTTACTCTCTCATTTCTGGGTGACAGTTTGCTAAGATCTAAGAAGGTTAATCATTTTGATGATCAATTGTACCATTTCTTTTTGATGAGAATGAATGCTTCTCAGAAAGACATGGATCAGTAAGATCTCAGTGTAGCCTGTGTACATCGTAATTGTTCATGTGATTTCCATAAGAAATGCAATAGCAGCAAGACCATTCAAAGTAAAAAAGAGGATTCGAAAATTATCTTACAAAATGTGCAAAAAGCTTCCCATTTATTTATTTCTAGGGAGTTTTTGTTGTTATTTTGTTTGGGCATTTAACAATTTTTTAAAAATTGTCATTGTATTCTTCCCATTCTGTTAATGGGTAGATTTCCCTTTTTTGGTTGACACTTCCTATTTTGTGATACCTATCAACATTAAAGTAATAGTAAATACAAATGATTTTAACTTTAAGTTTTTGAGCTTCTTTTTCTTTTCTTTCATTTCCTTAAGGCCTCAATTTCATAAATAGTCCTTTTTTCATATTTTTATTGTCTCTTTATTTCTGTTTATTTCTAAGACATCACTATTGCTGATATCCCATGATGCACAATATGTTACATGAACCACTTTTATTCTTCTTCTTTTAATAGTATTATTCTTACCTTTACCTTTTCTGTAACATAAATAATTCCTAATGCCTCTTACAGTGGGCCCCGCTAGTATACATAAATTGGTCAGCCCTTCTTTAGTCACTTCTATATTTTACTACCAGCCCTGAAATAGGCGTTACCTTCTGTTTCTTAACTATTCCTCTAATTCTGTAGCAGTATGTGAAAATCCTTACACTGTGAAAAAAAAAAGACATGCTAGCAAAACAAAAAACAATATTTTATTTAGATTGACTGTAAATTTTTCAAGGTGTCCATTCTCACCAGCTAGAGTGTAGTGGTGTGTTCCTGTTTCCTTAGGATAGGGCCTGATACTTAGTAGGCAGTCAACACTTGCTCATCAGGGGACTATTTGCTTTTTGGATGAATCCAAACTGTTCTAAGAGCAACTGCAAAATTATGGTTGAGTATAGACAATGTTGATAAAGAATATAGAAAAATAGTGGTTGATTTGTTAGGTGGGGGAGTAGTAAGTACTTTACTGCCATTTTTGTCTTTTGGTATTGTTATAGTGCTGATTGAAAAATAAAAAGTTCTGTTAGAGCTTGTCTGTTACAGGTCCATGCCTATGGATGACTGAAGTCAGCATGCTTCCTCCGTTTTACTATTGGCTGATCACATTGTAGCCTTCCTCTGACTTACAAAATTTTTTTGATATAGTGAAATTGAACTAAAGTGAATATCCAGATTAAGATTAAGAACAATGATGAAAATAAAAGCCAATATTGCATATTCACTCATGGGCCAAGTACAATATTTAGCACTTTGCTTGTATTACTTCATTTAATCCTCCCAACATCGTTAGGAGGTAGGATTATTATTGTCTCTATTTAGAGATGAGGAAGGACAGATTCTGAGAGGCTAAATAACTTATTTAGAAAAACACAACATCTTGAGTCTGTCTCCAAAGTTCTTGAAAGTAACTGTAACAGAGCCTGAGATAGTGGGTTAGAACTGAGGGCAGGCAGGCACATCTACTTTGCTCCAACAGGGATTAATGGTTTGACTGACCACTATATATTTTTTTTCAGAGATGGTGGCTGTAGCCTCTGCTTTGTTTACCCAAGACTCAGACAAGTCAGAATATAACTGAAGAACGAATAGGTGTACCCATCAGGAAAATTATTTGCATAAAAGACCAAGGTACTATCTGGGGAGATGAAAAATAAGGAAAACAACAAAAAATAACAAAAATCACATTTCACTCACAGGAATGAGAGAGTGAAGACTACAGATTTGATCTGGCTAATCACTCAGGATCACAGGAAAGGTCTGTTCAGATTCACAACAGTCCCTGAGTCGAAGGTCCTGGTGCTATGAGCAAGAAATGATGGGGCTCACTCATGCCATTTCTCTAAGACTTTGGGAACACTGCTTTTAAGACGCATAGCAACAGACCCCAGGTGGACTAAAGAATAGAGCGTGGGGAGAGGAATTCTTTACACTGCAGCCTCAAGAGTCATGGTCACAGAAAGCCAAAACAGGTGAGGAAAAAAAAAAAAGATTGGTTGAAGTCACAGGGTATCTGGGATGGATCTGCTCATGGGGTTCACGTGAGATAGCCCTAGTGTTCACTATTCAGAGCTACCATGTTTCCTTCCTGGCCTTCTGACTGCTTCCCTGAGTCATGCCGCACAGGATAGGGGGTCAGCCCTACCGGAATTCACTATACCCGAGGTACAGCAACATTTTCTTGTTTTTGTTATTAAATATTGTTGTTCCAAGAAATGGTGAAGTCTTCAAGGGCAAAGACCATATTATTTTTCATATGTCTGGTAGGGCTTAGCACAATGTTGGGTATAGAGCAAGAAGTTGCTAATTCTTCTTTAACCTGATTTGACATTAATTTGGTTCTTATTGTTAGCCATTCAAAACTACAAGGTTGCAAAAAGGTATAAATGAAAAAAAAATCCCTCCTTCGTGGCTATCACCAAGGACAACATTGCTTGGAAAGGACTGAAACATTTTATATCTCTACCAGCCATTTCCCTGGGAAGCAAAGCCAAGCCTGTAATGCTGATTAACAATGTTAATGTTCTCCTGTAGGCGGACAGGCAACTCAGAGGCTTGCTTCTCACCTTCCCCCTGTTCCTTAGATAGAATGACTTAACTCCTCTAATTTTTTAGAGAGAGAATGAGACAGAGAGAGACACACACACAGAAAGAGACTTATTTACAGTTATGCAGTCTCTACTTGGTATAACACATATCCTACAGGAATTTAGAAAGCAGTGAACTTTAAACTGCAACAACACAAATACCTCGTCTACCATATCAGAATAAATTAGGAACCAAGAACTGAGAAGGGAACTGATGCTTTAGGCCATTCAAGGGTCTTCTTGCCAAAGCCAATGAGGTTTCAGTATCAGAAAAAGCTGCAGCCCTTAGATTTCAGTGACTGTGGAAAGAGATAAAGTACCACAACACACCTGGCAGATTATAGTTTTTCAGCTCAGTTGTTTACTTACATTTGACCGTATACTTATTTGACTCAGAGACTCTGTTACTCTCACACATTTTACTGCCAGACCTTACACATTGCCAGGATTTCCCTGATGATGACTGGATATTTGTGAGTTTGTTCATCCTTTGACAGAATTTAAATGGTGGGATGATTTGTGGTTACAACTAAATTTGATAAAGTGTGTTTATCCATGGCATTAAGGAGTGAGCACTGGTCTAGAGGTCAATACATTTTAGCCTAATTCCATTCTGACCTTTGGCAAGAACCTCACCTCTCTGGGCCCCGTTTCCTCACGGGGAAATTAGCAGGTTACACTAGCTTGTTTAGAGGATCTTTGCCAACTCTAATATGCTGTGCTATTGTTTATAAGATGAGGTGTAACAGAGAGATGTCCAAACGAAATCAAGAAGACATGACTTGAAGTCCCTGCATTTGCCATTTACCAACTCATTAAATCTCTCTGAGCCTTGGTTTCTTTCATCTGTTAAGGTTCATTCCAGTTCTAAATTCTACGATTTTATGACATTGCTTATTGAGTCTGGAAATATCACAAACATAAGGTCTCAGAAATTACCTTTAAGATTTTCGTACTGCACAGATTGTACCACATTAACAACCCAATTTGATCGTCAACTGCCAGCATTTTTGTACAAATGGTTTATCTGCACAACTGTGCAGGGGCGAGAAGATGCGTATTTTGCAAATACCATTTAGTAGTGGTGGTTTTACTTTCCCCATCATAACTGAGTTTTAAATCACCATTAATATTTAGCATCAATTACCACCACACGCTTTTGTTTTCATGAGGTTAAACACCATGTCAAGTTGATAAATTCTATATTTTTAACACTGTGGATTGCCTGTTCTCTAGGATGGTGCTATTGGCAAGTAGCCAGACAAACACAGATTGGTGCCTTCATACAATTGGCCCTAAGAAAATTGCATGCCTGTTGATGTGCTTTTGGAGTCTGCATCTTGCAGTAGGTTCCACTTTAGGGTTTAAACAATTCAGATCCTTCCTCCTCCAGAAAATAAATTGTCTCTTTTTTCTTGTATCAGCTTGAGTCTGGCTAGGCTGATGTCTGAGATGTGCACTGAGCAAAGAATGGCTGTTTTTAAAGGAATATTGGTAAAATGCAGAGGGAGCTTACATTGTTTTAGGGTGTGACTTTGTGCTCATTATTTTCCATTCTATCTTACTGGCTTTCCTCTGAAAGCCAGAAACAGAAGCATTGGCTGCCAAAGATGGTTTTAATCCTTGTCTGGCAGCTGCCAAAGTCAAAGAAGGAGGGAGAGATGGAAAGTAACATTTATTGAGCATCTCTTGTATTGCCAGATGGTTTAACTCATTCAGTGCTCATGAGGTTACATCAGACATGACAGAATGCAGGGACCTGGACAATGCACTCAGTACTCTGATTTTCTCCATCTCTCAGTTCTGCTTTTTCCTACTTGATTTCTTCTCAACAGGCTCTCTCCATAGGGTGGCAAGGCCACCACCAGCAAATCTACTCTTACATTCACCAAGTTTAGTAAGCCCAGAGATGGAGAACCTTCCCATGCCTGTATTAGCAACCCCAAGGAAGATTCACATTGGCCTTGCTGCATCACATGTTGATGATGGAATCAATCACTCTGCCAGGTCAGGCAAGCCTGTTCAGGAGTCAGGGTATGAGGCACAGACGGGGGGAGCCCCTTTGTGGAGTGGAGGAGGAGTTTGTTCAAGGAACTAAAGGAAGAGGGTGGCAACCCTTCTTAGACAAAAATTCTTACCATACTCCACGGCAATGGACTACTTAAGAATACTGTTGGTTTGAGTTGTCAGTTTGAATGTCTTCTCTGGTAGAACTGAATCAAGAACCCAAAAATAAAGTTAAGGGTAGTTTACCAAGTCTCATTGGACATATACATTAACATATATTTGTCAGACAAGCTACATAAATCTGTCTTTTTTTTCATCTTTCAATGACTCTTGCTGTGCAGTAGTGGCAGTTAGGTTTCTCTTGGATATGTATGCAGTCATCTAGATTTAAAGGCATATGGTCTGCCTTGGATCACTTACAGATTGCAAGATGGCTCTGAAGCCAAACTTGCTGCTTATTTCATGCCCTGCACATTTAATTACTGCTTGATGTGAATGAAGTGTTTTATCTGAAGATATGCGCCACTGAAATTTTAGCTAGGTAGAATCGTAAAACAGTTTTCAGCAGATTGAGGCAATCTTAGAGGGAACTTTGTAAAGAAAGTTTGCTTGAAGTAGCTCACCGTAGGTCACAAATGTTCTGAGTTAGTTTGATCATTGCTAGATAGGACAACGAGTACAAGTGTTCCTAGTTTCCTAATTTCCTGGAAAACTCTAGGGATAAGACAAAATTCTTCTACTGAGGTTAAACAAATGGTAAATTGTTGATCATTATTCAGGTGACTTCTGGAAGAAAGGTAGGGCATTTTCCAAAGGCACTTGTTTCTTTTGATTACACTTACCTGGTGCAAACAAATTTCTCTGCAATACAAGTTTTTTTAGTTTTTCTCTTTGGCTTACCTGCTATGTCTTCATGTCAGTTAAATCAATTCTCTAGCTGGTCACGACAGCTAGTACTAGCCAGGGCTAGGGCAGTAACAATAACCTAGAAGCCTGTATAGCCTGGTATTTAAGCACATAGACAAAGAGCTCAAAAGTTCAGGTTGCTCTATCTCATGGGTTTCTGTAGCAATTTCCAATTATGCAAATGTGAATGTCGGGAAATAGGTAGGCTTGTGGTGAGGATTGAACTAAATAATGCTAGTAAATTACCCAGCATATGTCCTTTATCCAAGGTGACTGCTGTGTTGTAATCAATCCAAGGCTACTGTCCATGCACGTTCTTCACACTGAAGCATGTGGGATGGTGGGAGGCTATAGTAGTTATTAGCCACATCTGGCTCCAAGTGATCCTTTGTTTTTTCCTTCCCTACTGCCTTCCCTTCTGTGCTAAGTAACTTGGATAAAATGTTAAAACAATGATCAAAACTCTAATCTCAAGAGATGGAATGGATGAAGAAAGTAATTTTACTGACTTCTTTAAATTCTTCCAAAGCATGGCATGCTCTCTCACCTTTCTGAGTCTTCCTACAGACTCTTCCTTAATTCAGAAACACTTTCCCTCTTTTTTGTTAATGAGGCTTCTCACAGTCAAGGCCCTAGTTTACATTTTCCCTCTCCAGAAAGCCTTGCCTCACCTCTGCCCCAAAGTCGGGGTTAGGTGTCCCATAAAAAACTAGTAGGTTTTTTATGCCTCCTACTAGTTGAACCTCTCTTACCAAAGGAGTGTTCTCACTGGAGCCTGGCTTGGCAGGACTATGAGCTCCAAAAGGGGTGGAAATCATGCATACCTCATTGATCCTTATTGATCATTGTTGATCATCACCCCCAGCACCTAGCACCATGCCTGGCTCAGAGCAGGCACTCAATAAATATCCTTCCTTGGAAATATATGTGAGATCCTTTTCTGAGGGGCTCAAGGATCATTTGCTTTGTTGTATTTACTCAGTTATCTGTTTCCTAGAACAACAATGCTGTTATGGTGGAAATGTCACATAGCTCTGCTGGCAGTAGAGTAGCCACTAGCCATGTGGCACTGTTGAGTGGTTGGAATGTGGCTAGTACAACTGAGGGGTTACATTAATTTAATTTAATTTAATAACCATATGTGGCACTAGTGGCTGTCATATCAGCCAGCACAGTTCAAGGGCCAGAGGTTTAATTTTTTTTTTCAGGAGCCATAACTCTAGGAACTTTCGTGTTTTCAAGGAAATAGAATTGCCACAAAATCCAGAAGTTTGTCAGTAATACTCATGTAGTTAATGTTTGGAACTGGGTTCCCAAATGACACGTATATCATGTCACTTGTTGGGTGATGCTGAGCATCTCAGTTTTAGGCAATGGAGGGCAGTGCCTTGATTAGCATGTCTGCTCTGACACCTTCTGGTATGTGCCCTTAACATTTTGTGTCTCAGTTTTTCAAGTATAAAATGGAGCTGATAATAGTTTGTATCTCAAATAATTGTGTTAAATGGGAGTGTGTGTGTGTGTGTGTGTGTGTGTGTCTATGTGTGTGTGATAAAGTACTTAGTACAGTGCCTGGTATGTAGTATGCTCTCAAACATGCTAATTGCCATGATTAATCATTCCATTCTTCCATGTTTCTTCATCAGCATGGCATTTGGATACATGTGCATACATCCCAGTATACCCAGTAAATATGCTTCACAAGTTTTGGTCAGGCAAAATGAAGGTGAATGTGAATGTAAAGTACTATGAAAAGGTCAACAGATAGGTGTAATAGACTATTAAACTGGACCATTATTAGGGAAGGTAACTCATTTTACAAAGATAAAGTATCTTGAAATGTTATTTTTAAAAGGCAACCATATTTGAAATGGGAAGTAGAGTTCCTGCTTGCAGGAAGGCTTTGCTGCACACATTTCTATACCTCTTTTCTCTTTGTGTCACCTGTCCAGGATGCTCTTTTGCCATCCTTTCAATAGGCAAAATGTTTAGGGGGCAGCTGCCCTGTGCCAAGCACCACAGGGACTGATATGGGCTGAAGCAAGGAGTCTAAAATCAACCTTTGAATTTTACTATTCAAATCAATATGCTGTACAAAGTGTGTGTTCTTTGTTGCTCCAAAGCCCCATCAGGAAACTGTGCGAGCCAGGGAGGGAGATTGGGAGACGGTTCCCAGAATCAGTAGCTGATTTGCAAGCCTGAGGAGTTTGCATGAAAGGCAGCAGTAAAAGTCAGTCATCAGCTCTGATATATATAGTGAGAGGGAGGAAAGAAAGAAGAGAAAGCTGTGAAATGTTATTAGGAAGTCAGGTAAATAGAGAGCTACTCAATATAACTCATACCTTACTACCTGTTTTTCATTTTTTTTAATGTGTGATGTGTATGTGGGATCTGTTTTTAGAAATGGAAGCAAGAAAGTATCCTCTCTCTGATCAATGGTATAAAGTAAGTTACTATTTTTTGAAATACAAAATTGAAATGATCTAAACAAATTCAGGCAGATGAGATCTAAAAAGCAATATGAGGTTTTCTCTTCCCTTTTTGTATGTCAGAAATTGGGGAATCATACTGCCTATTCCCAATACAAAGTGTTGCATATTTTGCAAGTTTAGATACATTTTTAAAGTATTTTATAAAATGTATTTGTATAGTGAGAAGATAGAAGAAATAAAGCAATTCTCACATGATATTAGAAGAGTATCTAATGGTTTGCATATAAGTAACAATACAATATCGTACAAACAGAAAGCATTGATTTTATTGTGAATACAAATAAAGAAATAGCAGTAGCAGTGAGGAACAAACACTGAAAACTATTGGAAATACTGAAATGCCACAGAATTAGGGAGTTTTAATGTCCCCTGATGAATTGTCACTATTGTAGATTCAGTATTATTTGGCTATGTAGCTTGTTTCTGTAACTCTGATTTATTATTATCCTGGGAAGATTAGATCATGATGCTTGGAATTCTAATTGACCCTCAAGCTCGGAGATTAATTCCTATACAACCTAGCATCTGGGAGGTAGGACAAGCGTTTGGGGGGAGAATAGCTCAAATATGCAGTAAAGTGAAAAACATATCTACGCATACCCCTTCTTTAAAAGTCTTCTTGGGTGTTTGTAAAAGCGTAAGTCCTAGCACTAAAACTACCCCTTGGATTAGAATTAGGACGCTTTAGGAGGGCTTATTAAAGCATTCATCTTTGTGAGGCCACTGTGTTTCTACTGCACTGAGTTCACTAAACCAGAAGCAATCACAGAATATGAGAGACTGAACAGCAGCTCTCCTCTCCCTCCCCTTATTTTTTAGGTTAGAAAACTGGAGTCCCAGAGATTGATGGCCTTGCCCAGGCTGCACACTGGTCAGAAGTAAGGCTGATTCTAAAGTGGCACCTTTCAAGCCTCATCCAGTGCTCCTCACCACAGCATGCTCCCTGGCAGTCCATGGTACCTAGCACCTAATCCAATGCCTGGCACATAGTAGGCTCACAATAAATGTCTATGGACTGACTGAATGGCCTAAGAGCCTTACTATTTTTATAAATGATTTTAAAAAAGCACCAAACAAATCTGGTTTTAGGAGAGGCTAGCCAGTTGTTAACAAGGTCATTATGAACACGAAGAGAAGTTACTGAATAACATAAACAGAAGGAAAGAATTCAGCTGTAGCCTATACTAAAAACGCTGAAACTTATGGTAAGGGGCTGAAAAAGCTGGTAAAACTGTGACTGTGTCAAAAGGGATAAAACATCCTTGGCTATGATGGAAAAAATGTGGTGTGAAATTCCTTTGCTTTCTGCTGCTATTTAAACAGCAGGTGAATGTTCAGAATGCTTCTTTTAGAGAAAACAGTGAAATTTTGACATCAAAAGGTCTTGAGATAACCATAGTAATGAGAATGACCACTGGGGGAAGAGCATCCCTTTTTGAAAGTACTGATTTAGGATACAGCTATTTTGAGCATTTTTATTCAAAAAAATGGAAATTTTGCTTACTTTCCATTTATCTTGTTCTTAGTCTGCAAAGCAGAGGCATGATTGATCTTAAAATGTCAATCTCTCACCTAAAGAGAGGAAGAAAAGATTTATTTAAAGAATAAAATGTCATAGGGGTTCTTAGGGGAAAAGCTCCGGGCTTGGATTTTCTCTTGACAGCCAGGCTTCTAGGTGAGCTACTCTCCCTTTCCCTCCATCTCATAGTAGCTCCCCAGATAGCTCTGAGCGAGACATCCAGGCTGGCAAATGTTCCCTTGTTTTAGTTTCCTTTTAGGCAGCTCATCTACCTGAGCACTGGTTAGTTTCAGTAAAGAGTTCTTGATACTGAAAGAAAAAAGTCCTCAGTATTTTGACTTTGAGGAGTTGATAAAATCATGCTCCTGGAGACACTCATCCCAATGAAAATGTGTCCACTAGGCTGTTGTCTTTGGATTAGTCCTGGAGGATTTGGGAGGCAGCTGAATTCCACGATTTGGAGAACTTACCTCAGTACAGTTTAATGTATAAGTAGGTACAGAAAATATGAACGGTTTATCAGAAGGTCCCAAGAACTCTCAGCGTCTAGATGCAGTCTGCACACTGCAGGTTTAATAAACGCACTATGCAGTATTTTCAGCATCTACAGCAGGGCCCACCTGGCACGTAATTAGGCATTTGAGAATCATTTGTTAAAATAATTCAGTGTTAAAATAAGAGAAAATCTCCCACTGGCTAAGGTATGAGCATAAATGTATATTGTTTATGAAAGTTTTAGCTGTTATTTTATGACCCTGTGAATTAAAAAACAAAACAAATAAAACATGAATTTAAAGACGCCTTGAGGTGTTGTGTAAATTGGTCCCCTGTTTGAAAAAGAATCTTACTCAAATCACCCTAGATAAATGGGATCTATTCTAAAGATCTTCAGATGGAGAATAGCTGTATATAAAAGTCCACTGACTGGTGCCTTGGTTTTCTTCGTATAAGGGTGCATAATCCTTGTTCTTCAGGTTTTCTGTGCTTTTCTATGGTGGGCAGGATTTATGGGGTTTGTTGCCAATGCTTTGGACTAGCTGGAGGGACCGCTCATCCTCCTGACAAATAAGGTTAAAAACTCAACCTCTATCTTCACAGTCTTTACAGAGGAGCAAAAGGCAGAGAGGAGATTCCCCATAGTCGGAGAAAACTGGACTAAAGAAGAATCACTCTACGTAAGCGAATCTGTGGTCTTCTCTCTCACTCAGAGACCTCAGGGGAGCATGAGAAATGAGTCAGTCTCTCTGAGGACCCACCAAGCTGCCAGAGCTAAACAAGAGTCTTGTTTGAACTCTGAAGGGGAGAAGGGACAGAAGGCATGGATGAGAACACAGCTGCAGTTGACTTCCGTGAAACCATCTGGAGAGCATGGCCCAAGAAAGAGAAAAGGGCACGGGGACCAAATTAAGAATGTTCTTAGTTAATTTTCTAAAGAATGAGTCCACTGAAAAACCACCCACTCCTGGGTTCCTGATAATGCAAACTTCATTCATTTGTTTATTCATTCAACAAATGGAGTAGCTCCGACCAATATTATGGATTGGCTTGGAAAATACCTCTGGCTTCTTGGCAGAGAATCAAGCAAGAAACTTACATGTGATTTTGGTCTATTCTAAATAACTTCTCTAGGTTACATACTTACACGCTGATGGTTCACACATAAGGAGGACAAAAGGAATGCTACCAAAACAAAAATCACCCCTCAAAATTATTTAAAAGGCAGAAGATTTTAAATTGAAGAAATATCTTTAGCATCAAGTCAGGGTATGAATGTACCAGAAAGGCTTTGTTTTAGCAAATTTACTTCCCAAAGGGCAGAATAATATATATGAAATGAAAAATGCACAGGCCTTTTGTTCTTTAATGACCTTGGGGGAATATTCTAATTTATCAGGAATCTGCCAAGAAAACAGTTTACCTCTTCAGTTGTCTCATTTTGTGTTTCTGAATTTTTTTTTTTTTTTTTTTTTTAGCCAGGGTCTCAATCTGTTGTCCAGGATGGAGTGCAGTGGTGCAATCATGGCTCACTGTAGCCTCGACCTCCTGGGATCAAGTGATCCTCCCACTATCAGCCTCCTGAGTTGCTGGGACTACAGCTATGTGCCACCATACCCAGCAAATTTTTGTATTTTTTGTAGAGACGAGGTCTCACCATGTTGCCCAGGCTGGTCTTGAACTCCTGAGCTCAAGTAATTTGCCCATTTCAGCCTCTCAAAGTCTGGGATTATAGGTGTGAGCCACTGTGCCCTGCCCATGTTTCTGAATTTTTAATACATTTTATTAATTCTTGCTGATCTGTGAAACACTAAGAAAAGTAAATTGTTTTATAATTTTGTCTCTTAATATCCTCCAAAAAATTAATTCTATTGCTTTTTCTTTGCATACTTCTTGGATACTATTTTCCTCCCTTTGTGTCAGTGACTTATCACAGGAAGAAAAAAAAAATGTTCCCCATCCATTCCTTACTTGGTATCTATAGGGCTGTAAGCGAAGACATTGGCTTTATCTACAAACTGCTGCAGTCAGATTGTTATGGAAATAGGAATTAATTATTGTAGAAGCAGTATAATGATCTTCTTTGGAATCAGAGAATTAAAACCAGGATTCAAAGCAATACCCGTAAGGGAAAGTGGTTGGGGTTTATATCGGAATCATGGGGGTATATTATATTAAGGTTAAAGAGGGAGGATGAGATGGAAAGACAGAAAATCTCGCCACAGCATGTGGAAGTTTCTCCTTAGGAGAGCCTTGTGGCTCATTGTGCCTGTCAAGTAGGCTAATGTGCCTGTAAATTTCCTCTGACAGAAAACACATCACAGCAGCAGCACCAGAAAACAACACAACCAAACTGTGGAAGACTGAAAACCCAGTGCTTTCAAGGGTGATCAGAATATGCCAGAGTAAAAAACAAAAACAAAAACCAAAAAAAAAGCAAGGCATTGAAAATAAACAAAAGCTAGGGAGAAATGAGATCACCTTCCAAGAAATAAGCATTTATCATTCATTCATAGGCGAAAGGAAATGCTTCTCCCACAGTCATTTTTTAATGTATTATTGGGCAGTCTCAGTTCAAGGTCAAAAATGTCAGAGGGCAAAAGGAATAGGACTCAAGATTTAATGCTGTATTTATCATAACTGGCTTTGTAATTGCATAAATATTAAATATGTAGAACTAATTGCAAGCACATTATCTCCATATCTCCACACATTGCTTTAATTTTTAATGTAATCTTTTATCTGCCTTTTCCTCAGCTGGCTGTGGGTTTGTAATTTGCATAGCTAGAATGATCCGGTGCCATCAATTTAGTAATGAAGTCACTCATTGAGCAGAAGAGTTTTCTAAAGATTATACAAAGCTGTAGGAAAGAAAAGAACAGAAATGAAATTTTATGTTTCAAATAAATGGGAAGTTTATTTTAGAACATATTTTCCATTGTAAATTTAATGCAACCACTTCATAACAAATTTGGAAAACAGAGAAGATTGGGAAAAAGCACCCATATTTCATCATCCTAACTTATCAGTGTTTTGTGGTCTTTTATACCTAGGCACATATATTTTTAACATCGATGTAATCATAATTATGTGTGTGTATATGTGTGTAATTTTACATCCTATTTTTTGTATTATTACTATGGTTTTCATAACTATAACTTTTATGACTATAAAATACTAATAAAAAGAGGTGTCTATAATTTTCTCACTTACTAAATTTCTTGTGGCTAGCCGAGCAGAGGGGTGGAATCAGATGGATTAAATTTCAGCTCTGCTATTGAACTGTGTGGATTTGGGCAAGTTAGTAAAAAGCTGGGCGTTAGTCTTCTCATCTACAAAATGAGGATAGTGATAGTGCTTTTATTAGAGTGTTCTTGTTAGAGTTAAAGGAAGTAATCCAGCATTTAGCCTGGCTCTGTCATATAATAGGTACTAAAACTAAGTATTAGTAAAGGCAAAAATGTCAAATACATTACATTGGGTTTCAAAACTTAGGAAAAAAAACTTAAGTCCTACAAAACTGAATTTCCTGGGATATTTCCATCACCCCCTTTAGAATTTTTTTAAAAATTTCTATTTAAAGATGGGGTCTTGCTCTGTTTCTCAAGCTGGACTCAAATTTTTGGGCTCCAGTGATTCTCCTGCCTCAGCCTCCCATGCAGCTGGGACTATAGGCATGCATCAGTGAGCCCTGCTTGCCCTCACCCTTGAAGTTCCCATGTGCCCTTTCCCAGTCACAACTCCTTTCTTCCACCGCGAACTAGACATTGATGCTTAGTGCTTTGTTGCTTTCCTTTATGCTTTACATGTAAGTATGCTTCTCTAAAGATACAGCTTATTCCCTGTTATTGAACTTGATATAAGTGGAGTCACACACACACACATGCACACACACACACATCATTCTGTATTTAGATAGCATGCAATCTAAGGCTTGGTTTTGTGATGAAAAAGCTTTAGACGTGGAACCAGAGAACTGGGCTTCTAGTCTAGTCTCCTTGAGACCTCGGGCAAATCTTTTTACCTTTCTCCATGTAAAATGTTTGGATGTTCTAAGTGTCTTTGAAGCTTTAGAGTACAGAGTTGTTAAGCCTTTCCTATTTGAGTATTGTGTGGCATATGAAAATCAGAGTCAAAGAGAATCCATAGAAAGGCCTAGTCTGGCTGGAAATAGACCTCCTCTTCCCCCAAATTAGGCCAATTGTAGTGACAGCAAACAAAGGCTTGTAGAAAAATGAAAGTGATGATCCTACATCACAAATAATTTTCTCATCTCTGATAAGTGCACATTTAGACATATTATTAGCCCTAATTATACTGTACATAGAGGATATTTTCCCCAGGATAAATCATAGCCATAAAGATTGTAATTTCAAGAGTTCAGAGTTCAAATAAGTAATCATATATTAGATAATATAGGTTTTTCTGGAAAGAGACAGTTTTAAACATTTTATTCCATTCTCTCTGTAGATGTATTTGTATTTCTACAAATACTGCCTATGGTAAGTACTGCAGGCTGGCTCACTCACTGTCCATTCTCCTCTCTTCTTATGGTGGCTTTTGTACTTCAGAGGCTGGAAAATTAAAACATTTCCTAGACTTCTTTGCACGTAGAGCTATGATATGAATTAGGTCTACAATTCGATACACTCATGCAAAACTTAAGAGAAAAGAAGTTAAGGCATCCTCCTGACCACTTTTGGTGGCATTTCTCTTAGAATTAAGGTCATAGAAACATTTTTCTGCAGCAGTGTTCCATGGTCCATTATTCAGCCTCCTGGAAGACAATATGCAGCAGAGGCCGTTGACAGCAGTAGGTTTTTGACTCCATCTTCTGTCATAGGGTTATGTTCTTGAACTCAGTGTTCCAGTAGTCTTCAGAGGTACTAGCTTCACTGATAGGTCACTTGGTATTATACGGGGAATCACTTTTGGAAGCTTGGTCTACAGCCCATTTCTTCAATCCTGACATGGATTTTTGTAAGCATCCTCTATTAAATAACTTCTTGCTTAAAATACCTAGAATGATTACTAATTTTTACACTTAATCTGAGCAATACACTTCCTAAATGTTATTTTCAAAAATCTATTCGTTGTAATACGAGGTATAAAGTATCATAATTCTATAGAATGCTGCATCAAAAGAGGAGTTTTGAAACCAGAAAAACGAAGCTATACCATTTAGTAGCTAACTATTCTAAAGCAAGTTATTTAACTTCTCTGTATCTAAGTTTCTTTATATGTAAAATAGATGTTAATATAATAGTCTTGCAGAGTTATGATAATTAAATGAGGCAACATAAATAAAGCACTGAGCATAGATGCATTATATGGTGTTCATTTCTTTCTATCCCTATATTGGACTTCCTTTCGTGATCGAGATGATTAGTAAAATAATTTGGGGGAGAAATTATCTTTAAAGCGTTTTTTATTAAAGAAACGCTCACTTTATAGGAATATAAAGATTTAGTGCTGACTCACAAAGACAAAAGGAATAGCTTTAAATGCAGCTCAAAAGCAAACAGACATCTATTACGAGCCAGGGCAACTCATAATGGGCACCACCAATCCACATCAACTGGTAGCTCAGGACCAAGATTAGTATTCACTCATTCAACAAATATTTATTAGGCCTCAATATTGCTAGACACTATTTTACTCACTAAGATACAATGTTGAATCACAAGGTCTCTGACTTGTAGCAGCTTGCATTCTATTGGGAGGATAGACATAAAATAAGTCAATACATAATTTCAAATAGTGAGAAGGGTTATAAAGAATAAAGTCCTTCTCCAGCTCTCCTTCCCTTACCTTCTTATGTCTCTCTCAGCAGTGTATTATGCTACTTGACTCATCCTCTCTTGCAGCTTCCTTTCATGGGAAGAAAGGCACAGGGAGGTAAAGGCTATGCCAACAATATGAAGAGTCTCTGAGGTAGGTGGGTAATTTCAAGATCTGTAAAAGGTCGAGGGGTCACTACTGTTTCGTGGATGTCAGTGGAAAACACAAGACACCCTGATTAGAGACAAAGGAAGATGTTAAAGAGACAGGAAGATGTTGAGCCTGATGTCGGTGCTAGTTTCTCATGTCCCCCAGATCCCACAGGGTCTGAGGGAAAGGGTCCAGGTGGATGCAACATACACAGTGGATTTGTCACAGCAAAGGAATATTGAGCTTGAGGAATTTACTGCTTTACAGTGTGTGGTAAGTCAGTCTGCTCATTGTTTGGGAGAAGACATTACTCTGTTGCTCAAGGCTGCTCCCTGCAAACACAACCCTGAGAGGACACAAGTAAATAATGGTCAGGGCCTTGCATTCTTAGCATACCCAGAAAGAATGTGTAAGGATGCTCAGGGCTTTGACAGACTGATTCTCACAATAGGTTGAGTGGAGAAAAGGATTAAACCCGCATTCATTTATAGTTTTATGCAACCACAATTATAAAATTTTCTCAAGTTTTTAGGCTTTAGAACTTTGTCCTACTCCTTTCCAATTTGTCCCCCTTAGATATGATCTATTTAGGCCTTTGAGGAGCTCAGACAGACTTAGAGTATCAGTTGACAGAAAAGATAGATTTTCCTATTGTTAGCAAATATAAGCTGAGGCTCTTGTGCACATACAGACTTATCACCAGAAGCATGGGGCTAGACCTCATGCCTTCCAGAAACCTCACCCCAAGCACTCCTTCGAGACCTTTCCTATTCAAAATTACATTGAGTGCTCACTTTAACTTAATCTTCACTGCAAAAATGTATATCAGTGGGTAGGAAAAATGACAGATATCTATGATATGCTCCCAACCTGGAGCATTCCTTGGGTGGCCGTTGTTCTTGCATCCTGGTAGAAGGGGTTCTTCCTGGATTATGCTCACAGTACACTTTCATTGAGCTCTCAAGCCATAGATCGATGACAAGGGAGAAAATGGTGAACTTGCTCCATGAGAAATCAATGCTCTCCAATTATCCACATGGACTTCCTTCTCCATGTCCCATAGCAGCTGTTTCCAATGTTCTCTCCCCTACTCACCTCTCAATTGCACCCATCTTTCCCTTTCCCAGAGTAAATGGAAGTATCTGGTGAATGCTCTCCCAATATGTCACTACCTGTGGCAATCATACAGCAAGGCTGAAAGATCACTGTTACTACCCCAATATAATATGTTGGAAAATGGAGGCTTAGAGATATTATGTAACTTTCCCAAAGTCACAAAAGCTTTATGTACTGGAGAAGCAATCAAATTTGAACCTTTATGATATGGGTTCTGCCCTCATGTACCTTCCCTTCCCTCTATTTTCAGTGTTCCTACAAAAAGCTCTAGCCTCCTGAGCCCCAGAAACATGTACACTATAGAGAATGTTTGCTTTCACTTTTGCTAGAAAATTTTCTCATAGCATAAGGATTAAATCTGTAGCAATTTGTTTCCCTAATGACAGAGATAATTGCTCTGATCCAAAGGGAGGATAAAATTTCTCATATCTTTCCCAAATGAAAAGATTGTATCCCAGGATAGGCACCTAGGTTTGTTCTGAAGGTCCTGGGGAAACCAGAATGTCTGTCTGTCTGTCTATCTATCTATCTATCTATCTATCTATCTATCTATCTATCTATCATCTATCTATCTTTCTATCTGTCATCTATGTCATCTCATCTATTTATCCATCCTATGTATTTATCATCTAATTTATCTGTATATCTCTATCATCAATTTATCAATTATCTATCAATCTATTTTCCAGCTTTATTGAGGTATTATTGGTAAATAAAAATTGTATATATTTATGGTGTACAACATGAAGTTCTGATACATGTATCCATTATAAAGTGATTACCACAAGTAAGCTTATTAACGTATCCATCACCTCACATAATTACCATTATTTTGTGGATGATGAGAACGCTTAAGATCTATCCTCTTAGCAAATTTTCAGTACACAATACAGTATCATTAACCATAGTCACCATGCTGTTTGTTAGCTCTCCAGAATTTATTCATCTAATAATTGAAGGTTTATACCCTTAGACCAAAATCCCCCCATTTCCTCCACTTCCCAGCCTCTGGCAACCACCATACAACTTTCTATTTCTATGAATTTGACTTCTTTAGATTCCACATACCAGTATAAGTGAGATCATGAGGTATTTGTCTTCCTGAGTCTGGCTTATGTCACTTAACATAATGTTCCTCAGGTTCATCTAAGTTGTTGTACATGATAGGATTTCCTTCCTTTTTAAAAGCTGAATAGTATTCCATTGTTTATATATACCACATTTTCTTTATTCATTTGTCTGTTGATGGACACTTAGGTTTATTCCATATCTTGGCTATTGTGAATAATTCTGCAATGAAAATGGGAGTGCAGCTATCTAATGAGATAACACCTCACATCTCTTGGAATGGCTATTGTCAGCTTTTGGAGACCTAAAGACTCATATGTTAGTAACAATAGGAAAACATACAGCTTTTTCATAAGTGATAGTAAAATCTTATTTCAGTAAAGTAAATAAGTGATCAAGATCATCCAAATTAATTTTCTGAAAAAGAGAAGTTGCTTTGGATATATACACAGGAGTGGGATTGCTGGATAATGTGGTAGTTCTATTTTTAAGTTTTTAAGAACTTCATACTGTTTTCCACAATGGCCTACCAGTCTATAATCCTATAAATAGTGCACAAGGGTTCCTTTTCTCCATTTCTTGGTCAACTCTTATTATTATTTGACATGTTTCTAGTAGCCATCCTAACAGGTATGAGGTAATATCTCATTGTGGCTTTCATTTACATTTGCCTGATGATTAGAAAACCTTTTTTTTTTTTTTTATATGGAGTCTTGCTCTGTCACCCAAGCTGGAGTGCAGTGGTGCAACCTCTGCTCACTGCAACTTCTGCTTCCTGGTTTCAAGCGATTCTCCTGCCTCAGCCTCCACAGTAGGTGGGATTATAGGCACCTCCCACTACACATGGCTAATTTTTGTATTTTTAATAGAGAACGGATTTCACCAGTGATCTGCCCGCCTCAGCCTCTCAAAGTGCTGGAAGTACAGGCAGAAGCCACAGTGCCCGACCTAGAGCACCTTTTAATATTAGCTGTGGGCCATTTGTATGTCTTCTTTGAAAAAATGTTTATCCAGGTGACTTGTTCATTTTAAGATTGGGCTATTTATTTATTTACTATTGAATTATGTGGGTTCATTATATATTTTGGATATTAGTCCCTTAACAAATATGTGGTTTGCAAATATTAGGTTGGTGCAAAAGTAATTGCGGTTTTTTTGCCATTACCTTTAAAAAATCACAGTTGCCATTACCTGCAAAAACCGCAAATACTTTTGCACCTACCTAGTATTTTCTATCAGCTGGGTGGTTGCCTTCTGTATTTGTTTGCTAGGGATGGCATAACAAAATACTAAGGACTGGCTAACTTAGACAACAGAAATTTATTTTCTCAGTCTGGAGGCTAGAAGTCCAAGATCAAAGTGTCAGCGGGTTTGGTTTCTCCTGAGGCCTCTCTCCTTGGCTTGCAGATGGCTGCCATCCCAATCTGTCCTCACATGGTCTTTTCTCTGTGTGCATGTATCCCTGGTCTCTCTCTCTTCTTATAAGGACACCAGTCAGATTGGATTAGGGCCTTACTAACAGCTTCATTTTAACTTAATCGTCTTTTTAACTTAATCTCCTCTTTAAAGACCTTATCTCTAAATACTATTACACTCTGAGGTACTGGGGGTTGGGACTTCAACACGTGTATTTTAAAGAGAAACATTCAGCCTATACCACTTTCCTTCCATGGCCACGTGATTGGTATGACCAGTCCCTGCAACAATCACTTTGCCCCTTTTCCCCCAAATCCTAACCATTGCTAACCCACACCATCTGTTTGGATTCATCTCTCAGTGACTCAGTGGTTTTGTCCTCATATAGCTTTACCATCCTAGAACATATCCCACATCCGAAGTGACCACTTTAGAGTTGTCATCTCATACTCAAGATCATTATCTCCTTCTCTCTGGTTCAAATATATATTATTACAGCACCTAAAATACTTACTAATTCCTGCTCATCAGGTCCAATCAGCATAATGTTGTCAATGTAGTGGACCAGTGTGATATTTGATGGTATGTCAAGACAATCAATATCTCTGTGGACTATATTAAGGTGAATTGACATACCCCCAAGACAATACTGTGAAGGTATCCTGTTGGCCCTAACATGAGAAAGCCAACTGCTTCTGGTGGTTTTACAAACAGATATAGAGAAAACAGCATTAGCCACATCAGTAGCTATATACCAAGTGCCAAGTGCTATGTTGATTTGTTTCAGTAAAAATAATACATTTGAGACAGCAGCAGCAATTGGAATCACTTCCTGATTAAGTTTATGAGTCCACAGTTATTCTACTAGATGTATCCTGTACTGGTGAATTAAATGAGAGTAAGTATCACCACTCCTACTCCTTTTAAGACTTTTATGATAGCACTGATTCCTGCAATTCCTGCCAGCCATGCAGTGTTGTGTTTAGTGAGCTAAGTGGAAGCTCTAAGAGCTCCTGGAGCTTCCATTTAGCTCTCCCTAATAATAGCCCTCATTCTATGGCTAAATCCCAATGTGGGGATCCTGTCAGTTGCTAAGTATGTCTGTTACAATTATTAGATTGGTGCAAAAGTAATTGCTGTTTTTGCCATTAAAATTATGCTGTTAATACATATTCCAATTACACTGGGAAAGTAGCCACATAGTTGGTATGTGGACTAACAGTGGTGATTTCTGTCCCCAGGAATTAGCATCAACTCAGAGCCAGTGTTTAGTAAACCTCAAATGATCTGTGTATTTCCTTTTCGCCAATGCAGTTTCACTAGTAAATGGCCACATGTCGTTTTGGGGAAAGCTTGAAAGAATTTGCCATGTGTACTGTAGCCAAGGTGCAAGATCCTTCTTAAAGGGAACACAGATTCTCTTTCAACCAAGGGACTATGGGTCTGTGAATTGACTTAGGTCTGAGAACTGAGAGACTGTGACTATCCACTGTGGTGACTCAAGTCAGGTTTTGGCTACCTGACTTAGATCTTTTTACCTGTTATAAATATCAAGCAATAATCTATTTCAACTGCCTATCTATTTTGTTCTCAGAGCAGCTCCGTAAGCCAAGGCAGTCTGATTTCCTGCTGCCCTTTAAGGTACATGTGCGCCCACCTTGTCTTTGTTGGTTATGTGCTGCCTGGTTTCTGCTATTCTGAGATCGTGTCATCCCCATTGAAATCAGGGAGCCCATCTAGATAGTGGCATCCTCTATAGTCAAGGTTTTCAAGCAAGGCTAGTCTCTTTAGACACTGGAGGGCAACCTACTTCCACTGATAAGAGAAAGAGTTGGCGTGTTTAAGATTGTCGGTTTCATCTGGGTCCAACCCATTTCAAGTATTGAGATTCTATTATTAAAAAATAACACCATTTTACACGAAAAACTCAGAATATGTGTGAATTTAATAGCAGTTATAATTCAGTAACATGAAAATTAAAATTTTGTTTGATTCTCAGCATAATTCTTGTTGCTACAATAAACCAGAGCTTTTGGAATTCTGCAGAATATCTCTGGTTCTCATACCATAACTCTGAGAGTTAAAAAACCTGTGCTTGTCATTTCTCTTTATAACCACTCAAAAGCACGCAAAAGAATCCATCCCACACCAGTCTTTCTAGTCATCTTTATAACCATAGCAGTCAAGTGTAGCAGCCACTTGGGGCCCCAAGGCACAGGCTTCAGTTGGCACTTCATCAGGATCAACCACAGGTAATTGCTTAATTGAGATGCCCAGCATGTCATGAATTACATTTCCCTTTGGCAAGGAGCTAAAGCTCAAAACCTCAATCAAACTGACCTTTAATCCCATCTTTGCAGGTCTATTTCTTGGGACTACTCCCGGGACAGGGAAGGCTTAATAAAAAGAATTGTTAACTATAATAGAGGATTAGAGTAATGAAGGATTCACTAGCAAGAAGAGAACTTTAAAGAATATAGCAACAGCAGCTATAAGGAGCTAACCTTATAACTAACTCTTGGGTTGAGAGACAGAGTGCCCAATGAAGAACCTCCCCAATTCCTCCCAGGGCTAAGATCTAGACGTTTTTGGAGAGGGCATGACCTGGCTCACTGAATGGCAGAGAAGTCACCATTGGGCTACGTCTGCAAAGCTTGTGGAAGATGTGCCCTCTGCAACTTGCTGCAAATGCCTCTAGGGTGCCAGGGAAGTTATTCATGGGGTAGTGTCTCACCTCCTCTACAAAGCTCCTAGAGTTGGGCATGTGAGAGGAAATTGCTAGTTACTGAGCACTATAGGACCTTGGCAGTGGAGAAAGCCAGGTATGCTGCAAAAGCTTATCAATACACAGAAATCAGGAAGCAAAATCCTTTTTTTCTGTAATGTCTCTTCAGCGCCCTCTGCTGATAAAGCTTCAGTCCCAGAAGGCAAACGAAAAACTGTTTAAAAGGCTCAGATCCGTTTTTACAGTGCAGTCAAAAAGGGCGAATTTGGAGCTGAGAGGCAATAAATCAATAACTGGCAGAAGCATCACTTCTCAGATTACACTCATGGATTTCGTAGTCAGATGTTTCTACATGTGCCTGGACGGCCCTTTGTCAGTCTCCTTTCCCCCAGGTTTTAACAGGCTGTCACCAAAGGAGGAAATAGTGAGCCCGAAGAGAATGTGCAAGCCCTCTTCTCTTGCATTTCCTCCAGCCCGTCACCAAGTACTCTTCCAGGCACGCCAGGCCCGAGTGTCCTAGGATAGGAAACCTGAGCAACAAAGGGAAGTGGGGTGTAAGCTCAACCCCTGTTGGACGTGGGGGTGCTGGCGCCTGAACGCCCCCGAAGGCCTCAACTCCCAGAAAGCTGCCTGCCAGGTCACAAGAGCCCTGTGAGGTCTTCCTATCGCCGGGACACTGGGAGGCAGGCGCGGGGCGGGTCCGCCGGGCGACGCGCTGTGATTGGGCGCCGTGGGGCCCGCCCCCTCATCTCGGAGCGTCGGGAGGGGGCGGGGCCAGCCGCCCGCTCGGCTCAGGCGCTGCGGGCGCCTATTGACCCAGCGGCTGCTGCGCCGCCGCTGTCTCCTCCTGCTCGTGGCGGGCGGTGCTGGAGCGCCAAGTGGCGCTGGAGAACCGGCGCTTCCTTTCGCCGCTTCCGCCGCCATCTCCGCGTTTGTGGGGCGGGAAAGAGGGAGGGGGCTAGCGGCTGCAGCTGGAGCGGGCTTCTCTCCGGGGACGGTCCTTTCCTCCCTGCTCTCCTTTTCCTTCTTTCCGCGTTGCCGCCGCCCGCCCCCTGCGCCTCCCCGCGGAGCCTGGGTCCGGGAGGGGGAAGGTAGGGGCGGCGGGGGGCGGGAGAGTCTGGCGAGCGGACGCTAGCTCTGAGGAAACTCATCAATCCGTGAGCCCCGGAGTCCGGGGTGCACATCGGCCCAGCCGCAGCGTCGGCGGCGGCGGCGGCAGCAGCACGAAGGGGCTCAGTCGGGGTAGGCGGGGGCGGTGCCGGTGCCGCGGGGGCGGGCCCGACCGTCCCGCCCAGAAGTTGTAGGGCTTGGCTCCTCGCGATCTTGTTCCTTTCCCCTCCGCTTCTCTGACCTAGCTGCGCGGCCCCGGCCCGGGAGCTGCCGAACCCGCGCCTCCCCTGGGTGAGGAGGACACGCCTGCCCTCGTCGAGAAAACTTTTCCTGCCGACTCAGTTGGGGCGGCGGTGGCAGGAAGTGCGGGCAGCGACCTCTCCTCCGCCTGCCCCGCGCGCCCTGCCGGAGGTCGGCGCTGAGCTTGCGATCAAGTTTGTGGGGGCCCCCCTTCCCAGTTGCCGGCGAGTCTCGCCTCGAGAGGGGCGCCCGACCCCGGGGAGGGCGGCAGGCCAGGGCGAAGGCCAAGGGCGTGTGGTGGCGCCGGAGACTAGGTGCGGAGCAAGGCGGGGACTCGCACCCGCATCCGAGAGCGCGGAGGTCGCGCAGCCCGGGAGAAGGGAGCCTCCGGCGGCTGCTTCCTAGAGTCCACAGTGCGCTGTCTCCTTTGGCTGAGGAGAGTGTCCTGGCCCCGAGTCTATCGAGGAAAATGAAGTTAAGCCGCCAGTTCACCGTGTTCGGCAGTGCGATCTTCTGTGTGGTGATTTTCTCGCTCTACCTGATGCTGGACCGGGGTCACTTAGACTACCCCAGGAACCCGCGCCGCGAGGGCTCCTTCCCTCAGGTAAGCACCTGGGAAGGGGGCGCGGGGCTCCGAGGGGCCAGGCGTGCGGGCCCCTGGTTAGCGGCTGCTACCCAACCTCTTCCTCCCGCCGCGGCCCCACACCCGTGCTGGGCGAGGCCAGGGGCTCTGTAGCTCTCGGACGGCAATGATCACCTCCTGGGAGCCACCTCGCCCGGGCGCGCCAAGTTAACAAAGTGCTGGGCGGCGTGCGGCGGCGGCGGCGGCATCATCCCGCTCAGGAAAGTGGCCATGTTCCGGCATTCGCACCCGGCCTGTTGGGGTGGCTTCGGGCACCTGCTGGCGGGGGAACGGGCGCGGCGTGAGGCACCCCCCGCCAGCCCGGGGCCCGCGTATCCCGGTGGGGTCGTTCTCGGCTCTCACAGGGTTAAGCCGCCCGCACCAGCCCAGAGCCCCTGAGCGCACGGAGTCGCGGAAATGGATCAAACCGAACCCACCTAGGCTTTTTTTTCTTTTTCTTCCCCGCTGCCTCTGAAGAGAGAGAAGTTTATTTCGTGTTGCGGCCCTTTTAGATGTGAATCTCTAGGTTGATTTTAGTGTCGTCATTCTTCAGCTATTACATCTGGTTTGTTTGTGGCAGACAGGGGGAACCGAGTGGGGAAGCGCGTGTTATACTCCGGCCGAAAGCTGTGGGGCGCTCAGTCCTGCGTCCAGTGGTTAAATTGGTAAATGAGTTGGGAAGACGACCCATCCAAAGTCTTATTTAAAGTTACCAAAAATAAGCAAAGCGGACACAGTCTGTTCCCTTTGGAAGGGTATCCACCGCGCGGCATGTGCGAGTTCAGTTTCAAGTTACTTGCCAATATAACCCGTGCACTTCAGAAATTGCGGTGAAACTGGGTATTGTGTAGTGTGTAGTGTGCTCTGTAACGAATGAACCTGAAGAACTCAAACCCTGACAGGGCAATCTAACTATTCCTACTTGACTTACGAGAAAGAGAAGCCTAGACGTGAAGTTGATATATATTTTTTTCTCTTTTGTGATAACTTAAATGACCAAAGAATATCCTTGCCATTTTTTTTGTGTTATGCTAGAGCAAATGGCTTGAATTTAATTGAGATTAAAGTAAAAACTTTACTGGAATTATTGTGAAAGTGAAAAAAGACCCTTTTATGGATGCTGTCATCAATACAGAGCACTCAACATGTTTTGTCGGTGAGAGGTTTTAAAAATCTTGCTGCAGAGAGATGTATCAAAATTTTAAAAGCCTCTGCTTCCCCTAGGTAGTATGACAGAGAAAATAGAAACAAGCACTGAGGGCATCTTTAAATCTTGAGCTCAGAGCTTGTCCAGTGCTTCTTGATGAGGTTGAAGAAAACAGTTGGAAAAAGGTAAGGAGTTTTAAGCTTAGCTTGATATGTTGTGTAATTTTGGGGTTGAAATTACTGTAATTTTTTTCCCTCCAGTAACCTCATTTTCAGATTTTCCTCCATTACAGGAAAATCATAAAAAGTGATATTTTTACTTAAAGTGTTTTCTAAAATAATGTCCTTTGGCTTTGGCTTGATGATCACTTGAAAATGGTTTATGCAAACATCTGGACCTGGGTTTTCTGGCAACCTTGACATTTTCTCTGTTCAGAATCTAAAGACATGAGTGACTCATTCAGTTACTGAGAAATCTTAGGCAAAGCTAATTCCAGTATTGTAATATCTATCCTTAGTCCTCAATGAGAGGCTGAAGTTCTGCTTTAAGCGTAAAGCATTTGATGAAAGGTCAAAGTGGCTGCTGGAGGGGAAGGCTGTTGGTACTCAACTGGGAGGTGGAACATTTTGCATTTAAGATTGCCTTTCTCAGATTTTCTGTACTGGATTTTCACTGCAGAAAGAAGGTATTCTTTAAGTGCTTGGACGGCCACTGAATCCTCAAGCAGATAGACATTCTAAGACCCCTCTGTAAGCTTAACCGTTATGTGTGTGACATTAGCCTTCGTATCTTACAGGGTAAAACTTAAGTGGCGAGGGGACTGAGGCACTGAGGCACGGAGAGATTAATTAGCTTGCCCAAGATCACACAGCTGCAAGCTGAGATTTGAACAGGTAGCCTTTGTAGCCCAGGCTCCCAGCCACTGAGTTGTCTTGCCTCTTAGGAATCTGTTGCCTACTGTTTAGGCTGCCATTTGCTTATGGAAAGATCTGATGTAAAATATAGAGCAGTGATCCTCAACCTTTTTGGTACCAGGGACTGGTTTCCTGGAAGACAGTTTTTCCACAGACAGGGGTGGGGATGGGGGGAGTCGGGGGTTTCGGGGGATGGTTTGGGGATGAAGCTGTTCCACCTCAGATCATCAGGCGTTAGATTCTCATAAGGACCATGCAGCCTAGATCCCTGGCATGCGCAGTTCACAATAAGGTTCGTGCTCCTATGAGAATCTAATGCTGCTGCTGATCTGACAGGAGGTGGAGCTCAGGCGGTAATGCTTGCTGACCTGCTATGCCACTCACCTCCTGCTGTGTGGCCTGGTTCCTAACAGGTCCATGGCCCTGGGGTTGGTTGCCCCCTGTATAGAGCATGTTGCTCTCTGGTACCTTAGCTTATGACTAAAGGAACTTTTATTTTGAAGCCATAATGAATATGGTCCTTTTTCTGAAACATTTACTGCTAGAGATTTATACCCTTCCCAGAATGTCTTTGAGCTCATTTCAGAGCTAAACATTATAATGAAAACCATTGTGTAGTCCAGCATCCAGAACTTGAGTTGATTCTTTTTTTTTTCACTGCTTCTAACTTATTCTTAATAATACCAAACATAGCAAAAGGAGGTTGCAATACATTTGTTTGGCAAGTTTGGGTATTGAATTCTTGAGTTTTAGTAGAGCCAAGCAGGTCGGTCACTATGTGTCATTTTTTGGTATCTAGTAGAACGGTTTATTTAGATAGGTATTGGGTTCCTCTAAATTGCCCATTTAGTTGGTTTCAGTTGATACGGAACCTTCACTAGGCTTTAGGTCTATCTTGTAAACAAGATATTTTTAAAGACCATCCTAGATTGAGAGCAATCTATTTGTTGTTTTTTTGGAGAGCGGGGGTTTGTTCTTTTTCTCTTCTCTCACAACTCTGGTGTTTTCCACCATTTGGCTGGACTCTGGGGCAAGAGTGGGCTGGCCGAGGGTGCTCCAGTTTCTCTCACCCCGGAACAGCTGCCTGCCTCTAAGATATTCTTTGGAAGTCTATCCTGAAGCACTCCGAAGCCTTGCTTCTGCTTCTGGGAGGAATTCCTTGGAGGACTAGAGGCAACAGGGGGCCTAATCTGTTGAAACTTGTGTGTATATTTCAGGGTTAATAAATCTCAGCTAAGAAAATTAATAAAAATTCCACTGTGAATGAGAGGTTGGTCAGAGACTAATGTCTTGAAAATGCTTTATGATAACTTGGAAGAATTTGAGCAGATGGAAAGGAGAAACTTTGTTAAGGTCTCCCTGAAATTAGTCATCACTTCTTACAAGCAGATTTCACAAGGTGCTTACTATCTATGGTGTGTATAATAGGGTTGTCTTATTAATTAGTCTGATGTTTGGATCTGGAGAAGTAAATTAATGAGTCAGGTTTTGTATAACAAATGATCACTTTTTAAGTAATTAGTGTAGCATATGACCGTAGAGATTAATATTAACTCTTAAAATATGGAAATTGAGACTCCGATGGAAAATGTGAAAGTGAAGTTAAAACTTTATCTTTTTGCCTATGTAACATTTATCAAGTGAGAAAGTGAGAATGCCTTTAAATAAGCATTTGATTGAAAGCCATTAGAAGGTGAGAACTTGTATACCTTTTTTTTTTTTTCTTTGGGATAGGGTTTTGCTCTGTCATCCAGGCTGGAGTGCAGTGATGGAATCACAGCTTACTGCAGTGGCCTTGAATTCTTGGGCCCAAGCCATTCTCCCACCTCAGCCTTCTGAGTAGCTGGGACTACAGGTGTGTATGCCACTGTGCCCAGCCAGTTTTAAAATTTTTATTTTGTGGAGACGGGGTCTTACTATGTTGACCAACTGGTTTCAAATTCTTGGCCTTAAGCTATTCTCCTGCCTCAGCCTTCCAAAGTGCTGGGATTATAGGTGTGATTCACTGCTCCCAGTTGCCTTTTGTGTTTTTTTTTTTTAACTTACTGTAATACACATACAGAAATGTGCTTACATACTTTACATCAGTAGTACTTAAGAGTCCAGCATAGTAGATGTTATTAATGAAAGTTGACTCATGGCAATACATATAACTAGGACTTTGATTCCCCAGTTTTTTTCTTGCTTTCATAAATCTGTAAATCTTACTTAAGAATGACATATAAGGAAAATATGATCTCCTTCCCCTTCCTTGAGTGCAGTCTATTTATAAACAATAGCACTTGGTGCTGGGGTTTGTTCACGTTTGTATGAGGGAGATTGTCTTATTTTCTGGGATATAATGCGGAGATCTGTGCTTTTTGGGAAGTGATGGAACGTTGATAGTGCATCCAGCATTTAGGAATGCAAGAACAAACATTAGAGCCTTTTGAGGATGGTGTCCTCTAACTCCTCTTCAGTCCAACAGCCCTGTGGGTCTCTTCCTGATCAGCATTTTTCACTAAGACCCAAACTTATTTCCTGTAAACCAACTGGGCCAGATACTCATGACTGTCTGTGGTCTGAAGATAGTAGTTTATGTTTTGTTTTTTGTTTTTTTTAAATTGAATTGGGTGTGTTGTTCCCAGATGAACACTGTTATCAGGGCCTAAACAAATATTTTTGTCAGGGAGATGTCACAATTGTATTATTGGAAGGGGATTTTCTCTCTTAGCTTTTAATTTGCATTAAGAGGTGTCTGGGCTGTGGGCAAAATAGTGGCTAAAATGACCACTTTTATTTGTTTTTGAGTCAGCTATTGCTTTTTGTGATAACTGAAAACTTTAGTCTTTTTTGAAGGACTGAAGTGTTGAGAGTTTCCTGGAATGAGTGGTTCACTAGCTGTTGCTGATCACCTGGTTTATTCTTAGCTTTTTTTGCATTCAGGAGTCTTAGTTTTCCCTTGTTCTCCAACTTCTGTAATCTTTAAGAAAATGAAAGGATATTTAGCAGCTCTGATGACCTGTATTTGCTGGATTGTAAAGGCCTTATTGCATTTTTTATCCCTTCTGTCTTGGTAAAAGTTCCTGATAGCAGCAGCTTTTATAAAAGTTTGAGCAGAACTAAGGCAAGGAGGAAGAACTCTAAAATAGTGATTTTTGCTTCTCAGTTGTTATTAGTAGGTTAATCAGGAGAGGAAGTAGGACATTTTAACTAAAATGGGTTTCTGTTTCAGTTATCAAGCCAAGCTGCTATTTTTAAGTTTGAAACCATTTTTAAATTCAGACAGGTTTGAGGATTAATTGTACTGAAATGGAGCTCACATCTAGTGCTTTAGTGAGTATAGCTAAATGTGCCTATAATAGGGAGGAAGTAAATCATTTGGTTTGATGAACTCTGTCACTTGAGGTCATATCATAGCTTTTCTGAAAGAGTGCCCTGTTTAAGGTAATTATATTTTATGCAGACAGGTGGATAGTAGGTATCTAGTATATATCTTTTTTTTTTTTGAGACGGAGTCTCACTATGTTGGCAGACTGGAGTGCAGTGGTGCAATCTCAGCTCACTGCAATCTCCACCTCCCGGGTTCAAGCGATTCTCCTGCCTCAGCCTCCCGAGTAGCTGGGATTACAGGCACAAGCCACCATGCCCAGCTAATTTTTGTATTTTTAGTAGAGACGGGGTTTCACCATGTTGGCCAGGATGGTCTCGATCTCCTGATCTCGTGATCTGCCCGCCTTGACCTCCCAACATGTTGGGATTACAGGCGTGAGCCTCTGCGCCTGGTTGGTATCTCTTAAATATCTTAATGTTAAATTTCTAAATCTAACATACTGTTTTCTAAAGAAGAGAAAGTACTTTAGTTTAAAACTGGACATACTCTACCATTTGCTGCCTCTATCCAGGCTTTGTAACCTCTTTGCTGTTGACATTTTGGGCCAGAGAATTCTTTCGTGTTAAGGGCTGTCCTGTGCGTTGTAGGGTGTCTAGCAGCATCCTTGCTGTCTACCCGATATCTGCCAACATCACTGTTCTCTCTCTGTACCCCTAGTTGTAGGAACCAACAATGTCTCCAGACACTGCTCTCAATATCCTCTGGGAGTGGGAATCATCCCTGTTGAAACTGTGTTGGCTGTGGCCTCTTCTTTATACCCAGTACATGTCGTTAGCACTTCTGTGTTTTAGGAAGGATTGATCAAAAGGCCGAAGCTCAAAAAGCCAATTAGCATTTTTTGATGGGTGAACTCTATTCTTTCTCAGGATGCCTGAAATTCACTTACACATTTAGGATTCTAGATTGTAGTATGTTACAAAAAATTTCAAGGATAGATTATGTTCATAGGTAAGTTGAAGGAAAAAATGGAAGATTCTTATAATGGAACGTAAAAAAATTCTTTTCCAATTGGACGTGTGTATTCTGAGAAAAACATTAGGGTCAGGTCATTGTAAATAGATCATCTTTTACTTTCTTCCAGCTGAATTACAGGTTGGCACTTATCCAGATTTATTCCTCTTAGCATAGGAAGATAAGATATATTGATTAATAAGGTAGTATAAAAATTGTCTGCAAAAATGTTTTGAAATGTCTGCAGTTTTCTCAGGCAGACTGTTTACTTTTCAGTGTATTGTTTTTATTTCTGTTAATTTTGATGATTCTGGTTACAACATTTTAAATATCTTCTTGAGATGAGAAAAAGCAGGGAAAGAAACTGGAAAATAAGGAGAGTGGATAGAGACTTTCCTCCTGATCATTTCATTTTGTCCTCTAAATAGCATTTTTTACGAAAGTGGGGTGGAGGTGGGAGGTTAGGGAAAGAATGAAGTTCTTGACAAATAATCTTCCTTCTTTTGTCTCCAAGGCCTCTGGTTTTGAACTCTGCTGAGTCAGCTAACTATGAGTGAAATCTGTCTGCCACCTGTCTTTATAGGGCCATGTGCTAAGAATGGTTTTTACATTTTTAAGTGGTTTAATAATGTTTCATGACATAGCCATGGTCATTCATCTACCAATTGTCTCTGACCACTTTCACACAACAGTGGCATAGTTTAGTAGTTAAGACAGAAACTGGCTCACAAAACCTAAAATATTTACTCTCTGGCCCTTTTCAGAGTTTGCCAATCCCTAGTTTAAACTATATTTCTCTATTGTTAATATTGGAGGCAAATAGTATTGTTAGATCTGTTAAAGTAGATGTGAGTTAATTAAAGACAAACAAAATTCTCGTAAATTGGTTATTAGATAAGCATTGGTCAAACTTTGTGTTTTTAGAGAGTGGTTTAAAACTTGTGTTATCTACATGTTTCATAGATTTCCAGGTATCCTTGGGGAACTTTGATGCTAGAGCATCGACATGCTTGATGAGTTTGTTTCTCTTCTTTCACCTGAAGGTTTTGCACTGTAGGACTGCTCTGGGAAGGAAGGTTCTGGGCCATGAACTAGGCAAAATTGATCCATAGCTTCAAGACTGAAAACCATGACTTTATGACTTTTTGGATCTGCTGTAATTCACAGATGGGCTTAATTCTGAGCCCAGTCTGATTGCTTGGGTTAGTTAGTCCTGAGAAGGGAGAGCTCAGGTATAGGTATCTTCTTCATAAGCTGTAAATAGAAGATGGAACTCAGCCGGTCTCTGGGATCCTGAGCGTTGCTCAGCTTGGAGGCAGGGTACTTTCAGGTTGTCAGCAGAGGTACTGGCCTGCTCTTCTGCTTATCAAAGAGCAGTTCTTGCTAATTTTCATCATTTTCTTCACTTTTAAAGATTATATGTCACTTTCTTTGCTGTGTTGCTGTGACACAGGCTAACACCCCATTTGTGTCCTCACAGATTTTAGTATCATCTTTAAATTGCAGTATACTGAGTCCGAACAAAATGGGGGTAATGCGTCTCATCGAGTAGTATTAAGGTTAGTGTTAAGTAGAGTTTTTTAAGTATTTGTTTTTTTGCATTTAAAAATGTATGCATTTGTGTATTTTTCACATGTAAATGGATTTACCACTGGCCTCCTTTGCAGGTGGTGCCTTTGGAAGTCCAGAGAAATTAAATGCTTTTTCCAAGAGCAGAGAAGACTCTAAATTTGACCCTGTCCTATGTTCTTGCTGGTGCACTTCATTGGCTTCAGTGAGGAGTCCGGAGAGCTGGGACTTTACCAATGATTTTTTTTTTCTTTTAAACATGTAAAAGGTATAAATGCACATAGAAATAATTCAAATGACATAGAAAGGTACACATTGACAATAGAATCCCTCTCCCTTTTTTCCCCATCTTTAGTCCACTCTTCTCTGAGTCCCACTTCTGACCATTTCTTTATGTTCCATGTGTGGTTCCTTCTTTAAATATATGCATATACCTCTGTTTTGATTTTTGTTTCAATTTTGAGCTATTGTTTCCCTTTATAAGAGATGAAGAATTTAACTCAATACCCCCTACTCTTCCCAGTTTTTAAAAAAGTTTTGTATTCAATTTCTGTTTGATATACATTAACAGCTTTCAATGATGTAATTGCATTTGTTTTCTTGATTCATCAACTTTAGGCCTAAAGTGACTCCCCACTCTGTCAGTCAAGGAATTTGGTACTTCTCAGCCTTCTCCCACTCAATTTCTCTTCCTTCTCATTTCTCACCCTCCCTCAGCCATCAGTTTTTTTACATCAACATACCTTATATCATCTACATTTCATTCTGTGACTGAATGTGTTATGTACTCTGACTATAGGTTGGTTACAAAAATTGAAAACCAGTAAACAAGGATACGGAATTTTAGGTAGGAGGAATAAGTTCAAGAGATCTATTGTACAACATACTGATTATAATTAATAATAAAGCATGTAGTTTTGAAAATTGCAAAGAGTAGATTTTAAGTGTTCTCACCACAAAAAAGAATAAATAAGTGATGTAATGCATATGTTAATTAGCTTGATTTAGCATTCTACAATGTATGCATTTTTCAAAATGATATACTTGATAAATATATACAATTTTTATTTGTCAGTTAGAGCTCGTTTGGAGGTTCCAGCAGGGGAGTGCAGCTCCTTGTATACCCTTGACCGAAGACCCGTCCTCCATCAGGGATGGTCATCCTCTACGACTGAGCATGCAGCTTCAGGAGGGGCTCACATAGAGTGGTGAGGGAGGAAGGGGACACCCGCCTAGCCAGCCAGATCAGCCGAATCAACCCTGGCGATCAATGGGGTGACAGATTTCGCAGCCAGATCGCCCTCACATCCTATTTGTCAGTTAAAGAAATAAAAAATGTTAAAAAAAAGAAAACCAGTACATAGTGTTTTCAATTTTATGATATTAAATACCATGCAGTATATGTCAGGTAGTTTGGCTTCATAAGAAGGAGGGATAATCTTGATAATTACACCTGTGCCACTTGAAGGAAATATTCTGAGCATTAGAGCAAGTGGAGTCTCTTATATTCCAGCTGGTGAGAATCATGCTATATTTCAGTTTCCTTAACTTCTGGACCATGACTTCCTGATATGTAGTTTTTGTTTTTTCTGTCTATTTCTAATTCCTTTCCCTTTTTGTTAGCGTCAGAGGAAATAGAAGTTATTGATTCCTGTCTCTTGAATCTCATTATTTAAAAAATCATTTTACAACTCATTATGCACCAACATTTTGGTCCCTTGTGCCTACTCAGGATTGAAAGTATGAAGTTTTGCCGGTTTTTTTTTTTTTTTTTGGTCGTTCACAATTACTGTTTCCTCAAACTGCCATGCTTCTTCTAGAACTGATAGTGCTTTGTTTCCTTTGTGATGAGAAGCCTTTCCCTTCAGGGTGAGGACTTCGGGGCTGAAGATGTACTTTGCAGCAGTTCCCTTCTGTTTCTTCATACCACAGATGTAGAGGAATGTGGCATTTATGGGTCCTGGCCTTGGTGGTAACATTTTACCTGTAGAGCATCGGAACATTGAAGACTGAGAATGTGAATCATTCTTAGAATCATTTTCTACATAAAGTCCTGAATTGGTGTTTTTAGAATCCAGTGAAGCAGTCATTCTTTTAACAGTCACCAGCATTCCAGAAAAGTCATGAAAAATTCAGGCACAGAATTGTAGAGTAGGCTGGGTCCTTCCAGGTCAGGTAATTTTTAGTCTTTGATTTTTCAGATAAGGGCACCGAGTCACACATAAACTAGACCTCAGCAATTTGCCCAGTCACAGGATACCTGGGACATGCATCCTGACTTATAATTCACTGGCCTTCCACTGTACTATACCCATATCCAACATATATTTGAAAATTTACTGGGTTAGGTAATATGGAAATTGTGGTAGACATATGTTACTTGTTTTGAAAGAACTTTTTAGTTATTTAGGGAAACAAAACTGCCGTTTGTGAAACTATTAGAGCCAGTTAAGTGCTATTATTCATTAGAAGTTAAAGAGGTTAGAATGTTGCCTGGCATATAGTAAGTGCTCAGTAAATGCTAGTTGTTACCAATGGACAGAGATTTGTAGCATACCTATTATGTAGCAGGCACTGTTCTAGGTTCTGGGAATACAGGAGCTAAGACTAAAACAAGAGTCAATGATATTATTTTACATTCCTGATATAAAGACAAAGGCCTTAAAGAGAACTCAAAAACAGAAACAAGTTTTGGTGATGGCCTGGCTTAAGTTGACTAAAGGAGAGGGTAAAGAAGCTAAGCTTTCCCTATGGGACGATACTTTGAAGGGAGAAAGAAAATTGCTAGTGTAAAGTACGGTGCTTATGAAGGCTTTGAATCCTGGAGGAGATTGGCTTGATTTAGAATCTTTGGTGCCTGTGAAGAGTAGTTGGGAAAACACTGTAGGTAGTTCAGGATCAGATTGCAAATTGCCCTGAGAGTTTGTCTGAAGAGTTATGAGTTAGATGGTAGTGAATCACTCCAAGTTATTGAATATACCAGGAAGCTGCTTGAGAAAAGCAGTGTGAGAGAATTAATTTTGTAGAAAATTTCAGACCTGGAAAGGAGCTAAGAGAATATTCAATCTAGATTATTCTGGTAGCTGTGTGTAGGAAGATTCAAGTAGGAAGGCAGCTGAGAATCTGTTTGAGGTAATATAGACATAAGGCAGTAAATCCCTGTACCAGTATTGAATTGGCTAGAATCGGGAGGATGAAAAATGTGGAGACATTTTGTAAAGAGAAAGACCAAAGCTTTTTAACAGGTTTGATCAAGGGTAATGATGAGTGGCTTGAATCAGAAAATTTCTCCTACCTTTTTCCATTGGGGTGTTGGAGACTGGTTGTACTATTTGCAGAAGGAGATAGGGACAAGCTGATCTGGAAAGTCAAGTTCATTTCATTTATGATGACGTGGATGTTAGTGGAAATAATCAAGTGGGCTGGAAAGCCAGTGAGAGATCAGGGAAGGGAGATGCTGATCTGGTAGTCATCAGCATAGCCGAGAATGAATGAGCTCACTTGGGGACTGTGCTTAGTGAGGGCAGGGCCAAGTACATTTCTGATAACCAAAAGCTGCACATCTTACATTAAGAATATTTTGTAGCAGATGTTAATGAAATAAAGCAGCTTGTGTTCAAATTGTCAGAAACCAGCAGCTCATGGATCAGCTTACCTAAGAAAAGATAAGATGATCAGAAGGAAGGATTTCAAAGAAGCGTTTTAGTAGAGTTTAAAAAAGACCCTTCTCATCTTTGGCACAAATGATAAGACTAAATTATTTTTTTTCTGGGTTAAGACAGAACATAAATTGTGTGTGTGTGTGTGTGTGTGTGTGTGTGTGTGTGTCTGTGTGTGTAGGGAGGATGGGCAGCCCGGTGGTGGAGAGGGAGAGAGAGATTTATTAAGGATCAAAATGCAACACCCCAAATAGGGGGCTGAAGTTTGAAAGTTGTTCTGAAAGTCAGACAGATTTCTGAGAATACCCTCCAAACTGCCTCTTGTTGATAGTAAAGAAAAACTCCCTTCTGTTGGGCTGGTAGGTGACCCCATGAACTGGAGAAGTAAAAACTGTCTTTGACCCTGGGCTACCTCTGGAAAATTTGTAGGGTCAAATAACAACACTTGATGTATAGGATATTTCTTGCTACTTTTAGGTAGAAGATCCAACCAATAATTGTTTTAAACAAAAGAGATTTGAGAAGAACTCCAGAAATTTGTATCCTTAACTCATCTTTGATAACCAATGGTATGATATTTAGAAGTTTGCTATTAATGTATTTTTATGTATTATGTTATGTCTTACTACTGCATTTGTTGCTTCTGTGTCTCACCTTGCCCTTGTAGACCAGTTGTTACAGATGGATTTTTATAAAGAAAGGCAATAGGAAAGAATTTGTAAAACTTTAGAGTCTGTAGTGCTTGTATAAAGAGTAGTTTGGAAATTCAGAATTTATAATAATTCAGATGAGACTTGCCTAAATACCTGTCCCCTGTCAATAAGAAATAGAAGGGACTTATTCAGGAGATGATTAGTATAAATAAGGTTGAAGGGGGGTTGATTATCTACTTAATACAACCCTGCCTTCAGAGGCTTTCCAAAACTATTTCTGTATGAAAAACGATCTCAGACATGTCAGTTGCATTTATTTTAATAGGCCAACACTGTTTAGGTTGATTACTGACAATTATTTTCTTTTTGTTTTGAAATTGTTTGTCAAAATTACTTGTTTAAAATTATAAGATGTTGACAGAACTTTTGTTAGCATATCCTAACATGCAATACATGGCATTAATTCATGGTAAATGTGTTTAGGTAGTGTGAATGGATAGTGCCTAGTAACCTTGTGTACAAAGATAAGCATTTGTCAAACATGTAAGACAGATTACCAACATAGACCAGCAACCATTGCCTATATGATGTGTTAACAACATGACCCTGTTTAGCTAGCTGAGAATTGTTAAGGCCTGAAAGCATATCACATGAACCTTCATGCAAGTTCTTGGGTGGGATACACTGTTGACAGATTCTGTCAGAGTGCTAAGCATAAGAATATAAATTAAAAATAAGTTTTAGAAGTAAAGTCGGTGTGGTTTTTAAAAAAAAATCCTGCAAAGAATAGTGTTCCATAGAACAGATTGGGAAGTGCTGAATTAAAGAAAGAGTTCTGTTAGTCAACAGTTAATATGTTTAGTGCCACTTAATTGCAGTTATTAAATGGATTTGTAAGTAATAAAACTGCATTTTATTAAAATTTTATAATCTACACATTTTGCCCTAGTTATACACCCTTCTTCCACTCACTTTTAAGTGGTTATCTGTTTTGCATAGTCTCATTTTATGTAATAGCTTGATGTCTAAAATGTTGCCTCAACAGGAGGTAGTTTCTGTGCAGCCATATTGGGCTGGTGCAGATAGGGCCATATGGTTCTAATCTAAACATACATCTGGAAACTCATAGGGTGGAGCTGGTGCTGTCTCCTGGAACCTGTAGAAAACGTCAGCAACTGGAGTCCTGACCACATTTTTGGAGGAGGGTGGTGAGGGAATGAGATGCTATTATTTGAGGTCAGGGCTTGGATCCTGTGTAGTGATTCTGGCAGCTACTAAGTTGGTGGCCCAGCTGCAGTAGTCATGAGTCCCTTGAGTGCTCTGCCAGAACAAGGGATGTTGGGCTTGGAGTCCCAGCTTTTCCCTTCACAGTCATTTGGCACTCTTACCTGCATCTGAGCAGCCTCTGTTACTGTCATACCTAGGCAGGTGTGAGATTTATGAAAAATGATTTGCCTGGGCAAAGAGTATATTGCTTCTGCAATTTGGTAAGGTATTCTGTAGCTACGTATTTTTTGTGCTCACATCGTGAGGGCATTTATTTCTTTGAATGGACAAGTGGCTGCACAAAGACAAATTGCACAATTTGGAAGAAATTCAGGCATGTTAGGCTCTGAGTCTGGAAAATACCATTAAAAGGTTATTTATAACTGGCTTGTGGCTCATTGACAGACAGGTGGAGATACATACAGAATCGTGGCCACAGCCCCAGTTCACACTCTTTTTGGCCTCAGCACTACACATCTTAAGGGGTGGAGTGGGCGCTTGGAGGGTTACCTGTCATTTTATCAAGCCCAAAAGCCTTCCTGTTAAGTTCCAGAGATCTGACTAAAGGCAGGGTTTTTCTGTAGAGATTGAATAGTGGTTGACTGACCAGGGACTGCAGCAATAACGATGACACCCCTGCTGGAAATACAGACTCTCTTTTACCAAATCGCAGTTCCTATATTTAGCTTTAATGCGGCGCTTCTTAACTGGGGATGTGTGAGAATCGCCTGGTGAGCCATTTTAAATTATAAAAGGCAGATCTCTGCGCTTTTCTAGGTAATCCCATTTGTTCCCATTGCTTGAAATTCATATTTATTCTGGCCACTCAAGTTTATATATTTAGCCCTGACTTCTCTCTTGAGTTCCAGACTTGCATGTTCACTGACACCACCATTCAGCTATCTAATAGTTTCAGAATATAACATTTGCCCTTCTGTCTCCTCCCCAGTAACTGGCTTGTGGGCCTGTTCCTCTAAAATGCCACCCATAATCCTCCCCCTTGCCCTAGCAAAAAACTCAATGCCAATTTTTTTTCCTTTCCTGCCCCTCCCATTCCTAACTCATCTTTCTTGTCATTCTTTCATGTTCCTTCCCTTCCTGTCCAAGCTACCATGGCTTTTACCTGGCAAACTGCAGTCTTTTACTCCATATGCCCTACTGTGGCTCCAGAATGGCTTAAAATTTTTTAATTGATTGATTCTAAAACTCAGTCTAAGATAAAGATGTTGATGCTGCTTTTTCTGAAAATTACTTTGAACCATAAAGGGTGACTCTGTCTTTTCTTAACTCCTTTATTCAAAGTTAGGTGTAGAGCCTTGTTAGACCAAATTATGCCCCTGGAAGACAGTTTATGAGGTTGCACGGCCTCACCCTCCATTGCTTGGGCTCACAGCTCCTTAGGGTCATGGCTCTCCAGCTCTGATGATGGAGATTTGGGCAAGAATTTCTCTAAAAAGGACTAAGCATAAGAATATAAGCTTTATTTTTGTAGGGCCAACTATTTGCTAAGTATATTAGTTTCTTATTGCTGCTATCACCACAAACTTAGTGGCGTAAAACAAGAAAAATGTGTTATCATACAGATCTTTAGGTCAGAAGTCTGAAACAGGCCCTACTGGACTAAAATAAAGATGTCTGCAGAGCTGCATTCCTTCTGGAGCTCCAGGGGAGAATCTGTTTCCCTGCCTTTTCCAGCTTCTGGAGGCTGAGTGCATTCCTTGGCTCAAGGCTGCCTTCCAGCAATAGCATCATTCTGATTTCTTGTGTCCTCACATCTCCCTCTCTGGCCTGACTCTTCCATTTTCCTCTTTTCCTTATGATTACATTGGGCCTACTCAGATATTCTAGGGTTTTCTTCCCATCTGCAAAGCCTTAAAATTAATTACATCAGTGAAATTCCTTTTGTCATGTAAGGCAAGGTATTCACAGATTTCAGGGATTATTAGGACAGGGATATCTTTGACTAAACATTATTCTGCTTACTGCACCAGGCGCTATTTAAATTTACTTGCATATACTAACTAATCCTCATAACAACCCTATGAGTTAGGTATTATTCTCCCCATTTTACAGATGAGGAAACTGCAGCACAGAGAAGTTATGTAACTTTGAACTTGCCCAGAGTTACATAGCCAGTAAGTAGTGGTGCCAGAATTCAAATTTTGGTTGGCTTCAGAGTCTGTTCTTAATTATGACACATACTATCTGGAGGTGCATATTGTAGTACCCTTCAAAGTGATTTTTCAAAAGCCATACTTTTACTATGTAGCAGCAGCTGCAATAATACTTTCTTCACTGCTTACTTGTTGGCAGGTCCTGTGCTAAATTCTTTCACAGCCAGTCCAAGCAATGGATATTAGTATCTGCATTTTGCCCATAGAAACTGAGGCCCAGGATTAAGTTACTTCCCCAAGATCACATGGCCAATAAGTGCGGAAACTAGTATTGGAAGCCAGATAGCCTGAACAGGAGCCAATGCTTAGCCATTAAGCTGAATTGCTTCCACCTTTATCTGGTGAAGGATGTCATTAAAGATAAAGGTAATCTTTGCTCTTACATGGTGGGCACATTTGATGACATAATCAGAGTCCAGAAAGAACTTGATGTGTTGGAGTGATATGTTGAATCTAACACAATTAGATTTGAAGGAAAAAAAAAACATAAATGAAAGGTGGTATAGATCCTAAGTTTCAGATACATGCATACACTTTGGGGTAAAGTTTTGTTTCTTTTGAATGCTGCTATCGGTGGGTATATTATAAACATATATATCTTCTACAGCTCTTATAACTAGAAACTTGATTTGGTTGAGTGCAGATCTTATATCACTACCATGATAGGAAATAGTCCAGAATTATCTTGGGGTTCTTTTTCCAAACTTCCTTCACTCCCCACAAGAGGTGAAAATAATAGTCTCTTGAGCCAGGTTAGTGATGGTAGTGAAAATGGAAAACTTTTGATTGGACTGTACAGAATCCATAATCTTTGCTCTAGAAAGGGAGCCACATATTGTATTCTATTCACCAGGTCATGGTTGTCATCCTGTGGCCAACGTGGGTCCCATTCTATGTTATTTCCCAAACAGCCCATGAAAACCACCCTATTAATTAGCTCTTTCCTTCCCATTCTTACCTACTTTTTGGGATGCAGTGAAGACTTCTTTTGGATTTTCTTTCTTCAAAAATGGTGTGTTTTGTTTTTATTTGTATTATTTTTGGTGTGGGTTTGTATGCCAAAACATTGAATACTTAGAAAAAAATGTTACATGCCATTTTTCTTTCTTTCCTTCCTTTTTTTCTCCCAATAAATACCTAAGGTCCTGCTGTGTGCTAGGTAGGTAGGCATCAGGGTACAGTACATTGAGTAAAACAGCTATGGTGCCTGTTGTCAATATAGGGATTCATTTAGTGAGGAAAAGAGGGAAGCAATACATGAATAAAATAGATAATTGTAATAACACTGTGGAGGAAACAAGAAATAAATTGAGATAAACCATAACATGAGGAGGCCTGTTTTAGACTGGCTGGGGAAGGCTATGCAGAGGTGACGTTTGGCATGAGAGTTGAAGCATTATGTAAACAGAGACCATGTACAAAGGTTTTAGGGTAGGGTGGGGAGGAGCTGGCTTGGAACGGAGATAAGATGAAGGTGAAGCTAAGTTGAGAGAAAGAGATATTCAGTCCTTACTGACTGTGGTGTACAATGTTTTGATTTTGAGGGTGCCTAACTAGGTAGAGATTAAAGCCCTTTACTGGAGATCTGAGGACTGTAGGTGTCTTTTTGAGGAGGATGATTTTTGGACTTAAGTTTGAAAGCCAATTTGAGGCATCAGGCAGGTATTTGAATATATGGGTCTGTTTTTCAGGGGTGAGGTTTCAGCGGGAGATACAAATATGGGAGACATCATGGAATTTAAATCATGGAGTGGATGAGATCATGTAAGAGAGTATAGAGAGGTAAGAGGCTCAAGAAGCTAACCTTGAGGTGCTCTAACATTTAGAGCTTGGGAGAGAAGGAGCCAGCAAAGGAGACTGATAAACAGTTGGCAGGAGGAAAACCTAGGGCATGTTGTATTGGGAATGAGTAAAGAAAACATTTCCAGAGGGAAGGAGTGCTCCATTGTGCCTAATACTCCCTGAGATGACGGATAAGGTAAGGGCAGAGTGCTTTTCATCAGGCTTGAAACATGGGAGCCTCTGGGAACTTTACAAGGTCAGTTTTGGTGGAGTGGTGAGCAGATGCTGATTGTAATGGGCAGATGAATGAATGGGAGTTTGTAAGGAAGGGGGATAATGAGTAGAGAGAAACTTTTGATAATCCCGGTACATGAAGTGGGTGGGGCCCTGGAGGGGAATGGGAATGTAAGATGTTTTATTCAGGGTTCTCCAGAAAGACAGAACTGATAGGACACACACACACACACACACACACACACACACACACATGAGAAGGGAGTTATTAGGAGAATTGGCTTATTTGATTATGGAGACTGAGAAGTTCCACTATTGGCCATCTGCATCTGCATGCTGGAGAACCAGAGAAGCTGGTAGCAGGACTTAGTCTAAGTCTGAAGGCCTTAGAACCAGAGAAGCCAATAGTGGAGCTCAGTCCAAGGTGGAAGGTGCAAGAGCCCAGGGACCACTGGTGTGAGTCTGGAGTCTAAAGGCTGGAGAACCTGGAGTTCTGACATCCAATGGCAGGAGAGGAAAAGCGGCCAGGCTCTTAGAGAGGATGAGAATTTGCCCTTTCTCTGCCTTTTAATTCCATCTGGGCTCCCAGTTGATTGGATGGTGACTACCACATTTAGGGCACATCTTCTCCACTTAGTCCACTCACACACCGTCTCCTCTGGAAACACTCTCACAGATACACCTGGGGCAGCTCAATAATTCTAATCAATTGCTAAACCACCTGGGTTTCACTTTGAGTAGATAAAGGATGGGCCCAGTGCCTACTGAAGCCCTGAAGAATAATCAGTGTTTGACCAGCTATCTGGATATTCATTAATCTAGTCAAGTTGAACCCCAAATTAACCATCACATGGGGTTAAGCACAGGAGGGTGGAAGCACAGAGTTTGACTTTTTTAGATGTATATAGCATATAATAAATATTAAGTTCAACCTTACGAAATTGGTGATATTTGACTATGTTTTACCTATGAGAATGGCATTTTCGTATAGTTTGATCTAATAGAACATGTTACATTACTGAGAATGAGTTGCTTTTAGAAGTGGAACTTGATTGAGCAATATTGAGAGGGTTTAATCAAAAGGGCAAAGAACAAAGCCTTGGAGCAGTTGAGATAAATGGGATTGTTGCTCGGCAGAGGGTTGGCCTTTGAAGCAGGGAGAAGGAAAGGCACACAGTTTTCCAGGAAGGCAGGAGAAGATACACAGATTCAGCCATGCTGGAAGGATCACAGTGAGGCCAATACCAGCGGGTAGTGTCCTATTTGAGGCAAATAATTATGTAATAAATTTACGGATTTAGCTGTAGATACACATTGATTGATTTTGTTCATAGGACTGAGTGGTAACTGAGCCTGTTCTACCTTGTGGTAGACTCTAAATTTGTTCTCTCAAAGGTATTTGATATGTGATTTTTTGCTTGGTTTTTCTCTTTCACTAAAAGCGGAGTAAATCAAATATCATGACCTCCTTCCCCACTCCTGAGCGGTGCAATGCTGTGGCCTCCCTGTAGAACTGATTAGCAAATCAAAGAATAAAGTAGTTTTCTCATAAGTGATTTTCTTGCCCTACAGAAAATTGTCTTTTTCAATGTTACTATAAGTATTCTTTGACTTCTCAGCATAATTGAAGCATTATCTATGATTTCTGTTTCTTTAATGCAGACTACAAGTGCATCCTTTTAAGGTCATTCCACTCTTCTCTGTCACATGTACAGAATTTGCTTATGAGGGTGTTCATTTCAAGAATTTCACCTGTTTGGAGGGAGACTTTATTCCACCGCATAATATAATTTTAAAAATGATGTTCTTTAGACCATTGTGTGCATATATCCCTAGGCCATAATTTTCTCCATGTACTTAATTCAGTACAGAATTCCAGGTACTGATCATTAATGATATCTTTAAAGCTAAATGAGATTGAAAGTCATCTTTAATGGCTGTAGGATCCTTTTTTCATGAACTAACTCCTCTAGCTAATGTTTATTTTGAATAATACTCTTATCCATGGATTATGGGACCAAAGCCATAATAAAAATATTCCCAGGAAGGGTTGTCTTCTTATTCAGTGTGTACTTGTTGAGCTATAGGCAGTTTTGCTGTGTATATGGCTCTAAAATGATCTTTTCCTCAAAGTACAGAAAGATCTGGAGAAATGTGGGCACTCATGTATTAAGTTTGTAGTATTATAATATTGTAAGTATAAGATAAAATGTGGTATTTTTTTTTTTTTGAGACGGAGTCTCGCTTTATCGCCTATGTTGGAGTGCAGTGATGCGATCTTGGTTCACTGCAACCTCTGCTTCCCAGGTTCAAGCAATTCTTCTGCGTCAGCCTTCCGAGTATCTGGGACTACAGGTGCATGCCACCACACCCAGCTAATTTTTATTTTTTTATTATTTACCTATTTTTTTTTTTGAGACCAAGTTTCGCTCTTGTTGCCGAGCCTGGGGTGCAATGGTGCGATCTTGGCTCACCACAACCTCCGCCTCCCGGGTTCAAGTGGCTCTCCTGCCTCAGCCTTCCAAGTAGCTGGGATTATAGGCGCCTGCCACCATGTCCAGCTAATTTTGTATTTTTAGTAGAGACGGGGTTTCTCCATGTTGGCTAGGCTAGTCTCAAACTCCCGAACTCAGGTGATCCGCCCGCTTCGGACTCCCAAAGTGCTGGGATTACAGGCGTGAGCCACCGCGCTCAGCCGCTAATTTTTGTATTTTTAGTAGAGATGGGGTTTCACCATGTTGGCCAGGCTGGTCTGGAGCTCCTGACCAGGTGATCCACCCATCTCAGCCTACCAAAGTGCTGGGATTACAGGCATGAGCCACCGTGCCCGGACAAAATGTGGTATCTTTAAAAGCTCTGTGGTGATGGCATTTTAGATTAAGGTAATGTTTTATTTTATGAAGATGTGTAGCTGTACTGCTGGCGAGATGAATCAACATGTTCTAATACTGCTTGTAATAAGAGTAACTTGATTTACCATTACCTGCTGTGGTAAATTTGTATCTTCAGTATTGGAATTATTCAACAGAATCTATCAGAAGGGATTTCAAAAGCTGCAGTCTGTGGTGTTGTGATAAGTGAAGAAAAGCATTTCCCCTATTTCAGACAGCCTTTGATAGCATATGTATTTAGGAAAATATATACAGATTCATCAACTGTACCTGACTCAAATATTTTTAGCTTCTTTGGGTTGAACTTTGGGTTATGCCAAGGGATCCCCTTTCGTCTTTTCATGGAGAATCACTTGTAACCAATGTTGATGTGCACTTACAAAGAAGGGTGTAAAGGTTTATAGGACGATACTACTCGACAGCTCTGAGGATCTGGAATCTACATGGTTCAACTAGCTTCTCTATTTGAGCCCTGAACTAGTGTTGCACTCATCTCCCATTTCCTTTGCTTTGCCATTTCCAGTTGTAAAGTGATGTGTGCTCCCTCTCTTGCCTTTCACTGGTGCAGTGGGGCTTGTCTTTCAGGATGGGACCTGTGCTAAAACTTTTTCTTGTCTCTGTGTATGCTGATAAACAGGCTTTAGAGTTCTATCTTGTGGTGACTTATCACCCCACCCCATCTTAGAGATGACAATTGCCTTTAAAGGACTATAGTTTTAATGTGTAGAGGGGCTCTTTCTGTTATGTGCTTCTAAGTAGAGAGGCCTGTGAGAGCATCTTTCAGGTCTGAGAAGGTACATGGCTGTCTTGTGCTCCTTTCTTCTCTAGCATCAGGCTGTAGATATTCACCCCTAGTGTTGTATTGCCCCCAACCACTGCCACCCCCAGTGATTTGCTGCTAATTTTGGCTACTTTTTTTTTTTTTTTAATTCCAAAATCTGTTGCAGTCTCTTCGGACTTCTGCCAATTCTGGCATAGTTTGCTCAAATGATTGGCCTTTTCTTGGTAGATCTCAGTCTCTTAACTTCTCCCTTTCCCCTTGTTGAACTGACCAATAACCTGTGAGTATAAACCTTATATCTTGTGTGTTATATGGTCTTTCATATTTTTTCCTAAAGCATATCATGTCATACATACTATTTTTAAACTGCCTTTTCACCACTTCTGAAAATACCTTTCCTTACTTTATCTTCTGAAAATACCTTTCCTTACATTTCTATTTTAAAACAATTTATATTTCTAAATTTTCAGTGGCTGACATCCCTTCCATGATAATGAATCTATCGTTTGACCAGTCCCCTACTTTTGGGCGTTTGGATATTTTCTATCCTTTTCTCTTTTCTCTTCTTCCTTCTTTCCTTTCTGCTTTCCTGTTATTTCCTGGTAATGAGTATCCAGAGTTGTTTGTTCACCATGCATGTAGTTTTTTAAAACCTTAATGTGGGTTTTTTGAGGCTTTTGCTAGTTATAACATCACCTTGTGTGTTCAAAGACAGGGGCCCGTATCTTATGCATGTCTTCCTAGCATACATGCCTGACACAGTGGCCATTCACTAAAGAATTATTGTTGAGTTTCAGAAATATGAGGGCCATTTGACAAATAAATGAGTACCTTCTATGTACTTGGAACCCAGGATATAGGGGTGAACAAGGTAAAGATTGTCCCTGCTCTCATAAGGTGAGGTATTATTTTGTATAACGAGGTTTATGTTACAGAGATGGCAACCCTCTTAATGTGAGGATCAATGAAAAAAATTTAAGACACACAGTATAGCAAAAGCAGACTGAATGACTTCGGGTATGGTTACTTGGGAGATGTTCATGCTTATGGCTGAATTGACTAATTGATTTTTCCATAGATGATATTTCTTATTTAGGATTATCCACTAGTGTTAAGGGATTGAGATGGAATGATCTTTTTCAAGTTCATACTTTTTTGACCCTTGTGAGTAACTCCAGTCAATTATACTTAAATTAAAAATTTCATACCTGAATATAATATGCTGTTGTACAGTGATTCCAGGGACCCAAAGATATTTTAGGACTGAGTTTGGGGGGAACAGAAATATTTCCCAAAATATTTTTGGTCTTTCTGTTGCACGTCTTAAAATATGATTAAGCAAAGATTGCAGCCGCGGAGAAGATTTTCTGCTGTAAATTGGTGTTTCAACCCTGCCAGCTGTTCATGCTTTCTGCGATCCCACTTATAAAAGTGGAAAGTGAAGGGTGAGTGGCTGCCCTCGTAGGCAACCACATAATTTAAAAAAAAAAATGTGTATGCCTCAGCAGATCTATATTAGTATTTCATATAGCTGCCTTTTTCTTTTTTATTGTAGGGCCAGCTCTCAATGTTGCAAGAAAAAATAGACCATTTGGAGCGTTTGCTAGCTGAGAATAATGAGATCATCTCAAATATTAGAGACTCAGTCATCAATTTGAGTGAGTCTGTGGAGGATGGTCCGAAAAGTTCACAAAGCAATTTCAGCCAAGGTGCTGGCTCACATCTTCTGCCCTCACAATTATCCCTCTCAGTTGACACTGCAGACTGTCTGTTTGCTTCACAAAGTGGAAGTCACAATTCAGATGTGCAGGTAATGTATACATTCGTTAATAATCACTGGCCTTTTTTTTTTTTTGTTCTTTTTAAGATTTGACCTGATGTCTGTTCTGACTTGGTAAGTTGCTTAAACTCTTTGGATTCTAGTTTCTCTTTTTGTAAAGTATTTTGATTAGTCACATGAACATTAATGTTCTGTTTAGTGATAAAATTCCATAATTCTATTTCTCTCAGTTTATCTTACTATTTTATACTTACGTGAATACAGTCTTTTTGTATGCTTTTCAGGTCTTATTTTCTGTAATAGTTGAAAACCTTTAAAGGTTTAAATTTTGCCAGAGATTTTTTTTTACCTTCCTTTGGAGAATACAAGAAAATCCATGTTCTTATTATATATCAGTTGTACATTATAGATTTTGTACAAAGTAAGGTTAGACTTTTTTTTTTTTTTCTTAATATCCTTTTGCAAGAGGGAAGGGAAATATTCTAGAGCTGTACTTTCCAGTATGGAAGCCCCTGTCTGCGTGTGGCTACTGAGCACTTGAAATGTGACTAATGTGGCTTGATATGTGCTGTAAGTGTAATGTACACACACAGTGTTTCAAACTTAGTGTGCAAGATATCTTAATTCATTTATATATTGATTATGAGTTAAGATAATATTTTGGATATACTGGATTAATGAAATTTTAAAATTAATTTCAACTGCTTTGTTTTACTAGAAAATTAAAAATTTGGTTTGTATTATATTTCTCTTGGACAGCGCTATTATAGAGGGCAATGGAGTCGAAAACCAGCATTGGAAAGGACTTCTGCCTTTCTTAAACTCAGAGTGTTTCACTCACATTGGCTCTGCAAATTAGGGCAAGGCTGTGTTTAACCTTGTGCCTTAGACCAGAAACTGGATTTTGGGGGAAGGATCCTAAGGGGTAAATATTTTAAAGTTGGACAAAATTATTTGGCTTCTGGCCTCGTTTTCGAATATGTACTTTCCACTAACTGCTGAGGGCAGAGAACATGATATGATCTTGAGGTCGTGGCTCACAGGCCAAGCTGGAAGCTGGGGACAGTGGAGCTGGCCAGGTCTTGCACCTGCAACCTCATCAGCTAGAGTGTAGCCAGATTCTGATAGGATCAGAATCCTGTGCTTACAGGGATAGCTGTTTCTGTGAGGTTTGGCTTTATTTAGTTTTTTGTTGAGTACTTCTTGAGTACCTAGCCTTGTTGTCATCCATGATAAGGGAACAGCAAAAAAAAAAAAAAAAAATTATTTTTGTTGTGTGGTCTAAATCTGGGCTGGACAGAAAGGAGTTGCAGAGCAACCATGGAAGTCAGGCAGAGCAAGTCAGGAGGGTACTGGGAGAGCTGCAGGACTGAAGGAAGAAACAGACACTGCTAACACATCCTCCTGCCCAGCTTGTTTCCAAAGATTTGTCAGCTTATCCTTGAGAAGATTTTATTTTATTTATTAAACTCATATATTCCATAGGGAGATAAATATTATTGGCTTAAAATACTTTGTATTGACTTTCATATAATTTGTTTGGCCTTTAAATTTTTTTTATAACTTATATTTGGATGTGATTTTTGCAGTCTAGTTTTAACATAATTTAAATTTTACAAAAGGTTGTTTGGTTGTGTTGTCACATTTAATATTATAGAGACTATGAAGAACAAAAGTAAAGTTTTAGTTTTTTTCCCACCGTTTTTTCCTTTGCATCCCAACATTATTAGCCAGAAGGAATGCTGCATTGAAAAGCTAGAAAACAATAGGATACATAAAAGCTAAATCTCAATTTTAAAATTTTTCTCAATTTTTAGATGATTATGCCTGGTTGACCCTGTTGTAGTTTTACTTCTAGGATAAGATAGGTAGATATAACATATGCTACATGGCAGAATAGCTATAGATAGATATATTTTTGTTCAGGCATAGATTTTTAATATACATGAGATTTACTATAAAATAAAGATAGCACAAAGTAAAATATCATTTTCAGAACTGTTTTTGAAAATGCTGAAATATCTGGTCATAATCAAATTTCATCAGAAATTTTTTTCATGGTTCTTTTTCTATAAATTTCTATTAAATTGTTTTGGAAGTAAAGTAGGAGAAGAAGGAATAGAATGAACTTTTTTTTTTATTAGAAGCGGATGGGAGGGATTATTTGTCAGGGTAGTTTTGTAGCACAAATAGCATTTCAAGCCTTTGAATGGTGATGGAATATTTTCTACTCTAAACTCCTCAATGTCTACAGAAATAGTTTTATTTTATAAAATACATATGCAGAGTATAGCAGTGAATAATTTTGAGCAAATATTTACCAACATTAAATTAATAATTGTTAAACTTTAATTTTTTTTCTTTTACATTTTTAGATGTTGGATGTTTACAGTCTAATTTCTTTTGACAATCCAGATGGTGGAGTTTGGAAGCAAGGATTTGACATTACTTATGAATCTAATGAATGGGACACTGAACCCCTTCAAGTCTTTGTGGTGCCTCATTCCCATAACGACCCAGGTAAAATTTGCACTTCAAAAAGACAGGAGGTTATTAAGTTTCTTTAGGCCTAGAGTCTTTTAATGAGAATCTGGTAGAGGCCACTTCTCAAATTTTTGAGACATTATTCTCTGACTTTTAACATTAATATATTCCTTTTATGTGTCATTATGTTTTAGTGTTCTCATTTTATCAGTTTATGTGCCATTCAAGGATAGTATCTGTGCAGTATGAAATGGTAATAAACAAAAAAGAAGGGCTTGCCTTTGGGGACAAAACAGTATATAGTTTTAAGAGACTGCTTGTTCATTTTAGTAACTTTTTAAAAAATATTGCATAGGAAAATTATTTCATGTCTATGAGGTCTACTTTTAGAAAAGGCAGAATACTCATGGGAAAGTTTGAATCTTTAAAATAAAGAAGCAGTATTAAATGCTTTAAGAACCTTGGTGTTGATTGGTTTCAGGCACATACGAATGTGAGTCTCAGCTCTCTGTATTTATCAGTGTTAGATGACTTTAGGCAAGTTACTTAATCCCTCTGAGACCAAGTTTTTTCCCTGGTAGAATGAGGATAGTAGTATCTGTTTCAATAGGGTGCAAAGTGAAAGAATCATGTATGGCACAACAGTAGCTGCTATCATTATTGTTACTGCATATGATGGCGTTTATTTATTGGGACCACAGATTCCTCCCTTCCCCCACCCCTGACCCCGCCCTGCCAAGATGAGGGGAAGTTGTTTCAATTATAATGGGACATAGGATTTGATATACATATTTGTTGGTTTGAGTACCCAGTCACAGATAATTTAGTTGCAGCATTTTTTTTTTTGTGGGGATTGGAGAGGGGGGTGTATTTCCAAAGACTTATTTTGAAGGAGTGTGTTACTTTTCTTAATATCTCGATTTCATGATTACTGTCAGAAGCACTGGTAACCTAATAATTTGAAGGTTTTTTTCTTTGCTTCCAGCATTCATTTATCTTCTACTTACATTTTTTCCCCATTAGTTTATTGGCAGATATTCCTATTTTTCTATTTTGAAGACAACAAAATATGTTACTTTAGGTCTGGACACATGATTTAGTGAAGCATTTTTTTTGTGCGTGTGTGCTGCTTTTGGATGTGAGAGGTAGTCTGCAAGCTTGGATATTGAAATGCTTGGATTTCTAGACTACAGTGCAATATTTAGTGTGCACTGACATGTAAAATATATGAAATCAATATTCTGGAAATTTGTGATGAGCAGTTATTACACCTCACCTTCTGACTTGATTTCCCTATCTTTGATCTTAATGTCTTTATCTTTTCCTACATATACCTGTTAGTGTTATGTTTTCCTCATATATATTTTAGATTGTCTTTCTCCTTAATCTTAGCCTGTACCTTTTAAATCAAAACTCAGGGAAGGCTGGGCATCATGGAAGGACTTCAGGGATTTGGAGCTAGGCAGAATGAGGCAGGTATCTTGGCTCTGCGGTGTATTGCCTGTGTGTCCTTGGGCACATTGATTTGTGTATCTGTAAAATGGAGATCATACAGGTGGAGTAACATCTTAAGCCAGGGTTAGTTATAAAGTAATTATAAAAGGTGATGAAAATTACATGTAATCCAAATTTCTTTGCTATTTATTCACTTGAGTGCAGATTAGTTAGTATATTTGCATTTAGGGGATGCATATGAAAAACACGTATCTTTGATTACTAGACTCACACTCAGTGAGGTGAGGTGCTCCCACTTAATGTAGGATCTAGATGGCTTATGGCACTGCAGATTTTTTTTCTCTATAAATCTCATAATCACTTGACTATTCAATTATTGAGTGAAATGGTGGCAGAGCCACTTGTAATATCTAAGTTGTTCTCCCTTCTCTTTCTGCCAATCATGTTTAGTTTAATTCTTGTTACTTAATTGGGAGAGTGATGTGATTCCATAGTGTAATCTTCCTTGTAGGCTTATAAATATACTTCAAAGTGTGTCTTGTGAGTCTTCCTCATATGAAGCCCACTTCTTCCCTTTTCTTGATTTTTTAAAAGACCTTTATTCTTTTCCTTTTTCTGCAACTTTTAATTCTCACCAATCTCATTTCTTGTTATTCCATACATGGGCACTTAACTGTAATAATAAAATCCATGGTTTACTGGGCAGAATGCCAAATGTTTTACAAACATTTAGTGCATACGCATGAAGGTTAGTGCCATGATTCACGATGAAGGTGTTACCAGGTTACATAGCTAACAAGGGGCACCAGAATACTTTCCTGACAATTTACCTGGATCTCCCACTAAAGTAAATTCTAGCGGCAAAGAACATATGCCTCCTATTAAACACACTCTCCTCATGGCCTAGCTGAACACTTGGCATATAGAATAATTGCCAAATAAATAAGACCTCTTTGACCTTTCTCAAAGCCCCTCCACCACATACTCATACTGCACACACACGCCTCCACGCTTGCAGGTCTTCGCAGATGTAAACATTTACAGCACTTTTACTTGGTCTCCTCACTAGAATGTTAGCTCATTAAGGGCTGGAACTTTGTTTTATTCACTGCTGTGTTGGGAATGCCTAGAATCATAACTGGCACATGGTACTGAGTCATTAGAGTTTGGTTAAATAAGTTAATGAGCTAATGAATCTGACTCTTCAAACTAGGATGAAACATTTGACTTATTCTTTGGCGTAGGCTTTTCTTTTAAGTTCCCTCCTTCCTGATGGCTACTTATTTCTATTCTTAAAAAAAAAAAAACTTATTTAAAGTACTCTTTTGTAATTTTATGTACTAAAAACAGGCAATAATAAGCTCTTTGAGGGCAGGGATTGCCCTCGATTTTTAGATTTTTTGTTTGTTTGTTTGCATTACTATTCCTGCTTAGTTAGTAGGTCATCTTCTGAGTAGACATCCCTAGTAAGTATTCCTGACTATAATCTCTTTTGGTATCCTAGTAACTATAGCTGAATCTTTTTGTCTTAGTAAAAGATGTTAATGACCCTGACTCTCAAACCCTTCTCCACTTGGAAAAAATAATTGTCAGAAACAAACATTTTAAAACTACAGTGATTTTTGCTGTCAAGCAAAATGCTAGAGAGAAGAATCCACTGACTTAATAATTTTCACTATTCCTTAACTTAACAAAAGTAAAATATTGACAAATAAATTATTCTGTGAAAAACTGAATTATTCACATCATGAAAAGCCATTCTTTTTTAATAGAGGAAAAAGAGAAAAGTGTGTTCACATACACTGCAAGTCAAAATGTGACACTATAATGGGAAATCTTTGTATAATACTCCTAAATGAATGTGCAATTAGGCAGTGTTCTTTCTAAATGAGATTTATAGAGATTTGTTTGCATTTTCTGCAGCAACAATTTAAAACAAGCTTTAGCATAGTAGTTTGTTTCATCGGTGGATTTTCGTCTATTGGGAATAGAAATATTTGAAATAGATTTTTAAAAATTTTCTATATTTAGTTCCCCAACTTTGTGAATTTATGTTGCTGTGTTTTTCTATATATAGATATTTTTCTTTTTGGACTGAGTTGGTAATATCTCTCAAGAAAAGGTAAATTTCAAAATATGTTTGTATTTTAATAAAATTCCAAATTATGTTACAGTCTGAAAAGATCTAACAATTGTCATAAAATATTTAAGTGTTTTACATGAGTAAAAACTGAATTGGAAAAGAATTGTGAAGTAAATGCTGATAACTTTGTACTGTTATGCTTTTGAAAGTTTTGAATCATAGACCATGAAATTAAATGTTAGTTGATTGATACATGTTCATGTTGTATTTAATAAGCTGATTAAAACACAATTACAGCACCTCTGTATCTATAATCTTAATTCTTTGCTTCCCACTAGTTAAACTGCTGAAATATTTGGTTAATTTTACTTCAAAGAAGTCACAGTGTGTGGAGAGAAGATAAGGTATACTAAATGAAAGATTGGACAGCATATTGTTAGTTAAGCAATTTGTGAAATGAACATTAGAAAATAATCCCCCTTGTGGTATGACTCTAAAATAGTAGGAAGACCTAGGCCCAAGAGTTACACTGGAAAATAATTTTCTTTTGTACATTTGCAATTCTTTTGTAGAACTTTTTATTGACTCAGAGGGTGATTAGGACTTTTTGCTTTTTTGTGTGTGTAAAATTAAGAAACAGATGTTTGCATTTAGTATTATGATAATTATGTATCCTCTAAAAAAGTTTGTAAAAAAAGAATAAAAACATGAGGAAATCAGTGTAATATTTCCAAATATTTCTATTCAAATATTTTCAAGTATAGTTAGAATTTGAAAATAGTTCTGGTCAGTCATAGTTGGCTAATATCTCTATTAGGGGTGTCCAATCTTTTGGCTTCCCTGGGCCACATTGGAAGAAAAATTGTCTTGGGCCACACATAAAATACACTAACAATAGGTGATGAGCTAAAAAATAAAATCGCAAAAAAATTTCAAAATATTTTGAGAAAGTTTAGAAATTCATGTTGAGATGCATTCAAAGCCGTCCTGGGCCACATGCAGCCCGTGGGCTGCAGGTTGGACAAACTTGATGAGAGGTGGTGGAGACTTAGAAGTCTGGTTGCTAAAGGAACTTTACTGATCAGAATGAGATGGTCATCGGAAGGAGAAGTTGTACGTGAACACTGTTTGGAGAGTACTTTATTTGGTTTAGCTACTGCAGGATAAAGTGGATTGTTTGATTTTGGCTGCCATGATGGGAAATTTTAGTTTCTGGAGCTAAAATCGTATGCGGAACAACTGAGTTCTGGCATTTATTGCCTGTACGGCATCAGGGGAGTTGCAGGTCTTTGTTATTTTTTACTTTGTGTGATTTTTTAACCCTGAAAAGTGGTAAATGAAGCCACATTTAACAGGTGAGGGCAGCGAGGCTAAGTTAGGGTAATTTGTTCAAAGTCAGTTAATTTAATTATAAATTCTCAGAGGTTGGTGAATTGAAGCTCAGGATTGCCTGATTGTAAAATCTGTGTTTTTTCCATTTACCTCTTTTTATTGCCTCTTAAGATACTTTATTTAGTTCAAATTATTCTATTTCTTTTCTTCTTGTGTTGTAGGCATTAGCTAATTTAACACATTTATCTGGACTTTGGGTTATTAATAGGGTTGTCAGATTTAGCAAACAAAAATATAGAATGCTCAGTTAAACTTGAATTTTCAATAACAATGAATAGTTTGTGTGTGTGTGTTTGTAGTTTGTGTGTGTGTGTTTGTGTGTCCCAAATATCACATGCAGCATGCTTATACTAAACATTTATTTGTTGTTTATCTGAAATTCAGATTCAACTTGGCTGTGCATTTTATCTGACAACCTTAATTGTTAAGAAAATTGTAGCACTTGAGTTAAATGGCGCTGTATGGCTATTTAGAATTCTGTTTTTAGAGATCTCTAAAATATGTGTATTGAGATTCTGTTTTAGAGGAAGAATAGATGGTTTGGTCTCTCATTGGACTTTATTCTTTGAGGAGCACATATGTTAAGCAGCTGCTGAGAAATTTAGATGATCATTAAATAGCTCTTCTTTCTCCTCAGTTTCAGTTACCTTTGTCTGTCTTTCAAGCCTGGGTGCTTCAAAACTCTCCAGTGCCCTGGTAATACAAATAATTACTAACACTTAGGGAATTATTATGTTCTGTGCACTATTCTAGGCATTTTACATATATCACATCCATTACTCCTTTCAGCAACTTCATGACAGAGTCTGTAATTACCCTCCCTTCATAGATGTGGGAGAAGTGGCAGGAGAGAGCATAAGTGATCTGTTCATGGCAGGGCTAGGTTTGAAATCAAGTGATCTTTTTCCAGAACCAGTACTTGTAACAGTTTTTAACATATTGCGTTTTTTGGATAATTCTTCTGAAACCACAGGCTGAGCATATAGGAGGGAAGTCTTTTAAGTATTTCCAAGCCAAATGTCAACTACTTTAGTATTATTAACCATAAAAAAGATTTTTTTCAGCTATCTTGCAAAAGTGGACATCTCACTGCACTATCTCCTATCCTTCTTTTCCTTCTGATTTATCTTAATTGAAATGAATGTCTCTGTCCCTAAATACTATATTAGTACATGAGATAGTGAGTGATTTTCCTGATTGCCACATTTTCTACAATTAGAAAGTGATTTACAAGCAATATTTTCCAGCTTTTGTTTTGTTTTGTTTTGTTTTTTGAGATGGAGTCTTGCTCTGTTGCCCAGGCTGGAGTGCAGTGGTGCAATCTCAGTTCACTGCAACTTCTGCCTCCCAGGTTCAAGCAATTCTCCTGCCTCAGCCACCTGAGTAGCTGGGATTACAGGCACACGCCACAGTGCCTAGCTATTTTTTTGTATTTTTAGTAGAGATGGGGTTTCACCATGTTGGCCAGGCTGGTCTAGAACTCCTGACCTCAAGTGATCCGTCCGCCTTGGCCTCCCAAAGTGCTGGGATTACAGACTTAAGCCACCGTACCTAGCAATATTTTCCAGCCTTTAAGTTGGTTTCTTTTAGAGACTTTGATAATTTGCCCAGTATTTGTCTAAAGCTAAGTAGCCCCCTCGTGTACCCTAAGAGTAACCCACCAAAGAAAGTCACTTTTCTTTCTAACAGTGTCTGTCATATTTTAGACAGTTTTCTCATTATTTCAAATAACCAAGCTCTGTTTGGGGAAGACTTACTATGCCTGAAGTATTGTCAGTCAGTGTTAGATGCTCATAGATGGGATCATTAATGAGGGAGGGGAGGAGCTTTAGCACAGATTTAGAAATTATCTTGGAGATTGATCACACAATTGCAGCTATGAGAAAAAGTATGCAGGTCTTCTAAGGGGCACTTAGAAAAGCAATATAATAAGGGGTCACAGTTGTACATTGTACGTATAGGGCTGCAGGATGAACAAAACGCCTGCTGTCCTAACAATAATGCAAATAGGTTCCTCTGGTGTGGGGTAAAATTTCCAGTGACAGCATCTTCATATGGATTCAAAAAATGATCTCTCTCAAATATCTTCATTGAATTAAAGCTGATATGCTTAGAAAACTATTAAATGACACTGAATCAACTGAGAAAAACAGGTTAGATTATTTTGGAAACCTGGGTTCAAAAGCATTTAGAGGCATCAGCAGGTTTCTAGGTTTTCCAAGTCTCACAGATCTCTGGAAGCCTCAGCTTCATCTGTGACTGTCTTCTTACCCTCTCTTGGAAACTTAGTCGATTACTAAGTTCTCTTCATTTTGTCTCCTTGACCTCTTATTTCCCTCTGTTTATTTCAACTGCAGTCCATAACCATTTTTTACAGAATTTTGCAGTGGTCTCATTTTCTGTTTCTCTGCTTCTACTTTGCCTTTTTAGTCTTCACACTCTTAGTACAGTTATTTTTGAAAGCACAGGTCAGAAAACCCTCATGTCCTCCCTCCAAAGTTCTCTGTAAGAAACAGGAATGGTTTAGAAGGTTTTCAATAATCTGTCTCCCACTTCTATTTTTATATTTATTTCTCACCATATTTGCATCATGTACCCTGCAATGCAGCCATAACCAACTTCCTGTCTTTTCCATATGCTCTTCCCTCTATTTGGAACTACCACCCTTTTTCTCTCTCCAGATGATGACTAATCTAAGAATCTTTCTTCTTTTCTTTTGGTAAGACTTTACCATTTCTTTATTTCCATGGCATTTTATTCATATTTTCACTGTAGAATCTGTTTTCATTTAGCTTTATTGCTTTGCCCTTATTAGATGCAAGGTACATGTTTGAATGAATAAATCAGAACGTTAATTAAAACTCTTTCACAGTTTATCAGGGAGGAAAAGCAAGCTTAACTTATAATAGAAGTGTTGGAATTAAAATTAATCAGCAGCGTATTTGAGTAATAGTAATACCATTTAAGATTGTATGTTACCCCATAAGTATATGACTAGAAGTTGCAGTTGAATATTGAAGGATTAAGGAGTGATGGAAGAAACCTGTTCGTCATTTTTTCATAGAAAATACCTTAATTACTAGATGAGAACAATAAACACTGAGGATTCTGAAAGGAGGGAGAGAGGGAAGGGGGAAAGGGTTGAAAAACTACCTGTTGGGCACTGTGTTCACTATTTGGGTGATGGGATCAATAGAAGCCCAAACCTCAACATCATGCAATATACCCGTGGAACAAACCTGCAAATATACCTCTTGAATCTAAAATTAAAAAAAAGAAAATAAATTATTAGATGAAAGGATATTTCTGTTTTTAATGAACTTTATTTTAAAATTTGAGAATATTTATCACATTGAAATGGAAAAAAAATCTTGAGGCTTAAGTTGCATGTGTTGTTTATTACCAATGTATTATTTATCTGGATATAATTATTTTTTATTCAAAAACTTTTCATGTTTTCCTGAAGATTGGTGCTTATTTAACTTTTGAGTGGAATTAATATACTTAAAAAATCGTTATTAATAAAAATAAAAAGAAAAGAAAAAATCATTATTATAGCAATCAAAACCATAGCAGTGTAACAGTGCTTTGTGGAGCGGGGTGCCTTCTTAGGGATGGGTGTTTTAATCATCTTAGGGCTCACAGATCCTCTTAAAATATAAGTATTTTGGAAACTTAAAGATAATGGACAATGATTATTAGGTATAGCATCAGAACAGAGAGTGAACATATTAAAGCTAATATGGTTGTATTATTTTATCTTTAGTTTCATTTCTAGCTGAAGTAATAAATTTGCATTTGTACTTTTTTCCTAGTCCTTTTGGCTATACCTTTCATTCATCTTATTAAGTACTTATTGAACTCTTGCTCTTATATGTTTGCAGTAGATACTAGATTAAGTTTGAGTGGTATGTGTGCTCAGGCCTGCTTCTAAAATTTGCAGGAACTGGGGCAAAGTACACAGAGGCCCACATACCCTGTGTTTAAACATTTAAGTTATAAATCAAAGAAATAAATTACTAAAGAAAAATAGGTCTTCTCCTCTTGCCTGGAGAAATAGCTCAGTGATCTAGAAGACCAAATGTAGGTTTAGATTGCTGTTGCTCTAGTTCCCCACTGGAATATGGTGGTGTGTATGGGGAGAGCCAGCCTGTGGGGCAGGCCAGCTGCCTTCTCCTCCCAGGCCTGGCCCTGTCCCAAACCAGGAAGGACCTTGATTGAAGCGGTCCTGGTGCCAGGTCTACACCCCTACAAACTACAGCCTCTTGGCCACTGTTTAGGCTAGAGAGGGTCGGTCCCATTTGTTAGGGTTAAGTGCCCTGATGGGGAGAGACTTATAAGAATCCCAGTAGGCTTCCAGTCTGGGGCTGTTTAGACAGATTTCTGGACCCTGGTACTCAGAAGGGCAGGGCAGGCTCTGGGTCAGTTTGTCCTGTGGATTTATCCAATTGAAAGGGGTGTAGTCAGAAGAATAGGGAGGTCCTTCTAGAGTCCAGGGCTCAGGGCCAGGTAACTCTTGCCCACATCCTCATGGTGGTACTTAGTGTATATGCCCTTGAACCAAATAAAACTAAATGTTCCTGAAGAGCATCAGAACTCCACATAATCTCTAGATTTCCAACCTATGGCTGAGAGCTCAAAATTTTAAAAATAAATTGTGATTTGTGAACAGTTACTAGGTGCTTAATTGTTCATGAACATTGAATGTAGACAATAGAGTTTCCAGCTTTATTGGCTTTTTTTATTTTAGAACTTAAAAAAAAATAGTGGTATCGAATTTGGGTTTATGCCTGCTTTGTGGAACTTGTAATTATGCACTCTTTGTTTTAAATATTTCCCCACTTATTTAAAATAGCTATTAGCTTTTTTATGGGTGGTAATAGTGTTAGAATGGAAAAGAATAAATTGAAAGGTATTCTTAATGCTGTTCTAGCCCTCGTTCAATTTTCAGGGATATTCCAACAGAAAGAAAAAAAGCTGTGAATTGACCACTTAAGTAAATCAGTTTGCAACTCAGTGTCCTAAGATTATTAAATCTAGAGGTAGGAATATAATTTTATGTCATGAAAATTCATCCCCTACCACTTTTTATAAAATACTATATTTCTGGTTGGTCTCATGTTAATATACAATTGTAGTTTTTACAGTAATTTAGAAAACGAAAGAACCAATTCAGTGTAAAAGGAAATACTTGATTACTCTGTTGTATAAGAGCAATAAAAGCTAATTTACTGTTATATTACTCAGTACTGAAAGCTGCAAGAGGCTATCTTTCAGTTCATTCTTCATTAATTATGCTGTATGGTGGTGATATCAGTATGAGTTTTATGGAACGCTTTCAGGTTGACCTCTCTGAGCTTGTATTTTGGCTCATGTGAATGTCTTTACCATATTTTCCTCATGATTGTTGAGGGGTGAATGAAGTGTTGAAGGCAAAATGGACTAATCAATCACTGTGATTCCTCTGTGAAAACTCCCATGATAAACTCTTTTTTGAAATGGCCTTAGTTCATTCATCACAGATTATAACTGTTGAAAATAAATAGTTGTGCTTAACAAAAAACATACAAAAAAACTTTTACTTATCAATCTTCATAAAGACTAACCCTTAAAAATTTGCCTTTTATGCTAGATTACTGGAGTTTTATTATCAAATTAATTTGGAGGCATTTCACTATTTATAGTTCTTTAGCTAGTAGCCAGATAATTAGGAATTAGTTTGAACCTTTAAATTTAGGTAAAAGATATCATGTGATATCTTAAAGACGATAATTCTAATAGAACCATTTCATTTACATGGTCCTTGTTGCACGTGTATAATAAAAGCACGGTACAGAAATAGATTTACTTACGTACATTTGAATTTAGCTCAGTTTTGCAATATGTAGGTAGATATAGTATATTCAGTTAAATATTATGTTGATATTTGATAAAATAAATTCTTCCCACATTGCAATCTTTATTTCTTGGATGGTAATGACGCTGATTTGTTCTAGGGCTGAATAAGTTTGCTAGGGCTGCCATAGCAAAGTACCAGACTAAGTGGCTTAAACAACAGAAATTTGTTTTTTTCACAGTTCGAGGCTAGAAGTCCAAGATCAAGGTGTTGGCAGGGTTGATTTCTTTTGAGGTCATCTCTCCTTGGCTTGTTGATGGCTGTCTTCTCCTTGTGTCTTTGCATGGTCTTCCTTGTGTATCTGTGTTCTAATCTCCTTTTGTTATAAGTACATCAATAGTCATGTAGGATTAGGGCGTATCTTCATGACCTCATTTTACCTTAATTACCTCTTTAAAGACCTGTCTCCAAATACAGTCACATTCTGAGGTGGTGAGACTTCAGCATATGACACAGATCTGTCCATAACAAGGGCATAGAGTGAATTCAGTGCAAACTGAAATTTTGGGTAACCAATATATGTTTTAAGATGTGGAGCAGTTTATATAAGTGTTTTAATTGTATACTTTACAAATTGGGTGTTCAGAATATTTTTTATTTCCCCTTTACCTAATTTAATTGTACAGATGTGGGAAAGGGCAGTTAAAGACTGATGATGATATCAGTTCTGAGCACTTGATGTTTTTTAACTTGGTAGTGTTGGTATGGTCATCAGGGAGTTAGGGCATCTGGGTTGGTTGGACTTTCTGGGCTATTCCCTGGGAATCCAGAGGTGGATCCTGGCTCAGTGCTCTGGGGGCAGTGTTCCAGGTTAGTACTTTGGTGAAGCTAGGTGGGATTCTTTGCAGACCACCATTTCATGAAATATCTTTGAGGTTTTAAAAATAGACACAGTTTTTTTTAGTTAAATGTGGAAAAATTGAAGTATCCAGGAGGTGTTCTTTGGTACCAAATCAGGTTAAAAGTGCCCCAGATCAAGAAAGTCCTATAAAGACTATTTGACATTATATTTCTATTTGGCCTATAGCTTCATACGTGCCACATTGTAGGTGCTCAGTAAATAATTGTAGGATGGATGAGTAGATTTCAATTAAAGCAAGAGGAATAAATAAGTCATAGCTGCAGTGCTCTTTTCAAAAGCTCATATTCACATTGTCAGAATAGTTTTGTCTTCTCTGCCCTGGCAGGCTTTTATTTTTTATTTATTTATTTATTTTTTGCCAGCAAATATAGTATACATATTAATTTAACTATATACAGATAAGAAACAGCCATTTGGACCCTCTTACTCTTTAATTCTCTCACATGTAAGTTTGGAAACAATAGACCAATAGTTCAGCTTGGATATACAGGAACTTCTCCTTATACGATTTTTTAGATGGGAACGGGTTATTTTTTAGGGGGTCTGCTTTGCCTGCCACCAGTAGACAGAATTGGTGGCTGTGTACGTTTTTGCTTGGCCGTTTTAGTAGTCTGCCTTGTGGTGCTATGTTTGCACCTGTTGGTGTTAAAAATGTTTCTTATAGCCAAATTGCAACTATCTTTAGATAAAATTTCCAGGATATTTGGAAAGTAGAGGAAAAAACAGGAGAAGCAAACTGTCAACATCTACAGTTCTCTTTTTGAAAAATTTTACCTATATGCATTCGCATTTGTTGTTTGATTAGTGTTACTTTGTGCTTCTAAGGAATTGAATAATGAACAGCTTTTGGGAACAAATGCCTGTATTTTGCAGAATTCTACCTCTCAGTGTTCATATTTATGGTGTAATTACCTTATTGGTCTGCTGAAAGCTTTTAGGTATAGTTTATACTTGCAATCTCTTTTTTCTTAGTTTAACTTATTTAATGGGTGAAGAATTTTAGATGTGGCATGAGAGGATAAAATTTGGATCCCCTATTAGGATAACAGTACTGCCAACTTGTAAACAGTGTTTAGATTTTTAAAATTCAAAAAAAATTCCTTAGAGATAAAAAATTGAATTAGATACTATAATTATTAAAATATAAATAACTGCTTTTTGGCCTTAGGTCATCTATCTTATTTTTCTCATTTCTATCTGAATTTGTGCAGTTTTCAGAGTGTTTTCATTGTTTTAATATTAGTGGGTTTCTGAGTCCCATGACAACTAAAATGGAGTTTCATTAATTGAAAACACCTGTTAAATTTAAAAATATGTCTATGAATGAAAATTCTAACGATGTCCAAAGTAATGCAATGGAATGTGACTGAGTTGAAATCAGCCATACGAATTAGACCTTTGTGGTATATTTGTGTCTTGATTTAGGTTGGTTGAAGACTTTCAATGACTACTTTAGAGACAAGACTCAGTATATTTTTAATAACATGGTCCTAAAGCTGAAAGAAGACTCACGGAGGAAGTTTATTTGGTCTGAGATCTCTTACCTTTCAAAGTGGTGGGATATTATAGATATTCAGAAGAAGGATGCTGTTAAAAGGTTTGTTTTAAAACTTTTTTGGAATTTGGTAATATTAAAGCTTAATTGTACAATGAACTAAGTATTGAATTTTTAGATGGTGAAAATTCTTAGCTTTATATTTGAAACTTAAAATATTTCTTCACATACCGTTTTCGTTGATTTTGGTTCATCTCTGAAAAAGCCATTTGAAACTTTTCCATTTAAATCCTGTGTTCCACTGGAAGCAGTGGCTTACTGCTGTAATCCTAGCACTTTGGGAGGCCGAGGTGGGCGGATCACCTGAGGGCAGGAGTTCAAGACCACTCTGGCCAACATGGTGAAACCTTGTCTCTACTAAAAATACAAAAAAATTAGCCAGGTGGTGCTCACGCCTGTAATTCCAACTACTCAGGAGGCTCAGGCACGACAATGCTTGGACCCAGAAGGCAGAGGGTTGTAGTGAGCCAATATAGTGCCACTGCACTCCAGCCTGGGTAACAGTGCAAGACTCTGCCTTGGGGGAAAAAAATCCTATGTTACAACTTTGTCCCACAAATGGAATTACTAGGTCAAAGTGGCTTAATAGTTTAAAAGTTTTTTTTAAGTATATAATTAAAGTGACACCTGTATAGTTTGTTTCAATGTATATTTCAATCTTCCATATAGAAAGTATCAATTTATTTGCTTTTTAGTCAGCAATATAATTTTTGAAGTTGTTGGCCAATTTGATGGTTGAAAAGTTTAATTTTAATTTTAATTTTTGATTGGTAACAGTGTTGCATATTTTCTCATACAGGTTAAGGTTTTTGTGACTTGCTTATTGTACTTTTTCTTACTGATTTGTAGGAGTATTTATACATATACTCCTTAACTCATATTTTTCCTCAGATTTTTATTTTCATCTTTTAGTGTTTGATATACAAAATTTTAACATATTTATCTACTCAAATCTGTTATTCTGTTTTCTTCAGATATTGCTTTTGCTGTCATGTTTTAAAAAGTTTTCTCCAATCTAGAGGTCAAATAAATAGTGCTTTTTTTCTTCCTAATTTCATTTTTTACCATTCACTTTTTAAAAAACTGATTAAAAAAAATACGTTACGATGGGAGGTTTTCTGATCTCCATGTATCCCCTGGAGTTAAGAATTATCTTATAATGAATTGTTTTCTTTAATTTATTTAATGTCACTTATACAGCGCTTACTGTATTAGTCCCTGTTCTAAGCACTTTACAAATTGTAACTAATAATCTTCTAAACAATTCTGTGAAATAGGTACAATTGTTATCATTGTTTTACACATAAGGACACTGAGTCGTCCAGGATCACAGGGCAGCCTGGCATTCCATGTAGTCCAGGCTGTCCACCTCCAGAGGCTGTCTTCTTTGCACACTGCGCCATCCTGCCTTCCTAAGATTGAATTAGTCCATCCTTTTCTAGTGATTTGAAGTGCAATCTTTATTATATTTAAATATGCATTAGTTTCTGGGCATTTTGACTTGTTTCATGGACTTTTCTGTTTGACTGTAATTGTTGTGCCTTTATAATATACTTCGTTAACTGACATTTGACGTTCCTTCTCATCTTTTTGTTTTTAATATTTTTAGTTATTATGGATACATAATAGTTGTACATGTTTATGGGGTACATCTGGTATTTTAATATAAGCATATAATATATAATCAGATCAGGGTCATTGGGATATCTGTCACCTCAAACATTTATCATTTTCTTGTCTTAGGAATGTTGGAATTCTCCTCTTTTAGTTATTTTGAAATATATGATACATTATTCTTTTTTTTTTTAAGCAATTGACCAATCAATTTTAATTAACTCATTCTGTATGACTATCATAGGCTATTAAAAATAGGAAAGCGTGTTTCTTTTTTTTATTATTATTATTATACTTTAAGTTTTAGGGTACATGTGCACAATGTTCAGGTTAGTTACATATGTATACATGTGCTATGCTGGTGTGCTGCACCCATTAACTCGTCATTTAGCATTAGGTATATCACCTAATGCTATCCCTCCCCCCTCCCCCAACCCCACAACAGTCCCCAGAGTGTGATGTTCCCCTTCCTGTGTCCATGTGTTCTCATTGTTCAATTCCCACCTATGAGTGAGAACATGTGGTGTTTGGTTTTTTGTCCTTGCGATAATTTGCTGAGAATGATGGTTTCCAGCTTCATCCATGTCCCTACAAAGGACATGAACTCATCCTTTTTTATGGCTGCATAGTATTCCATGGTGTACATGTGCCACATTTTCTTAATGCAGTCTATCATTGTTGGACATTTGGATTGGCTCCAAGTCTTTGCTATTGTGAATAGTGCCGCAATAAACATACATGTGCATGTGTCTTTATAGCAGCATGATTTATAGTCCTTTGGGTATATACCCAGTAATGGGATGGCTGGGTCAAATGGTATTTCTAGTTCTGGATCCCTGAGGAATCGCCACACTGACTTCCACGATGGTTGAACTAGTTTACAGTCCCACCAATAGTGTAAAAGTGTTCCCATTTCTCCACATCCTCTCCAGCACCTGTTGTTTCCTGACTTTTTAATGATTGCCATTCTAACTGGAGTGAGATGGTATCTCATTGTGGTTTTGATTTGCATTTCTCTGATGGCCAGTGATGGTGAGCATTTTTTCATGTGTTTTTTGGCTGCATAAATGTCTTCTTTTGAGAAGTGTCTGTTCATGTCCTTTGCCCACTTTTTGATGGGGTTGTTTGTTTTTTTCTTGTAAATTTGTTTGAGTTCATTGTAGATTCTGGATATTAGCCCTTTGTCAGATGAGTAGGTTGCAAAAATTTTCTCCCATTTTGTAGGTTGCCTGTTCACTCTGATGGTAGTTTCTTTTGCTGTGCAGAAGCTCTTTAATTTAATTAGATCCCATTTGTCAATTTTGACTTTTGTTTCCATTGCTTTTGGTGTTTTAGACATGAAGTCCTTGCTCATGCCTATGTCCTGAATGGTAATGCCTAGGTTTTCTTCTAGGGTTTTTATGATTTTAGGTCTAACGTTTAAGTCTTTAATCCATCTTGAATTAATTTTTGTATAAGGTTTAAGGAAGGGATCCAGTTTCAGCTTTCTGCTTATGGCTAGCCAGTTTTGCCAGCACCATTTATTAAATAGGGAATCCTTTCCCCATTGCTTGTTTTTCTCAGGTTTGTCAAAGATCAGATAGTTGCAGATATGTGGCATTATTTCTGAGGGCTGTGTTCTGTTCCATTGATGTATATCTCTGTTCTGGTACCAGTCCCATGCTGTTTTGGTTACTGTAGCCTTGTAGTATAGTTTGAAGTCAGGTAGTGTGATGCCTCCAGCTTTGTTCTTTTGGCTTAGGATTGACTTGGCGATGCGGGCTCTTTTTTGGTTCCATATGAACTTTAAAGTAGTTTTTTCCAATTCTGTGAAGAAAATCATTGGTAGCTTGATGGGGATGGCATTGAATCTATAAATTACCTTGGGCAGTATGGCCATTTTCACAATATTGATTCTTTCTACCCATGAGCATGGAATGTTCTTCCATTTGTTTGTATCCTCTTTTATTTCATTGAGCAGTGGTTTGTAGTTTTCCTTGAAGAGGTCCTTCACATCCCTTGTAAGTTGGATTCCTAGGTATTTTATTCTCTTTGAAGCAATTGTGAATGGGAGTTCACTCATGATTTGGCTCTCTGTTTGTCTGTTATTGGTGTATAAGAATGCTTGTGATTTTTGTACGTTGATTTTGTATCCTGAGACTTGCTGAAGTTGCTTATCAGCTTAAGGAGATTTTGGATTGAGACGATGGGGTTTTCTAGATATACAATCATGTCGTCTGCAAACAGGGACAATGTGACTTCCTCTTTTCCTAATTGAATGCCCTTTATTTCCTTCTCCTGCCTAATTTCCCTGGCCAGAACTTCCAACACTATGTTGAATAGGAGTGGTGAGAGAGGGCATCCCTGTCTTGTGCCCATTTTCAAAGGGAATGCTTCCAGTTTTTCCCATTCAGTATGATATTGGCTGTAGGTTTGTCATAGAAAGCTCTTATTATTTTGAGATACGTCCCATCAATACCTAATTTATTGAGAGTTTTTAGCATGAAGTGTTGTTGAATTTTGTCAAAGGCCTTTTCTGCATCTATTGAGATAATCATGTGGTTTTTGTCTTTGGTTCTGTTTATATGCTGGATTACATTTATTGATTAGCGTATATTGAACCAGCCTTGCATCCCAGGGATGAAGCCCACTTGATCATGGTGGATAAGCTTTTTGATGTGCTGCTTGATTCGGTTTGCCAGTATTTTATTGAGGATTTTTGCATCATTGTTCATCAAGGATATTGGTCTAAAATTCTCTTTTTTGGTTGTGTCTCTGTCAGGCTTTGGTATCAGGATGATGCTGGCCTCATAAAATGAGTTAGGGAGGATTCCCTCTTTTTCTATTGATTGGAATAGTTTCAGAAGGAATGGTACCAGTTCCTCCTTGTACTTCTGGTAGAATTCGGCTGTGAATCCATCTGGTCCTGGACTCTTTTTGGTTGGTAAGCTATTGATTATTGCCACAATTTCAGCTCCTGTTATTGGTCTATTCAGAGATTCAACTTTTTCCTGGTTTAGTCTTGGGAGGGTGTATGTGTCCAGGAATTTATCCATTTCTTCTAGATTTTCTAGTTTATTTGCGTAGAGGTGTTTGTAGTATTCTCTGATGGTAGTTTGTATTTCTGTGGGATCGGTGGTGATATCCCCTTTATCATTTTTTATTGCGTCTATTTGATTCTTCTCTCTTTTCTTCTTTATTAGTCTTGCTAGCGGTCTATCAATTTTGTTGATCTTTTGAAAAAAAAAAAAACCAGCTGCTGGATTCATTGATTTTTTTGAAGAGTTTTTTGTGTCTCTATCTCCTTCAGTTCTGCTCTGATGTTAGTTATTTCTTGCCTTCTGCTAGCTTTTGAATGTGTTTGCTCTTGTTTCTCTAGTTCTTTTAATTGTGATGTTAGGGTGTCAATTTTGGATCTTTCCTGCTGTCTCTTGTGGGCATTTAGTGCTATAAATTTCCCTCTACACACTGCTTTGAATGTGTCCCAGAGATTCTGGTATGTTGTGTCTTTCTTCTCATTGGTTTCAAAGAACATCTTTATTTCTGCCTTCATTTTGTTATGTACCCAGTAGTCATTCAGGAACAGGTTGTTCAGTTTCCATGTAGTTGAGTGGTTTTGAGTGAGTTTCTTAATCCTGAGTTCTAGTTTGATTGCACTGTGGTCTGAGAGACAGTTTGTTATAATTTCTGTTCTTTTACGTTTGCTGAGGAGGGCTTTACTTCCAACTATGTGGTCAATTTTGGAATAGGTGTGGTGCGGTGCTGAAAAAAATGTATATTCTGTTGATTTGGGGTGGAGAGTTCTGTAGATGTCTGTTAGGTCCACTTGGTGCAGAGCTGAGTTCAATTCCTGGGTATCCTTGTTAACTTTCTGCCTCATTGATCTGTCTAATGTTGACAGTGGGGTGTTAAAGTCTCCCATTATTATTGTGTGGGAGTCTTAAGTCTCTTTATAGGTCACTCATGACTTGCTTTGTGAAACTGGGTGCTCCTGTATTGGGTGCATGTATATTTAGGATAGTTAGCTCTTCTTGTTGAATTGATCCCTTTACCATTAAGTAATGGCCTTCTTTGTCTCTTTTGATCTTTGTTGGTTTAAAGTCTGTTTTATCAGAGACTAGGATTGCAACCCCTGCCTTTTTTTGTTTTCCATTTGCTTGGTAGATCTTCCTCCATCCTTTTATTTTGAGCCTATGTGTGTCTCTGCACGTGAGATGGGTTTCCTGAATACAGCACACTGATGGGTCTTGACTCTTTATCCAATTTTCCAGTCTGTGTCTTTTAATTGGAGCATTTAGTCTATTTACATTTAAAGTTAATATTGTTATGTGTGAATTTGATCCTGTCATTTTGATGTTAGCTGGTTATTTTGCTCGTTAGTTGATGCAGTTTCTTCCTAGCCTCGATGGTCTTTACAATTTGGCATGATTTTGCAGTGGCTGGTACCGGTTGTTCCTTTCCATGTTTAGTGCTTCCTTCAGGAGCCCACTGTCTGGCACTCTCTAGTGAGATGAACCCGGTACCTCAGATGGAAATGCAGAAATCACCCATCTTCTGTGTTGCTCACACTGGGAGCTGTAGACCGGAGCTGTTCCTATTTGGCCATCTTGGCTGCTCCCTGCACATTATTCTTAACTATATTAAAAAGTTCTTTCAATGAGTGAACATTGAATTTTGCCAAAGTGCTTTGTAATTAATTTGTTAAATTCTTCGTACTCCATCAAAAAAGTAATCTTTTTGGATTTTGATGAAAATTGATGTAAACATTTAAAGATAATTTGGGGAGAATTGACTTTTTATAATTTCCATTGGAGTTTTTTTTTTTTTTTTTTTTTCCCTCTTGATAGGAGGCTTAAAATGCTTACAGGTTTGACTAGGAAGTGAAGGGTATATTTTCTACCAGTACTGGGATTAATTAACTACCTCATCCAAAGGGGCTAGCCACATCCACTCTAGGCATGTGCTGCTACTGGAACCAGAGTTGTCAGGATATCCCTCCAGTTACTCAAGACAAACTAGAATTCCAAAATATTACGTAAAATACCTAGAGTTTTTACACTGAAATGTTAGCTATTAATTTAGATTAATATACCAGGATATGCACACATATGCATGCATAAACACACACACACAGAGTTGCAGACACACTCACACAGTGCTAAACAGATCACATCAGCATTTCTGAATCTGTAGTTTAGATACACTAGTTTGCAACCTTTTAAACATTAATAACTGTCTTGGAAAACCACATAAGCATTGATATTTGTTTTATAAAGGCAATTTTTTGATTAAGTTTTAAATTTTTTGTCAAGTGCAGTGGCTAATGGCTATAATCTCAGTGACCTGGGAGGCTGAGGTAGGAGGATCAACTGAACCCAAGAATTGGAGGCTATAGTGAGCTGTGATCATGCCCCTGCACTCCAGCCTGGGTGACTGGGCAAGACCGGAACTCTAAAAAAAAAGTTTTTTTTAGGTCTTTAGGTGTTACCTTACTTCTTGAGCATGAAAAATATTTCGTATTTTCTAAGAAAATAATTTTATAGTTACTCAGATTGTTTCTGATTTTAAGAATTTATCCCATGTGTAGTTATTTTTGCTTTTTTGTTACTTGTTTTGGGAATCTGATTTTTTTCTTCATTTTGATTTACTTAATTTTGTTGGTTTTTGCCCACCTTACCCTCCTAGAACCTGTTTATATTTTACCAGTTTTTACTCTTGACCTATCTGCTTTCATCTTTCCTAATTCCTTCTACTCACTTTCACTAATGCTAAATGAGCCAGTCCACTTAATAAGTTCATCTGTGTGTTTACCTTTTAGCAATAGTCTGACTAGCTTTTATGTTTTTATATGCTATTTTCTCATTATTGTATTTTTCCTACATATTTAATAACTGTACTACTGTTTTCTTTTTGACTTAGGTATGTTAGAAAAATAATTTTCAATTTGCAAGTGCTATTTTTTCCCAGTTATACTTTATTATAAACTAGCTTTAATGTCTTATGGCCATAGAATATGGACTGTATACTCTTTTTTTTTTTTTTTTTTTGAGACTGAGTCTCGCTCTGTCACCCAGGCTGAAGTGCACTGGTGTGGTCTCAGCTCACTGCAACCTCTGCCTCCCAGTTCAAGCGGTTCTCCTCCTTCAGTCTCCTGAGTAGCTGGGATTAAGGCACCTGCCACCATGCCTGGCTAATTTTTGTATTTTTAGTAGAGACAGGGTTTCACCATGTTGGCCAGGCTGGTCTTGAACTCCTGACACCTGCCTTGAACTCTGGTCTTGAACTCTTGAACACCTGCCTCAGCCTCCCAAAGTTCTGGGATCACAGGCATGAGCCACTGTCCCTGGCCTGTATACTTTTTATTCTTTAGAGATTTTTGAATTTTTTTTTTTTTTGTTACTTAATGTGTGATCAATGTTGATGAAGCTTCTACTGGTGTTTGAAAAGGTGGGGTTTGTAGAATATAGAGTTTGGTATCTGCTAATTCCGTATTTTACAACTACTGTTTTTATCTTCGTACAGTCAGTTTTGCTGTCATATTGCATACACGTTCTTAAAAATAATGTTATGCAAAATTGTGCAATATTAAACCCAGGGCTCATGAAAAAGTATCGTTAGAGTGTAGCACTCTAAAACTTCATTAGTGATGTAGACACACACAGAACATGGAAACCTAATAAAGATGCTAATCCAGTTTTACCTGTGTTAAATTGGTTAAAAAATGCATAAATATATATGTCAGTTTACCTTGAAAAAGGCCTAAAGTTTGCTTGTGGAAGGGTGTATTGGAAGGAGTATAGATTCGAGTTATTACTGAGAAGTGATGGCAAGTAGGTTAGCTGAAATCTTTTGGAAAGTTGAATAGCAGATGTGGATGACTGTGGCTCATAACCCTTGATGAACTGAGGGAGCTGGTAGATGTTTGAGGTGTGTGCGTGTGCTTTGTGCATTCCTTATACAGCTTTGTTCAGCTGCGTGAAGTTTTGTACCTTCATCTAATGTTTCTTGGAGACTAAATTGTGCATAAGCAAGGCAAAATTTATTTCCTCATGTAATCAATCACCTGGGAACTCATTCCCATTTTTGAAACAAGTGTTTATGGCAGAACTGACTGTACTTATTTTTTGCTACTGTTCCCCTATCAGCTTTTATTTTTTGGGTATTTTATGTTTTTTTTTTTTTTTTTTCCATTCTTGCCTGATCTTTGTTGGCTTCTGTATTAGCTCATTCATTCATTCAACAGACACTTCCCGAACGTCTACTATGGGACAGGGACTGCAAGGTGGGCACTCCTAGACTAAGATTTATTTTTCTTCATTGTAAACTGTATGTATCATCATTGATACCATCTTTTCTCTTTTTTATAATTAATATTGTTATACTACCACTCTTTTGTTGTTCGTTTGCTTGAGTTTGCTGTCCTTTTTACTTGAAGGACAGTCAGCTTGGTGGTTCTAAAGGCTGGGAACTGGAACCAGTCCGCCTAGGTTCAAATTCTGCCAAGTCCCATCTACTGTGTGGCTTTGAGCAAGTTATTTAACTTCTCTATACCTCAGTTTCTTCATTTGTCAAATGAGGATAATATTGAAACCAATTTTATTTGGTTTTTGTGAGGATTGAATTAATTCAGACAACATGCTTAGCACAATGCCTGGCACATTTTAAAACCCCAATAAACATTAGTGCTTTTTTAACTTTTATTTGAGACTTTGAGTATTTCTCCTGGATACCATATGTAATTTTTAATGCTGAAGTCTTCTATAATGGGAGACTTTTCTTTTAGTTTTTGTTTTTTTTTGAAACAGGGTCCCACTCTGTTCTCAGGCTGGAGTGCAGTGGTATGATCACAGCTCACTGCAGTCTCAACCTCCTGGGCTCAGGTGATCCTCCCACTTCAGCTTTCCAGTAGCTGGGACTACAGGCGCACACCACCACGGTGGCTCATTTTTGTATTTTTTGTAGAGATGAGATTTTGCCATGTTGCGCAGGCTGGTCTTGAACCCTTGGGCCCAAGTGATCCACCTGCCTCAGCCTCCCAAAGTGCTGGGATTACAGGCATCAGCCACTGTGCTCAGTCCGTATAATGGGAAGATTTTAACTGTAATTTTTTTTTCTCTTCTCTCTTAAAGCTTTCTTATATAATGCTTCATTGAAGGTAACTTTTTCCCCATGCTCACTTACTTTATTTATGAAATTTCAAATTTTCACTAAGTTATATATCTAGGTAGTATAACTTTTCATTAAGATTTCCACCTATCAATTCAAATGTTTCTTTAGCTTATGTGTTCTGTACTTACTGATTTACTACTGCTTTTGTTTCATTTGTTTTAGAATTCAAGTACGTTGTTATTGTGTCTCTAGTCTCTCTTTTTCATATGCATTTTTAATTTGTTGTATTTACTGTGTTTTGGGAGATTTTTCCCAAGAGTCTTCCCTGCCACTCCCTCGGTTCAGTACTCTGGTATTGAGTCTTTTCTGGCTTTGAGTATTTGGTTCTAACTTTACTTCTGTGCTTTTTGTATTGTTGTCCGTAAGTCCAAGTATTTCCCTCCTTTTTTATTTATCCGTGAGCAGCAACAGCTGTATCCACACCTGGAATTTGTCCCAAAACATGGTGTAACTTGCCTTGAATCCCTTTCTTTTCTAACCATATACTTTCAGTTTCCTTGCTGTGGGTACTAGTTATTACTGGCTGACCAGCATCCACTTCACCTGATTTCCTTTTGGGAAGTGGTCTCTCACCCAAGGAAGTCAGCTCCTCTTCCTTGTTGCCTAGCCCAGACAAGTCAGCTGTGACCTGAGCTCAGTTAATCAGCATATTATTTCCCAGGGCTTTGAATCTTTAGAGAGCGAAGTGAGGGCTGACAGATGGAGGGAGGGAAGCAGACACAGAAGAATGTTTACTGGTCATTCCTCACAGCACCTTGCATTTGCAAGACTCTTCCTGTAATAAGATCCCTGTGTTCCCTGCAGCATGATTTCTCATTTTCCTCCAGCCCTTTGTTAAGCCTGGACTTTTAGCCTGTCTTCAGTTCTGTGTGTTCAAGACAGTATCCAGCATCAGTTTGTATTGCTTGCAAACCAGAAAGCTAGCTGATAGGAACTTACAACGTCTCCTTAGTTCCTCTGTTGGAGAATTACATCCTGCAAGATTATATGAGAATCAGGGATCAGCAGTTGGGGAAGGTGTCCTGGTTGTAAATAGGACAGAGTGAGAGAAGAGAGGAGCTGGGGCTATGAGAAGATCTGGAAAAGGAGTGCCCCATCTATGAAAGGTTTTCTGTTTCTTTGGTGTAGCTGCTGAGCCTGGGGCTGGCTTTCTCCCTCTAGCTTTGTTTTTGTGTGGCCTGTAAGCCAGGTAGGAGATGTGTGTCTGAATGTGCTGCTTCACAGAGTCCAGCCACCTCAGAAGGAAACTGGGTCTGCTGCTGGCTGCTTGTGGTCAGGTGAGGCCAGCCATGCTTGGCTCTCTCCCAGCATGGCTTCATTAAGGAGACTGCCTCTGCAGCAGTCACAGTGCATGGGCAGAGAGACTTCTGCAGAGGGGGACTCACACAAGTGCCATGAGGGCGAAGAGTCTGTGATTAGTATCTGTCCCAAGACTCAGCTTTGCCTCAGCCCTTGGCCCTTCAGTTTAGGAGCTGTTGACCGAATCTCTCAGAATCTTCTTATTTATGCTGGGATTCCATGCTGATTTTTCATGCAGGGCAGTTGCAGGTCAGTACTTGAATTATTTCAGTTTTACTTTTACCATATCTGTCAGAAATGCTGCCAATTTTATGGCCTGCGGATGGCCTGTTTCTCCTGACTCTACCTGGATGCAAATTTTCCTCCCCTCTCTCTTTTTTTTATTCTGTTGGTTATTTTTCTTAGGTTGAACCATATAAAATTGCCAATATTTGACTACTTTTGATATACAAAAATGGCAATTTCATGCATCAGTCCAATATTACACATAAAATATGGTAAGATATTGGAGGGGACTGCAGATTAGAATCTAGTGCTCAATCTTTGTCTCACTCAGATTTGTCTCACTCAGATTCCTTCTGAGTGAGAACAGCTTTTTTGGCATTGGAAAATATTCTGGAATACAGGCTTGATCGTGAACAGTATCATTTTGCTTGAAGGAAAAATGGTTTTATAGCCAGATTAGTGCAGATGAATTCTGTTTCTGGTCAAGATTTGCTAAAGTTCTCTCTCTTCTAGCTGTAATAATTCACTTTTATTCACTTATTACATTTGTTTTTAGAACTAGGGTAATAGCATTCCCCCCCACTTACTTGAACAAAACATTCTTAGTGTTAGTTGCTTAAATGTATGTTTTTGGAGGAAAACTTAATAGATATTTAAGTTTGCTCCTGTTATTTAAATTCTGAGCTTGTACTAAGTGGCATTACTAATAGATTTTTTTGTGTGACTTCTAGTGTAATGCTTATGCAGTGGCTTTTCTCTTTTTGAAGATGAGCTATGGATTAAATCTGTACCTAAATTTGCAAGCTAGCTGTTGCAGAGCAGAACCTGTTAATTCCAGCAGAGTTCCACGTAAGCTTTCATTGTCCCTGAAGAATACCAATTGATTGTGGGAACTTAACAGAAACAAAACTCAAATGATCCTTATAATCTATTCTAGCAGTGACTTGTTTGATTCTTATCCCCTCCCCCAGCAGCATTATTATTCAACTCTATAAGCTTTTAAAAGTGAAAATCTAGTTAACTAAAGAGAGATCTACGTAAACAACATCTATATTTTCTGTTTTTTTGTGTGATCTGAAATAATTTAATCAATTATAATCATAGTACCTACTGGTAATACATATCCAGTGGATTTAAAAGAAGCTGCCTTCCATTAAATAATCAGTGTATTGTTTTCTATGCTTGTTTTATTTTGAAAATGACTGGTGGTGTAATTTTTTAAAACTTTTTAGGCTTCACATTTGAATATTTTTTGGCTAAATGCAGTTAAATACTGCATGATGTTTATAATACATCAAAATGTGAACCCTTATTGAGAGTCAGGCAGCTGAAACATTAGCCTTAGCATTTCCTTTGACTAGCACACAGCATGTTACATATTCATTGTTCCTCTCTGGGCTCTGAGATATTGGAACAGCTTTTATATTGCATCTGCTCTTGCTATTGAGACCAGTGTTGAGTGGAGAAACCCACGAATTATTAGAACCTAAGAACAGTTTATATATTCACCAAAGTCTTGACCAGTTTCTCTTTGTGGATCTTTTAGTGTGAAAAGGGGCTCCAAATGTGTGCTGAGATGAAGGTACCATCAGTTAGTATAGATTTTTTATCTTCACCAAATTGGTGGGTTTCATTGCTTTAGCAAGAATGCAAACTCTTTATTTATATAATCTTTGTACTATCTTCTTACAATTTTTCCCCTAGGTTTATATTTAAGTGAACCTTCCACTGTCTTCTCAACTATCTCTGCTTGCTTCTTGAAATCAGAGAAATATTTGATGTTACATTTTTAAATAAGAATCCAAACTTAACTAATGTGCATCTTGGGTTTTCTAAGAAATTGGACTATTAATCTTCCTAAACAGACTAATTCATTATACGTTTTATACAGGTTGGATTTTATGGTATTTAACTGAAGGTTGCTGTAAAATTTATAGAGCAATGGGAAGTTACAGTGTGTCTTGTGATATTCAGAGTCATTTGCAGATTTGGATTGAGTTTAGAATCTAAAGATATTTAGCATTTCATCAAAGCACTGAAAGCAATGCACCAGGGTCTAAAATAACTTTAGTTCTAATAGTTGAAGCAGTGGTTTACGTTTATTTTAGAAAGCATATGTTCTATCCCTACCTTTTCAATTCCAGTTCGTCTTGAGTGAGACGGCTATCCTTCCACCTCTCATTCCCTTCAACCACTGGCATCTATTTATGTCATGGAGACCTGTAAAAGCCATGAGGGACTTCTCAGGTGCTCTGCCCATCCCTTGGATACTTTCTCAAGCCTCAGAGAGGATTTTTTTGCAGCATTGACATCGATCACTCCATTCTCCTCGAAATTCTGTCCTCTTTTGGCTTTGAAGTGACCTTGAGCTCTTTCACTTTCGGGTCTATTCTGGCACTGCTGACCATTCATTTTTCATCACCTCTCTGATTTCCTCTTCTGCTTACTTCCCCAATGTTCCTGTTCTCGCCTGTTGGGGAACACTGCTTAGTTTTCTTCATTTTGCATGCTTTTCCACACTGTTGTTTTAATTACCAGGCATTTGGACTACTTCCAGATCTAAAGATCCAACCTGGACTTCTTGTTCTCTAGTTAGTGGCAATAGTAAGAGATAAGCACTCGTTTAATTATTCAGCCAATCCTGTAGCATTCTCTTGAGTTAAGGTTCTTTATCATCTTCATTCTCCTGTTGAGGAATCTGAAGCAGAGGTGTTAAGGAAAGTGCCTAAGGTCACCCAGCTAGTAAGTGTGGAAATAGGACCCAAGCCAGGCAGTCTTGCCCCAGAAATAGTGGGCAAATAATCTTCACCTCTGTGGTGCTCTGCCTTTCCACCTCCCTTTCCTGTGACATCCAGTTAGTCCCTAAACTCTGTGACTTCTGCCTCTTCAGTGTCTCCAGACTCTGACCCCTGCTTTTCGTCTCCATTGCTCTTGTCTCGTACTATTGTGAAAACCTCCAAATGGCCTTTCCATTTCCAGCTGTGCCACTTCTAAGTGTCTGCCATTTCATCAACAGAGTTAGTTTTCTAATATGTGAGTCCCACCATGTTTGCTTTAAAATGCTTTGTGGTGCTTCAGTCTCAAAAGGCACAGGCCACTATCCTTTGCCTGACACATACTGACTTTTTCTGTCTGATTCCTCCCGACTTGCTCATCCTTATCTCCAGTCACTTCCTGCTTCACACTCTACTCAGGCATTCTGAGCCACGGGTGTCCTCAGACACATGCCGTTTTGTGCTTCTTAGGAATTTGCCTGTGTTCAGCTTGGATTTTTATTTTTTTCCTTTTGTGCAGTGGATAATTTCAGTCTTACTCATTTTTAACACTCAGCTGAAATATTACCTCATCTCTGAAACCTTCCCTTATTTACTTCTACCATTCATTCAGCAAATATTTATTGTGTTATGCTCCAGAAATGTAGGAGGTAAGCAAGACTGACCTGGTCCCAGCCCTCAGAAAACAGCAGGGAAGACATGTAATTAAACACAGTATAATAATAAAGGGTTTTCTTCTATAGAGGCAAGAAGGGGGTCTTGGAAGGCCTCCTGAAGCAAATGATATTCAAGCTTAAACCTGAATGATGACTAGAACTAGCCAGTCAAGAAGTGGGTGTCAGAGGGCAGAGAAGGAATTTTAGGTTGTGAGAAGAGAATGGTGATTATGGGCCAGGGATTAACAAGGGCATGTTTGAACATCTGAAAGATGTTTATTAGACAGCAGCAGTTGGGGAGGGTGGGCAGCGAGGGTGTGTGTGTAGAAGCTGGGTAAATCTTGGCCATCAGGGAGATACATATCAAAACTTCTAGAAGATACTGTTTCCAACCCTTTTAGAATGGCTAAAATAAAAAAGATGACAACGTCAAAAGTTGGCAAGAATGTGTAGCAACAGAAACTCATATGTTGCGGGTGGGAATGCAAAATGGGGGCGACTTTCTGAAAAGCCTCCAAAGAGTTTTCCAAACTTAAAATATATACCATGTGATCTGGGGGCTCCACTCCTAGCAATTTACCCAAGAGAAATGAAAAAATGTTCACAAAAAGACTTGTACAGACATTTTCATACAGGCTTTTTCCTAGTAACTTCAAACTGCAAGCAGTTTAAATGTCCTTCAGCAGGTGATGGATTAAAAAATTGTTGTATATTCATACAACAGAATACCTAGCAGTAAAAAAATGATAAATTACTGAAATACACAGTAATATGGATGAGTCTCACAAATGTTCAGCAGAAGAAGAGAGACAGAAGAGTAAATATTGTTTGATTTCCATTTTATGAATTCTGAGAGGAGACTCAACTGATCTATTGTGATAGAAATGGAATGTCAGAGTGTTTTTTGGGGGCAGGGTGAGTGGGCGAGCATGGATTGGAACGGGGCATGAGGGAACTCTCTGAATTGGTGGAAGTAGTCTATATTATTTTGGATAGTGATTACAGTTGTCACAATTCATGAGACTGAAAATATGTGTATTGTATATTGTTATATCTCAATTAAAATATTTTAGAAAATGTAATACAATATAAACATACAATACAATAAATACAATAATATAATACAATACAGTAAACATAATGATATATGTCTCTCTTGATATGGAAAGATGCTCATGGTATAATGTTAAGTAAATTAACTTGGTTAAAAACTCTGGCTCCCATAACCCTTTGTGCATATATATCAAGGTAGTGAGTTTTTAAATTTTATTCTTTAACGTCTTTCACATTTTTCAACTTATTTTGAATGAGTATTTTATGAATAAAGTATTGTTTACTATACAGTGAAAGATTTAAAGTACATCCCCTGCTTATTAAAACTTTGCAGAAATTATTGAACCATATGAGAAATTTATTTTTATTTCTATTAAATTAAATTAATTAATTAATTTTAGAGACAGGGTCTTTGTCACTCAGGCTGGAGTGCAGTGGTACTATCATAGCTCACTGCAACCTCAAACTCCGGGCTCAAGTGATACTCTACCTCAGACTCCTGAGTAGCTAGGATCTACAGGTGCAGGCCACCATGCCTAGCCAATTTTTATAATTTTGTAGAGATAGGTTTTACTATATTTCACAGGCTGGTCCTCAAACCCCTGGCCTGAGGTGATCCTCCTGCATTGGTCTCCCAAAGCACAGGGATTATAGGTGTGAGCCACTGCACTTGGTCCCAAGACATTTTTAAATAAATTTTCATGACTATTTTTAAGCTACAGTTCTGTTACTTTTTTTTGTTTGTTTTGTTTTGAGACAGATCTTTACTCTGTTGCCTAGGCTGAGTGCAGTATTGCAGTCTTGGCTCACTGCCACCTCTGCCTCCCAGGTTCAAGCAGTTCTCGTGCCTCAGCCTCCCGAGTAGCTGGGATTACAGGCATGTGCCGCCACACCCAGCTAATTTTTGTATTTTTTGTGGAGATGGGGTTTCGCCATGTTGGCCAGGCTGGTCTTGAACTCCTGACCTCAAGTGATCTGGCAGCCTTGGCTTCCCAAAGTGCTGAGATTACAGATGTGAACCACCGCGTCTGGCCTCAGTTTTGTTAGTTTTCAGTGCTTAGGAGACACAGGTTATAGCATTTATAGTTCAGAAAAAAATTTAGTTTAATTTACTTTTTAATATATGCCCCAATATATACAAAGGATACACAATGAAAAGTAAGGTACTCAGCCACTCCTGTCTCCTTGTCATTTTGCTCTTTTCACAGGAGGTAACTACTATGACCAGGCTCTTATTTATTTTATGGATGTATGGGAAAACATATGCACATGTACATAAAGGCATAGGCATATATATTATACAATGATAGCATGCCATGCACATTGTGCTGGTTTTTTTTTTTTTTTTTTGAGTGGGTCTATTTTTTAAATTGTAAATAAGCATAACATAAAATTTACTATTTTAACAATTTTTAAGTGTACAGTAGCATTACAACATTTACATCATTGTGCAGCTGTTACTACCATCCATCTCTAGAACTTTGTCATCACCCCAAATGCAAACTTTGTACCTGTTGAACAGTAATTCCCGTTCCTCTTGCTCCTGGCAACCACTGTTCTGTTTTCTGTCTCTACAAGTTTGACTACTCTATTAGGTGCCTTATGTACGTAGAATCATATAATTTTTGTCCTTTTCTGTCTGCCTTACTTCATTCAGCATAGTATCTTCAAGGCTCATTCATGTTGTAGCATGTATCAGAATTTCTTTCCTTTTTAAGGCTACATGATATTCCCCTGTATGTATTGAAAGTAGTGACAAAAACCACAATTACTTTTGCACCAACCTAATACATACCACAGCTTATTTATCCATTCATCCTTTGATGGACATTTGGGTGGTTTCTACGTTTTGGCCACTGTGAATAATGCTGCTGTGAATATGAGTGTGCAGATATCTGTCCAGGTCCCTTCTTTCCATCTCCAGAAATGGAACTGCTGGATCACATAATAATTCTATGTTTAATTTTTTTTTAATCACTGTCATTTAGGTGTATTTTTTTGGCAGAGTAAAACATTTAAATATTTTACATAGACATAAATATGAGCATGATAAGCATTGACATGAAAATGGCAGTAATTCTGTATGTGTGCTTCTTGTATTTTTGTTATATTTTTATGTCATGCTTTTTTGCAAAATACATTATAAACATTTATGAATTTCACTAGTTTTCTGTGATATCGTTTTTAATGGCTGAATAATGTTCTGTCACTGTATGGATGAGTTAACTTGACTAATCTCTTACTTTTGGAGATCTAGGTAATTTTTTAACTTTTATCTTTGAAAACATCTGTTTGTATCCATGATCTCTATTTATAATCTAATTTTATACAAAGGTAACAAAGAGCTGGGGGGAGAGGGTGGGTACAGCAGTTTCATTTGACTGACAATATAATCAACATTTAGCTGTATGATTTTGTCCTCTTTGTTGCCTAAAACATTATTCTCTAGGGCTTTCCCCAAATTGTTTTAGAACAAGCAAGTTGACATGCTTTTTCTATAGGGTATACTGCCTGGGAATAATGTGGAATTGCACCAAGGAATCAAAGGGCAGTATAAGGACATGTGTAATACAAGATTCGTGCATAATTTTTTCATCACCATGCTGTTTTCCATACTACTGTACCATTTTACATCCCACCAGCAATGCACAGATTTCTAGTTTCCTCACATCCTTATCAACACTTATTTGCTGTTTTATTATTTTAAGTAATAGGCATCCCTAATGGGTGTTGTACCGTGCTTTTTAAACATGTATCTTGGAGAATCTTTTAGTAAAGTCTGTTATGTGAATGGGACTTGTTATTTAACTACTCCCGATTTTCTGGCCTCTTGGTAATATATTTAGTGTATCTTTTGTCTTTAGTATATATAATGCTCTTATTTTAAAATACAATATTTTCTGACTTATTTTCAGTGAGCATGGATGAAAGTACATATGCATTTTACAGTTTGATAGTTATTGCCAGCAGTATGTGAGACTACTTATGTCTACATCCTTAACATCACAGTATGTTATACAACTTTTTGATCTTCTTATCTGATAGGTGAAAAGTGGCATCTTAATGAAGTTTTAACTTGCATTTCCTTATGAGTGAGATTAAATTTCTTGTCATTTTTATGAGCCAGTTATTTCTGAAATATCTGCATTGTATCTTTTGCCTTTTTTTTTTTTTTGCATTATCAGTACCCATTTCTTACAATTTTATGCTAATAGGAACAATCAGTGTTAAATGATGAACAAAACTGATGTGATTCCTGCGCTCATGGTACTTACAGCCTGTTGGAATAGAAAGATAGTAGACATACAAATATGCAATTAAATTTTGTTGTAAATGTTATGGAAGAAAAGTTAGATTTTCTGTAAGATAACAGTTCAGGCTGGATTTGGGTGGAATGTGGTGGCCAGTAACAGCCCCTAATGAACCTGTAAGAACCAATGAGGCAAATATTTGAAGGGAAAACATTCCAGGCAGATAGACAGCATGGACAGCTAGCTGAAAGAAGGGCATGTGGCTGGATTGCAATGAGGAAGAAATGATGAGAGATGACTGATTTGCCCTCTGTTCCTCATACACTAATCTGTATAGATATGTGTCAACAATGTTCAAAAGTATACAGTGAGTTTCTCCTATCATTATATAAGGGGCTTTAAAACAAATCTTTTTCCCTGCCTACTAGATATTCTCCAGGAAAGGAATATGAATCAGACAATCTGATTAGCAGAATGTCTTTAGGATATAAGTTGATTCATTGGGAGCTTCTGTGTTTTTGAATTTTTCATTTAAAATTTTTTTAAAATTTAAGAATGAAATACTGTATGTCATCTTGTATTATTTCCTGTTTCTCCAGATGTGTCATTAGAAATTCAGCTGGTTTTCTCATGTGAAATTAATTTGTGATTCTTTGAAGCTTGCTAAATGATGCATTGTTTGCTACTAAGTTGTCTGTAACAATTTCCCCATTAGGGAGAAAAGCTCTTTGAGTGTGTCCTTCTGTGTGTGACCAAATTCCAAATGTCTGATGATTCTACATAGGGGAAAAAGTGACACTCAGAGAAAATGATTTGCAGCTTGTTGTGCTTTGCAGTAAATTCTGCATTTTAGGTAAAATGCGGAATGACAGATATGCTCAGCTTAGTTTTGATCAGTAATTTTCTTAAGCTTTCTGTATCAAATTTCTCATCATTGAAATAGAAACATGGTGGTATTTTAATGTCTTTTACCATTAGTTACAAGTCAACTCAGTGTAAAAAGTGAAAGACAAGTATTGTTAATTTTGAAAATTAGTTCCTGGTTTCTTAGTTTCTGGATTTGTTAGATAAACATATACCTTTGTTTCCCTTACTTACCCAATATCCTTTCACTTTGGCCTTTAGGTTTCATGTTTATTAGGAAATATCATGAAGTGTACATGTAAAATAGACAGAGAATGTCTTGGTAGAAATTAAGCAATAGACCCTGTGGTGTGGGCACATCTTTTTTTTAAATTTTAATTAAATTTTAATTTAAATTCTAATGTTTTTAATTAACTTTCTCCACTAATATTCCCCTGCTTGTCAGAGAAATAGTTCAATTGATACCTGTTGAACACTGTGAATGGAAAGACTTGGAAGTGCCTGTATTCATTCTAAGTAAATTTTTTTATAGATACGGGTATTTCTCATTACTTTTAAAAAATTGTTAGTCTTGAATGTACAGCTACAATCCATCTTCATCTTATTTTTATCATCACTAACAACAGTGGCTTTAAGTATGGTCCTTTTTTAGGTTAACATAGCTTTTCTGTTATTGCTTGTAAATATTTTTTAAAGTATTTCCAGACATATTGTTTCTGTTAAGACTTTTAGTCCTAGGTTTTGTAGTTATCACTAAATGATGATGGTTATTGCTATGCTTCTCAGTAATTAGGTTGACAATTTTCTTTGTTTTTTGGGGACTATTTCTTGTTTTTCTTTCACTCATCAGATGCTTCCTTAAGTGCTTATCATGTATGTTCTAGAATTCAGGGCAAATTTGTGTCCTTCTGATGTTTTTGGGTTTTGTTGTTGTTAATGGCAAGTGTTTTTGCTCAACACAGTAAATATTTTATATCAGACCAAATCTTCCTGCTTGTAAGAATCTTCTGGTTTATTATCTGTTTTTCTATTCTTGTGGATGGATTAGAGGGTAATACCCTAGGAAAAACAGGCAGTTCAATGAAATAGGAGTACTCACTAACCTGATTATTCTACCAGGTATCATACTATTACAATATGGTCCATATTAAAATAATGTTGTCTCTTTTCTTCCATGGGATGTTTTGTTCTATCTTATAAAAGAAACTATGCTAAGAGGAACTAAAAGCTATGTGCTTTCTGGCCTACTATTATGATGTCATTTATATATGATATGATATATTTGCCTATTTTTGACCTAGTCATGCAATTTTTCTGAAAAACCTGTATGAGCATAGTATTTTGAAATATGAATCCCTTGGCTTCCATGACATAATATCTTGGCATTTTCTTATGAGCTGGTTTTAAGTCACTCTGATTGAGTCTTAAAAAGAAAAAATATAACTCATTCTTTCTCCACTAAATCAATGGCTGTTTTATTGTATTTTTATATTTTTAATTGATGCAAATATTTGTACATATTTATGGGGTATAGGTGATATTTTGTTACATGCATGGAATGTGTAATGATCAAGTCAGGGTTGGGGCGTCCATCACCTTGAGTATCATTTCTAAGTGTTGGGAACATTTCCAGTCCTCTTTTAGCTGTTTTGAAACATACAGTACATTGTTGTTAACTATAGTCACCCTACTCTGCTGTCGAACATTAGAACTTACTCCTTTTATCTAACTGCATGTTTGTACCCATTAAACAACTTCTCTTAACCCCTCTTCCCAATCGCTACCCTAAGTCAAATACTCTTCCCAGCCTCTGGTGTCTGTCCTTCTACTCTCCACTTCTGTGAGATCAACTTTTTTTTTTTTTAGCTCCCAAATATGAGTGAGAACATAGGATATTTGTCTTTCTGTGCCTGGCTTATTTTGCTTAATAGAATGACCTCCAGTTTCATTCATGTTGCTACAAATGATATGATTTCATAGGTTTTTATGACTAAATAGTATTCCATTGTTTATATATATACCACATTTTCTTTTTCCATTCATCTAAATCAACACTTAGGTTGATTCCGATCTTTGGTGTTGTGAATAGTGCTGCAATAAACATGAGAGTCCAAACAGTACATCCCTTTGGTGTACTGATTTTTTTCCTTGGTATACTTGAGTTTTTCCCAGTAGTGGGATGGCTGGATCATAAGGTAGTTCTATTTTTAGTTTTTTTTTTTAAATAAATCTTCAATGCCTATTTTAATAATGTAAATGTTTTTTAAAAATCTATTTTTCAACTTCCTATTCTGACTCACTGATGTGTTTATTTCTAAGTCACAGTTATGGTAGCTTTTTAATGGCTTACACCAACTGGAAGGACAGATTGCTCTTTATTACTCTTCTCTAGACTGTTTCAGGCTAAATTCAGATTTATTATTTTTGTCATTTAACATTTCTTATCTCCATTTCTCTTATATTTTCCTTCAGCTTGATCTTTGACTCTCCTTTTGCTTGTTTTTTGTTAACTTCTCATCATTCCCTATTTTCTCTTTTGTTAATAGTTCTTTGAAACTTAACTTTTTAATTGGCCCCTTTTCTTAAACTTACTCTTCTTTTTCACTTAACTCCTTTTGGATGTCACACTGTCATCAAAAAGCCCTGTCCAAATTTGTATGCATTACTACAAAGTGACTTCCTTTCTCAACGCAATTGCACTGTTTGTGTATTAATACTACCATTCCGTTAGACACCTGGAATTAAAACTGTAAGTCATATTTGCATTAATCTTTTCATCTATCTTCAGTCATTTTCTAATTACCATTGATACTTTTTCATGTGATGTCTCCCGTCTTCCTCCTCCTCCATATTTCATAATTACTACTACCATGTTCTAGATCATATCATCTCATACCTAGATAATTGAAACTTCATTCTGACTGACCTTTCTCTTTCTATTTTATTTTGCAAATATCTGTGAGCTTCTTCTAATATAAAAACTGTAGGTAAATACTAATATTAAACTGATGGCCTTATTCATTAATTCCTCATTTATGTAATAAATATTTGAATGACCATTATCTGCCAAGCAAGCTTCTGAGTGCCGGACGTGCCAACGTGAACAAAACACATTCTAGTCCATGCTCTCTTGGAGCTTACATTCTAATGGTGGGTAGAGGTCGGGAGGGAAAGAGTGGAGATCTGACAATGAACAAGGTAATTTTGGTTTCTGATAAAGACTGTGATGGATAGATAGAATGGGGGGTACAGTGGGAGTGTTAGTTTAGCTTGGGTGCACATGAAGACATCTCTGAGCTGAGCTATGAGGGCAGTTGAGACCAGCCAGACTGGGAAAGATAGGGTAGAAGAAAATAGATAAATGCTGGAAAACATTTTAATAAGTGGGAAGTTTTTCATGCCTCCTCAAAATTAATAGACAGAATAGTCTTTAACCTTTAAGTACAGATAAGAATTCAGTCTTTGATGAAAGTAGCATCCCAGGCATCATGGAGGAGAAATGGATTATTAACAAATGGAGCTGGGAAAATTAGTTACTGTATATACTGTAATTCTTGGCTGGTTGACTTTCTTGAAGACCATTGATGCCTGTGGGACAGGAATTATGTTGTAAATTAAAACTAATATAGATGAAAAAAGTTCTATCATTGGAGTAAATTTTTTCCACTTAATTTTTAGTTTTCTTAATCTGCAGTTTTTTTCTCTATTCAACATCAGCGAAGAGTTTATTTTTGATTTATATCTGAACTTATGTCTGAAATTTTCCAAAAGATCTATTTATTGATATATTGAAATAATGAAGTCAAGTTTCCGTATTTGATAATTAGATAATAAATCTCATACTGTCCTGACATCTCAGGCTGCGAAGCATAACGCATAAGGGGCAGGTTTGGTCCATAGCCTCTAGACTGTGGCTAAATCAGGCAATCACCAGAAAGATAAGAAAAAGAACTAATTGTATGCATAGGTCTATTGACAGTAAAGGTGGGACCGGTAGCCTTGAATTTAGTTGTGTTCTTAAAGAAGGGCGTTTTTTAGAAATTTCCAGCTTCTTCATTGTAGATTCTTGATTTGGGCCTTTGAGAATCTGAAGTTTGATTGGATATTGTGTTTCTTTAGACATTCTAATGAGTCATCATATTCTCCATGTGAAATTATATTAGTTGGTGATCCCCATGGCAACATAAATTTATTTCTTTAATTTTTGCAGGGAATTTATTATTTGATTGTTTTTTAGAAATTACGTCCATTATCCACTCTGTTACTGGTTATATGATCATGCATATGTTTGAATTACATGTTGTGTTAATGTTGTGGCTTCTATCATATGCTTTGTAGGAAAATAGTTATTCATCCTCTGTGCCTCTGGTCTGCTTCAACTAAATTTGGCTTGAGAGTTGGCTGTTAGCTGTAGGCATCCAGTGATGTATGTCCTTTTTAAAGCTGCTTTGCTTCTTTCTGAAATTTTACCCCATTTTCCAAACCATCTTGTTGCAGGCTGGCAAGTCTGTGGCACTTAAGATAGATACTTGCTCAATTTTTTTTTCTTTTTTCTTTTTCTTTTTTTTTTTGACACAATGTCTCACTCTGTCTCCCAGGCTGGAGTGCAGTGGCGTAATCATAGCTCACTGCAGCCTCAAACTCACAGGCTCAAGCAATCCTCCCACCTCAGCCTTCCAAGTAGCTGGGACTACAGGCATGCACCACCACACCTGGCTAACTTTTTAATTTTATTTTGTAAATATGGGATCTCCTTATGTTGCCCAGGCTGGTCTAGAATTCCTTACCTCAAGCAATCCTCCTGTCTTGGCTTCCCAGAGTGCATGAACTACAGGGCTGAGCCACTGTGCCAGACCTTGCTTAAATTCTTGACTTTTATGCTTCCTTGGGCACTATTTCAAATTTTTAATAGTTAATGATTTTTTTTTTCTTCTCAGGGGAAAGTATCTTCTCAAAACAATTTTATTAGGATTAGGGATCTTGTTACCTGGTATGGTATTATGGCAAAGGAATACCCAATAGACAAGTAATGAAGCTGTTAGAGCCTTTCACTCAATAATGAAAAATAAACTGTATAGCCTATATTTCAACTGAATCTGGGGCAAAGTACTTTATGATGTTATCTGTATTCCCAGAGTCATGTGGTATTTACTAGCTTTACCCTTGTTATTTTTTAGGGTAGTTTGCATGATCAACTTATCAGTGTCAGAAGGACTAAAGTAAATATTGATTTTTTGATAAAAGTATATTGAAATAAATAATGTGCTTAAAGTGACAGCCCTCCAATAAACACTCATCAAGCATATAGTCTGTGTAAAACACCTTTCTAGGTGCTCTGCAAGATTCAGAAATAAACTAGATATGGGCTGGGCGTGGTGGCTCACGCCTGTAATCCCAGCACTTTGGGAAGCTGAGGCGGGCAAATCACCTGAGGCTGGGGGTTCAAGACCAGCCTGACCAACATGGAGAAACCACGTCTCTACCAAAAATACAAAATTAGCCAGGCATGGTGGCGCATGCCTGTAATCCCGGTTACTCGGGAGGCTGAGGCAGGAGAATCGCTTGAACCTGGGAGGCGGAGGTTGCAGTGAGCCGAGATTGCACCATTGCACTTCAGCCTGGGCAACAAGAGTGAAACTCTGTCTCAAATAAATAAATAAATAAACCAACCAGATGTGGCTTTTGACATTAAGAATCTTTGAGGCTGTATGGGAGTTTATACCCATGTGGAAGGAACCTCCAGAATGACCTGCGTGGCTTTTCCTGCAGAAGGGCAGGGGTTACCTGAGACACCGGGTGCTATCATGAGGTCTTGAAGTTGAAATTCATTCACTGGTTTAAACACATTTTTTGACAACTAGTATACATACTGGTTATATTTAAAGGCTGTTCTTAATGTTTATGCTTGTTTAGTTTTTCATTTGAACTTTTCTTAACATTTATTAATGTAGACTCTTGTTATTTTCTCTCTAGTTTAATAGAAAATGGTCAGCTTGAAATTGTGACAGGTGGCTGGGTTATGCCTGATGAAGCTACTCCACATTATTTTGCCTTAATTGATCAACTAATTGAAGGACATCAGTGGCTGGAAAATAATATAGGTATGTATTGGTATATTCTTTATTTGGGCTATTTTGGACAGTTAATTTTCGGGATGTGAAGTGAGGCTCTGTTCTTTTTTCGAGTAACTATTTTCCCTGTTAGTCATTATTGTTGAATAATTTATTCTTCATTAATTTATGATATTTCTTAGCTCATAAACTGAGTTACAGAGATTTACTATAGTCACTTTTAGGATCATCTACCTTGTTTAATGTATTATTTATCTATATTTTTATTGGTTTTGGGATTATTTTAATTGTATGTTAAGACTTGATGACAAGAGGCAAAAACCTAATTATGGTAGCTTAAGTTTTTTTTTTCAGCAAAAAAAGGAAAGAAAGATATTCATTATGTCACTGAGTGTTCCAGAGATACGGTAGCTTCAGGTATTGCTGTATCCAGGGATCCAGGGGACTTAAATTATGTTGTCTGGGCACTGTATCTTTGGGCTCTGCTTGTTTTGCTGGGTTTCTTCACAAGGTGAGTAAGATGGCTCTAGGCAGCCGAGACTAATTTTTCCAACCTAGCAACCAGGAATTCTCTTTAATACTTTATCTAGTTGGCCCAACTTGAGTCAGTTCCTTATGTCTGAGCCAGTTACTGTGTCCAGAGGTATAGGAGTTCAAATCACTAAGGTCTAGTCATTTTGGTGGAAATGGTCTTGGGGGAAAGGGAATTGTGGAGAGCAGGGTCAGCTGCACCTAAAGGCATGAGAATGGGTCCTCCATATGAGTGGCCTCATGGAATGGGTCCAGTTCAACAGAATAATTCTGTTGCTACAAGAAATGGGAAAAAAGATGCTAGACTGATAGAATCAGATGTCCACTATAAAAACTTGGGACTAATAGAAAACTATGTGATATTTAATATTTGCATTTTGTAACATGGTATGTAAATCCTTTCAAATATTTTATATCTCAGTATAATAATGTAGTTTTTTATGTAAGTATATGTGTTTTTTATTGAAGTTATTTTTAGATATTTCCTTATTTTAAAAAATTGTCCCTTAGAGATAAAATTCTTAATCCCTATTTTTTCTTTACTTTTTATTTTGAGATAATTGCAAATTTGAAGAAATGTATAAGAATACTGCAAAATATTCTCATAAACCCTTCACCCAGATTTACCAGTTGTTAACATTTTGACACATTTACTTAATTTTTTCTGTTTCCGTGTTGTTGTAGTGGTGCTGGTATTTCTTATTATCAGAACCATTTGGAAGCATGTTGCAGGTATCATGCCCGTGTAGAAAATAGTTAGCATAGCAGGTCTGCTATCTTTAGAAAGGCCTTGCTTGCAAGATTGGCCCTTGGTTAGTGTCTGGGAACATGGATATCCTAACGATAAGAGTGGCTCACTGTTTTTAATCTGTTTGTACAAACAAAATAGTTTGTGCTAAACAATTGCTTTCCTTCTGGGAGTCTGAATTCTTAGTATGTGCTGAACAGAGGGTGCCTACATGACCAGCCCCCAACATTGGACACTGAGTCTGTAATGAGTTTCCTGGTCAACAGCACTTCACACATACTGTCACAGTTTCGTGCTGGAGCATTTAAACACATCCTGTATGACTCCATGGGGAGAGGACGCTTAGAAGCTTGCACCTGGTTTCCTCTGGACTTACTCTGTATGCTTTTTCCTTTTGCAGATTTTTTTTTCTCATTTCACTGTAATAAATTATAGGTGTGAGTACGACAATATGTTGAGACCTGTGATTTTTCTTAACAAATCACCAAACCTGAAGGTGGTCTTGGGGACCCTCTCTACACAATGCCCTTTTTCTTAAATACTTGATATGCTAACCCAAGAATATTCACTTCATAAACCTCCGTTATGAATGTTTTTTATGTTTTTATTGAAGTGTAATTTACATGCAGTGGAATATATAAATCTTAAATGTAGAGGTCAGTGAGTTTTAACAATGTACATACCCATTTAATCTATACATTTATTACCCAAGGTCTCTCATCCCCTCATCTTTCCACTTGCAGCCAACTGCTCTTTGATTTCTGTCATTGTCCATGAGTTTTGTTTGAAGAAGAATTTATTAGTATATGAACTCACATAATATTATTTTGGGTCTTGTGTCTTTTGCCCAGTGTAATTTTTTCTTACAACTTTATTGAGATATATTTCACATAAATTCATAGATTTGTGCAACCATCACCACAGTCTATTTTTAGAACTTTTTTCAACATCCCCCAAAGAAACCTTATACCCAGTAGTAGTCACTCCCCTTCCTAGCTTCACCCTTCCCTGCCCCAGTCTCAGGCTATCACTAGTCTTTCTGTATATATGGATTGGACTATTCTGGACATTTCACATAGATGGAAGCATGTAATGTATGGCCTTTGGTGATTGGATTCTTGGCATAATATTTTCAAGGCTCATCATGTATTATAGCATATATCAGTGCTTCATTCCTTTTTATAGCTGAATAATATTCTGTTGTATGGATATACCAGATTTGTTTATCCCTTATTCAGTTGATGGGCACTTAGGTTGTATTTTGCTTTTGGCTGCTGTGAATAATGCTGTTATACACATTTGTTTAAAAGTTTTTGTGTGACTCTACCTTTCTTCCTAGGAGTAGAATTGCTGAGTTATATGGTAAAAATGTTTAGCATTTTGAGAAACTGTCAAACTTTTCCAAAAGAGCGGTATCGTTCTACCTTCCCACCAGCAATGTGTGAGGTTTCTATTTTCTCCGTATCTTCACCAACATTTGTTACTGTCTCTCTTTTTTATTGTAGTCATTCTAATATGTGTGAAATGGTAATCTCATTGTGATTTTGATTTGCATTTTCCTAAAGACTAGTGGTACTAAGAATCTTTTCATGTGTATATCAGCTGCGTATAGATCTTTTAAGGATAAATGTCTATTCTAATTATTTTCCTATTTTTCAGTAGAGTTATTTATCTTTTTATTATTGACTTAGAATTTTTTTTATATATTGTGGTTAAAAGTTCTTTGTTGGATAGTGATTTACAAATTTATTTTCTCATTCTGTGGTTTTTTCACTTTCTTGAAGGTGTCTTTTAGTGCACAAGTTTTAATTTTGAGGAAGTTTTTCTTCTGTTGCTTGTGCTTTTGATGCCATAGTAAGAAACTGTTGTTTAATCCTGAATTATAAAGATGTACTACTGTCTTTAAACTAGTTTTATGGTTTTAGCTCTTACATTTATGTCAGTGATTAAATTAACTAAATATTATATTTAGTTAATATTATATAGTTAATATATAATAGTTAATATAACTATTAATATAATTGTTATATTAACTAAAATATTAATTTTTAGTTAATATTTGTATATGATGTGAGGTAGAGTTTCATATTTATTTTTTTTGCATGTTGATACCCAGTTATTCCAATGCCACTTATTGGAAAAGATGATTCTTTCCTCACTGAATTGTCCTGGCACACTTGTTAACAGTTAGTTAACCATAATTATGAGAGTTTATTCCTGGACTCTCAGTTCTGTTTCCTTGACTTATATTTATGCCAGTACCGTACTGTCTTGATTACTATAGCTTGTATAAGCTTGACATTGGGAAGTCTGAGTTCTGCAACTTCCGTTCTTTTTTTAAACTTGTTTTTTCCATGTGAATTTTAGGCCAGTTTATCAATTTCTGCAAAAATATCAGCTAGAATTTTGCTAGTGGTTGTATTAAATCTGTAGGTCAATCTGGGGGAATATTGCCGTTTTAACAATGTCACATCTTCTGATATAGCAACATGGGATGGCTTTCCATTTAAGTAGATCATCGTTAATTTCTTTCAACAGTGTTTTATAGCTTTCAGTGTAAAAGTCCTGTACTTTTTTTGTTAAATATGTTCCTAGGCATTTTGTTTGTTTTACTGCCATTATAAATGGGATTGTTTTCTTAATTTCATTTTAGGATTATTCATTGCTAGTATGTAGAAATACAATTGATTTTTGTTAGTGATCTTATATCCTGTCACCAGCATGAAGTTTTTGGGATTCATTCTTGTTGTGTATGTTGGTAATCCATTTCCTTTTATTATTAATCCAGTTTCCTGTTGAACATTTGGGTTGCTTTCAGTTTTGAGCTATGGTGAATCATACTGTGATAAACATTTGTGCACAGGTCTTTTTATGGGCATATGTTTTCCTTCTCTTGGAGTGAAATGTTTACTAGCACTAGAATTGCTGGGCTATAGGATAAGTTTATGTTGCAGCTTATGTGAACTTTGAAAGAGTTTTCCAAAGTGGTGGTGCTATTTTATATTCCACCAACAACGAATTAGAGTTCTGATTGTTCCACATTTTTGCCAGTGTTTGCTGTGTGAGTCTTTTTTCTTAGAACCATGCTAGTGGGTATATAGTGATATTTCACTGTTATTTTAACATGCATTTCTATGATGACTAATGATGCTGAGTATGTTTTGTTGTGCTTATTGGCCAGTGGTATACCCTATTTTCAAGTTTCTAAGTCTTTTACCCATTCTTTTTATTTGAATTGTTGCTATATATATATATATATAGATAGATAGATAGATAGATAGATAGATAGATAGATAGATACTTTAAGTTCTGGGATACATGTGCAGAACATGCAGGTTTGTTACATAGGTTTACAACATGCCATAGTGGTTTGCTGCACCCATCAACCTGTCATCTATGTTAGGTATTTCTCCTAATGCTATCCCTTCCCTAGCCTCCCAGCCCCTGACGCCCCTGTGTGTCGTGTTCCCCTCTCTGTGTCCATGTGTTCTCATTGTTCGACTCCCACTTATGAGTGAGAACATGCGGTGTTTGGTTTTCTGTTCCTGTGTTAGTTTGCTGAGAATGATGGTTTCCAGCTTCATTCATATCCCTGCAAAGACATGAACTCATCCTTTTTATGGCTGCATAATATTCCATGGTGTATATGTGCCATATTTTCTTTATCCAGTTTATCATTGATGGGCATTTGGGTTGGTTCCAAGTCTTTGCTACTGTGAATAGTGCTGCAATAAACATACATGTGCATGTGTCTTTATGGTTGAATGATTTATAATCCTTTGGGTATATACCCAGTAATGGGATTGCTGTGTCAAATGGTATTTCTGGTTCTAGGTACTTGAGGAATCACCACACCGTCTTCCACAATGGTTGATTTATACTCCCACCAACAATGTAAAAGCATTCCTATTTCTCCACATCCTGTCCCGCATCTGTTGTTTCCTCACTTTTTAATGATCGCTTTTCTAACTGGGGTGAGATGGTATCTCATTGTGGTTTTGATTTGTATTTCTCTAATGACCAGTGATGATGAGCTTTTTTTCACGTTTGTTGGCTGCATAAATGTCTTCTTTTGAGAAGTGTCTGTTCATATCTTTCGCCCACTTTTTGGTGATATCCCCTTTATCATTTTTTATTGTGTCTATTTGATTCTTTTCTCTTTTATTCTTTATTAGTCTTACTAGCTATACTAGTAAAGGGTTGTTGCCTTTTTTAAAATTTGTAGATATTCTTTGTATGTTCTAAATATGAGCACTTTGTCACATATATGCTATATGAATATTTTTACCAGTTTATGGTTATTCGTTTGTTTTTAGTGGTATCTTTTTCATTTCTCTTAATCATTTAATACCAGTATATAAGAAAATTTTTCATATGCATGTGTATATGTGTGGTCTAAAGTTGTATAAATCCTATCTTTTTATTATAAATATTTTATATAATTTCTTATTAGTTATAAATATGTAATAAAATCATAAAATGAAAATTATCTTTTTAAATACTTATAGTATTTAGACTATATGTCTGTTTAGTATTTTATTGCATAGATAACATCTCTTATAGTAATGACATAGGGTAGTGGTCTTTCTTGTTCCAGATTTTTAATAGAAATTGTTTAGCTGTTCTGTATTAAGTATCATATTATATAGTATTTTTATGGTAGGTGCTATTTATAGTGTTTAGAAAATTATTTTCTTCTTAGTATTTTTCACTTAACAGTGAATACGTAATATTACTGGTTTTCTTATAGCCGTCTATCAATACTGTATGGTTTTTCTCATGTTTCCGTGGATGTGACAGCAGTTTGTTCAGTTAAAAAGTCATTGACTTCCTGGAATAAATCCCTTTTGGTTTTGGTACTATTGAATTTAATTTATTTAGTGGTTTTATGATTTTATATCCATTTTCATGAGTAAGATTAGTTTTCTTTTTTAATGTACTACATTTGTATTTTTTTTATTGGTTTGTGATACTTAATAAAATGAATTAGGTAGTACTGAATTCTTCCTTGTATTACGTGACAGCTTATGTACATTAGAAATAATTTATTGCTCAGATCCTAGGCTTAGAGGGGTCTTTTATTGGAGGTAGATTTTTTGATAATGTTAAAAATTTCTCCAAAGTTATTAATATCCAATTTACATCTAAAATGTAAATTGTATTATTTTTGTTAGAAACCCAGCCTTCTTATCAACATTTTAATTACTTGGAGTATAAAGTAAGAATTGTATATAGTATTCTTTGTTTTAAACAGTATTTTATTAAATAACATGCAGTCAGTGTGGGAAAATAGGAAAAAATAATATACTAGCAGAAAGTAAGGAGAAATCCTTCTGTACCCTTTAGAGATAACCTGTTTTGTGATATATAACATTATAGCATTCTGGACTTTTTCATATGTATATTTAAACACAGTATAAGTTTTTTTCCACAAGGATAGGATAGTATTTTAAAACAAATTTATTAGAGATAGTAAAGTGTTTAAAGCTATCTTCTCTACAACTTTTGTATCTATCTTCTTTATAGTTTTCTGTAGGGCATTTTTATTTGACTGTTAGTCTGTGTTATTTATTTTTTAAAGAGCAGGTTAAAATTTTTTAAGCTAAAAGGTATTTTGTGTTTCTTCATACTACCTTATCTTTATTTTCCTCTTTCTTTGCTCCTTTTGTCTGTTTTTTGTTTCTTTTTCTCTCAAGGAGTTGGCAACAGGTGCATGTGCACACATACATACATTTTGGCTCATTTGTTCTTTTTCTACAACGTGAAGGTGAGTGGCAGCGAGGCCTCTTGTGAGAGAGCATACCCATCCATCTCACTCATCCTGTGGAGTCAGCATAGGCAAACTGCTGAAATGGAGTTGGAGCTCATTTCTGCAGTCCAGGCAGAGGACAATGGCAATGTGGCAGGGTCAGTCTGAGAATGTATGTTCCTCCTACCTCAAGGTGCCTTGGAGAAGATCAGTGCTGGCCTTCGATGTGCTCAGGGGATGTACTTATGACTCTTAGCATGTGATATGAGGTATCTCACTACTTCACTCTTTCCTCCATCCCAAATAGTGAACACACTTAACAACACTTACAACATCATAAAACTGTTCAGTTTTAGAGGTATAATTGTCAAAAGCACAATGTGAACAAATGCAGCTTAAAGATTGAATTGGCTTTATTAAGCAATTCATGAACAGGGCAACATCCCATCTAAAAAATAATATTCTGATGAGCAAAGCAGAGAAGACTGGCTTTATAGGCAGCAAAAGGCTGCAAAAGCAGAAATAGGAAACAAAAAGTAGGTTGGTTATTTCAAAGTTACTTCCCTTACAGGGTTACAACAGAGGAGACTTCGTTATCATGCTGGCTCAAGTAGACCAGGCCCCTTCTGATTGTGGATCAGATTGCTTCAAATCTCCTGGTTTTTGTTGTTGTTTTTTAAACTGGTACATATTCAAGTTCAGTTTGATTATGTGGCACCTAGCACAAGTGACTGTATTCTGGTTTGATGTGGTCTTTTGGGGTGTACTGCAGCTGCTCAGCCTAATACAGTGGCCTTCCATAAATTTTATTTAACATAGACCTCTATGAATTTAATTAGTAGGCTTTTGAGCATCAGAGTGAGACTCACTACATGTTCCATAAAGCTGAGAAAAGCCAGGTTCAGGGAGATTTTCCCTTGGCCCAGTTACTTTCTTTTTAAATATAAGGAACATATCTGAGGATATGACATTTCTTTGTATTGTAGCTTTGGCTGCATCTTATGAATTAGTGTCCTTGGTTTTGTTTTCTTTTTTTTTTATTTTTAAGTTTTTTTTAAAATTTATTTTAGTATTATTATTATACTTTAAGTTTTAGGGTACATGTGCACAATGTGCAGGTTAGTTACATATGTATACATGTGCCATGCTGGTGTGCTGCACCCATGTAGGGACATGGATGAAATTGGAAATCATCATTCTCACTAAACTTGGTTTTGTTTTCTAAAGAATTTAGGACATGTTATTTTGGAGACTGTTTTTACATTTGATTATGGGATGCATTTTTAGTTGTTTAATCTTTGGCTATTAATGTCTGCTTTTAACTTTATTATAAAAATTGACCATTATAACTTTTTTTTTTTTTTTGAGACGGAGTCTCACTCTATCTCCCAGGCTGGAGCACACTGGCGCCATCTCAGCTTACTGCAACCTCCGCCTGCTGGGTTCAAGTGACCCTCCTGCCTCAGCCTCCCTAGTAGCTAGGATTACAGGTGCTTGTCACCGCACCTGGCTAATTTTGTGTTTTTAATAGAGACAGGGTTTTACCATGTTGGTCAGGCTGGTCTCGAACTCCTGACCTCAGGTGATCCACCCACCTCTGCCTCCCAAAGTGCTGGGATTACAGGCATGAGCCACCGTGTCCGGCCTATTATAACTTTTTTGAGCTTTTAAAGTTGTCTTTTGACTACCATATCCATATTACAAATATATTTCCTGATTCCTCTTAAACTATAGTATTAAATATACTTAGAATAATCCAGTTTTATTAGGTACTATTCGTATTACTAATGTTCTAATTTTTAAACCTATTAGGTTTGCCAAAAATTGACTGATGTTAATTCTTCTTAATGTTTTCCATACTTTGTTCTTGTATTTTGAACAGTTTTTACTTTTATACTTTTACTTTTGATAATCTTGTTCTTGCATGAAGGCATGAAATCTTTTTGATGAGCTTTCCAGTTTTATTAGCAAATGTGCCCTCTTTATAAAATTTTGGATTTTTCTTATATTGTACTTTTTCCTAAGTTTGCCCCTTACCCTCCTTTTAAAAAGTATTGCCAAGAAAAACCCTAGCAGGACACTAGGTTCCTTTTTAAGTCTATCCCTAGTTCTCCACTCCTTTCATATCAAAGTTTTAAAAAATATAGTTTACACTTTCTCTTTTCTACATTATTTAGTCTCAGGGACTCTTTATTCCATTGCAGCTAGGTTGCTACCCCTCTGGATCCAACGGTTTTGATGTGGAAAAGATTACCAGTGATGTTATAATTGTTAAATTGAATGGACACTATAAACTCTTTGACATCACTGCAGTGTTTGATACTGATTTTTATCTTTTTTTGTAAGCTTATTCTGTCCTTGTTATTTGGACAATACATACTCCTTTTTTAATTTTATAACTTAATTTTGATATAATTTTTAACTTATAAGTGGCATCATAGTACTTGGGAAGGACTCCCATGTATCTTGTACATTGATTCATATGTATATTTTTCTGAATCATTTGAGAGTAAGTTGGAGGTACCCTGTACCCTTATCTCTAAATACTTCATTGCATATTTCCTAAGAAATAAGGACACTTTTATACGTAAATATAATAAAGTTATCAAATCAGGAATGTTAACAGTGATACAGTAGGACAGTGTAGTCCACAGGCTGTATTCAGATTTTGTCAATTATTTCAATAATGTCTTTTATAAAAGCCGCTTTTCCCCCCACCCAGTCAAGAATGGAATCCATGGTCGTACATTGCATTTAGTTGTCATGTCTCTTTAGTTTCCTTTTATTTGAAACTGTTCCTTAGTCTTTTTTTGGGGATTTCTTGATCTTTATATTTTTGAAGAGTAGATCCACTTTTGTAGAAGTCTCTCTATTTGACTTTGTCAGTTTCTTGATGATGGGATTCAAGTTATTTATGTATTCTTCCTATCTACCTGTTTGTCTGTCTAGTTACAATATCACTGCAGTAATGTGATGTCCCATTGTCCTCACTGCATCATATCAGGAGGCATGTGATGTCTCTGTCCTAGTACTGGTAATACTGGGAACAACTAGTTAAGGTTTGTCTGCTAAGTTTCTCCACTGTGTTAAATTTTTGCCCTTTCTAATTAATATGTGGGAGATACATTGGGAATAAATATTCTATACCTCAGCCATCTCTCATGTTTATGTTTTAGTGTCCATTGATGATTTTCTAATTCCTTCTATAATTGCTAGTTGGCATTCTACTAAAGAGAAGAGCTTTCCTTCTTATTTTCTGTTTATTTATTTATATCAGTATGGGCTCATGGTTAATATTCACTGGGTTATAATGCATTATTTATTTTCACACCTCAGTTGTCCCAGATTTGGCCATTAGAAGCCTCTTTGGTCTTTTCCTGAGTTATTTTAATATGCCCCCATGATTTCTTGACTGTCTCTTTGCTTTATGACGCAAGAATATATTCCAGGCTATCATGTACTTTCCTGGCTTCAGCCTTGGAATAAGCTATTTCTTTCAGGTTTTTTTTTCTTTGTAAAATGATTGGTATGTAGAGGCCAAGATGTGAGAGCTAAGGTGTGGTCATTGGTACTGAGGTTTTATTGCATCTAGGTCCTTCAAGTGCACTGAGTTGGAAAATTTGTGTATGTTTGTGAATATACATACAGATACCTGTATCTATATTTTTATATTTCCTCATGAAAAACCATAAGTTAGTACCGATATCTCCTGTTGTAATGCAATATCATAGGGTACATTCCAGTCTTCCACATTTGTAGTTACTTATCTTACTGTGAAAATTCTGGCTCCCTTGTTCTCATTTGTTCAATCTTAGAATACATGAAAGCTGCCTTCAGAATTGTTAAATCCGTGCTACCACAAAAACCAAAGTTACTAAATAGAGTTCAATATTTCTTTTTAATTTTTGGATGTAAATTACATATGTGAAATGCACAAATCTTATGTGGTCAGTTCTTTTAGTTTTGACATATGCTCTTTTTGAGTTTTGACTGTATACTCTTGGTCCCCTGTAGATCCTGACTTTTCCTTATTGTCCTTTACTGGCTCCCCATGTCTATGTTCTTCTTTAGTGTTGTTTACAAAGTTCTAGTTCTCTTTGTTGTCTTGTGTGTTACTTTGTGTTACACTTATTTGAATGACAGCCTCTGCAAACTAGAGTCAAGATCTAATTTAACTCGTTTTTGTAACTGTGGGGTCTTTCATCATCTTAGGTAAGGTGCTTAAAAGGTGTTTGAATGAAAAAAAATACACACAGCAATATTACTTATGTCAGTTTATAAGTTGTAAGTAGACACTTTATTTGAGAATCCCAAATAATTAAAACATCAGATTTTTATAATGCTAGATGAACAATCTTATTCTAACCAGTACATTTATTATCTTTTTCATTTTTATTTTTTTACATTTTATCCTCTGTGAAATTGAGATATATCTTTAGTCAGTAGTTCACATTATTGGTGTGAGCCAGCTATGAGAAATCACTGGCACCTTTGTAGGTAGAGTGAAAGCACCAGCATCATAATGACTTAAGATTTAATGAAATATGGTATAGTTATTTTGGCCTGTTCTGCCACTGTATCATAAGATGATTTGGGGCTTTTGTAATGTGTAAAAGACAGACTAAAAAAGTCCTTAATGTTGGTGTTGGGAAATGTAAGTTGAAATAGGTACGTTACTTTTCTTTATCATGTAATAGTTCCAGAGTTATCCAGCTCCACAGATCACAGGACTGTGATATCCTTCCAGGAAGGGCCCTGGTCCTGTTTATTCTCTACCTCTAGTTAATGGCAGTGGCTTTATAATAGGTAAAAGATGTTAATGGCTAAAAGATGGCAGTATTTATTTGAACTCTAACTGATTAATTTCAGTGAGCATCCTCTGCCTATGTGGATAGGCAGTGGCACAATCCTCCCTTCATGATATCTTGCTGGGAATACTTGGCAGAGGATAATGCTGGGTAGATCCTTGGTCTGATATCTCTAGGAGACTATACAATGACAATGAGTCTGAATGTGTTGTGACTTCTTTTTATTTCATATATCAATTAAAAAAATTAACACTTATCATCTTTATCCACAGGAGTGAAACCTCGGTCCGGCTGGGCTATTGATCCCTTTGGACACTCACCAACAATGGCTTATCTTCTAAACCGTGCTGGACTTTCTCACATGCTTATCCAGAGAGTTCATTATGCAGTTAAAAAACACTTTGCACTGCATAAAACATTGGAGTTTTTTTGGAGACAGAATTGGGGTATGTAGGGTTTGATGAAAGTTGATCCCATTTGGCCTAGATACTATTTCACAAGGGTTATGAACTCATGCCACTGTGGGTTTTGTTCACTGTCAGTCTTGAAAAATCAGGTGGCCTAAAGATAGTCACTCTCGTAATTATTTTTCCCATGTGCCTGTGTCAAGATTCTTTTAAGTAATAATGCAGATATTTATAGAGCATAGGAGAATCTTTTTATGTTTAAAGAAAGTAGATAAATATAAGGAGTTAGTATTTTGCCAATAATGCTTTCACTTGCTTCTGTTTTAGAAAGCACGTTTTATCACAAATTTGAACATGCATTAGAACTGATATCCAGTCATATATCTTATATTCAGCCAGTGTTCCTTCCTTCTGTCTCTCGTCTCTACATCTTGTAAGAATTGCTTTTTAAAGCCTTAATCCTGTCCTCCTAAAACAGCCCTAATGTCAAAATACCACCTGTCTTCACAGTGTGTTCTGTGGCCACGCAGGCATTCTAAGGATATACTTGTGCAGCTCTTTATTAGGAGAGAGGAGAAAAGATCTAGGCCTCTTGGGAGGCCTTTGCCTTTCTCAACCCCTATTTAATTCAGACCACCTTATTTTCTATTTATTTATCGAGCCTTTATTATGGGCCATGTATTATGTTACCTCTGCTTTATATTCATTCTCATTTAATCTTTTTAATATTATTCTTTTTTTATGGTGAAGCAATGGAGGCTTAGATATGAGAAGCCATTTGCCAAAAGTCATATAGGTCATGCATAGAGAGCAGAGATTTGAATGTAGTTCTGTGTAGTTCCTGAAGCCCAGGCTCCTAACCTCTGTCATTGTGTTCTCAGTAAACTTTCATCTGAAAGAAATATTTTGTTTATAAAACAGTGTTTGAGAAATTACTGCATTACATTATACTTGTTTTCTTGTGTAATCTAGACCCCTTAAGTGTTTCAGAAAAATCATTTGTAAATTTAGACCGTAACTTTCTTATATGTACTCCTGTTTTTTTCAGTAAGGAAAGCATTAGCTATACAGTTTCTTAATTCTAGAAAATTAAACCTGTAGGGAGAACAAGAACTTGTAGGGGATTGCATTCCATATAGTTTGATCAAATGCTAAGGAGCATATTAATTTGAAAAACAAAGAATTTGAAGAAGCCCTACTTAAACAATTGCCCATAAATATCAGTTAGTATGAAATTATTGAGTACTTTTATGTATTTCAGTATTGTGCTAGGAAGAAATGTTGAAAACATCCTTGCTTATAGGGAAATTCCAGTCTAATTTGATAAAATACGGATACAGCCAAATGTAGCAGATAAAATTAAGTATGCAAATTAGCTGCAAAAGAGTAGCGCATAAGGAGAATTAGTGGGGTATGGAGTATGTCCTTATCCATAGGAGAGAAGAGTTTTAGGACTTGTGACAACCTTTTGTGGCGACTATATGCTCATAGCAAGCATTAGTGACCAGCATCTACAGTGTCACCGTTGTGAATATGATTCAGTGAAACAGCTGACAGCACTGAAGTACATAGATTTTAATAGTTTTAAATTTGGAAAATAACAGTTAACTAAATTGATAAAACTGGAATATTTTAGGACTTACCTGATAAATTTGAACATGTTGCTTTTTAAAAAATGTTTTCGAATTAAGTTGAGCTTGTTCACGTGTTCGAGTTCTTAATGAAGCAGTTATTTTCACTTATTAAAAATGTAAATTTTTTTGTCTTTCTGTTACGTAAGCAGTACATACTCATTGCTGAAAATTGGAAATCCATACATAAATAAAGGGCGGGGGCTATTTAAAAGCTCAGGATCATATTCGCAAAGATAGCTTTTAACTACTAGGTAGGTCCTCCAGTCTCACTTGTTGGTAGGCTTCTCACCTCTCCAGGCCAACATGTGATAACATTGTAGTTTTAATTAAAAGTAATTCTGCATCAGGAATCAGTGCTCATTTTCCATATCTTATTCGTTTTGTTTTTATTTTTGTTTCGCTTTTTGAAAATTACTTTTTCTTTTCCTGTGCTTCTTTGTTGGTGAAAAGTCCCATTGACTGACTCATTCTTGGTAAACATGGGGTGAGACTGTAGATTCTCCTGGGTTGCACATCCTCTCCTCACCATAAGAGGAAATTTTCTCCAAGAGTGAATTTCTCCAGTGTTTTTATAAGTCTATGCTCCACACTTCCTTTGTTCTTCCATCCCTTTTTTACTCCGTTCTTCTCACCCAGCCTCTGCAGCTAATATCATGGTATCTCTCAGTGAATTCTGTTACCTGAATTGGGAACAGTTACGGCAGGAACTGGCAGCCAGGGATGGACATAGTTTTGGATGAGCCAGCTGTAACTTTTACGGCTGCTCAGTTTGTATCCCTCCTGGTCAGCTGGCGCTGGTTCATGCTGGGGCTTTCCTGTCTCTGCTATGCTTAGATAGAAGAGGTAGATAGAGACTGAGATGTGTGAGTATCTTCCTTCAGACAGGTGGCCATTAAATACCGCTGGGGTATATGTACTGGAAGTTAAAGGGGCTGCTGATTTAGCACAGAGCTAAATCAGCATTACTTTGTGTAAAGTAATGACATTTTGAATATTTTTTGGGAAAACAGATTTTATAAATGCAGGTTTGTGTGTTGGCTCTTTATTTTAGATCTGGGATCTGTCACAGATATTTTATGCCACATGATGCCCTTCTACAGCTATGACATCCCTCACACTTGTGGACCTGATCCTAAAATATGCTGCCAGTTTGATTTTAAACGTCTTCCTGGAGGCAGATTTGGTTGTCCCTGGGGAGTCCCCCCAGAAACAATACATCCTGGAAATGTCCAAAGCAGGTATGAAAATGCGTATTTCATAAGACAACATCTTGAATAAAGTAGCCACTTAGCTGCTAGTTGCTGAAGGGTTGAACAAATGGGCTTTATTAGCCAACATTATCCTTGTTTGAAGTATTCATTCAAACCAGATCTAAAGCAACTTAAAAATGCCAGAGCCTTGACTATGCCGGTTATGTGTTACATTTTAATGGAAAGTGAACAATACTAGATCAATATACAATGGATAACCTATAATACACTATTATTACCATCTCCTTTGCCCTCATTATAAAAGCCTTCTACTGTGTTTGATTGATTTCATATACTTTTGTTGAATAAAACTTCTGGTCCCTATTGTACAAATTGGTAAGAAAAGCAATTCAACTGCAAAAACACATTTATTGAAATGGAGCACATAAAGAGTGTAATTATCTGTTCCCTTAATAACAATTTCAATAATAGTGAATGCTTCCCAGCTCTGGTGTATACACATCTTTGCATCATTCTGATGTTTTTGACTTACAGTAAACTTTAATTAGGAATATTTATACTTAAATACATTTAAATAAAAATCAAAGGTATGAATCATTTCTTTAGAAGAAAATTGTGCTAATGATGGAAGCATCTCATTAAACCAACTTACATGTAGTTTCTAATATTGGTACTTTTAAAGTTTAATTTCTTCACTTAAAAATTAGTAGTGTATTAAAATGAAACATTGTGGTGTAATATAAAAACACTAAACTCTGCTAGGAAAATAATATAGCCCATTAAATAAATTAAATAAATTTATTTTTGCACTATTAAATCAGTTTATTTTCAAAAGAGAAGTCACTTAAAAAAAAGTGTGTGAGGAAGAAGGTGAAATGAGATCTTTTTACCTTCAATGAGTCCTTAGAATCACAAAGATTTTCTTTGTGAGCCTCTCACTGTGGCAGACATGAAGGTGTTTTAGCATGGCAGCCTTCTTAAAGTCATGGAGCCCTTCTATCAAAATGTGACTTTAATAGTTATTTAGAAAAACTGCCCAAGGTTAGGGATTGACTTGATTTCATTTTCTTGGTTCCTACAGCCATGAGAACCACTGAGGAATTCTGAACAACCTGCTTTCTAGCTAGGGTTGGGTTAAGTAGGCATAAGAGAATAAGCCAGTATATTGTGTGGTGGAAGGTGTAATAAAAAGGAAGGGTTGAGTGTGGGGGCACCCTGGCCTGTGTAGGTGGGCAAATAGCTGTTTATATTTACAGGTATTTACACTACTCTCTGCTCAGGTGACCAGGGATGGGGAAGTTCTTAAAAGTGAACAAGATGTTTCAGCTGGGGAGTCCCAGTGCATTCATAGTATTGTGAGCCCTTTGTTCTTTTTTTGGGGGGTGCTACTGAGACTACCTGAGGCACATTATTGAGGAAAAAAAGGCTTTTTTATAATCCTTTTGCTATGTCATCTAACCTTTCAACAATTGCCCCTCAGGATGATACCTTGTGCTCATTTAGTTCCAGTGGTTTTGAAAGTGATTTCCAGGCACCTGGGGGCATACTGTTGAATGAGTCTATATAATACTTAGAGATTTTTTCTTTTTAAACTTCTTGGCCGGGCGCAGTGGCCCATGCCTGTAATCCTAGCACTTTGGGAGGCCGAGGCAGGCGGATTTTCTGAGCTCAGGAGTTTGAGACCAGCCTGGGCAACATGGTAAAACCCCATTTCTATGGCGGCGTGTGCCTGTAATCCCAGCTACTCAGGAGGCTGAGGTAGGAGAACTAATAGAACCTGGGAGGCAGAGCTTGCAGTGAGCCGAGATCTCTCCACTGCACTCCAGCCTGGGTGACAGAGTGAGACTTCGTCTCTAAAATAAACAAACAAACAAACTTCTTACAAGTATTGAAATGTTAACTCTACTGGTTACCTCAGATCCATATATCACCTTCGTTTTGACCTGATGATGAATTGAGATCAAACACAGGCATTCCAGCTCATTGGCCCCTTTCAAGCTCCCCACTTTTTTTGAGACAGGTTCTCTTTCTGTCACCCAGGCTGAAGTACAATGACACAATAGCTCACTGGAGCCTCCATCACCTGGGCTCATGCAATTCTCCCACCTCAGCCTCCTGAGTAACTGGGACCACAGGTACATGCCACAATGCTCGACTAATTGTTTTAAAAAATTTTGTAGTGACGAGGTCTCCCTGTGTTGCCCAGGATGGTCTTGAACTCCTGGGGTCAAATGATCCTCCTGCCTCGCCCTCCCAAAGTGCTGGGATTACAGGTATGAGCCACCATGCCTAGCCCTGTTCAATTTGTTAACGTCCCAAAGAAAATGAAATTTAACCATAATGTACAGATGGCATCTTTTGATATGTCCAGCTCAGCAGGTTCTTCTACTTTGCAAGTAAAGAAATATCATTCTTTGTCAAGTTCATTTTTGGTCAAGTACTATATATTTTAAGTTGGCTTTTTCTATTGACCGTCACGTGATTTGATGTTTCGGGGATTTTATTTTTCTTGGTTACAGTTAAGTTGACATTTCTTACCTGGTAAAATAAATCAGGAGCAAATTGCATCTGTATGTTTTCAAATGTGATGTTGGGTCAATTGATTTGTTATTGGTTCCATATATTTACCATATTACCATTTACCAATTACCATTGGACCATATATTTAGTGAGTGTCTTCTTCCTGCCAGGCGTTACAGGCTGGTTACTTGGCTTTCCCAGTGTTGACACTTTCTGGACAGGCTTGAGAGTTAGGATAGATGTGAAGTGTTAAAGGCATGCCATTAACGTTTGTGATTTCTTTTCTTTATATGTGCTTTACACATATGTATACAAGATACTCTATATCTAATAGTAAACCCTTTTTTATGCTGGCTGCCTAGGAAATCTAGTTGGAGCTCAATTATATCTTATATCTATGATTTATATATTTGATTATTTTTACTCATTTTTTTTTGGTAGCCTTCTTTCTATGTGGTCAATCTCATTCTTCATGTGTTTTTTATCGTAAGTAACCTAAAAGTGTTTTGGCAAATGTGGAATGTTAGTAAATTACTAGTAAAGATAAAGTAATGTGCTAATGTCAGAAAACTAAGCATTATATGTTACATAAGGACGCTGTGGTTATATTTTACTCACCAAGGTATTATGTTACTGCTAAAATTTTATATTTGCAAAGCAATTTCAGAGATTACAAATGTAAAAAGGACCATATGAGATTTAAATTTAGTTAAATGTTTATAATTTTTATAAGATGCTTCATTCTGTCATTGGTGTTCTTTGAGATACTTTCGTAAGTTTTTATATTGTGAATTAGAATTTACTTTTGGATGATCCTTGAAGTGAAAATTATAAAAATACTTGTCGTTTAATCACTGATTTCTTAAGCTTTGTCTTTGTAAATATTGTGAACTGCTTTGGGTTCATCCACTTGTATAATTTCATTTTCACAAGCCCTTTGTCTTAGTTTGTATTCTCAGACTTTCTTAAATGATGCCCTAATTCAGTGATTTCCAAAGGACATTCTGCAGAATACTATAATAGAATATGAAATACAAAAGCTATTCCATCAAGCTATTGGTTAGAGTCCAGAGAAGTAGAAACCAAAATAACTAATTCAACTCCTAATCCTTATCTGATGGTCAGTATTGAAAAGGACACTGTGACAAATACTCAGATTATTGGTGGCAGGTGACAAGTGTGTGGATTTTTTTTTCTTTAGAAGAGGAAATATGACTCTATAAAATGTTACAGATTAACATTTATTCCCTTTTGGTTTTGTTCAAAGTACACTTTTTTCTATGTTTAATCAGATAATTTTAGATTAGAGAAAGGAATATTAAGACAAAGCAAACTTCAAAGTCTGTATATGTGGGAAGTCCTTATTGTCTTACTAGATAAATCATTTTAACACCTGGGCTATCTGGTATTCAATCTCTGTGGCTGGGCTTTAGGAAGTCCTTGGTACCCCACTTATTATATGCCAAGTTGGTACATGACCATATTTCTCCAAAGATAATCCATTGGAAACCTATGAGTTTTTCCTTCTGATAAGAATTTATGAATATTTTTAAAGGATAATGAAAATTAGTATGATAGTTTTAAAAAAATCTGTCTTTAAATTATACTAACCTTGCAGATAGATAAAATATACAGTTTCTTTTAATAAAATGTACTTTTGAATTTGGTTATTTCCTTTTTAATCAATTGTCACATTCACTTTTTCTTAGTCAAATTCATATTTGCTGTTTTTTTGTGTTTGTTTTTTTTGTAGGGCTCGGATGCTACTAGATCAGTACCGAAAGAAGTCAAAGCTTTTTCGTACCAAAGTTCTCCTGGCTCCACTAGGAGATGATTTCCGCTACTGTGAATACACGGAATGGGATTTACAGTTTAAGAATTATCAGCAGCTTTTTGATTATATGAATTCTCAGTCCAAGTTTAAAGTTAAGGTAAGGAGAAAATATTTATGATTCCGTATTTGAAATTGAACCTTTATTATTAAATGAGACTATAAACAGAAATCCTTAGCTTCTTTGTCCTACATCACAGTGCTTCTTAGAATATATAATTCTTGTGTAAAATATAATCCATTAGGAAGAAAATTATTATATGCTATAGTTCCATATCTAAAGTTGTCCCGTTCCTAACACTCCTTGAGGATTAAAGAGGAATTTACTTTTATGTGATTGAAAATATGTACCTACCAAGTTGTGATATTTAGTCTTCAGGGACTTACTGTTTTTGTTGTGCTTGTTTTGTTTTGTTTTGTTTTTTTACCAACATTGAAAGTCTGTTATTTCTCTCTGACAGCTGCATCCTTGTGATTTAGTAGCATGACTGGCAGATGCAGATGAACATGTCATGAATTTTGCAAACAAATGTCCTATGTCCAGAGAATACACTAACATTTTTTTTTAAGTGAGAAGACTTCTAAAATTAATCGTTTGCCTATGGTTCTTACTCTTTTTTTTTTTCTTATGGAAAATTTAAAATGTACTGTAAAGTTCTGAAAATAGCAAAAATTGTTCCCCTTCTCCCCATATCCATGGCTCAGCTGCAGCATTCTTCAACTCAAGACCACTCTTGTTTCAGCCATGCCACACTGCTGTCTCACTCCTCCCCATAGGATTATATTGAAGCCAATCTCAGGTTTCATATAGTTTCACCTGTAAATATTTCAGTATGTATCTCTAAATTATAAAAGTTCTGTTTAAAAATATAACGATAATACCATTATCACACCTAAAAAACTAACAATAATTTCATGATACATATCTGGACAGATTCAAATTTTCCTCATCTCATAAAAAACAATTCTTTTAACACATGCTTTGTTTGAGTCAAAATTCAAGCAATAATCATATATTGCATTTGATCAAGTTTTTAATTACAAAATTGATTTTTTATTGATACATAATTATATATATTTATGGGACACCTATGAATTTTGATACATGCGGAGAATGTATAATGATCAAATCAGGGTATTTAGGATATCTACCACTTCAAACTTTTATCATTTGTTTGTGTTGGGACAACAGGCTTTTAAAGTCTTTTTTTTTTTTTTCTTTTTAAATGTGTCTTAGAGACTCTACATAAGAAGATTAATTATTCAGCATGTTTATTATTTCACATATTGACATGTAAAAGTAGAACATCTGTGAAAATACTATAGAAAGGAAGTGATATTACTGTTTAGGAAATTTGAAAGCTGATGGTGAACTATAGTTTAGTAAGAATTCAAGTTTATTAAATAAACCTAAGTAATATCAAATAGATAAATAAACCTAATAAAATATCAAGTTTATTCAGGATTGTTACAGCTGAATTTTTATCAGATTATGAACTCGGATCCTAGGGGTATGTTTAAATTATCCGTGTATTTTCCTGAGAGATGATGCTCATACATGAATATGTGATCAGAGGAAGGGATATATATATGAGTATCTTATCTGTAATTACATCTTACTAGGAAGTGATTTTGGTTCATAGAAGCATCTGGTCTCCTGTCTGACTGAAAAAATTAGACCCTGATTTTAGTATTCTACCTATTTCATCCTTTGCCTACTAGAACAGTTTTTTAAAAGTCATTTAAAAAATTGAAGTGCCACATACATAGAAGAAGTGGACAAACCATAAGTGTGCATAGAATTTTGCAAGTTTAAAAGTCTCCATGTAACCATCATCCAGATTAAGGCTTAGAACTTTTATTGTCCCTCAGATCTCTTTCCAGTCATCACCAACTGCCGCAAAAGCAACCACTACTTTCACATCTGTCACCATGATTACTGTTGCCTGTTCTTGAATTTTATACGATGGGGACCATACACATGTACTTTGTGTCTGGCTTTTTCTTTTCACATTATGTTTGCGAGAGTCATCCATTCTGTTGCAGGTAGCAGTAGTTCATTCCTTTTTAGTACTGTGTAGTATCTCTAGTATTCATTTTTTGATGAATATACCACAGTTTATTCATTGTATTGTTATTGGGTATTTGGGATTGTTCCCAGTTTTTGTCTATCACAAATAAGTCTGCTTTGAATATTTTGTCCATGTTTTGGTTACTTGTTATGAGTTTACATGGGTATAAAATGGGATGTAATTTTTTGGCCATTGAGTATGCACATGTTCAGCTTTAGTATATATTGCCAAACTGTTCCAAAATAGATGCATCAATTGTGTTGTACAAGAGGTTCAGTTGTTCCACACCCTTTCTCAGTTTGTATTGTCAGGATTTTTGTTTTCCATTTTTATCCTTTTGATAGATGGGATGGTTTTATTTTTTATTTCTCCTGTGGTTAATGAGGTTGAGTCTCTTTTCATATGTTTATTGCCATTTGAGTATCCTCTTTTGTGAAGTACCTATTTAAGTCTTTTGATGATTTTTTAATTAAATTGGGGTTGTCTTTTTCTTACTGTTTATAGCTCTTTGGTACATTTTGAATTCTATCTTTTTTCATATAAAAGTTATGCAAATGTTGTCTCCTACTATGTAGCCTGCATTTTCACTTTCTCATGCTGTCTTTTGATGAACAGAAATTTTTAATTTTAATTAATCAAATATAACTATTTTTCTTTATGTTTAGAACTTGTTCTGTTTGAAAAATTTTTGTTTATCATTTGGTTCTGAAGCTACATTCTTATGAAGCTATCCTCTAGAAGCTTAATTGTCTTGCCTTCAACATTTAGGTCTATAATCTATCTGAAATGGATTGCTGTGAATTGTGTGAGGGTAGGGATCAAGATACATTTTGGCTTATATAGATATCCAGCACCATTTATTGAAAAGACCATACTTTCTTCCACAGCACCACAGTGTCATCTTTGTCATTAATCATGAATGAGACTGCATTTGTGTGTGGGTCTGTGTCTACACTCTCTATTCACTTTTATTGGTCTGTTTGACTCATCTCACACTGTCTTAATTATTAACACTACAGTTTTATAATAGGTTTTAATATCTGATAGTAAAAGTCTTCCAGTTTGTTCTCCTTCCCAAAATTGCATTGGTTACTGTTAGTCCTTTGTAATTCTACATAGGTGTAGGTCATCTTTTAAATTTCTACCAAAAAAAAAAAAATTGAAGGGGATTTTGAGTGGGATTGCATTGAATCTTTGGTTTGATTTGAGCACAAATAACTACAATTATTGGGCCATCTAATCGATGAACGTGGTGTATTTTGTGTATTAATGCAATTGATTTTTGCATTTTAGCCTTGTATCCAGTAACTTTGTTAAATTTATTTATTATTTTTAGTTATTTGTGGATTCTTTATGGATTTCCTATATATGAGTAATGGCATATATATGTCTTCCTTTCCAAAGCTTTAAATCTTTCCATCTACTTTCTTACCATGTACAATGGCTGTGTCCTCTAGTATAATGTTGAGTAGGCGTGGTGAAAGCAGACATAATTTTCTAAGAGAGAAAACATTCGTTAGTCATAATGTTTGCTGTAGAATTTTGTAGATTCCCTTTATCAGATTATGGAATTTTCCTTATATTCCTCATTTACAGAGTGTTTTTTCATGACCAGATACTAAATTTTATTATTTTCTTCTTCTAGGACATTGCTTTGTGTTAGGCCTTTATGTCTTGTGCAATGATTGAACCAGTACCCCAAGATGAAAATTTGGTAGAGTATAGGGTCCACCTTAATGCATTTTCTTTCTCTCCAACATTTTTATCCCTTAAGTTCTGGCTGCTTTAGTTCTTTAATGTCTTCAAAGCTTTTTCTTTCTACAGTTTATCTAGTTATATCTGTTTCTTGTGGGATACTTAAAGTTACTTTGTCTGAACTGGAAGCATAAATTTAATATTTTCTTTTAATGAACTGGAGAACAAAAGTAAATAACTGAGTTCAGATGGCTGAAAAATTGACGTGGAATAGCCAAGACAGTCATTTTGCCATTTGATCATCATTTAACAATTTTTGTAATTTTTCTTATGTGTTGTCCTGATAGAATTCTTACATTTAAGATTAAAGTTGTTGCCTTTTAATGTAAAAACCATGTGAATATTTTTATTTGGTTATTCTTAAAGGTGTCCTAAATATTTACTTTTTATGAGCTACCAAGAGACTTTCTAGAGAAATTTACTTTAAATAATTACTTTAAAAAATACTCTAGCACAGGTACTGAGTTATTTTTCTACCCTTAAAGATTGAATTAAGTTTTTGAGAAAGCCTACTAGGCTACTTATCTAAACTGCTCTGGGACATTGCCAAGAAGGAAGTATTTTTATCTTGGCTCATACCAAAAACTAATTGAAATATTTTCAAAGGGTATACTTTATTGTTAATACTAATTCTGTAGCATGCTATAGATTTCTAAACTTTGAAGTTCAAAATGGTTTTTATTGTCTAAATAAAATCCTTTGTTTTATGTTTGAGGAAAGTGAGACTCAGAAATATTTAGATCGTAGACTATTTTGTCACTCTTATTATTTATACTTTCCTGAGCTCATCTGTATCTGCTGGATATGAAGTTAATGCCATATTTCCTTCTATTCGTGACTCATTTCTTTTATGGTTACACACACACACGCGTGCACACACACACACACACAAACACACACAGTCTTCTTCCTAGTAATGCTTGTGAGTAATAATACTCTTAGTGTTAGCTAAAACATATTGAGTGCGTATTATTTGCTGTAAATTGCTTAAAGTACTTTATTTAACTTATTTAGTTATCTGAACATTTTCTGGTAGGTCCTATGATTGTTCCCATTGTAGATGAGGAAATTGAGGCACAAATAGATTAACTTGCCCAAGATCACTCTCTGTTTGGTGAAGCCAAGATACATTGGCTACACCAAATTGAATACAGTTGAAAATTGCTTATCTTTAATATAAACATAAGGATTTAGAAATAATCATCTATTTTGCTGTAAAAATATATTGCACCACAACTAGATTACAGTCACTTATATTTGCCTTATCAGTATCATTGTTGTAAATGTTCCAGTCGCAATTTTGTCTTTGCAGTGAATAAGTGATAGCTAAATTTATACCATTATTGGCCAGTCATGGTTGTAAGTTTTTTTTTGTTTGTTTTTGAGATGGAGTCTCGCTCTGTCACCCAGGCTGGAATGCAGTGGCGTGATCTCTGCTCACTGCAAGGTCGGCCTCCTGGGTTCACGCCATTCTCCTGCCTCAGCCTCCCGAGTAGCTGGGACTACAGGTGCCTGCCACCACACCCAGCTAATTTTTTTTTGTATTTTTAGTAGAGACGGGGTTTACTGTGTTAGCCAGGATGGTCTCCATCTCCTGACCTCATGATCCACCCGCCTCAGCTTCCCAAAGTGCTAGGATTACAGGCGTGAGCCACCACACCCGGCCAGTTGTAAGCTTTTTTCTTAGAGCCCTATTCACTGTAACGTGGATAGACAGAGAAGTTATGTAATATGCTCAAAACACATGTCAGATAAGTGGTAGAGATGGAATTCAAAGCTATGCTATTGCTACCTTGAATCAAAATGACTTGCAATATCTGTGTGTGTGTGTGTGTGTGTGTGTGTGTGTGTGTGTGTATGTGTGTAGGAAACAACAAAATCCGCATCTTTCTTTTAAAAGGAACACATTCCCTGTTAAATAATCTGTTTATTTTTGACAGGACTGCCTTTTAATATCTGTTTACAAGATTTGGTATCGTGTTTCTTTTTGTCTTTGATTTGTAGAATAGTTTGAACTCATAAAAACGAATTTCTTACTGCTGATTTAAATCATTAGTCAGAAAGACCGGTGTGTTTAAGCAGCCAGACTTGCCATTCTTAGCACTCCTTGGATTTAACTTCTACTCAGTGTTACCTACTGGTAGAGTAAGTTCATTTTTTTAAAATGACCTGCTGTTCTTAAAGTCCCTTCTCCTTCACAAGAACTCAACTGGGGGAAAACGGAGATAGAGGAGGGTATGATATATGAAATACCTTATGGCTAACAGAATTATTCTTCTAGACTTTATGGCTAATAAAACTGTTATTGTAGACTTCTGGAACACTTTAATATGTCTTTTATTTTTGCTGCTGCCCTCATCTTTCATTTATGTGGATTAATCCATGCCCAAATCATTGTACACTTTGAAATTCTAGAGATATGTAGGAGTTTTCATATTCACTGATTTGTAGATCTAAATAGCTCTCCTTTTAACTGCTGAAGTGTATAAGTTTTCCCTTAGTTTAATTTGGGCCTTAATGTAAGTAAAAAAAAAGTCACTATTATTTTCTTCCCTGCTTCTGATTTTTATAAAATCTGAGCTATGTATTCATCTTAACTTGGAAACACATGTTAAATATTTATTATTAACTTTCCCTAACAGTGTAAGAAGTAAATAATTTTAAGATAGAATGAATAATTGAAGTGCATTTTTTTAAAACTAGATACAGTTTGGAACTTTATCAGATTTTTTTGATGCGCTGGATAAAGCAGATGAAACTCAGAGAGACAAGGGCCAATCGATGTTCCCTGTTTTAAGTGGAGATTTTTTCACTTATGCCGATCGAGATGATCATTACTGGAGTGGCTATTTTACATCCAGACCCTTTTACAAACGAATGGACAGAATCATGGAATCTCATTTAAGGTACTTTTACCTTTCTATAGCTACATGTATTTTTTCACTTTATATTATCATAATCTTTTTGTAGAGTTTTACGTAATATACATCATTCATGTAGTACATTATGTAGTGTTAAGCTCTAATTAAGCACTTAGTGTAATTGTGAAATTTTAATGCAATCAGAAATACGTCTCCAAACTACAATCAAATTATTACATGGGTTTTTGTTCTGGAAGAAAAAATAGTTTATTTAAATTAGATTTTTAAGGAGTTGTATTCTACATTTTGTATTTTTCTAATTAATTTACCTGTGTTATTTGCACACCATATTAATATTCAGTGACACCATCATGAGTGTCTGCAGGCTGGTAATCTGATAGGCTTCTCATTGGAAACATAGGTGAGCATCAAAGAAGGAAATAGGGCCTCCCAGCAGCCAAACGTGAGCTTCAAAGTTCACAGTCCAAAACTAATGTATTTTGTATGTGGGAGAACTTTAGACTAGGCTTCATCTCAGTTCTTACATACTTATTTGAAGCACATTTCTATAGGCACAGTCATCTGCATAGAAGAACAACATTTGAAAAAATGATGACTGATGGGTCAGATAGTGATTGAAAATGTAAATGGATACAGAGAAGACAGAAAAGTCTGTAGAAGACATAAAAACACTAAACTGACACTATCCAGGAGAACTTTCAATCACTGATAGAATGTTCTATAGTGATAGGTTCTATTTCTGCACTGTCCAAAATATAGTCATTAGGTACATGTGACTATTGAGCACTTGAAATGTGCCCATTTAATTTTAATTAATTTAAATGTCAATAGCCATGTGTGGCTATGGCTACCATATTGGAGAGCATGGTCCTAAGTAACTAACGGAGGCTGGTTGTTGATAAAGTTAAAACTACTCCAGAGGCTCCCAAAGTTTTCTCTATGTATAGACCAGTAAAGTAATTCATTTTCATGATGAATCTTGATGTTTGAGTTAGATTGTACTTACCGTCTTTTATATACTAGTGGACATTGGTTACATTTTGGAAAGGCTTTTTATTAAAAATTATGAATTTAAGAGTTGTATTTTTATATGGTAGTTTTTTATTGTTAATATTGTGCTGCTATTAAATACTATTTCAAAAGCCTAACCTTTTACTGTTACTCGTAATATGCCAGAAAAATGTCTCATTTTAAAAAATTATTTTCATTATTATAGATACATATTAGTTGTACATATTTATGGAGTACATGTGATATTTTGATATAAGCATACAGTATATAATCAAATCGTAATTTGTATATTCATCATTTATGTGTTTCAAAATAACTAAAAGTAGAATTGGAATGTTTCTTACAAAGAAATAACTGCTTGAGGTAATGGAATATATCTTATTAAATTTAAAATAATGTTTACATATTATAGTGACTATCCATTCTTACCCTACAGAATATCAACCAGTTATCTCTTATACTATTCTAAACTTTTCTGTTATAAAGTGGGTTATATTCTCAATAATGTAGAGATCGTTTTGGACCACTGAATTAGTGATTTTTAAGTGCCAAAAAGAATATTGGTTTATCTTAATTTATTGAACATATTCAAGGCATTGTGGTTACTGCTAGTAATATATTTGGAAAATCCTGCTGCATTAAAACAAACCAAAAAACCATACAATAGTTATGACTTTCCAAATGTATTTATTTATACATAAGTTTGTCTGAAAATAGTAATATTTCATCTCTCTGCTCATTTGCAAAATGTGGATAAAATATAAAAGTATAGGGAAGACAATATTTCCCAAATCTTCTTTTTAACATTTTAGGGTGTCTGGATATGCATATGTACTCCTTTTAAAACCAGGAATATTTGCCATGGATATACGTTAACATAGATACACAATTTAGTTAATTCAAGCTTAGTGATTGTTACTTCATGATTTTTGGAAGGATTAGAATTTAAAAGTGGAGATTGTTTACTCTCCTTTGATTATTTCTACAGTTTAGAGAAATGCATCATTTTACAAACAAAGTATTTCTAGTGTCTCCTCTTTTCTGAATCTTGATAACATTTTCAAGTTGCCTTGATTCTGTCTGCATTGTCCTTAAAACATGTTTCGTGTATAGAACCTTCTTATACTTTTTACTTCATCAAGCCATGTCTCCTTTTAAATAAGTTTTTAAGAAAAACTTATCTTGAGCCATATCCTCTGATGAAAAAACATAAAAGGTGGAAATTATAGCCCCCATGTTCTTCTTAGACTGAAGGTTTTTTCCTTTAAAATATACTACAAAGGACATTTTTTTTTTAAGAGACAGAGTCTTGCTCTGTTGCCCAGGCTGGAGTGTAGTAGTGTGATCCTAGTTCACTGCGGCCTCAAACTCTTGGGCTCAAGTGATCCTCCCACCTCAGCCTCCTGAGTAGTTAGGACTATAGGTGCATGTCACTACACCTGGCTAAGATAGAGTCTCTCTATGTTGTCCAGGCTGGTCTTGAACTCCTGGGTTCAAGTGATTTTCCTGCCTTGGTCTCCCAAGATGCTAGGATTACAGGCATAAGCCACCATGCCCAGCCGACATACTGTTTATCATCTTTCAGTTTGTATTGTTAAATTCTCTGTATTTGTTATATGTTATCATTCAAAACTGAAACTAACCCTTTCCCCTGAACTATTCTTGGGCCATTATTTTCTGCCTCTCCTCTCCTCTGAGTGTCCCGCTCACCGACCATGCCTTTCTTTCTCATTTCTCTTAATGTGTATATGTGAGAGTAAATGATATTCTGGTGATGTTCATGGTCTATGTGTGTGTTGCTCTTGGAGAGAAGAAAGGACAGAGAAATTTATCCAATTTTTCAGATTTTTTTCACTGTGCTATTCATAAATAAGCCTGTCTTGCTGCCAACAGGTTCTGGCTTCTTTTTCAGGATCATCTAGAACAAGGACTCCTGATACCAGTGTAGACATGGTATTCTTTGATGATTGAGAACGTAAATGTGTTATACGGGATACATTGGTTGTTTTATATGAACTATTATTACCAATATCTTTTTCATAAATTGCTTGTACTGCAATTATGGATTAAAAAATTTGTAAAGTATCAATGTCACAAGTTTTAGATTATAAGCTAAAGTGTTTGTTTTAAAATAAAAATATGACTTTTATGCAATTAGGGCTGCTGAAATTCTTTACTATTTCGCCCTGAGACAAGCTCACAAATACAAGATAAATAAATTTCTCTCATCATCACTTTACACGGCACTGACAGAAGCCAGAAGGAATTTGGGACTGTTTCAACATCATGATGCTATCACAGGAACTGCAAAAGACTGGGTGGTTGTGGATTATGGTACCAGGTAATCTAATTATAGAAAAATCATCTTTAAAAAAATCATTAAAATTATGGGTAATAAGATTATATCTTTTGGTGAAGTTGTTAGTGTATATCAAACCACATTAACAATGATATCCCTCATAAGTATTACTGTATCAAAACAGCACTGATATTCAAATATTAAGAAATCTGTTGACAGAGTCCCAGCTGCACCAACTTTTTATTGCAATGCATTTCTGCAAATAGGGTAGTAAAATATTATTACTACTGTTTAAAGCTGATCCTATTTTCTTCTAAATAACAGTGTGGAGACTGGAGTTATCTTCTTGACCAAGGACTTGGCATCAAATAAAACATAGTTATAATGTAGAGAGATAAAGATTCCTACTTCATTGTATGTCAGTTTAATCTCATCCTATTTCATATCCAATTGTTCTTGTATACTTCTTTTTTTTTTTTTAAGAGGCATATTGACATAATAAGCTGAGAAGCATAGCCAGGAAGGAAAAAGACCTATAAACCTTATCATATGTGGATGATATAAGCCATTGGGAATGAGAAAGGATGACCTGGGTGTTGGTATCAAAGCCATCTTTAACTCATTGAAGGGCTCTCAGATGGGCAAGGGAGTAGAAGCTAAGTTATTTCTATATTAAAGACTTTGAAACAATGAGTATAGGCATGGTCTGAGATAACAGAGGACTTGGCAAACAGAGCTTCCTAATAAGGGGGAAGAAATCTTACCTTTTGTAGTAGGGAGTTCTCTATCCTCACGCCAGCCTTTGGATGACCATTCATTCATTAGGATCAGTGCAGGGGGCATTCCTAGATTGGGGAAGGAGTTTTGACTATTTTATTTACTGTAGTTTAGACTATTCTTCCTGATACTGTTTATCAGCAGTGTTGTGCTTTGATAACATTTTAAAGTCATTTAAAATATACTGTGATTTTCTTAAAGAATAGATTTTAAAAGTGAATATCCTTAGTACTACTCCTTGATGAGAAAAGCGTATACAACACATAAAATCAATGTTAAAAAATTGACTCACGACTTATATTACTAATTGTAGTAAATGTTAATTAAATTTTTAGTTACAATATTTTGACTGGCTTTCTAGAAATTGGGGGAAAAAGATATTCTTGGGTTTTCATTAGTTGATTTCAGTCCTTAAAAAATGCATTCAAAGTAGTATCTTGAATATCTTCTCCATTTTTTAATGGCAAATATATATGACACCCACCTGTCGAGGTTGATCTGGGGTTAAAGTAGAAAACCCTCATTAGATGATAAAGATGGTATTTCTCCCACAGAAACCATTTTTGAAAGTAAGGTCAGATCCTCCTTTTTTCCTTCTTACCTGCTCCTGGCCTGCTTGGTTTGTTGAGAGTTTAAAAGTGAGACTGCTTAGAATCAGACCAGGGTAGAGCTCCTAAGAGGACATAGAAAAGTCATTTTCCTACACCGCCCACTTGCTATCTCTGGCTGTCATATCGAAAGAGATTTGCTTATAGGTCATTGAGCTTTGGCTACAGAAGATTTTTTGTATCTTGACCTGTCTGGAAGAGCTATCATTGGTTCCTCCATATGTTTTGTGTTGCTTTTAGCTTATAAAAACTTCCCCGTGTAGAATTGCGTGTTAGAGAAAAAAAGGTAGTAAGTCTCAAACTGTACTTGGCATTTGTAAATTTGCTATGTTAGTACTTCACAGTTCATTGAAAAGTCATAAACAATTACCAAGTCATTAGCACAGACATTTTAAGGAGGAAATTTCAAAACATAAGTTAGAGAATTATTAACAAAGAGGTAGTTAGTATTGGGTGTTCTCTTGAACTTGGACTGATGACTACTATTCATTCAAATTTGGCAGAAATATCACTGTGAACAAGTTTATGAATTAGGGGTGCATTTGGCTGCGAGTAATAGCAACCAGAAACAGAATAAATCCTGTCCTGCTTATTTTTATGTCATATGAAAAAAATCTGTAGACAACTGGTTCTGGTATGGCAGCTCTGCAGTGTCATCAGGCATTCAGGCCCTTCTTTCTCCTCTGCCATAGTAGGGGGAATCTGAGAGCATGCTGTCAACAATAGATCGAATGTGTATATAGTTACAAACTGGAAAGCAAGAATACATCATGGCATATTTGGAGATTAATTCTAATCATGGCATGAAAAAAATGAATTAGATTGGGACAATGTTTGTAATAGTCAGCTTAAAAGTATTAATAGATAATGTGGCTTATGTAGAAGGGAAGAAGAAATGGTAATGAGGTCATTTAGAGAAATGTTTTAGAATTCCGCTAATTATTCCTAACTTGTAATTAAGGTAGGTGGGAGAAAACGGAACACAGGGTGAGCGTGAGGGTCCTAAAATGTAGACAAACTATATAGTGGCAGACATGCTAACATCTCCTTAATACAACAACCATAACAGCAAACTAAGAAACTGTGATTCCCAAGTGATTTTTCCCGAACCGTATTCCGTATTAATAGGATAAGTGTATGTTTGGAAATTAGAGGCCCTGAAAAAAATCCTGTATTAATGAAATGTTGAAACGTTTAGAATTTTGTTTTACCCAATGTTTCCCAAATGTACTGTGTTTCATTTTGTTTTGTTTTAAGCAAAGCAGCTCTATACATCCTGAGAAAACATTTGGGGAGTGATATACTGTAGTCTTTAGTACTCATCTTATGAGAAGGCTGCATGTGTGCCTTTAGGATGCAGACATTGATCCTGGCTTTCACTCAGTTTAATTAGGACTCTTTAATACATCTGGTTTTAGGTGGTGGAGAACATGACTTTCACTCTGCAGATTCAGGCTGCCTAATAAAGATAGCCCTGTAGACAATAGAAAGGAACTTAGATTGAGGGTCTTGCTGTCATAACTGAACCATATTCGTATGGTGTTTTAGTATGGTGAAAACACTTAATGCTGTCTAGGAAAACATTTGAATATGTTGGGAAGTTTAGTTAGATTATGGCATGAACTCAAATCCATAAGATTTTAGCATTAAAATTATAGATTTGCCATGTAAATGTATTTAATTAATAACATTGATCATGATCACTTACATCTCTGAAGGAAATATTAATGCTCTGCAAAAAAGAAGTTAACTTCTTTTATAGGTTTTCTTGTTGTTGTTGCATGACAACAAAAATGTCTTCAAGGCATAGATCCAAAGTTGCTTTCTGTATTGGAAAAAATAATATAATTGAAAACGTGATTAGCGAGGAGTTTCTACGTACTTCTCCAATATGAATTTGCCTATGGATGCCTGGTCTGTAGAGCCTTCAAGAAACGTAACTGAATTAGGAAAAAAAAAAAAAAATCTTCAAGCAAGTTCTTTTTCCATGAGTAATGCTTCAGCAGTAGCGGATGTATTTCAGAATTGGTCTGGAATCAGTAGACTTTTGATTCCTTAGACATAAAAATACAATTTGAATATAGTTAGTAATTTCAGTGACCAAAAAATTTAACAGGGATAAAGACAATTTCATTATTCACATCTGTCAAAAACTCTTGTTCTGGTTCTCTTGAACAAGAACATGAAACTAAATTAAACAAAACATCTATTTTAATTCTTGGGGTATGACTTGTATACGAATTGAATTTTCTTGTGAGCTGAATTATCTCATGTTTTTATTCATTGTTAAAACCCTTGTTAGAGCTTTTTCTAAAGTAGCAAATCATTGTTTTTTTGATAGAATGCTTCAAAGTTATTGGGGTGATCCTACTGGATATTATTATTTGGTGCGATATTCATAGAAAGTATACATAGTTTGATTATGTTTATGTGTTTCAGGTGTGTCCAGAAAGCTTTCGGTTTTAAATGGATTCTTGTCAGTTATATCTTCTGATGTACTTAGTTCTAGGGGAAAAAAGAGCAGGTTTGTCATAGATTCATTATAGGTTTCACTTTGAATACAAGATGAAGATACTGGTGGTTTGGCTATTAGTAATGAAACTGAAAATATTGTATGCAGATTTTTAAATTGTTTCTCAGACTAATAAAATTTTTGATTTACAGACTTTTTCATTCGTTAATGGTTTTGGAGAAGATAATTGGAAATTCTGCATTTCTTCTTATTTTGAAGGACAAACTCACATACGACTCTTACTCTCCTGATACCTTCCTGGAGATGGTTAGTAATTTCATCTATGGTCATCATAAAAATGTGTAATTCCATTGTTCTTGCATTAGCAAAGAGGATGAGAAGCTTAATGAAAAAAGACATTGAAATATAATTTTTTGTACATTATTTGAAAGAATTTTTATCACTTAATATAAATTACCTGTATGTTCATCTTTTCTATAAATATTTCAAAGTATGTGAAATATGTAGGGTTTTAGAATACTATTAAGATGTTAGTAAGGCAACTGGGGCATTATAACTAGTTGTTTTGCTTGGCTTTAATTAGAAACCCCTTGATATTTAACTTTTTATAAGTCCTTAATCTGTTCCTCCTAAACTTGAATTTGAATGGTCTTCTGGTTTCAGGATGAGTCCATGGAGTGTTAAGTAAAATTAAAAAATTACTGTTCATTTTTATAGGATTTGAAACAAAAATCACAAGATTCTCTGCCACAAAAAAATATAATAAGGCTGAGTGCGGAGCCAAGGTAAATTCATAATTTCTTACAAATGTTTACCACTTTCTGGCTTAATAGTTTTTGGTTTTATGGTTCTGGTTTTTAGTTAGCGTATATTTTGAGGCAATCAATTTATTAATTAAAAAACTCCTAAAAAATGGATTTTCTTTCATGACTGTGTTATGCTCAGTGCCAATAGCTAACACAGTGCTTAGTATATTGACTGCTGAATAAATTATTATAACAATATTTCTCACAGATATAAGGTATAGCATGATAAATATATAGCTTATAAAACATTTTCTTATCTCTATAAAATTTTCAGATTATATCCTTTCTTGATTAACCTTTCATTTAACTACCTTGTTTTCATTAATCCCTGATCCTATTTTTATATGAAAGAAGAAACTTTATTATTATTGGAAGATCAAGGTTTCTACTGTAAATTGTTTATTAGATAACTGTCATTTTGCTGGTGAAACAGCCTTGTTTTAGCACTATTGATTTATGCTAAAGTAAATGGGAAGGGTGTTCAGTGACCTTAAACCAGGGCATTTAATTGGTGGCTACCTAATAATTATAAAGAAATGCATTATGTTTTATTGGTATTTCTTTAAACAGCAAGGTATCTGTTTTTAATAACCAAATATTTGTTGGTCATTTCCTAGTTGACCCAGGCACACAGTGGTTATTTTTTGTAATATAACCTTTAACTGTCAGAATCAAGATATTTAGTACCTCCTCTTGCCAATTATAGGATAAAACAATAATTTCAAAGAGTAATTCATTATTTCAACTAAATATATTTTATTAAAATTATTTAAAAATAAATGGAATGAATGTAAAAAGAATTTATAGTTGCTAGTAAAGTTGAGACTTTTTGTTAAGCATAGACTAAAGTCTTAGTTGTCTAAATTTCTTTAGTAAGTAGAGACATAAGGTGTATACAGCTTATTCCTTAGAACGAGATAATAAGTTTTTTTATTTTAGTAATACTAATGTTCTCTGTAACACGGCAGAAGCCTTAGGAGCTTTCAGATTGCCAGGTCATAGTTAGGATGAAAGGATAATGACACTGAAAGAAATATTTCTTATAAAATTACAAAATGTTTTCTTTGTCTTAAAATAAGTTATGTTTTGATGCATTTGGGGTTATATGCCTGTTCCTTAAATATTGTGTTCCTAGTAAACTCTGGCATTAGTAAATCTATTTGGCTTTAGGCATAGTTCTCTCATCTATTAACTTTTCTTTCTTTTTATATTTTGGTGGAGGAAGATCTTTGTTTTTGCTGGTTATAAGAATAATATATGCTGATATAAGTGATTTGTGCCCCATCTCTGGGTGCTCTTATGCTGGGTGCAGTGAGGCAGGGCTGGAACCATAATAGGTCAGAAGAAAAGATGTTCCCTTTAGTTTATCTCCTTCCTTCACTGTCTTTGCCTTAGCAAACAATAATTGATAATTTTGCCTTTCTAATGCCAGAAGAAGAAAGTTAGGAAATGTAGTATATTAATGAAAGAGAAAAATATTTTTAAGCTTTCATATTGAGGAGTTTTAACTACAGGTAAACATAAATGGAATTTCGGGGGCTATTAGTAAAATGATTGCTTTTTGATATTTCTTTTTAAATAGTTTTTATTTAAATAGTATAGGGTTTATCTTCCTATTACTTCTTTACAGTTCTTTTTTTATCAAATATTGACTTCCTATTTCTGTAGGTTGGTAAATTAGGAATACTTCTGATTGGCAGATTCTTATTTGTTTTTATGCTTATTATCCATTTTATAGGTTAGGGCTTCTTAGATTTTAGGTTTTAAAATCTCTATTTTACTTGTTAGCTGCAAATTATTTTAGTTACTGATCTGTCAGTAAAAATAGATGAACAATGAAGGAATGATAGTGGCCTTTAAAATGGAAGAATTTGATTGTTTTATTTAGCAGGTACTGAAAGTAAAATAATTGCCCTTTTCAGTTTTTAAATTGGAAGCCTTAGAGGTGTGGCTGTGAGTCTTTGTCATATTCTTCATGAGTCTTCTTTAATGTTGTAAGGGTTGGCTTTTTTTTTAGTTATAAACACAGTTCCTGTTTGAGTAACAAATTATCTCTCTAAATAAACCATGCATTCTCGATGGGGGAGATATTTTTTCCAAGAGAGTGAAAATTGGTTTTTGGGGATTTGAAGAAAATCTTACTCTTTTTAATATATAAAGCACAGATATAGTACGTAACAGGTAAACAGTTTGTGTGTGGCATTAAAATTGTATGTGGGTGATTAGTAAATGTCTAAAAAGAGTCCTTAGGGAGGTGATAATGTAAAAAAGATTGAGAAATACTAACTTAAACCCATAGAATATAAATAATACACGTAAATTTGATCATGCTGTTGGCAATATTAGTTATAGCAATAAACCTAACATAACTTTGTAAGTATTTAAAAAGTAGTCCAAGATCTGTTTAAAGTGACATTAGTACATGTTGATATGCCTAATTTAGTTCACACAGTTATGTGAGCTATATCATGTGTGGATTCGTAGTTTTTGTGTAGAAAACAGATACTTCAGAATATCAACTAAGATATAAAAAGAAAAGCCCTCCCATAACGCATTGCCATTGGCTTGTTTAATGGTTCTCCCTGGATGACCTCCCAGCACCAATAATTTAAGTTCCTCTGATTTTCTCCATACATGCTTTCCTTTTGGATGCCAGTCTTGATTAAAAGTATTGTTATCTTTTTAGTTATCTAGGTTCTGAAATCCCAGAACCTACTTTGACCTCTACCTTTTATTATTCCTTAAATTTCATCACTTGGAGAGTCTTTTTTTTCTCATCTGTGAAATGCATCTTCTCTTTTCCTGTTACTTTTTGGTTCTAAGCCATACTTCGTGCCTGAATTACTTCAACAGCTTCTTACCCTTTTGTCTTCAATTTCCTATGCCCCTTATTTATTACATGAAGTTATCAGAGGAATCTAGCCAAAAACAGAGCTCTGAGAAAGTCACTTCTAAATTCAGCATTCTCTAGGTACTTCTTCTTACCTATTGAGGAAAGTCTGACCTGATGGTCAAATGTTTTAGTAGACTATTGCCTAACAAACTAATCTAAAACTTAATGTCTTAAATACAATTTATTATATTTCCCACGTTTTTGTAGAACTGCTGGTCAGTTCTTGCTTGGGGTCTCTCATACCATTGCAGGCAATTGGAGATTGGGACTGGAGTTCCCCAAAGATTTGACTGGGCTCAGTGTGCAGGAGGGCTCATATACATTGCTGAAAGTTAGTGCTCCCTGTTGGCTGAGGGTTCAGTTGGAGCTGTTAGCTGCCAGTACTTACACATGGCCTCTCCATATGACTTGGGCTTCTCTAACCATAGTGGCTGGTTCCAAGGGGGAGTGTTTTAAGATTGAAAGTCTCAAAAGTGAGTTTTCTGGGTAGAAACAGCAAGACTTCTTAAGACCTAGCTTTGGAAGTCCTAGAAGGCCATTTTCATTACATTCTATTGGTCAAGGAAGTCATTAAGGTTAGCCAAGATTCAAGGGGAGGGAATTACTCTCCATTTCCTGATGTGAGGAGCATGTATAGGAAGCAGTGGGAATGATGGTAGTCATCTTCGGAGACTAGCTATCACAGTTCACCTATAGGCTACCTCAGTTCACATACCTTTCATGTACGGAGTAACCTCACCCACCTCCCAAGATGTCCAAAGTCTCATCCCATTATGCTATTAGCCCCAAATTTCTACCTAGATCAGGCCAAAATGGGTCACTCATATGGCTGGCAGTTAATGCTGGCTTGTTTCTTCCAGTATAATTATTTAAAGTTAATCACAGTAGATTGTAAACTCCTTGAGAGTAGGAATTATTTCTTTATTTCTAGCATCATGCCTGTGGTATTATATGCAACATAGCAAGAGTAATTACAGATTCATTGAAATACATTTAAATATTGACTGAAGAGAATATTAAGCTTCAGACACCAGATATGCATAGAAGAACATGGTTCACATTCTATGTGAAAATGTGGTATCCTGGTATATATTCTCCTCAGGTGGTTCTTTGGTCTCATATTTGGAGGTTGGGTGCCAGAGTGCTTCTAAGTAAACTTTAAGACCGTTACAAATAAAGATAAACCATAATTCAATAAAGCTTGGAATTTGTATAACTGTCCATTTAAGATTTTAGTTTTATACCATGAGACCTGAAAAATTTCAGATTGCATCTCAGCATCATTGCATTCTTACAGAGTTAACTTCGTTAAGATTGGATATTGGGTGAATGTTCAGAATGGATGGATATAAAAGATAGTTCCAAATAGCTGAATGAATTGGCTTTATCAGATTGGTTTTTATATGTAAGACTTATTGTTATGATCAACATAGCCTGATTCTACATTTTGTATTTTTAATATTGTTATTGTAAACAATTCTTCTGGCACTAATTATCTATTAGTTTAATGGGATTCAAGGCTAGCTTTTTTCTTTTCTTATGTTATCAATATATTTTTATACCAAGTAAGAATGTGTCTTAGAAAATATCTAATATCTCTACCAGTTGTTTACACATAAGTTTTAAATGAAGAAGCCAAACTCGCAACCTTATTTTTATTGTTTGGAAATGGAATTTCTAGGAAAATAGAATTCTGACCACTCAGATTGTGGCAGCATTATTTGATAGAGGCATTTGGAGCTTAACGGCGGAAGTGAGATTCCATGACTTGAACCAAGGCGGCTCTAGTCTGAGAAGTGAGTCTGGTGAAAGAGCTGTTAGTGTACAGAGGGAGCGCACTTTGTGCTCAACTGTGGAGGAGATGGAAGTGTTAGCTGCGATAATTAGTCCAGGAACTGTCCTTAATAGCTCATGGATTATGATGGTTTAAGCTTAAACCTTGACACGTACTAGAAAACTAGTATATAGAAATGTCTTTCCATTAGTTAACAGAAAAATGAGTGTAAAAAGTCAGTAAGATTAAAGGTTTTCTTTCTTGAAACTGGTCGGCTATATTTTTTAATTATCCTAAAGAATTCAAGGCAATAATAGAATACAGGATTTGACATCCTGGACCCTCTCCAGCTTCTGTTATTTTGAGAAAAGCTGAGATATTTTTACCTTTTAAATAAAGCTGTTTTGAACTTTTCTTTTGGTGAGGGAATTAGTAACTGATGGTCCTAGAGACTCTTAAACACATAAAAACTAAGCTATTCTGTATTCCAGTCTAGTTTAGTTGTATCTAGGCATTAATAGTACAGTGTATTTATGAATTTTATTGGATTTGAAGGATGAGTTTATAAACTGTCCTCTAGGATGCTTTTCTGTTTAAATATATATTGCTTGTAAAAGGTATTTGTATGTTTTCACCTATGTTCTGTCTCTGTTATGTGTTAACTCTGATTTTTTTCAAGGTATAGGTTGGCTAGTTCCCTGATTATCCAGAAGCACTTTTCATCTTGTCTGTAGTCTACTGGAGTGTTTTCAGAAAGGATGCTTTATCCAAAAGACTGAATGGAATATGTTATATTATGTAAATAACCAAAAGTTTCTTAAGGAATTCAAGGTACCTGCAAGATGCTACGTTAGTTAATTTTATGTTAAAAATTATTTGCATTGACTAGTGGTTGGTACTAGTGTTGGAGCAGTCATGGCTTGGTAGCAATACAAAATAATCTTATTTGGTGTTTGCCATTCCAATTCAGTCATCACAGGATTACATTTTGCCTAATTTTTCAAGAAAATATAAAGGTCTCTTGGGGAGGAAATGAGGAGAAAAGGCTCCACCTTTGTTCCAGTCCCTCCCACCCTTAGCATTTCTATGTATTTTATGACATCAGGAATGATGAGTATTAATTCCTGACATACTGTTTCAACCTCACATTGACTGAAATTAAATAACATCTATTATATTAAAAAAATAGTTGACACTTCCAGTTTACGTGATGGCTGACTAGAGACCATGAGACTGACTCTTAGTTTCCCATTAAAGCTCATATGAAAATGTAGAAGATGATGAACAGTTGTAGGAATACCAAAACCTTGGCTTGACAGTCAGTGTATTATCACAATCTAAGATGTCCACAAACTACAAAGCTGATAGAACTGGTCTGAAAAATGCAATTACTTGCTGATTAATGATAAGCAGTTAGAAATAAAAGCAACCTGCATGTCTTTTAAAGCAAGTATGGAGAATGATTCCTTTTCCTTTTCATAATGTCTACCCCCAAGGCTTTCAAATTCTGGTATTATATCAACTAGAAAAGTGAACAAATATTTTTCTATTGGAAGAGTGCTACTTTTGAGGCTATTAGGAAGTTAGGTAGCTTTTCTTTTTTTTCTCTTCTTCCTCCCTGCCTAAGGTCTCTGTTGACCATCTTCATTTAATTGACCAAGTAGATCAACTGACACTCTTCATTCCTTTTCAGTGCCCATGGTAATGTGGCCTTGTAGCTAACAGGCTGTTAGCTAGCAGGCCAATGTACTTCCCTCCCTCCAGTCTTTCAGTTGTGTGATTATCATGAATCAGTTATTTATTCCTAAACAAGTTGTTGTTATTTTTTTCTCATAAACCATTTTATTACGCTGTTGAATTACATAAAAACCCTTTTTTATGAAGTTGAGGACTTTGGAAATATTCAGCAAAGGTGAGTCACTGATAAATGTTGGCGAGATGACTGCAAAAGATTTGGGAAGAAATCATAAAAATATAGAAGCCGGCTGCACTCAGATTTTCTTAACATTTTTGAGTTTAAGTTCTTGCTATACTTTAGAGAAACCTAAGCTTGGAACCACAGAAGATTATCACATGTTTGGTTATGCAGAAAATATGAAAACTCCAATTACTGGTTCCATAGTCAAAGGATTTGCATATTTTGAATATGATACATGTATATATTTCATGGTAAAGTAAAATATTAAGAATAACACATACATATCATAATGATCTTCTACTTTAACTTTTATTTTCAGCTCAACTTTAACTCTTTCTGTTAATAGATCTATTGCCAGCCTTGATCACATTGATGAAAGGGCTTCCACTGTGTCCATATTTTGCAATCAATTTGGAGACTAAATCTGCCAGAAATAAAGTAGGCAGGAACAAGGAAACTTAACGATAGATCATTGAGCTAGGAAAGTCCGCTCAAGGAAATTGCTGTTGGTGGTGGCATGGGCAAGAATACTGTGATATTCTTTGTTGAAGAAAGAAGCCTTCCCTTTGTTCAGAATCAGAGCTGGTATAGAAGACTGAATACCAATCAGGCACAGCCACCTTGGATATTAAACCTTTTGGAAACTTGCGATCAGGCTGGATCCATGCATGTGAGCCTATTATTCACCCACTCTTTTTCTCCATCACTGAATCCTCTTTACATCCTTCATGACATTATTAACAAACTGGCCATGTCATTTATTCCTTATTGTGTGTCTCACTTGGTAGACTAGCAGCTCCATGAGGGTAGAGAGCTTGTTTGGTTTTGCATCCCCTGGCAAATACCTGGCACACAGTAGGTGTTCAACAAATATTTGTCAAATAAACTAACTACGTTAGAGAAGGACTTCAGCTAATATCAAAATAAAAAGGACCAAGGGTAGTTTTAGCAAACACAGAGTCTAGGTAAATGTCTACTTCTTTGAGGATAAGTGATTGAAAGGTTGTCATAGGAGAGCTGTGAAAAAGCTCTACAGACTGATTAAAAAATAGGGTGCAGCATGAAGACTCAGAAGTGTAGCTTACTTATTAAAATGATTTATTACAGAGACCAGATGAAAATTTTTTTAAAAAAAGAGGACCTGGAACTCTCAAAAAGTTTTGAGTTATAATCTCTGAGAAATATGAAACAAGGTGAAACACTGAAACAAAAAGATGACAAAAAATGAAAATGAAAATATTTGGAAGAGGAGAGGAGTGAGATAAGGAGAGATTGTTGGAGGGGCAATAACAGACCATCTTCACTAGTGATGCTGAAGAGTAAAGCTGACACTGAAAGAGGGTATGGATGTGAAAAAAAAGTCCATGAGATACTTTTTTAAGAATGTAGACAAAAGGAAGACAAATGCCAACAATGAGAAGGAAGATGATGATCGGTATGGAGGACAAGATTCCAACAAAAGAATTAAAAAACTTTAGGAAAAAATACAGCAGAGGCAATGATCAAAGATATAATTGATGAAAAGTTTTCTGAGCTGAAAAGGCCTCCCTTTATAGATGAAGAGGGATAAGTGCTGGGTAATAAAAATGAAAAAAGAGCCACCCCGAGTACACCATGGTAACTTAGTTCAACTAAAAGGAAAAAGGACATATTAAAAAAGTGCCCAGGCAGAAAGACTATATTGTATAATATAGAACAAACGCTAGACTGACTTAGACAGGAAGACTATGAAGTTTTGAAATCATTTTATACTCAAAGTTATCTTTCATATGTGAAGGTAGTAGAGAGACATTTTCAGATATGAAAACACTTATACCACAGGCACACTTCCCATATTTTTAAAAAGAAATTTTAAAAATTTCTTGATGAGGTCAGTTCAGCTGACTGATAGATGAATTAAAATTAGCAATTAAAAATGAAGAATTAAAAAGGCATTGGAAACAATTAGACGTAGTGAAATCTAAATCATTATTGTCAATTTTATTGTCAAACTAAAGGTAGAAGTGTCCATTTAGTTTTGATAGAATTTAACAGCACCATGGATCTGCAGCTTCAGGTTATATTAATGCCTGAAATAGGTGGAGAGGCAGGAGCATATAGGAGATCCTAAATAATAGTTTTTCTTCAAGAAGATTTAAAAAATACCAACTTCTGGTGAGAGTGATATTTCGTATTCCATTGCCTTCACTTACTATCAGTGTACTGTTAACTCCTCAAACATCTGTCTCTGCTGAGAAAAGTCTCCTAAGTTCTAGACCCACTGGCCAAGTGGATAGCTCTCTTGGGATGGCCCATTAGCAGCTCCATTTCACCGTGTTTAAAACGGAACTCCTCTTCCCTGCTTGAACCTGTTCTGTGGTCCCAAGCTCTTTCAATTTTAGAGTGACCAGATATGACAGTTTTTTCACTATTAGCCTCTTTCACTCTCAAAATTAGTTTGGACAATAAATTATGGGGCTACCCTGATCATCTTGTCTTTTTTACTTTCAACTCGTATCCAAACACATGCTAGACCTTTTCATTCTGTGTTTTGTTTGTTTGTTTTGTTTTGTTTTGTTTTGTTTTTGAGATGGAGTATCGCTCTGTCGCCCAGGCTGGAGTGCAGTGGCACAATCTCGGCTTACTGCAAGCTCCGCCTCCCAGGTTCACACCATTCTCCTGCCTCAGCCTCCTGAGTAGCTGGGACTACAGGCACCCGCCACCACACTGGGCCAATTTTTTTTGTTGTTGTTGTATTTTTAGTAGAGACTGGGTTTCACCGTGTTAGTCAGGATGGTCTCTATCTCCTGACCTCATGATCCGCCCACCTCAGCCTCCAAAAGTGCTGGGATTACAGGTGTGAGCCATCGCACCCAGCCTCATTCTGTTTTTTAAATGTGTCTCAAATTTGTCCTCTTCATCTTCAATGCTACTACCCTGCTTCAGACTGCTACTGTCCCTCCACTGGGTGATGGTAATAACCCTGTGACAGATGTCCCTGCCTCACACATTTGTTGGCGGAGTTTAATACGGTTATGTGTATGAACTTCATAGTATGGGACCTAGCGCTTAGCAGGCACTTAACTAATATTAGCAATGATGTAACTTAGCTCAAAACCCTTCTTTTTTCCATTACCCTAAGGATAAACTCTAGACTCTTTAACGTGGCTTGTGTGCCTGTATTTTTGTCTCTCGCATCATCTCTTGCATCAGCTCAGTCTGCACTATGTGCTCCAGCCCCACAATGACTCTATTCAGAACACAAAAATTCAGAGAACTATCAATTCTTGGACACTCCATTTTTTGTTATATTACCTCTACATCTTTACTACCTGGGGGGTTAAAAAAAACAAAAAAGCAGGCCAGGCGCAGTGGCTCATGCCTGTAATCCCAGCACTTTGGGAGGCCAAGGCGGGCAGATCACCTGAGGTCAGGAGTTTGAGACCAGCCTGACCAATATGGAGAAACCCCATCTCTACTAAAAATACAAAATTAGCTGCGCATGGTGGCGCATGCCTGGAATCCCAGCTACTTGGGAGGCTAAAGCAGGAGAATCACTTGAACCCATGAGGTGGAGGTTGTGGTGAGCCGAGGTTGCACCATGGCACTCCAGCCTAGGCAACAAGAGCAAAACTCCGTCTCAAAAAAAAAAAAAAGCGAAAGAACCAAATCACAACAAAAAATCTCCAATCTTGGCCGGGCATGGTGACTTACCCTATAATCCCAGCACTTTGGGAGGCCGAGGTGGGTGGATCCCCTGAGGTCAGGAGTTTGAGACCAGCCTGGCCAACATGGTGAAACCCTACCTCTACAGAAAATACAAAAATTAGCCGGGAGTGGTAGCATGCACCTGTAATCCCTGCTACTTGGGAGACTGAGGCAGGAGAATTGCTTGAACCGGGGAGGTGGAGGTTACAGTGAGTCAAGATTGCGCCACTGCACTCCAGCCAGGGCAACAGAGTGAGACTGTTGTCTCAAAAAAAAAAAAAAAAAACAACCTCAGACTTCACCTCTAGATGCACCCGAATGTGCACACACACAGACATGCACATGCACACATACACCATTTGCCTGATAAATTTCTGATTGTCTTTTAGAACTCAGCTTAGATGTTACATCTTACATCCTCTGGAAACTTGGTTGAGATCCTTGAAGCTAGGTAGTGTTCTCATATGACTCCATGGGACTGTGTTTACCCACTAAATGCCTGCGTAATAGTCCTCTGAAGAGACTTGCTATAAACCTCTTGCCGGTATGGGTTGGTCTTGTTCATTATTCCAAAATGGTGCCTAGCAAATCTTTAAGGAAAATGACCTACTGCCAGTAGCATTTGAGCTAGGAATTGCACTAGAGGGAATCTGTCCTGCAGAAATAATCAGATATGGAGGTGGAGAGAACTCTGGAAAAGGACGTGCATTTCAGCTTTGTTTATCATGTGAACAAATATTTTAAAAGACTTAAATGTTTATCAGTAATGAATTGGTCAAATATTCTACATGTGTAAGTTATATAGAAAGATTTTTAAAAGATGCCTAAATTAGCATTTCTTTTTGTAATAGAGAACATAGGGCTGGTAAATTCTGGGATTTTAACTTAAGTTTTTATGAAATTTGTGTTTTCAAGTTTTATGGAGTAAATGAAGATGACTTGTTTGAATTGAAGTTGTGAATGGTTGAGTGAAATATGGAAGAAGTGCTTGGTACATAGGAGGTGTTTGCTAAACTAATAACTAAAAATTGGAGGTGGAGAGAGTGAAAATTATGAGAAAAAGTCATGTAATCATTAGGCAATTAAATAATTTATCCATAGTGATGAACCCTTATGGGAAAAGTTTTGATTTAGAATCATCTCGCATTCATTGTTTTCTTCTTTAAAGGTGAAGTTTTTTGTACTTGTTGGCTTTCCTTTGTTACCCAATATGACTTCTTGTATGTATAGTGTTTCATTTTGTATTGCACTGAACTGCATACAACAGAAACCTTATTACAATGGCTTCTGAAGAAAGCCTTTTATTATTCTTATGGACAAGTTTCAAGGCAGGTAGTTAGGGCTCATGATGGGTTCCATGGTGCCGTCAAAAGTCCAGGCTGCTTTTACCTGTTAGCTCTACCACTGTTAGCCTGTGGCTCTTGTTCTTGTGAACTCAGGATGGTTCCTGCTTCTACATACAGTACATCTGTGTTTCGTCCAGAAAGAGGGATGAGCAAAGGAGGAAGGTCATGGCAGTTGGGATAAACTGGGGACTCAGTAACTTTGTCAGAATTTCCACATACTGGAATTCTAATTACATGTCATTGTCCAGAACTGTGCCACATGTCTGCATCTAGCATGGGGAAGCAGGTTTTTTTTGTTGTTCATTTTGATTTTGTTTTTTAAGCTATGACTGTTGCCATCCTAAATAAAATTGGCTTTCTATCAATAAAGGAGAAAGAGATAATGGTTGTTGGGTAGGAAGGAGCAGCATCTGCAAATTAGATTCATTAACTAGATCAAAAAGCAGCTACCAGATTTTCTGTCAGCTACTCTTCCTTGCCCACTTCGGCTCAGGGACTGGAGTTGTGTTCTGAATACTCTAGGAGCAGGTCTATACTGAATAAATCAGTAATGGTTGTTAGAAATGTCTTTAAAACATGTTCTCAAGACTTATCAGTTAGGAAAATCATACCAAACACAATGAAACTGAAAAATTTTCTACATATTCTAAAACCAAAACATAATTAGATGCTGCAAAATTAAAAATTTAAAGAGATAAAGAAAAGCTCATAAAATAAGAGCATATATATACAATTGAGATTTGGGTTATTTAAATATTAAGAAAATAGAATATTTATTCTTAAACATTTCCTGTTTATTTGTAGGACTATGTGGGCCTATGTTAAAATATAGTTCCTTATTCTTTGATTCATACATTCATTCATTCAGTGACAAATTTACTTTGTATTTCTGTCTTGGGCAGCACTGTACTGGTATGTGTTCATATTTTCTTGCCTCTTTCATTTCTTCTTGATTCTTTCTTGCTCAGAACCTACACAGGCAAGGTCTCTTTTCTAAGTGACCTGTGATTTATACTGTACTGTGTAGACTGCCCATAAGACAAACCCTCAGTGCCTTACCTGAAATCTTCAGGGGTAGATGTATGTGAGGGTTCAGAATTCTTTTTAATTTTAGGAAAGTACTGTGCATATGTGGCATATTATTGCACAGTCTCCTTTGAAATTTCTGAATGTTCCGATCAAAAAATAAAGATTCTATAAAGCTTCATGTCAGTTCTGTTTAGATTTACTACCAAATGAGTTATAAAAAAGCTTTTGATTTTTTCAGAGCTTTTTGGATTTCACAGTTTAGAGATTGTAGTTCTGTAGAGTATTGGTTTGGGCGAATTATGAAATTGCTTAAAATAATTAGCAAGCTTCCTAAAAAGATGCATTATAGCAGAAACCATTTTGATTCTTCTAAATGGCATTGATTGTTACTATCATCCATACTTGGGTGCCTCAGCTTTTCTTTGTTCTGATTCCCATCATTTCAAAAATCTGTTCAAAAATGTCTGTCTCTTAAGAAATCTTTGCTAGCTGAGCAGTGCTTTTCACCCTTTTGTACCACATTCTCTAAACATGTAGGTATTTAGGTGTTGACTTTTTTTTTCTTTGCGAGAATTCATTCCTTGACTTTACTGAGTGTTGTAGCTTCCTAATTATACTTCAAGCTTCCCTCATCATCTGAATTCATTTTTTCAAAAGATTTATCGTTCTATTCTTGCATCTCCTAAAATAATGCTTTTTGCATTTCTTGCATCAGGCAGTTTAAAGTTTATGATAGGCTACCTAATACAATATAATTAAATATATATTTTTACTGTCATTTAGAAGTTCGAAGAAAAGTGTTTGTCATTAGGCTATTACCAGTCTCACACATTGATTTTTAAGTGATATGCAGTGTGGGATTTGCCTTAGTGCTTTAACAGCATAGGATTTTAAATCATTCTTTTCTTCAATTTCACATGAACTTTAAAAGAATCTTCCTTACCAGGCCCTTATAATTTAGTCTGCTATGATTTTGTTCTTAGGTACAAAATTCTTTTAGATTTTATTTGTGAAAGTAATTAAACAGATAGATTGCATTTAAAGTTATATTTTTTATTTTTATTTCTTGAAAAATAAAGGCAGAGTAGCTTAATGTTCTGAGACCACCTGCTAAATTGCCTGGTTAGTCTGTGTTTTAATTGATTTTGTTTATATTTTAAGTCAAACTTTCTTAATTAACTAATTGCATGGTTCTAGTTTATTGTCAGATTATTATACAGTGAATTCAGTTTGCAAAGTGTGTTTTAATTGTGTGTTTTGTGTGGTGAGATTAAACTTATTTTGCTTGTTTCTTATAAATAACATCTTCATCCATCAAGGACCATAATCAGAAAATGCAAATGATGGGGAGGAAAAACAGGTGCTCATATATATAGAATTATGATGAGGTATTTTGATATATTAAAATATGAAGGCAGAATTGTCATGGAAAGTACCATGTATAATGGATAAAGGATTATAATAATTTCTAGTTAAGATATTTGGAAATACATAACTGTATGTAACTGAAGAAAAACTTTGAAAAGAAGACGAGGTGGTGTCAAAGAATAGCTGGTGTTAGTTTTGGTGTGTTTGCTAGATAATATAAATTTTGAATGATTCTGTTTTGCTATTGCTGTAGCACCAACACTTGAAGTTGTATAAAGTACTGTGAAAATGTTAAAGTAAACTAAATATCTGGAGTATGAGTGATTTTTAAAAAATGATTTCTATTGGGGTGGGAGTAACTGATGGTTACGTGAGATTACTTCAGTAGCTTATTGTTTTCAGTTTCTTGCAAACTTAGTTCTCTGTCCACTTTCCACTTCTTTTCCTCCCAGTGTCCATCATGTCTTCTGAAATAGTAACATAAAGCTAATTATTAACCCAAAGCAGTTCAGAACATAGACTAAAGTGATGTGGCATATTTCAAAGTCTTCCACTCTTCTGAACTAGATTTTTTTTCCTTCTAAATGCAGATTAATAAAGCGTGCACAACAAGAGGAACAAGGAAAAGGATTTTAGTGAAGGTATCCTGATCCTGAAAAAGTCAGGGAGGGCTTCAAGCCCATCTTGGACTTCAGAACACCTCACAACTTTGTGGTAAAAGAAACATTTTAAATAGAGCCTTTGGACTTATTTATTTCATCCTTATTCAGAGAGTAGCGCTTTTTTTAAAATTTTTATTTTTTTTAGGCAAGACAATTGTATGTGAAATCGCGTTACTTTTCAAACTGAAACATAGGGTTTCAGATTTGTTGTAGGTACTTAATATATACTCAAAATATTACAGGTAGTTGGTTGGCTTGTGTGTTTTTCTTTGAAATGTGTTCTTTTATCCCTTGTGACATTGTGTTTGCATTCACTGTGAGTGATGTTTTCTCTAGTGTTTTGTATCTTTAATCGGTTCATTGGGTTGTATAGTAGGGAGTCTTTCCTAGGACCAATATTGTTTCTAAAAATACTTTGAAAGTAGAAAGTGGTTTGTGTTTTATTGTTTTCATATTTTTTACCAGTCATATGATGGCTTACTAATGTGAAGAGATGTAGCACTAGTAAAAATTTGTTGTTTTCTCCTCTATTCACCTGGAAACCTCACACAGGATAGATTTCATTTGTCAACACAGATATAGACAGTGAATACAAACATCTTTGCCATTTCTGTCCTTAACAACAAAACAGTCTTATTTTACTTTGTTAACTTTTTAAGGTCCTTTTTATTTGTGAAAATTAGGTTGTTTATGTACTATGTGTTCTTCCAAAGTTACAGAGTTATATTCATTGGAGAAATGAATTTTCTTCCAGTAGATGAAAATTACATTTTGATTGAACATCATTCCTTATGCAGTCACCCATAAATATAATGTCTTTTGCTGTCTTTTCAGAAAATGGCTACAGATGTGATTTCTGAATTGACAAGGAAATAGAACATCTTAATGTTTTAGGTAAAACAGATGGTATTTTTGTTTGAGGCAAAACTCAGAGAAAGCAACTTAATTGGTGACAAGACTCTTGGGGTCAGCCAAATTATATACAATTTGTGTTTGTTTTTGTTGCTTTAATATCAAAAGTTTTAGAATACTTGGAATATTTATTCTTTTATTTGACTTTACTATTTTCTGTTGTGTACTGGAAATAGTTGTAAAATTTTTCAATCTTTTCTTTACAAAAATTGTAAGTCCACATATTTATTCTGCTTCGGTTACATTTATGGTCTTAGAAATGCTTTTTGCATTGTGAAAAGTTCCTGAAATTTGTAGTTCTACTTTTGAGGGTTAACATTTTCATTTGTAGTTTTAAGTTGCATTTGCAACTACAAATTCTGTGGACATTGATACCAACTCTGTTCTTTCCATGCCTTTGAGCTCTAGGCAGATCTCACTGTCAGATGCCTGGAATTTCCGGAGCACAGTGTTGTGAAGGGACCCTTGCATGAGAGTCAGAGGACTGATTCTAGCCCCATCTCTGTCACTAACCAGCTCATATTTTTGGAACTTCAGTTTCATTTGCTCTCTATATTTGGCGGGTATTAATAGGTAATCCCCGAGGTCACATCCAGTTAACATTTGGTTTTCTTGTCTAAGTATTAATCATTTATAAAGCAATCATTTGGATAAACACCAGGAAAGGAAGTTTTGAGGAAGAGACTACTGTGGACAATAACCAAGTGTTTCCAGTAACTGGGACATAAGATAATCTGTCTTCCAAAATATCTCCAGTATTCCAAAATGAAGACCTATTATGTAGCAAATTTTCTTTTTACCACCTCTTACAGAAATTCAGAACTGGGTAGTGAAACAACCGCTTGTGTTGTCATCATAGCAACCAGGGGAAGTAGCCTAATCCTCACCTCCAGGAAAACTCCTTTACCCCATTCCTGGCACTGCAGGTGGGGAGGCTTTGGAGTGAAGGTTCTCTGCTGGGGTGAATATAGAGCAGTCTGATAAGGCTCTGTTCAGAGAGGCAGGGGGAGGGTAATGGGATTCTGAGTGCTCTAGTTGCTGCATCAGTGCTTCTAGCACGTGCACCCTGACTGCCTTACCCACTGAAGGGAGACAGCAGGTCACCTTCCCTGTCTCTGACTCCCTGACGGATTGAGTTTGAATCCTGGCTGTACCATTTCTATGGCTACATAACCATGAGTAGGATACAGAACCATTCTATGCTTCTGTAAAATAGGCTTGTAAAGTAACTGCTCAGCACTGTTTTAAGGCTAATTAAGTGCTAGCTGTTGGTATTATTATCATCATAGCTGCTAAGATTACCATAACATCTGAAAAACTCTGCTACGAGCTAAGTCATTTACTTAAATATAGCAAAAATATTCCTTTAATACAGTTTTATATTTGACTTACTGCTTTGTCTGTTAGTATTATAAACAAACATAACTGTCTGCCCCAGTAATATTTTCTAACATAGAGCTTTCTAGAATATTTACTTAATAATATCATACTTTCCTTGCCATTCTTAGTTTAGAAACTAAAAGTTTATTAGTAATATTTTGTGGAATTCTTGCATTTGAGGAGAATAAGGTATTTGCAGCAATCACTTAGTTGCCAACAGCAATTTTAGGTACTGTGGTCATACTGTTTTGTGAAGGACAACTTTATATTTGCATTTGATCACACATGCAGCATGCTTGTTTACCTTCCTTTTGAATCTTTTCCTTGGACAAATGGCTCTCCATGGGATGATAGGCTCATAATATTTTGTCCATGATTTTAAGAATGATTTCTCCTAAATATAGAGAAAGGTGTGAAATAAACTTTCATATATTAGGAAGATAGGGTAGCATTTATGTACTACTATATCCAAGTAAAATTCTAATTTTTATTGCTGAAAGAGTGTTCTGTACCTTAGCGTTGAATTTTTTTTTCTTGTAAGAGCAGGCCATATTTGTTACTTAACCAGCTAGTAGCTTCCAGAAACCATCATTTAAAATTTTTCCCTTGTGAATACAGGAGAGAGGGCAAAGGGCTAGACCCACTTCATTTAATCTTTGCTTGGTCCCAGTTCCAAGGACCCCAAGCTCTTCTTGCTTGTTACTCTTTGCCCACCTCCATCCTGTTTTCCAGGACTCAGGATTTTCTTTTATATATCCTTGGTGGTATGAAACTGGAAGTTAGTCCTCATTTTCAACAGGAATAGTGTAACCTGGTATATTAGTTTCCTGTTGCTGCTATAATAAATTACCAACAAACTTAATTCTACTAAAAAATACACACAAATTTATTATCTTATAGTTTTGGGGGTCAGAAGTTCAAGACCATTTTCACTGGATTAACAAAATATTGGTAGGGCTGGTTCCTTCTGGCGGCTCTGAGGGGAGAATCATTTCTTTGCCTTTTCCTTTTCTAGAGATGACCTGCATTGCTTGGCCTGTGGCCCCTTCCTTGTATATCCCATCCACTTGGTTCTGTTGTCACATAGTCTTCTTCTCTGTTGGATCGTCCCTCTAATAAGGACCCTTGTAAATACATTGGGCCCACCTAGACAGCCCCGAATGAGCTCCCCATACCGTGAGCTGTAATTTAATCACATCTGCAAAGTCTTTTCTGCCATATAAGGTAGCATTCATAGGTTATGGAATTAGGACATGGACATCTTGGGGTCATTATGCTCCCTATCATACCTGGAAATCTGATTTTTAAATTTCCAGTGGAAAAATGGATCTATCTGTCTTCACCTTTCCTGCCTAAGCTATCAACTTGAAGCTATCTACTTCGCCGTCCTGCTTTGAGCCTTCACCCCTTAAGTTCTTTCTCTGCCTGGCAACTAGAAATAGGTATTAAAAAGGAAAATTTGACCATGTTAAACCTTTTCCATCAACTGCACAAAAAGCTCCAAGCTCCTTGTAATGACTAAAAGACAACCCACTCCCCACTATGACTTGAGTTTTATCTACTTTTCTAACTTCATATAATTGCATTTTAGAGATGCACTTTACTGTGTAGCGTCTAGTGGTAGTGGCCTGTATATCTTGAAAATAACATTATTTCCCGTATATCTGTGTCTTTATTACTGAAAAGGATTTCCCTGCTTCCTTTGCCCTTTAAAAAATTTGTTTGTTTTTGATGTTGTTATTGTTCTGAATTTTTCTAATAAACACGTAACTTCCTGTAGAATAGTGTTTACATCCAAAGCTATTAAAAGGATTTCTAGCATATTCACTGATAACCCTAGAACCTAGAGGAGGTAACTATTAACAACAGTTTCTTTTTAGAATTTTATATATTTTTATATTTCACTGCTTATTCTTTGTATATAATTCAGAATATTCTTTTGTATTTAATAATGCAACAAACATTTTCTTGTATTTAAAAAATTCTTTATAAATATTTAATGGCTATTAGTATTCTAGTACGTAAGTATACTTTTAATTGTTAATGTGTTCCCTCAATTTAATATTATATTGATTAGCTAATATAATGTTTTGAATAGTATTGTTTAGATATTTACATTGCTTAGCTGTGGAAATAGTTTAAATATTTTTTGTTTACTATATTTCTGTTTTTCTCCTTACACTAATTTTTTTTTTTTTTTTTTTGAGACAGAGTCTCACCCTGTCACCCAGGCTGGAGTGCAGTGATACAGTCTCGGCTCACTGTAACCTCCACCTCCTGGGTTCCAGTGATTCTTGTGCCTCAGCCTCCTGAGTAGCTGGGACTACACACACGCACCACCATGCTGGCTAATTTTTGTATTTTTAGTAGAGACAGGATGTCGCCATGTTTGCCAGGCTGGTCTCGAACTCCTTACCTCGGGTGATCTGCCTGCCTCGGCCTCCCAAAGTGCTAGGATTACAGGCATGAGCCACCACATCTGGCCTCCTTACACTAAATTTCTAAAAGTAGGAATCATTGGATTGAAAGACAGACTATTTCTAAGTTATAGTTTTTTCTGATTATAAAATTATAAATGCTAGATATAAGAAATGTATAAAGTATGAAAAATAATTATAATGCTGCCACCTAACAATAAGTATTGCTAATATTTTGGTAAGTCATCAAGTTATTTTTCTCTTCTTTCTTGCCATCTTTTATAGATGATTTTAATATTCTTTTAGTATTTACATAGAAAAGCATAGATGACTTATTATAGTTTAATTGAAATTATTACTTTTGTGTTTTTTTGTGTTGTCATTTATATTTTCTTATATATTTACCCCTCTTTGTGCTCTTCATTTTTCCCTGCAATCTCATGTTTCCCTCTGATATTATTTTCTTTCTGCCTGAAGACTTAACGTTTCTTTCAGTACAAGTTTGCTGGTAACCCATACACTCAGTTTTTGTTTCTCTGAAGGCATTTTTATCATTTTCTAAGGATATTTTTGCTGGATATAGATTTTTAGGCTGGCAGTATTTTTTTGTTTCCTCACCACCTCAAATATATAATTCCATTTTCTCCTGGCTTTCTTAATTATTTTGATATGTCAGCTGATGATCTTATTGTTGCTTCTTTGAACAGTGTAATCTTATTTTTACTGGCTGCTTCTCAGATTTTGCCTTTTCATAGGGGATTTAACATGACACACCAGGTGTATTTTCTCCGTTTGGGGATCACAGAGTTTTTTTGTATCTGTGGGTTAGTCCCTTTCCTTAGTTTTGGGAAATTCTCAGCTATTCAGGTAATTATATTGTGCTATTTTCTCTTTTATTTCCATCTACACATATCCTATTTCACATATTAGATCTTTTCACTGAGTTCCCTGTGTCCCTAACGTTCTTTTCTATATTGCATATTCTTTTTTTCACCACTTCCATTTGTATGTTTTTTATTGACTTCTCTTTTGCTGAGTTAAATATATTTATTCTGCTATTGTTAAAGATATCTTTGGAGTTTTTAACTGTAAATATTTATCCTTTTAGAATTTCATTTGATTATTTTGTAATGTGTTAATTTCTATGGTAAAATTCTCTACCTTGTCCTCTACTTGATTCATGTTTTTCTCTTTCCTTGGCCATATTAATTATAATTTTAAAGTCATGTCAGCTAACTTCAATATCTGGGTCATGTATAGTTCTAGTTTCTTTTTTTCTTGGTGTTTAGTCACGTGGCTCTGTCTTTTGTGATGCCTCTTAATTTCATATTGAGTACTAGACAATTGTGCATAAAATTTAGAGAGACTCTAGAAAATATCTTCTTCTAGATAGATGTTCCAATCAAGGACTATGTTAAATTGAGACTGATTTATTCAACCTGTTGTTCACCTGGCTTTCTAAGTAATTTTTCAACTAATAGCCTGCTTATATTCTGTAGGCCCTATCCCCTGGTGGGTTCTGGAATGTCATGAGATGTCTCTGCTCTACTTTTCAGAAGCTTTCTGTTCAGGTTTTAAGCTTCCCTTTCTGCGCAGCCTCAGTATTTGGCACTTGTCGTAATGAAAAAATCAACTGTGTACCTGAAGCCTCCCAAAGTCTCCACAAAATGCTCTTTTGATCTCTTTGTTCCCCAGTGATTTCTTCCAGACTTTCCACTAGGTTTTGCATGGAACTCACAGCCTCTCCCTTGCTGAGAATTGGCATGCCCCAGAGTGAAAATGACTGCAGAAGGCTGGTCACTTTTCTGAAGTTTTTTCCTCTCTTCAGCAGTTTTTCTGTTGCCCTCAGGCAAATGATTATTATTTTTTATCTGGCTTTTCTAGTTGGCTAGTAGAAGTGAGAGCTCTTGTTTGTTGACAGCTACTCCATTTCCCCTGGAAGTGGAAACATCATTTATTTCTCAACTTCAATTTGACAAAAATAAAGTGCTCACCTTTTTTTCAAAAGAGTGTTTATATTTCTGTTGATTTATAAGAGCACTTTACAAGTTTTACTATTTTTTTTTTTTTTAGTTTTTGTTCTTTAATCTCATTTTTAAGATAGAAAAATTTTTAGTTTTTTGTTACCAAATCTGTCAGCCTTTTACTTCATTGTATTTTTCAGTTATGGCTAGAAAGACCTTTTGTACCACAGATTATATATTTATTTTTTCTACTAACTTTGTATCTTTTTTATGTTTCAAAATTTACATTTATCTGGAATCAGTGTTGACATATTGTTTTAATGCATCTAGTAACCATTTGTCTTGCTCATCTATTATTAAGGATGTATGTATATTATAGAATTGTTTTGCCCATCTCATGATCATTTTCCTTCCCTCACCTTTCTTCCAAGAAATGAAATTCAGTGGGATTTTGGTTGGCACTGCATAAGACTTACGAATGAATTTTGGGAGAGTTGTGCTTTTGCATTATTTTAGTTTTCTTATTTAGAAAGATATGTCTCTCCATTCATTTTTATGTTCTACTAAGTGACATTTTTTCATTTTCTGCGTATATTATACATTCTGCTCATTTTGTATAAAATTAATTTTCTGTTTTGATTGGTCTCCTGAAGATTGTTAATCTTCCTAACAGCCGTGTGTGTGTGTGTGTGTGTGTGTGTGTGTGTGTCTGTGTCTGTGTGTCTGCATGCATACGTATGCATCCCATGACATGCTATTACATACCTTTGTCTTATTGCCTACCCTGTTATATTGAACTTACCAGTTTGTTTCTGTGCCTCTCCCTCCTAAACTGTAGGTACTTTGTTGACTGGGATTATGTATTCATATTCATAAGTTTATAACTACACATACCATACAGCATCTTTCTCTCCTTTCTTTGCTTGCTTTTTAACTTAGCCATAAGCCATGTGGTTACTTTGAATGTGTATTCTCACCACTACCATGTTATCAGAATTCTTGTTTCAAGATATCTGTATTATCACCTGTTGTTAATTTCCTTTATTTAGATTTATACATGCCTTACACAAAAAAAGGATTTATGACAGCTCATTGACCTGGGTTTGTTAAATCGTTCACTGTACTACCCAGTGTGATGATGTGCCAGGGTCCTTGGTCAGGATACCATGAGAGTCTTGTAAGGGAAAGGAGAGAAGTGAATTGTTATTGAGATTCTTTTTTTGTGCTTGGTCTGAGCTAGGTGGTTTTCTAAACATTTTATAATTTAACATTAACAATAATCTTGTTTCCCGATTTTATAGATGAGGATATTAAGTCTTGGGGAAGTGAAATAACTTGTCCAAAGCCTCTGAAACTCTAAGTGACATGGTGGGGATTTGAGTTTGAATGTGTCTGACTCAAGAGCCCAGGAATCACACAATTGTGATTTTTGAAGATCTAGTATAACTCAAAAAGACACTCTTAGTTTTTAAGGTCTTGAATTTTTTCCTGTCAATATGGTAAGCATTATATTTTAAACCTAGAAAACAAAATGGTATATATCAAAAGAACTTCAAATCTAGATATTGCAACTTCTGTTAACATGTAAATTCATGTTTCCATATTCAGAATACTGTATAAAGCTTAATGTTTTTCTTTAGGTTATATTCCACTAATGAGGCTACTTAGAGAAGATGAATGCATTCTTGTTTGAAATGATTTTTTTAATATGTTGTCATTGATTAAGAGTCAGACAAAATGAGCTCTAATTTTTGCTTTATTCTTAACTTTCTTTGTAATATTGAATGTGCCATTTGCCCCATCTTTACAAAGGGACTAATTATATAATTTATATTTTCGAAGAATTGAAAAGCACTTTTTAAGGAATTGAAATAATCAAAATGGAACTGCTCTGATAAAACTATAAAGCCCCACATCAGTAGATACTATTTACAAGTAATAAATTCTCCTAGTGGTATTTTTCTGCACTGATGATTCATTAACTACTGAACATTATTCTGTGCTAGGTACCTATAGTAAGCACATGAAATTACAGTTATTTTTCATATGCCTTTTGGTGTTTGCTTAACTGATTTTAAAGTGCACTTATAAAGAACTTGAAAAAATATGTATTTTTTTAATCTTCATTACACAATCATAAAAATATGTAAGTTGCTTTTAAAATGTTTCCTCAAATATCGTTTTTGCTTACTTCATGCAGTGAGGTCATGAGATGAACTCCTTAGTATATATTGCAAGTTTTTTTCTGTTCCAGTGTTCCAGTATATAAATTTTCTTTCACAAATATAATATACTTGAAATGTAAATAGCTTATTGCTTATCTGAGCTTCCTGAGGAGAGAGGCTCTCTGGGGATATTGGCCTTGCTAAGGAGAAAGTTCTTCACATTTGAATTTGGATGCAACTAAGGGAATCTCCACAGGAAACTTCAGCTGTCACAACTGTCACAAAGATCCTTATATGCCTGGCCTGTGAGTGAAGTAGTTAAGAAGATGGGTGTGGAGGTGAAATTGCATTATAAGCCCTATTGTGGCACTTTTTACCTGGGCCTGTCTTGGCAACATTCCTGCTCTTGTTGAACCTCAGTTTCCTTATATGTCCAGTGAGAAGAATGAAAGGTTGCCCCACAGGGGTTGCCCATGCAGGTCTGAGGACCAGCCCAGGCATGCAGGATGCACTCTGAATGAAGGTCCCTCTGACCAAGGGGCATGTTCCTTCCACTTTGTACTGCAGCCAGTCCTAGAAGGAAGCCTGTGTGCTCCCAGTCTGTTGTTCACATTTTAGTGGGCACTGATTAGATTTACCTCAAAGAGAAAATTCAGTATTCCATAGTTGTCTTTTTTAACATGATATGAATTACTTCTATGAAAGGTGAAGGAATTTTTAGTATACTCATCCTCAGTAGAATCTTCAAGGACAGCCACGTTTACACTGGGATTCTTCCATAAAGTGATTCCCAGTTTGATAGGAGCATACAGATGTTCTTTCATTTTTGTCCATTCGTTTTTCTCCAGCCAAAGTAGATTATCTTCTGCCCTCTAGTTTGATTGGCAGGTAACATATGAATGCTTTTTCTTCATGAGGTGAGAGTTTTTCCTTGTATATGGAGAACTGAGATAATTGCTCATAACCCTGAATTATGGGGGCCCAATGTCACAGTGAGAACTAGGAGGCTGGACGTGACTTGGTGACAGATGATACGTAAGAAGCTAATGCTGATGTGGTGGAAATTGGAGAAGAAAAAAGCACTGACCTTACAGCTAAAATTGAAATTAACCCTCCCCATTCTGAAGATATAAACATAATTCTTTTGTTAATGTGGATCAAATATTGTTAATTTTCAGTAAGTGAGTATGATATTATGATATACTGAAACCTATTGGTTTCATTCACAACTAGAGGGCCTGAAAGGACTCATGTTTGGGGATATTGGCAGTATAACAAATGTTTGACTACCAAATGTGATGACAATGAAAATTAAGTTATTTATGATTGTATACTTATTTCCAAAGGAAATATCTATATATGATCATCCTTTCTCTGTACTCTACTTAAAATGTACATAGATAGGAGTTCGTGTGTCAGATAAATTTGTTCTGTGATGCACATAAAAAACATGCTGTGAATCTCTAATCATGTTAAAAATTATTTTCTTAGTGCAACATTATACTCATTATATACTCTACACATTTAGTCTTTGAATAGATTCCTGGCATGATAATTACATAATCATTCAGTACAGTAGAAACATCGTTATGGTCAAATACTAATTAGCTACTAAAATGAAACAAAATAGAACCTAGTTCATAGCTTATTATAAAAAGTGATTTAATAGGGTGCAAAACCAAATATATGGTTAAAATTATTGTTTGCATTAAGTATGAGTACTTTTTTTTCATAGAAGGAATTAGTGTTCTGGATGCTTATTATCTAATTTATTGCTTGGACACACATTATAGTATCACAGTCTTCATGACCTTTGGCTGTAGTGGAGCACCCAAAGAACATGCCAGTAGGGATTCTAGGCTTAGTGTGCCTAGGTATGCCTCAGGGCTACTACAGAATTAGGAGATTGGCCAAAGTTTTCAGGCACCATTTTCTCAAGTTCTTTAAATACTAGCTCTGTAAGCCTCTGGGAACATGGGTTTCAGTAGTAAATCACTCATTTCTGGGGTTCTGCTTTGAACATCTTTGGTACAGAGAATGAGTGATCCACCACTGTTTTTCTTCCCCATTGCACCTTAGAAATATAGGACAGTCCCATTGGTAATAATGAATCCTGGCCGTTGCAGTTAGCCAGGTGTGTTTGTGAATGGGGAACAGTCAGGCGAAATGTAATCTCTGGTAGGAGGGCTGTGGGAGGCTGCAAATAGATTGACAAATCTCTGAGGTAAGTCTGTTGAGTATACCTCTCAAGAGGGCATCACCCTCCCTCGCCTTGAGAATTGCTTCTGTGCGTAAAATGGGATTTTATCTAAGTACTAGGAGGATTCGTTGCTCTTTGTAAATATGTTTGTGACTATGTGGTTTCATCTGTTCATCTCTTGTATACATATGGAATCTCAGTGAACATAAGTAATACAAGTTAGGTCCTGTTATCCTGATGCATACTGTAAGCCTAATAGGAATTAGAGACATTCTTAATGTCATTATCACCTTTGGTATCTCAGAATGTTGCTTTAACATAAATGCTTCTGATGAACAATTTATAAGTCTAGTGTCATGGATTTTGTGTTATATCCTCTTTCTTTTTCTTCATTTTTCCTGTTGTCTTTTTTCCCTTTAGTTTTGGCCCCTGTAGGTATTCATTTTATTTCTTAATGAACACTTTGTAATGCAATTAAAGCAAAAATATATAGAACACATATACAGGATGGAAGAATACTGGTAAGCTTGGTGCTACCATCTATAGCTACAATGTATTGGGGGAGAGGTGGTTGTTATCCAACTATTCAGTGTGTTCCTGCGGTTACAAAATTGTATAGGAAAACAAAAATATTTCAGATCATGAAAATATGCACTAGTGAATCAGTGAGTTATATTATTAGTCCAACATCCTCTTTGAAATACTCTTCATTTGAAGACAATATGATGCAAATTGATTATAAATTATAAAATCATAAACCTTGCAGAGGATGCAGATTTCATGAAGTCTGCAATGTGATGGTCTAGAACGTCTCTGCTCACAGGCAAAGCCATGAAAGAATGACAGTCTGGCAGAGTTATGCTAGTAAGAAAATCAAGGCTGTTGGGTACCTCAACTGAGAATTATTTGAACATCAGAACTGGGAGAGGATTTTAGGAAAAATAAAGTCCTTAAATATTTTTTCAAATATAGTTTACTAATAAAACCATCATGTAAAAATTAAATGTTATGTGAAGGATGTCATAATATGCTGGTATAAAATATTGGAAAAATTGTGTCCCAAATTTCAGTTCATTTATGTTTTTGTTCATACCAAAAGTTGCACGTAGTTGCAAATATTGCCTAAACTTATTTTAATAGTTTGCATTTTCCTTTTTCTACCTAATCCCAATCAATTTTTTTTTTCACCATTACTTACTATAAACATTTGGGGCCCTGTTACAAGTGGATTCACTTCAAGTGACCTTTTTTAGAATCAACTTTCTTTAATAATAAAGTCCCATTGTATATAAAATATATGTGTGAATTATGTGATTTTCCATATATAGCCATACATTCTTAGTGGTCTAAAATGAATATTAGATTTTTAACTGGAACTCATTGTGATGAAATTGCAAACAAATTGTGAATTTTTTTTATTCTGTGAGATTAGGTAGGAATCAGGGTATTAGTTGTATGGAGCTCATTCTTTTAAACAGATGAATAAAACCGTATTTATATAAGTCTTTTTCTGGGGTACAGAAAAGCTTTATTACACATCTATGAATATCTTCCATTTGTAAAGCATTAATTCTTTAGAAAGGGCTTCTGAATCATTATTTAATTACCCTTTGTACTGTGTGATATTTGTTGTGATGAAATTGCCTGTTCTCTGAAAGTTCTCACAGAATATTCCTGTTAATTCTTCTCCATGAGTTGACTCTATGACTGTCCATGAACTGAAGTATTATGAAGGGTTTGGAAAAAATTAGCCAGATGTAGTAGCATGCACTACACCTGCTACTCCCAGCTACTCAGGAGACTGAGGTGGGAGGATTGCTTGAGCCCAGGAGGTTGAGACTGCAGTGAGCTATAATCTCCCCACTGCACTCCAGCCTGGGTGACAGAGTGAGACGCTATCTCAAAAATATATATGTATATGTATATGTATATGTATATCTACATGTATATGTATATGTAAGAAGTAAAAATATTTTGAGATCCCAATAATGAAGCAGCTGTTTTTGCAGGTACCTTGTGGTCTATAATCCTTTAGAACAAGACCGAATCTCGTTGGTCTCAGTCTATGTGAGTTCCCCGACAGTGCAAGTGTTCTCTGCTTCAGGAAAACCTGTGGAAGTTCAAGTCAGCGCAGTTTGGGATACAGCAAATACTATTTCAGAAACAGCCTATGAGGTATGTTGTAGCCATAGAACTTAAGGAGGCATTGTAAAACAAACCTAGCCAGTATATAATTTGTGTATGTACAGTAGCCCCCATTTAGCCATCATGTTGGTGTATGTGAGGTGATGAAAGTTGTAAATACCAGAGAGTTTAACTGGTGGGTCAAATGACACTAAAGGAAAAATGATCCTGTGTTCCCTAAAATGTTAATTTCTTTGTTAGTATATATATTGTATCTTATTATATGTTGTTCATATGTATATTGTATATCTTTGTAAGGATGCATACTGTTTATTCTAAGGTAATGCAGTAATTATTACTCATAAAATTTTGAATGTTTTGCTCTAAGTGAATTTAATGATAATTATGCATATCGAAAGTGAGATAAATACCACCCTTAGTAACTTTGGATAGTTTTAGGTTTTCATTGCAAAGGTGACATAACACACCATGGAAGAGAAATGCCCTAAAATAATTAAGATGCTTCTTTTGTGAGATATAATTGTGGAAAATCTGTGCTCAAGTTAATAGGTATTTTTTGTGCCAAAGTTTCTTAAAATAAGCAATATTAAACTGATCACTGTACCACTAGAAAGGTTAGACTTTTAAAATCTGGAATGTCATTTAAACGGCATTTCTGGAGATACAGCCATAAACTAGGAACTCTAAGAATTGTTTCTGCTTGACAGAAGCTATTGCTAGCTACTTTTATTATTATTATTATTATTTTTGAGACAGAATTTCGCTCTTGTTGCCCAGGCTGGAGTGCAATGGCGCGATCTCGGCGCACCGCAACCTCTGTCTCCCGGGTTCAAGTGATTCTCCTGCCTCAGCCTCCTGTAACTGGGATTACAGGCATGTGCCACCACGCCTGGCTAATTTTGTATTTTTAGTAGAGAGGGGGTTTCACCATGTTGGTTGGGCTGGTCTCAAACTCCTGACCCCGTGATCCACCTTCTAGCTACTCTTAAATATGCATCATCTTTTAGATAGAAAGGTAAACTATAATAAAAATTTTGGTCAGATTTTACAGGAAGCTTTCCATCTAGAAAATGGAACAGCAACAGCTCCTGGAAAGCAGGGGTCATGTCTTAAACTGTGTGCATCCCCCATGCTCTGTTCAGTGTCTGCTGAACCTCAAGCATTTGATGGCTAATGCTAACTTGTTTAATATTTATATTATGTTTATCATTTTTATTAACCGAAATATCATAATATTGCAAAAAAAATTAATAATTAGGAAATGGCATTGTTGTAAAGCCCTTACATTCATGGAAAATTTCCTTCTCTAGGCATTCTAGAGTACAGCCAAACAATTGAGAATGATCATACAGGTTCACATATTGGATAAAAACATTAGTGCTTTTGATAGGCCTACCAACTTTAGGTTATTAGGTTCTCTGGATAAACTGAGACATGTATGGTTTACCCATAAGATATCAAACATTTATAGAATATTGTTACACAGCCATGCCTTGGTATCTGTAGAGGACTGGTCCCAGGACCCTCTGGGGATAACAAAATCTATGGATGCTCAAGTCCTTTATATAAAATGGCATAGTACAGATGATCCCTGACTTACAATGGCTCAACCTAGATTTTTCAATTTTATAATAGCGTGAAAGTAATGTGCATTCAGTAGCAACCGTACTTCAAGTACCCATACAACTATTCTATTTTTCGCTTTCAGTATAGTATATAATAAATTACATAAGCTATTTATATTTAGTATAAAATATGATTTGTGTTAGGTGATTCTGCCCAACTGTGGGCTAATTTAAGTGTTCTGAGTACATGAAAGGTAGACTAGGCTAAGCTATGATTTTGGATAGGTTAGGTGTATTAAACACCTTTTTGACTTACGATATTTTCAAATTCTAATTGGACATAACCCAATCATGAGTTGAGGAGCATCTGCATTTGCATATAACCTGCACACATCCTCTTGTGTATTTTAAATCATCTCTAAATTACTTGTAACATCTGATACAATGTAAATGCTATGTAAATAGTTATTATACTATAGTTTTTATTTGTATTTTTTGTTTTTTGTTTTTTTTTCAAACATTTTTTATCTGTAATTGGTTGAAACTGTGGACATGGAACCTGTGGATATGGAGGGCCAACTGGATTCTCTTTTTAAAAAATATGATAGTTTGTTGGTTTTACCAAAAATATAAATGGTTTGCCTCTCAGTAGATAACATTTATCTTTAATAAATTCCCTTCCCTATCTTTTAAAGATCTCTTTTCGAGCACATATACCGCCATTGGGACTGAAAGTGTATAAGATTTTGGAATCAGCAAGTTCAAATTCACATTTAGCTGATTATGTCTTGTATAAGAATAAAGTAGAAGATAGCGGAATTTTCACCATAAAGAATATGATAAATACTGAAGAAGGTATAACACTAGAGAACTCCTTTGTTTTACTTCGGTTTGATCAAACTGGACTTATGAAGGTATGTTCTGAATAGTTCTAAAATTCATAGAATGCTTATCATTTTTGCTACAATGTGTGTAGATTAATTAGGCAAAAGGGGAAAAAAGTCTTAAGTAGAGCTGTATCAAATACTCTTGAGTAAAAGGAAGCATGAGCTTTTTGCACCTTCATTGACCACTTGCTGCTCACATGTATAGTCTGTGGGTGGCGCTACTCCGTGGTCTGTGTGTCACTGGTCCACCAGATAAGTACAGAAATTATTTTTTTAAATTGTCATATACATAGAACCAGATGCAACATGCTTAACATCTTAGTGGTGAGTTGCTTATTATTATTTTTTTTAATCTTTAGCAAATGATGACTAAAGAAGATGGTAAACACCATGAAGTAAATGTGCAATTTTCATGGTATGGAACCACAATTAAAAGAGACAAAAGTGGTGCCTACCTCTTCTTACCTGATGGTAATGCCAAGGTAAGTGGTACTGATGAGATGACAAATGGAATAAACACTTATTGAAAGAGTATTGAGGAAAAAGATAAGTGAGTGTCATTATTTTATCATCTGTTGATTTATTAGGGATAGATGAACTTTTGGTTGCAGTATTATCTATCACCTTATTGATACTTAGCAATTTGTAGTCGAAAGTTAGATAAATGGTTGGGCGCAGTGGCTCACACCTGTAATCCCAGCATTTTGGGAGGCCAAGGAGGGTAGATTGCTTGAGCTCAGGAGTTCAAGACCAGCCTGGGCAACATGGCAAAACCCCTTTTCTACAAAAAATACAAAAATTAGGCATGGTGGCCTGCACCTACAGTCCCAGTTACTCAGGAAGGCTGAGGTGGGAGGATGGCTTGAGCCCGGAAGGCAGTTGCAGTGAGCCAAGATCACGCCACTGCACTCCAGCCTGGGTTGACGGAGCAAGACCCCGTTAGATAAATAGTTTTTTAGAGTTGGAATTTGTTAAGATGCTACAATGAACAATGTTCAGTTAGGATAAACAATGAACATGGGAAGAAACTAGATTTTACGTAGAGTTAGGGAGCTTTATATGTATGCATTTTATACAGACACAAAACCTCTAGCCGTATGGGAAAAATAGATTTTCCACTGGACCATTTTTCTCCTTAACTTTCAGCCCTTTAAAAAACAAATCTTTCTCACTCTTGACTATAAAGGTAGTAATACGCAAACTCTGGCACATTTTGAAAATGCCAGAAACTAAAGAAAACATTAAAATTTACCAACAGGTGCACAATCCCATGAAAACCATTGCCAACATTTGGATGTATTTCTTATTGTCTTTTATTTTATGCATATCCTTTTCTCCCCGTTCTCAAGTCTTGACTTATTGCATGTACATATTTTGTTTTTCATTTGTGACAGTGCTCACAATCTGATGGTATGTTTTTTAAAAATCCAATTTTAATATATACTGTTGTGTTTAAGATGTTGCTTATATTCTTTTTCTCCCGATTCTTCACTACCATAACATTGTAATAAGCTTTCTTTGTAGCATTCAAAAAGAATGCTACAATGCAATTCTGATTAATTGCTGAGAATAACTTTCTAGAAGAGTCATTTTGTATCAGTGTCTGAAGTCTTTTAAGGACTTTTGCTGTGTACTGCTTATCTTCCCTCTAGAAAGACTAGGTAAATGTTCAATCCCACCAGCATTTTTTGAGATTAACTCTAAAATCCCACTCCAAGCACTGAGAATTGGCCATATTACAAGCTTTGCCTATAATAGTAAGTTAGTAGAAAAATATTTTTCTGTTAAGATTTTTGTGGTTACTAGTAAGGTTGAACGTTTTTGTACCTTCATTTATCTTTCATATTTCTTTTGTGATTTTCCTATTTCTATTCTTTGACTGTTTTTCTGTTGGTGTGTCCTGATGATCTCTGAGCACTCTATATGTGGTAAAATTAATCCTTTTCCCTATATGTTGTAAAATTTTTCTTATTGTGTCATTTAGTTTGTTAATTATTTTATTGTATTTCTCATTTATAGTGGTTTTAAATTTTTGTGTAGTCATTTCTTTTTTTTCTGTAGAGTTTCTTCCTTTGCTTTTATACCTTTATAGGTTTTCTATACCTCAAGATCAGTGAAATGTTATCCTAATTATTGTCTTGTTAGCTAGGGACCTATCTCCTGAAAAAGTTACTTTTGTTCCACAAGTTATGAAACCTGCTAACTAAAATCCAATACTGGATTTTAAGGGATTGTGTAGGCTACAGTAAGGACTCTAGGTTTTTTGTTTGTTTTTGTTTTTGGTTTTTTTTTTGGCTGTTTGGGGTTTTTCTTTTTTTTTTTTTTTAAGTCAGTGAAGAATTAAAGACAAACTACAACTCATATGAGGCATTCCAGGATGGGCAGTGAGTCCCAAATATGAGCTGTTTCAGTGTTTTCTCATTCACCAGCTTTTGTCATTGGACATTTTATTTTGATTGACTGTATTTATACTTAAAAAAGTAGTTGTGCTATAGAATTTCATGCGTAGATACCAATAACTAATTTATTTAAAACCATTTTATCTTTAAATAGCTCTAATGTCAGATAGAAAGATAAAACAATTGTCATTTTTACAGAGAGAAAATAAAAAACATCAGGGAAAGAGGCAGTCTAGTGCATCAGAAAAAGGCAAGAGCCCAGAACTCATCATCCCAGGTTCTCATCCCCTCCCTCACTTTCTAGCTATTTGGTAATTAGGTACAAGAAATTTGTAAACCATTAAGCATTTTAATAACTCCAGAAAATTTTCCCTAGCCAAAGAGGTAAATTTGGAAGAAAATTACACAATTCTGAAAAAAAAATTTTTTTTTTTTGGAGACGGAGTCTTGCACTTTCACCCAGGCTGGAATGCAGTGGCGCGATCTCAGCTCACTGCAAGCTCCGCCTCCTGGGTTCACGCCATTTTCCTGCCTCAGCCTCCCGAGTAGCTGGGACTACAGGCACCCGCCACCAAGTCTGGCTAATTTTTTGTCTTTTTAGTAGAGACGGGGTTTCACCATGTTAGCCAGGATGGTCTCGATCTCCTGACCTTGTGATCCGCCCACCTCGGCCTCCCAAAGTGCTAGGGTTACAAGGCGTGAGCCACGGCGCCTGGCCGAAAATCTTACACTGTTTAAGTAGTTCATATTGCAAGCCTAACTTTCTATGCTATTGTTGAGCTAAGGTATCTAATACTTTAAAAATATAATTACTCATAAATGTTTTAAATTTGCTTCCATGTCACATAAGTTATGTGCTTTATTACCATTTTTTAAAATTTAAATAAAAACTAAACTAGTGGTTTCCAAGTAGTTTTTTCAAGTTTGTGAATTTATATTCAGCTAGTTCTTTCAAGTAAAAGGACAGAATGTTTTATAGTTTAGTAAACCGAGCTATGATTAAACTATGTTTCTGAATCCTGCTTTCAGTTTGCTTAGATGACTCCCTGTAGTCATCCTTGCCACCTGTCCCAAACCCTGAACATTAGGGGGCTGGGACCATGGTTATAATAATTATTTACCTGGGAAAATGTAACTTCTGTAGAATGATTGCTGTTTCTAATAAGTAACTATATGGACAAATAGAAGGATTTTAGTTAGAAATTTGTATAGCTGGGAGGAATGCTTTCTAGACCAGTGAAGTTGTAAACATTTTTATTTCCTATTTTCAGCATTTTTAAAAATAAAAAACACGTTCAGTTTTTATCACATGCATATTTTGTTACCTTGTAAGATCTGGTTTACACTTAAAATTGCAAATATCAGGTGATACGTATTTTCTATTTTTGAAACCATAATAAACATATTCTTTTAAAAGTTTGGAAGCCAAAATATTTTTCTTAAATATATTATTTTCTTTTCAGCCTTATGTTTACACAACACCGCCCTTTGTCAGAGTGACACATGGAAGGATTTATTCGGAAGTGACTTGCTTTTTTGACCATGTTACTCATAGAGTCCGACTATACCACATACAGGGTAAGAAAATAGGAATGCAGTTATGAAACATATGTATTATGGTTTTTGAATTCTTGCTTTTCTTATGCCATTCTTAAATTAACAGTTGGTTTTTGTAGATGATGTTTTTCTAAACTTGACATTTTTAATATGATTTAAAATATGAAACTTACCCTTTGATAATAAAAAATGGTAAAACGTTTCAATCCCTACATATACATGTTCCTCTGTATATCTTCTCTTAATTGTTGCCATATTGGTCTTGAGCTCATTAACTGGTAACTTTATTTTTAACACCTGAAAACAATACAGTGTTTTGATTTTATGAAATGGAAATTATATTAAATACGACTTTCAGTTAATAGACCACACACATATATGGGGCCTGCTTCCTTAAATATAGCCTGTATCACTGGAATGTAACTTTAAGAGAAAAATGTTCTAAGCTGGTTCTATTTGTTTACAGCTCTTTACCCAGTAGAGTATAAAACCTAGCAATTGTTTATCATTTTTAGAACAGTATTGAGCAGCATCTTTATGAACCCAAGTGATAGGAAATAGGCTTTTGATCCTTTTGAGAACTTAACCCTGGGCAATGGAACTGATTCCATGGGGTCTGAGTGGAGCTGTGGTTTCCAAAGACTTGCACATTTAGGTTGGTTGATTTAGAATTCATTGTTTGTAGAATGGTGTGCTTTTCCAACTACAGATTTAATCCTAATAACCAGGGTATTTACCATATTATCAACACTCTTAGAAAAAGACCTCATAAAAATGCCATTTAAATTTATCTTTGCTGTTAGCTAAGTTGAACAAATTAGAAAAGAAAAAATACTATTTCCCTGAATCTTCATACAGGTAAAAAATAAAGGATTTCACAAACTAAAGATAAATGTATAGGTAGGCACGGTTTCCTTTTTAGGTATTGTGGGAAAGCAAAGGGATACTATGTTCAGGGAATCTCTTAAATCACAGAAGTTCAATTTTCTGATTTCATAGTTAAATTTAATTTTGCTTTTATTTAACTTTTTTATTAACTTCAAATTTCATTAGTATTTGCTTTTTGTTAGAATTTCAGGTATGGACAAACTTTCTCATGCAACTTCTTTAGGTAATAATATGATAGGTTTTTCAGAATAACCCATGATTCATAGGATGAATCAAGAAGTAAAAGTTCTCTGGCAGGTGGGAAAAATAATGCTAGACACTAATTTTGTGTCCTAAATGTGACTTCTGAAGTTATCTGTGATCACTTTGCTACCTACAGGAAAACCTGTAGTTCTGAAATAATCTTCTATTGAGTTTCTCAAAACTTCTGGTAAGTCAGAAACTGTTTTTGATCATCTGTTTGTACTCTTGTGTAAGCCATTATTTAATACCCCTGAGAGCTCTAAGTTACATCTTCAACTTTATAGCATTACCCCACAGAAGATATGCTGATCTATTTTTAAGTTTGCTTTAAACTATTGTTTTTTAGTGGAAAAGTTTTTCCTGGAGTACAACATGGCACACACTTTGGCACAAACTTGTGTCATCAGGTTTGATTTACCATTGTTTTTCATCAGTTATATTTAGAGATGGGCTATGTCTCAGAGGAAATGCTGTAGCAACTCTTCCTAAAATTCCAACTTCTCAATCAGGTATATTTGCATAATTGCTTTTGCTTTTATTTAATTATGTCACTGTATCTTCTGGGTTTTCCTTGGATTATCCAGGACCTCTAGTTCTCACATCATAGGGCAGTTTGTGTAGACTAGATGGCCCTGTTCTGCTGCTAGTGGCTGTAGCTTAGTGCTTGACTTGGAAATTAATAGGCTCTGACTTGCCTATTTACTTATTTGAGCAAACTACACTCATCAGAACTAAATGCTTGTCATTTTTCCTTTCCCCCTCTCTTCCTGTTTCCCTCTGGGCAGTGAACTGTCCAGTGGCTAATAGTGTTAAGCAGGAGCCCGGGCCACTGAGGTTTGACTGGCTCCTGGCCTTCCAAAGGGGCTCTCAATGTAGCCCATTTCTATTTGCTGGTCTTGCCTCTGCCTCTTTTCTCTTTTTTATTCTTTAGTTTTCTTTCTTTCTTTCCTTCCTTTTTTTTTTTTTTTTTTTTTTTTTTGACAGAGTCTCGCTCTATCGCCCAGGCTGGAGTGCAGTGGAGCGATCTCGGCTCACTGCAGCCTCTGCCCCACTGGTTCAAGGATTCTCCTGCCTCAGCTTCCTAGGTAGCTGGGACTACAGGTGTACACCACCACGCCTGGCTAATTTTTCTATTTTTAGTAGGGATGGGGTTTCGCCATGTTGGTCAGGCTGGTCTCGAACTCTTGACCTCAGGTAATCCACCCGCCTTGTCTTCCCAAAGTGCTGGTATTATAGGCATGAGCCACTGCACCTGGCTTGATTTTCTTTTTTCATGTGTTTCCTTTCTAGATTATTTGTCTTCTCTTCCTTGGTGTTCTCGGGCATATGAAAAAAATAATAAATGATGGATAAATAAGTGTAATGCAAACTTAGAGCGCCTCACTGATGAGTTTTACAGTAGTTGCCTGGATTAAATGAGAAGCCGTCATATATAAACTGGACGTAACCTGTAAATCTTTTTTCATTCTAGTCCGGATCATTTTTTTTTTCAACATGAAAGCAGTTGGTAGGAAATAGAGATACCAGAATCACCTGAAATGCTTTCTTCCAAACTATATACCTTCCCGTGTTTGTATTTGAGCTCCTCTTAACAAATCTCCCTCTGGGAAAAGATAAGCCCGGTTGTGGAGAGAGTCTTTCCTTAGTAATCTTCATGACTCACCTGTCTCTCCTGTTTTTCACATACCATTGCCTGAACACTCGGGTTGTCTCAATCCTGGCTGATTGTGGTTTTAATGAAATCACTAATCAAGGCCCATGATAGATATACGAAGTCTTCAGGGTATTTGGCTCTATCAGCGTTCACGCTGCCTGAAAGGGTGATCAGTCTTCAGGGATCTGTTATTTAGTGCCAAGTCTTCCTTATTAAGAAATACTGGAAAGTTGTTTAACATTCTAAACTTTGGCCTCCTGTAAATCAGACACCTGGATGATTGATCAAAATGCATAGACAAAATGTGGCTTTTCATTTTAGATGCAAAGGAAACGTCAGCCAACTTCCATGCTGTTGTAGATTGGCTTTTAGCTAGTATTGCATAAAATAACAAAAAATATTTATTCTTGAATTTAATTTACTAAACTAGTTTTGGATATATGCTACTTTTGTCCCCCTTAAACCAACCAGATGCAGTTATTTGCATGAGTATTAATGAATAGAGCCTATTTGTTGTTAGTACCAGATTTTCAATCCAGGAAGAAATGAGGGTTTGGGGAGAGAGACTATTAATGTTTTATGATTACATACTGTAATTGTATTAGGTTACTAAACCAGTTAATTATACAAAAGATTTTGTAATCTCAGCAACAAGGAATAAAGAAACAGAAAATGAGTTAGTATTAAAGATTGTCTTTGTTGGGTGTCTATTTTTGTTAAACCTTACAAATCCAATTTAAAAACTAAACTAACGCATACCTGACAAAATATTCTTACATTTCTCAGTCTCTACTTTAGTTGTTCTTTGACCCTTTTCTCCCCAAAGTAACTATTGCCCAAATTAAGCTTCAGGAGAAAACAAAATCAAGAACGACAAGCAACATTTCCAAAATTATATAAACTTTTTGGTCCTTAATGATTTTGAAACAGAGTTGAGAGGCCGTATAGTTCAACCTACTTTTGTTTTTGGTTTGGTATTTAACTTTTGTTTCTCTATCTGCATTCTCTCCAGATTCTGAAAATGATCAGAAGTGCAGTTGAAGGGCTCTCTCTTTCTTAACATCTTTTAAACTAATAAAAGAACACTCTGTTTTCCTTTTCATTATCGTTCAGACATCGCATTCAAAAGGTTTCTAAAAATACTAAATTAGAAGAAATCTTGTGCTCACTAGCCTTAAAAGCTCTACAAGATCAGAGCAGTTCAGAATTTCTAATGAAGGCGTGGCACGGTGGCTCACACCTGTAATTCCAGCACTTTGGGAGGCCAAGGCAGGCGGATCACAAGGTCAGGAGATCAAGACCATCCTGGCTAACAAGGTGAAAGAAACCCCGTCTCTACTAAAAATACAAAAAGTTAGCTGGGTTTGGTGGCACGTGCCTGTAATCCCAGCTATTCGGGAGACTGAGGCAGGAGAATCGCTTCAACGCAGGAGGCGGAGGTTGCAATGAGCCGAAATAGCGCCACTGTACTCCAACCTGGGCAACAGAGCGAGACTCTGTCTCAAAAAAAAAAAAAAGAAAAAAAGAAAAAAAATTTCTAATGAAATATATTGTTTTGCCCATGTCAGGTTTAATAAATCCATTTTATAGCACCCATAATTTAATGAAATGCAATTTATTTCATTTGTAGAAAATAACACTCTTCTGGGGGAAAAGTTGAGGGAGGTGGGAATTAATTTTTCTTGCAGTATAATCATCTTTCATTTAATTGAAGCTTTAAACATTACCATATAGGCTGCTACTTTAGCTTTTTTGGTTAATCTGTAATTAGAAGATAGAATATAATACAAACAGAAGCTCCTGTATCCTCTTGTGTTTTATTTAATACTGCACCTACAAGGAAAGTACATACCTTGCAATAATATAATACCAATAAGTGACATTGTTAACTGTGGCCTTATTTGTCTTCAGAGCTGTAATTATTGGACTTTAGTGTCCTAGTTTCTGATATCAACAGCTACTTTGAAGAATTAGGTCACTGTGGGTAACGAGTATGTCGTGTACATTTCATTGGCGCAAGGACTGTGTTCTCCTAGGCAGGTGTTTGTTAGCGAGTTAGTATGTATGTGTGTGTAAACCATGTTTTAACCCTTAGGGGAAACATCTTAAATGCAATACTTCTGCCCTGTTTTCCACCAACATATTATAAAGTATTATATGTAATGGATCTTACTCAAAGAAAACAAGCAGCCTGGAGGTAAAATGTAATGAACTGACATCAAAAAGTATGGAAGGAAAGACTTTCCTTTGACTGAAATGACTGATTTTCTTGCATATTTAGCAATCGAACAGAGTTGCTTAGTTTTTCTCTGAGCAATTTTGAATATATAAACATAAGTGGATTTATAACCTGACTCTTGGCTTTTAGAGAATCAAAATGAGCTTCATCTAGTTAAACATATTAGGGGACTTCAAAAAGTTTGTGGACAAATGGAATTAAAAGATAAAAATTAAAAATATAAACTATTTCTCAACATAAGCTTCATCAAGTTCATGACGCTTTTGTAAGCAATGAATCCAGCTACTCAGTCCATCCCTAAGGAACAGAGGGTCCTGGAAATTTAACCATGTCATTTCAGTCTACTTATATTATTAAGTAAAATGAGTGCCCATTAAATATTTTTTTAAGATTAGGAAACAAAAAGAAGTCAGGAGGAGCCAAATTAGCACTGTAAGTGACTGCCTAATGATTTTCCATTCAAACTGTCACAAAATTGCCCTTGTTTAATGAGAGGAATGAGCAGGAGCATTATGGTGGAGAAGAACTCTGATGAAACTTTCCTGGGTGTTTTTCTGCTAAGGCTTTGGCTAATGTTCTCAAAACATTCTCATAACAAGCAGATATTACTGTTCTTTGGGCCTCCAGAAAGTCAACACACCAAATGCCTTGAGCATCCCAAAAAGCTGTTGCCATGACTTTTACTCTTGGCCAGTCTTCTTTTGCTTTGATTGGACCATTTCCACCTCTTGGTAGCCATTGTTTTGATTGTACTTTGTCTTCAGAATCATACTGGTAAAGCTGTATTCCATCTCCTGTTACAATTCTTCAAAGAAATGTTTCAGGATCTTGATCCCACTTATTTAAAATTTCCATTGAAAGCCCTGCTCTTGTCTGCAGCTGATCTGGACGCAATGGTTTTGGCACCCATTGAGTGGAAAGTTTCCTCAACTTTAATTTTTCAGTCAGAATTGTATAAGCTGCTAATTGTTAGTTCTCTTCAGTTAGAGCAGGAGCAAACTTAATTTTTTTCTTGAAAATTGGTGTAGTCTTCGTCTTCTACATTGTCCCATCCCTTCTTAAAACAATTTATCTGTTTTGTAAAGTGCTGATTTTCTTGGACCATTGTCTCCATAAACTTTTCATAAAGCATCAGTGATTTCACCATACTTCCACCTAAGCTTCACCATAAATTTGATGTTTGTTCTTGTTTAAATTTTAGCATAATTTATATTGCTCTGATAGGGGCTCTTATCAAATCCAAGTCTCACCCTTCTTAGTGCTCAAACTAGATCCTGTTCAGACATGTTACAATAAGTAAGTATGAGTTTATTTTGATGAAATCCATGCATAGTTTTTTCATGATATGCATTTTCCATGAAACTTTTGAAGACCCCTCTTATAAGGGAATCACATTGGGATTTGGAGATCCAAATCCTTAGTTTTGCCTCTAAGCAAACTAGAGGAGTATGGGTTTGTCCTTTAATTTCTTAGGGACTCAGTTTCTTAATCTATAAAAAAGGTAGATGTTCAATTAGGTATAACTGTCAAAGAGTCTTCATACAACTTAGTTTCACATAAAATCTCTTGTGCCTGACTCCCTGCTTCTAAATTCATCTTCTACACTTGGTCTTAGCCAAAAGGCCAAGAAGTGATTAAATTCATCTTCTAAGAATGCCTGAATCTGGGGCTTCCATCCCTGGAGTCTGCCCCACTTGTAAACAAGGTCTCAGAGCTTCACTGAAGTTCTTTTTATTTTCATAAAAAGATTCATGAAGACATTAAGATGGTTTGCAATCAATCTCTCATTTTTTTCCATAGCTATATTCCATATTTAGTTTGATTTAAAAGTAAAAAGCATTAAGTAAGTTATAGCTAGGCAGGCTTAGGTAATTAAAACATTTTTGGAATATCATAATATGCAATTGACTGCTAAGGATTTTTTTCCCTGTTAATTGGAACTTTTAAAAATTGAAATAAGTAGCTATGTGACGAATCTGATCATTCCCTACAGGCATGAAAGAGAAGGTTATTTTAAGGGACTGCAAGCACATTCTGGTTACACAGATTCAGAACTCAGAGGTTATCTTTGGGGCTGTTTGAGAGCAGCTGATTGTTGAAGCCATAACTCCTTAGCAAAGAAGCATCATCCCCTACAAAGGTGGGTTGCACTGAACTCAGGTGAAGGGCACAGGGATGGGGGAAACACAGGAGATATGTAATGGCTCAGAGTTGAGACTCCAGAGCCAGTTCTCTTGTGTTTTATTCCCAGGCCCATCCTAGGTCTGCCACTTAGCAGCTGTTTGACCTTGCACAGGTTACTGCCAACCTGGCTTTGGTTTTATCATCCTGAAATGTTGACAGTAGTAAAATCAGCTTCAGAGGATGTTTGGAGTATTCACCGAGTAAATATACAAGGAACCTTACCCATAGTGAGTGTTGTATCTACTTACAAGAGTGAGTGAGCCAGATGGGTTAGATAGTTTACTATTATAAGACAAAGCATGGTCATTAAGGATTGGGGGAATTGGGGAGGATTTAATGAAGGAAGTGAGTCACTGAGAGGCTAGGTCTTAGAGAATGTCACATGAAAGGCAGAAAGGAGGAAAAGAATATCACAATGTGTGAAATAAGGTTGTTTAGAACCCCACTATAAGGATTTGAAGAACTCTTTGTCCCTTATATATTTTTTAATTGACTTGAAGTTTTTCTTTATACATTTAAATAATTGCAAAGGATGTTATTTTGGTGTATTGTACATGGTGACTTTTAAAAATAAGCATATCCAATGGGCAGTGGTACTAAATCATGTGTTTTTTAAAAGCCTGCACTAGCTTTTTCTTTAACTGTCGGAAACTTCACATCATTATTTTCTCCTTATAATTACATTCTATTTCTCCACAGAATGTTATCTTAATGTAGTATTTTTGTGGTTCAGAGCCTTGTTATTGGTCAGTCTTTCATTACTTCTCTAAAACAAAAATCATGTGTGTGTGTGTGTGTGTGTGTGTGTATTTATGTATACAGTTTTAAAAGTCTGTTATAAGGCTCTAAGTATTTTATTTCTTCTGGATTGAGATATAAAAATTATTATTTGTATGCAGTTGGTCAAAAAACATAAATATGTTCCTATTTTAATAATTTTATTTTATAAATTTTAATGAAAACATTTTTCTCAGTGGGTTGTACCTTTTTAATTCCTAATGGATAATGTATCCATTGATGAATGTCACTCATTGCTAGAATGATATATGATTTTATTCTTAATTTTTATTTATATAAATATCAGTGCAAAGGAAAGTTGTTCACATAAATAAGTAGCTGGTAATGGAAGGAGTTTTCTTTTTTTTTTTTTTTTTTTTTTTTTAGTATTTATTGATCATTCTTGGGTGTTTCTCGGAGAGGGGGATTTGGCAGGGTCATAGGACAATAGTGGAGGGAAGGTCAGCAGATAAACATGTGAACAAGGGTCTCTGGTTTTCCTAGGCAGAGGACCCTGCTGCCTTCTGCAGTTTTTGTGTCCCTGGGTACTTGAGATTAGGGAGTGGTGATGACTCTTAACGAGCATGCTGCCTTCAAGCATCTGTTTAACAAACCACATCCTGCACCGCCCTTAATCCATTTAACCCTGAGTGGACACAGCACATGTTTCAGAGAGCAAGGGGTTGGGGGTAAGGCCATAGATTAACAGCATCCCAAGGCAGAAGAATTTTTCTTAGTACAGCACAAAATGGAGTCTCCCATGTCTACTTCTTTCTACACAGACACAGCAACAATCTGATTTCTCTTTCCTTTCCCCACACGTCCCCCCCTTCCACTCGACAAAACCGCCATCGTCATCATGGCCCGTTCTCAATGAGCTGCTAGGTACACCTCCCAGACAGGGTGGCGGCCGGGCAGAGGGGCCCCCCCACTTCCCTCCCGGATGGGGCGGCTGGCCGGGCCGGGGCTGCCCCCCACCTCCCTCCCGGACGGGGCGGCTGGCTGGGTGGGGGCTGTCCCCCACCTCCTGGAGGGGGCGGCTGCCGGGCGGAGGGGCTCCTCACTTCCCAGACGGGGCGGCTGCCGGGCGGAGGGGCTCCTCACTTCTCAGATGGGGCGGCAGGGCAGAGACGCTCCTCACCTCCCAGACGGGGTGGCGGTCGGGCACAGACACTCCTCAGTTCCCAGATGGGGTCACGGCCGGGCAGAGGCGCTCCTCACATCCCAGATGGGGCGGCAGGGCAGAGGCGCTCCCCACATCTCAGACGATGGGTGGCGGGGCAGAGGCGCTCCCCATATCTCAGACGATGGGTGGCCGGGCAGAGACGCTCCTCACTTCCCAGAGGGGATGGCGGCTGGGAAGAGACGCTCCTCACTTCCCAGACTGGGCGGCCGGGCAGAGGGGCTCCTCACATCCCAGACGATGGGCGGCCAGGCAGAGACGCTCCTCGCTTCCCAGACAGGGTGGCGGCCGGGCAGAGGCTGCAATCTCGGCACTTTGGGAGGCCAAGGCAGGCGGCTGGGAGGTGGAGGTTGTAGCGAGCCGAGATCACGCCACTGCACTCCAGCCTGGGCAACATTGAGCACTGAGTGAGCGAGACTCCATCTGCAATCCCGGCACCTCAGGAGGCCGAGGCTAGCAGATCACTCGTGGTTAGGAGCTGGAGACCAGCCCGGCCAACACGGCAAAACCCCGTCTCCACCAAAAAAATCCGAAAACCAGTCAGGCGTGGAGGCGTGCGCCTGCAATCCCAGGCACTCGGCAGGCTGAAGCAGGAGAATCAGGCATGGAGGTTGCAGTGAGCCGAGATGGCAGCACTACAGTCCGGCCTCTGCTCGGCATCAGAGGGAGACGGTGGAGAGAGAGGGAGAGGGAGAGGGAGACTGTGGGGAGGGGGAGGGGGAGGGGGAGAGGGATTGAAGGAGTTTTCTTATAGGAATATCATTCAGTACTTTGAACTCCTGAGTTAGATGCCATAAGCCACAGACTGATCTATCGTCAAACATTAATTTTAATCAATTATTTTTAAAGATCTACTGCCTGACAACCTGATTAGGTATGCTTTCAATTTTGGTGAAAGCAAGCAATTGGAAACCATGTGTTTTGCAGAAATATTTGTTGCTTAGTCATTAAAGTCCAGTCAGACACCAATATGTTGAACTGTTTTTGTTCAGTACCCACTAAAGAAGGTGAGAGATATGCTGCTGCTTGTTTTATTTTTTTTATAAGTTGGGAGAAGAAATAGAGTGGTGGAAAAGAAACATCTGTCATGGAGGCAGGTCATTATGAGGAATCTTTTCCTGCCTAAAGGTGCCTTAGAAAGGAGCATGTTTGGGAAAACAGGAAGTAGGTAAGTTCAGAGTAACTGCCAGTGCCACAGATGTGCAGATCAAATATCATGATTAGTTCAGCCAACTTCTCTCCTCTGTCCTAGACCAGCCCAAGCCTGGGACACGGGGAAGGCACCAAAAAACTCCGGTGTTGTGAGGTATTTTATTCACCTCGTAGGGGAGTGTTTTAGTTAGACCTTATTTATTTTATCTATTTTGAGGTTAAAACTGATGTCGGTATTATGATCCCTCCAAAACAGAGCTTCCAAAAAATTCTGTTGTTTCATAACATTAGTACTTTAAAAAAAAAACCAAAAAGCCTTTCAGTTTTGTTTTATGTTTTTCATTTATTATGTCTTCTTCAAGTATATCATAGTTTATTGGTATAATCTTTACCCAACATTTGCAATTCATATGATCAAAATGCCATACCTTTCCTATTACAGATTTAGTTTTTGACATTTTCATGAGAATTATTGAAATGAAAGGCATAAAGTAGGTACACTAGTGCCTAACTCATAAGTTATTGGTAAGTAATAGTAGCTGTTTATCTAGTAGTGTTTTATGAATGGCACAAAGCAGTATATCATCATTTTCTTAAATTTGTGACTTGGAATGAAATTTACTAAAATTTGTATTCATGAAAGCAGATGTTAACATTTTCACTTGTGGAGAAATAATCAATATGAACATTTACAGACCCAGAAATCGGCAGTGACTCAGACGATAAATTAGATCTTATAATGAATGGTAAATTGAGTGAGTCAACATGGAAAAAAAGATCATCCAGTAGTGGGAATTATTACCATTTTTATTTTGGTACTTTCAGATATAAGTACAGTTTTTTTTTTAAATATGGTCACGATAATATTTTCTTTTTAGAAACATTTAGATGTTGACTTACTCAGTTTGTCATTGTTGTGAGAATTTCATATAAGCATACTTATCGAATTAAGCAGTATATGTTAATTAATAACCATAAGCTTGAGCTTTAAGCTAAGTTGGATAAAGTTTACAAAAACATCACTAAAGTAAGTGCATAATAGCAAAGGTATTTTTATATTTTTGATGATTAAAATACAAAACAAAATGTTTCCCATATTGAAGAGGGAATATTCAAAATCAGAAGCCCTAGTTTTTTCTGATAGCTATTATTATCCTACTTCTGCAACAAAATGATGATTCTGTCATCCTCTCTGCTCAGACACAGATTGGAGGAAAGGAGATGAGAGCAACAATTAGATAGATAACAAGGTTCCCTTTGCCTGAGAGCCAGTATTTTTAAGACACTCAGACATTTCTTTGAATCTTAGATGGGTGTTTTGGAGATTTATTTTATGTGATTTGATAGCTATGTTAAATTTCAGTTAAACTTTTATTTGCAGACTTAAATATGCCGCTTAGGATTCTCGCCATCACTTGTCTTTTTCCTAGGTGACCGTGGGCCATTTGCTATTGTCCCTCTTGATCTAATGAGTTGTCCTAATCACATTAGGTGCCACTGATAAGATACTGGACTTTGCTGGGATATGAGTGAGGTTCTTTTTTGTCGTTTTTCCCAAGTTGTTGCCTCTCACTCCTATAACTGGTTGAGTGTGGTGAGAGTGGTGTATGGTTTATGAGTATATTCCTTGGAAAAGTATACTTTGCATTTCAAAATAGCTAGAATAAAATGATCTGGAGAGGTGGAGAGGGTTGAGCTAACTCTGAGATTCTGCAATTCAGGGTTGAATTAGGCGGCTTCAGATAAATTGTTGAAGGATCTGAGAGAGTTGGTGGTACAGAGGAAGTAAAAGCCTGGGATTTTCCAAAGGCCGTCATTAGTTGTTGCTCAGAGCTATGACTCCAGGGTTTCCATTTGCATTTTTTGGAGTCCTTACACCCTCATGGATGTTTCTTTTACCTCATATTTCAGGCATGGCGTGTGTCGGGCTTGCCCTCCAGTTTTTCTTTTAATAATAACAATAATAATAATTATTGTTATTATTATTTTTGCGATGGAGTCCCACTCTGTTGCCCCAGGCTGGAGTGCAGTGGCGCGATCTTGGCTTGCTGCAACCTCTGCCTCCTAGGTTCAAGTGATTCTCCTGCCTTAGCCTCTGAAGTAGCTGGGATTACAGGTGCCCACCACCACACCTGGCTAATTTTTGTGGGGTTTTTTTTTAGTAAAGACAGTGTTTCGCTATGTTGGGCAGGCTGGTCTCAAATCCTGACTTCACATGATCCACCCACCTCGGCCTCCCAAAGTACTGGAATTACAGGCATGAGCCACCGCACCGGCATGCCCTCCAGTTTTTCTCTCCCCACACGAGGGAGCACGCTTTTTGGTTTCCTTAGACTGGTGCTAAGCAACAGTTAAAAGGGTGATGCCTTTTGTTTTCTGTTCTCTCTCTCCTGATCCACCCAGTGGGGGAAGGCTCTGAGAAGAGCAACATCATTTTGAGAGTGGTGCTAAAACCCTGTAAGCCTGAGTGTTCTGTCCTCCCAAAGCTGTGATACGGCTCAGCCTCCTGACGGTGACCTACTTGGTTTTATTTCTTCTTGCTGTCTCAGAAAATATTCTAAAGATGCTTAATATTATTTTACAAATACAGGTATAAATAATATATATGTGTACTCTTCTGACTTCACACATTACAGATATAAAGTAAAATTCCTCTGGCATCTGTGTCTGTCTCCATCCACTCTTCAGGAGAGGAATTCAGATATATGTGCAAGCATACGTGCACCACACGGTCTTACAACTGTAGAAAAGTATAGTATTGTGTTTGTGTCGATTTTCAGCATAGTTTATCATGCTATACAAATGCTACATTTAGCTTTTTTCTTCTGATGTTTCTCTGCCAAGAGAGACAGTTACCTCATTCTTCTCATTTGTGACACAGCATTCCATAACATGGGTGTATGTGATTTTATTTATTCATTTCCCTGTTGAAGGGCATCTAGTATGTCTTCCCATTTTTTTGTTCCTAGTGCCAGTATGCAGTGAACATGCTGGTGTGTGCCTCCTGGGCTCACCATTATGTACATCTCAGCTAGGTACAGTGGGGAGGAACTGCTGTGCAATAGAGTATCTGTCTTTAATATTAAATATGTATTACTTTCTTGGCTTCTAAGGTGAGTGTGCCATTTTAAAAGAGAGTTTTGGGTTGTTTTAAAGAGTTTTTGGGGTCTGGAAGCCTCTTGTGCTTTATTTCACTCAAATAGCTCTTGCAGGATATCAGATTTCAGTTCAGTGCCCTCTGCCCTTAAAAACAAAAACAAAATCTGGAGGTCTTCTCTCTACTCGCTTACTACAAGGCCTCTCCCAGCCCTTGGTCCCAGAGTAACTTGAGCCTTCTCCAATAGTTGGTCTGCCAGTGAGACATGATGATGTAGTAGTTTAGTCCTGGTTCTGCCAGTCTTGTCCTTGGGCGAGTGATTTCTTCCTCAGCTTAGGGTCAGGAAGAAAGGAGTCATTATATGTAAAGCTTGTAGTAAACATATGGTACATAGTAAGCATCAATAACTCTTGGCTCCTGTCATTGCGACATAGCTGCCACCCTTCACTCAGCATACGTTTACCACCCTTCACTCAGTATACGTTTATTGTACATGTCTACGTGCTGGGAACATGAAGATAAATAAGACATGGTCTCTAGCCTTAGGGAACTTATATTCTAACATGCATGTAACATATATGTAAAATGAAAGTTCTTATTCTCTCATCTTTCCAGCTACTTAAACTTTATCCATAGCCCAGTTTACTTTCCTCCCATGTCAGCTAACTTCTGCATGATAAAGGACAGGCTTTCATATCTTAGCTATTTCTGTCTAACAGTGATTCAGTACTTACCATGTACCCCAAATGTTGTTAAGAACTGGAATGCAAAGATGGTGTGTAAGACAGTCTGTATCTGTGAGAAGCTAACATTCTGTAGGGAGATTAAAAAAAAAAAAAATCCTAGCTCCGGGTGTGAGACTGGAATCTACAGCATCTATAGAACACTCTGATGTAGTGGGACCTTCTGAAGGACTCTTTTTGGCCTTTTTATTACCACTTTTCACCTGTGAACTGGCTCTGTTCTACCTTGCGTTGCCTATGCAAATAAGGATAAACAAACTCCATTCTCTCTTCCAAGGGGGAGAGAATTAGCAGCAAGAGGGCACATATTTCTCTTTGTTAAAACCTGGGAATGGCATCACTCCTTTCTTTCCCTAGTGACTAATCTTGTAAAGTGTTAAAGAGAAGTCTAAGTCCCCCAGAGGGACTTAGAAAGCCCTGGCCATTCATGCCCAGGTGGAGCCACTTTAGTAAAAAAAATAGCATTTTTGCTGCCATGTGATGCACAGGTAAAACAGACCACTGGATACTGCTGGTTTGCATTCCTGCTTCCTGGGAAGTTCTCCCTTCCATTTCATGAGCCTCTTTGGGAAAGGTACAAACTTAGGGAATTACTGACACAGAATAGGAACAATTGGCAATCCTTTCACTCTTTCACATATACTGATCTTTAAAAAAATAATAAATTATCATTGAGAACTCAGGGATACCTCCTTGCTTTTATGACCATTACAGGTTTTGTTTGGCTTGTTCATAATAAGCATATTAAGTTTAATCTTATTTTAAAAGTCTGTCCTGATACAAACTTTAAATTGATATCTTGCTGAATTGTGAATGGACATAAAGGCTCCTTTTAAAGAGCTTTAAGTGTTTGTTGCCACAACAGGGTCTGAGTATAATACTGAGGTTGAGAAAGATGATTTTCTCAACAGAAATACTTTATTATTGCTAGAGGTAGTGTGAAATTATCATTTTTTCCTTGAAGCATGTTCTTTTATAAATGCTTTCTGGAGATACATGAATTAAAATTAATGATGTTCTCTTTTGTTAAGGCTTTATTTCATTTCATGTATTCTGTTGATCTTTGAGACAATATCTAATCTAGAGAGAAGAAAACATAAAATAGTACTAAAAACCCAATGAATTCTTTTAGTGAATTAGAGTTTACTTCTTGTCATCAGCTAAGCTCCCTAGTATTACGTGAATACTATCATGCTTGGTGCTACATTTTGTGTTTTGGATGTTTTTGGTTCATTTGTAGATGCTTATCTTTTGTTATTAAAATTCCATATACATTTCATTTTGGCTTTACAAAACTATTTTGGTTAATGTAAGCATACTGAAAAGAGGGTTTGCATTTAGAGTGATGCATTTCGTAGGTCAGAGAAGATACTGTTATTTATCATCAGCTATATGTGTGATTTCTTTTTCAACTTCCCAATAGTGGTGGAGATATTTGGGTCATCTATCTTTGCAGGTCCTTGTAATAATTGTCATCAGGAAATGTACATGTGTAGGTAACTGGCAGGGGTTAGTGGTTCAGACTATGGCCATTAAAAAAAAAAAAAGGCATTAGCTGGGTGCAGTGGCACATGCCTGTAGTCCCAGCTACTCAGGAGGCTGAAGTGGGAAGATTGCTTGAGCCCAGGAGTTCGAGGCCAGCCTGAACAACATAGTGAGGCCCTGTCTCTCTCTTTTTTTTTTTTTTTTTTTTAAATAACATTCCGCATTTCCTCACCCATGGAGATGGTACTCATAATAGTTTTATGAATGTAGGAAGAAACTGAAGTTAGCTCCATTCAAGTTGGAAGAGCAGTATATACCGGAAAGAAATTCAGTGAGCATTCTGAAAATTCTGATCCTAGAGGCTTCAGCCCATTTAAGTGTTAATTTATCACTAGATTGTTATTTTTATTTTAGAATTTCCATTGTACTTTTCAGATAAATCTATGGTGCCTACACTAACAGCATTTACATTCTTTTTTTTTTTTTTTAACAGAAATGTCTTAGCCTCTGGAAGGCCATTTTATTCACTAACACATGCTAGGAGGCTTCAGCAATATCCTGCTCCATTCTAGAAAACAGCAATTTGATCCTTTTTTCCTCCTCAGTCATTAACAAGATTATGCATTTGCGGTGAGATGATCCTTCTTGAACAAGTAGCCAGAAATCATTTGTTCCAGTTTCTTCTCAAGGTGCTGAATTAAGTCTCGTCTCATAAATCTTGTGGCTTCCTTGATGATGGATTCAAAAAATCATTTCTTGACTTCTATAGGTCCTTGCAGTCCTTCAAGCAATTTGAAGAGTTTTTCATATTTTCGTCTAAAGTGTTGAATTTCCTTCACTAATTGACATTTTATATCAGCATTAATTTCTTCTTGACATTTTGGAAAAGGGAGTATTTCTGTGACTTTTAGGTCATCTCCAGAGAAATTGCTGGTAATGATTCCTCCTACAGGTGCATTTCTACCAGGTTTCTGCATCAGCCCATCTTTGCTGCAACCACTGAAGTCATCAAACCGAGAATCCAATTGGCTTGGTGGAATACCATCTCCTGCCATAAGCTTCTTTTCCTTGGACATGGCAGAGCCTCCAATAAGGCTGTCTCCTGCTCTTTGTTTCCTTAACAACAGGGCCATCTTCTGCCTTTTCTGAGATGAAGGAGTCTCAGATTCCCTGGGACGTTTAAACACATTTTCAGGTTCTACAGCAACCTTCTCTGCTTTATCAGTCATTGTTTCCAGAAGGACCGATCCAGTATGGCCCAAGGGGGATGGAAGGGAAACTGCCTGCTATGGCGTGCCCTGCCCCAGCCAAATACTGGGAACACTGGGAACCTGTGTGGTGCGCCGGAGTCCTGAGGAGAAGCCTTGTGTTCAGTAGGATCACGGGTGCCAGCCCCGACAATCATGGGGCCTGCATTTACACTCTTTCCCACAAACCTCACAGAGTTAAACTTCCTTTCTTTAACTCTTTGCTGTCACCTTCTGCTAAGCTCTGGGGATTCTACTTGTGTCCTAGGAAAAAGTCTTCCTTACTCCTTTCCTACCTTATGCATTTTTCCTTTTTTCCTTTCTGAACCTCAGAAAGCGTCAGCTTTATTGAATAGAATGATGTCACTCTTTCTTCTTATGACCACTTTCCTAATTGCTCTCTTTAGAAGGTCCTGTAATATCTCTCTCGCACCGTTTTTAAAAAAAATTTCCATAGGTTATTGGGGTACAGGTGGTATTTGGTTACATTAGTAAGTTCTTTAGAGGTGATTTGTGAAATTTTGGTGCACCCATCACCTGAGCAGTATACACTGCACTCTATTTGTAGTCTTTTATCCCTCGCCCCCCTCCAACCCTTCCTCCCAAGTCCCCAAAGTCCATTCTATCATTCTTATGCCTTTGCATCCTCATAGCTTAGCTCCCACATATCAGTGAGAACATACAGTGTTTGGTTTTCCATTCCTGAGTTACTTCACTTAGAATAATAGTCTCCAGTCTCATGGAGGTCGCTGCAAATGCCATTAATTCATTCCTTTTTATCTCATACACCCTTGATCTGTATTAAGTGTGTTGGATTTCCTCTTCTCTATCTATGAAATTGACCCAAGGCCTCACTGAGGACCTGAAGATACAATTAAAGTAGAATGACAGAAACTAGTAAACACTTGAGGCTTATCCAAATGAATGTTTGATATGTTAGGGACTTTTTAAAGCTGTCCTCTGTTTTACATAACAAAGGACAAAATGGATCATTTCATAACAAGGAGTCCTAAGAGATAACTAAACTCAACTAAAATTGATTTAACTTCTGGAGAGCTTTCCAGATTATAGTCCACAAATACTAATATGTTAATATTACTTTCAGCCATAAACCATCTCATTAGATCTCCTGTCTCTTTTCCTAGCAATAATACACTGTCACTTGAACCAGCAGAATGTAAACTTTACTGGCTCATAATTTCTGGTCTATAAGGAGAGAATGGTGAAAAAGTGGGCTAGAATGGCTCTTTGGGGAATGGTGGTGCAGATGAGAAGTGGACTGGCCTGTAGCTGGGCAGCCCTTTTTTCATTTCATGTCCTGTTTCTCCTCTAGAACTCAGAGAATCATTTACATGTTATACATCATCTACATTTTTCTCATCCCAGCTGCTTCATTCTTTAGATGAATAATATGCTCCCCTGAATAAGTGCTATCTACCTTCTGATAGTTTTTAAAAAGAAAAGTTAAATTGTCATAGCATTTATTATATGAGAGATGTTAAGACAAGAAGTAGAAAACAAGAAAATGTAACTTTGGAAAGAGTTCTGTATAGTATATTTCAAAAAGGTGAGGCAAGTAATTTCTTTCTATTAATCCATATATATTTTTTTAAATTTAGGAATAGAAGGACAGTCTGTGGAAGTTTCCAATATTGTGGACATCCGAAAAGTATATAACCGTGAGATTGCAATGAAAATTTCTTCTGATATAAAAAGCCAAAATAGATTTTATACTGACCTAAATGGGTACCAGGTAATTTTTCCTTTAAAATGTTTAAGTAATGGTTGTATTGGTGTGTAATTCTTATATATAACAATGGCCCAGTTAATTTTGGATCCTTTGAAAAAGTATACTTAAAGTTGCAAATTATATCTAAAATAAAACTGAATTTTGACAGAAAATTTCGGGTTCTACAGTTAGAAGAAATATTTGGGAGACCATTTTTTTAGAACATCTTTTTGTAAGGATTTATTTGTTCAAAGGGTAAATTTGGTGACCACTATGAATGTTAAATATCTTGATGCTAAAAAATATATATATGAATTTATCTACCAGAAAGGAAACATAATTAGGGATTGATGGATTATACTTATTGGGTTTTTTTTTTTTTTTTTGAGAAAGAGTCTCGCTCTGTTGCCCAGGCTGGAGTGCAGTGGCATGATCTCAGCTCACTGCAGCCTCTTACTCCCAGGTTCAAGCGACTCTCCTGCCTCAGCCTCCCAAGTAGCTGGCACTACAGGCGCACACCACTACACCCAGCTAATTTTTGTATTTTTAGCAGAGACACGGTTTCACCATGTTGGCCAGGCTGGTCTCGAACTCTTGGACTCAAGTGATCTGCCCACCTCGCCCTTTCAAAGTGCTGGGATTGTGGGCATGAGCCACTGTGCCCGGTCTGTTTTTGTATTAGCCCACTCTCACACTGCTATAGCGAAATACCCAAGACTGGGTAATTTATAAAGGAAAGAGGTTTAATTGACTCACAGTTCTGTATGACTGGAGGGGTAGCCTCAGGAAACTTACAATCGTAGAGGAAGGGGAAGCAGACAAGTCTTACATGGCTGCAGGCAAGAGAGAGAAAAGCCCAGGGGAACTGCCATTTATAAAACCATCAGATCTTGTGAGATCTCCCTCACTGTCAAAAGAACACCATGGGGGGAACCACCCCCATGATCTAGTCTCTGCCCACCAGGTCTCTCTCTCAACACCTGGGGATTACAATTCAAGATGAGATTTGGGTGGGGATACAAAGTCTATATTAGTTGTCCTCATAAGGAATTGATCCATACCTATTAAGTTTGTTCCCTATATATTGGTTTAATGTATGATCTAATAATGGGCCCTTGTAAATTTCAGGAAAACTCTTCCTCTATATGTGTGTGTGTGTATACCATTATACATACACAGACACACATGTATACATATACATAGGTATATCTATTCAGAAATGGGCAGGTATATATTTAATCAAAATTTTCATGAAATGTTTCAAATTGTAGTAAGGAAATTGATTTATACAATCTTATCAGGTTGTCAATTCTCCAATTTAATAGAGCACTTTTGATTGTTACCTAAATCTCTGTTTTCTGAGTGTATGTGTTTGATAACATATCTTTGAAATACCATTAAAACCATGAGCATGTTTTTAAAACAAGTGTTTTAGAAATTTCTGGCTGTGAATAGAAATAATTTTACAATAAACACTTTGATTTTCAACTGGGGGTGGGTGAAAAAGATTTTAATAATTTTCTCTTCTATGATTTCCTGCAAAAGTTAAATTTAAACTTTTTCCAAAACATAAAAATTGCAGCATACATTCTGAATTAGCATGTTAATTCGACTACAGCCATTTGGATTCCAGATAAAATCTCAACTTCATGGTGATTCATTTTTTTATGTACAAAAGAAAGTATTTTCTTAAAATTATACAAAACCAGTTATTTGTATTTTTGGGTGTAGACATGAATGAGAAACTTAGTAAAACCGAATAACTAAAAATGTGAATTTTCTTTTTGAGGATGGAACGTTTGACTAAAAAAGAAAATATTACTTTTAAGTCTGTAATATTTCTGCTTTTAAAATTGACCATTTTTTAAGCTTTGGATATAGTAGTACTTGGGCAAAACTAGGTATCTAGCTCCACCAGTGGGGAATCGGGGTAGCAACAACACGATTGTGGTAGTTTTACATTTTTTAAAATAAGTTTACATTTACAAGTTAATTGGGTTTGGAAAGGAGAAATAGAGAATTCTTTTAAGGTAGCTTTACTTTTTTTTTTTTCTTTAAACATTTTACAGTTGTAGCTTTATCAGTTTATTAATTTCCCAAGGCTGCCATACAAATGGAATCACGTAAAACAACAAAACTTTATTCTTTCACAGTTCTGGAGACTAGATTTCTAACATCAGGGTGTTGGCAGGGCCATATTCCCTCCAAAAGCTATAGGGAAATAACCTTCCTTGCCCTTTCCCAGCTTCTAGTGGTTGCCTATGCTTGGCATTCCTTGGTTTGTGTATGCATCACTCCCATCTCTACCTCTTTTGTCATACAGCGTTCTCCCTATGCCTCTTGTATCTGTCTGTCTGTGTCCAAATTTCTCTCTTCTTGTAAAGATGCCAGTCATTAGGTTAGGTCCCAACATAATCCAGAATGACCTCATCTATTTCTGCAGAGGCTGTATTTCAAAATAAGATCACATTCATGGGTTGTGGGTGGACAGGAATTTGAGAGAGGGAGGCATTATTCAACCTAGTACAACCAGTAATTTGAGGGAGACATTGCAGGGTTGCTGGGAAGATTAAAGATCACATTTGTGAAATACTCCGGACCATGCCTTTCGTTAATGGGCACTTAATACATGTTAACTATTACGGTAACTTTGTACCTCTTCTTTTCTTCACTTTTATATCCAACTTTCATGAGTTTAAATGAGGAGATGACATTTTTATGTGGTATCATTAAGATTCACTGATAATAGGGTTCTGAGCTTAGAGTCAGTCACTGTGACCCAGATGGGCTTTGGGGTTACCGACAGTCTTTCTCAAAAAGTAGAGTCATATTTCAAACATTCAGGTACTAGGCTGCAAGGAATTGGAATTTGGAACTATCTACATTGAAACTAATCAAAAAGAGTAAGCACTGAATGGTTTTTAAATATAAATATGCATTTGATTTTAACATAATATCTTAGAAGATTTGGTGCAGAGACCTGTGGTATTTATTAAAACCAATTCAAGAATAATAAGAGATATTTCTTGAAAGGGGATAGAGAGGTATTATACTTAGCATTCATTACAAAAGCAGTTTGTTAGATTTAGATGAGAAATGAATACTTAATACCTTTATAATTTGTTTTATGCAAATATTGGAGAGCTAGAAGACTTTTAAGCATTTTTATTCTGAATTTAAATAGGAATGCCTATTTTAAAAATCTGGACAAGTTCTACCTTTCCCACCTAAAAGTTGTTTTCTAATATCCTTGTGGTTTTTCTTCATATTGTTTTAAATAATGTTTTAATTTTTAAATTATTTCTTCCACTGAATAAAAAGGAAGCTTTGTCTTTTTCTCTTGGGAAGAAAAATCACCTGTCCTCAAGTTTTTAAAAGAACATATGTAAATATCACTTTTTGTAGATGGAATTGTTGTGTTTTATAGATTCAACCTAGAATGACACTGAGCAAATTGCCTCTTCAAGCAAATGTCTATCCCATGACCACAATGGCCTATATCCAGGATGCCAAACATCGTTTGACACTGCTCTCTGCTCAGTCATTAGGGGTTTCGAGTTTGAATAGTGGTATGTATTGCTTACACTCTTTTCCACTCTGAAAGGTTTCAATTCCAACTGTATACTTTTTCTGTTGGTCAGATGTGGTATAATCTCTAGTTAAAACCTCCCTGTCTTCTTTTCAGCTTTTTTCTTTCAACAACCAGACTATTAGTTAAGTTTGGGTTTTGTGAGAACAACATAAAAAGATGAATCTCCTAAATCTTCAGATGAAGAACAGGAGACCTAAAATTCCATGTCAAGATTTCTTTTTAAAGATAATTTGCTTCTCCTAATAGTATGTATTTTGCAGAGGTCTCCATCATCATTATGATTTAACGGATGTGGAAACTCAGATTCAGAGGTTTAGATAAGTTGCCTACGTTTGCAAAGTTGGGAAGTTGTGGTTCAAACTTAGGTCCTTTTCTGAATCATGGTCTTTCTATTCTGCTACCACCTGAAAGAAGGAAGGGAGTAGAAATGATAGAGATATGGGGATAAAGAGGTGTGGCTTTGAGGATTCCAAAAGAGAGAAAGTGATGCGCAGAAAGTGAGAGAAAATAGTCAATAGACACTGATTAATTTTTGCAAGTCTTTCTATTGAGAGGCTTTGATCCTTTATAATACATATTTTTAATTGGTTATCATACATGGTATCATTGGTCTTCTTACATTCTAAGAGTTGGTAGAGATACATATCTGAAGGAGCCAGATAATAACTGAGTGCAGATTCCTGGTGTGTCCTTTGACACAAGCCCACTTTTTACATGAGGCGTATACATGCATTCTGTATCTTACACACACACACAAAAACTGCTACTTCTCATTTTTCTTTGTGGCCTTCATTAGATAAGATCATATAAACTCATGCCATAAAGACATGAATTCGATTTTGAAAGTAGTAATGGTTCCACATCAGGGATCCAGTAGGGAGGGTTAGAGACTTGAGCAAACTGAAGAGCATGTTCCCGATGTGCAGTGGGGCAGCATTGTTGCTGTGTGGTTAGGGGCCCAGTGTTGCTAAATTCAATTTTTTTTTGAAGAAGAGTCCAGAAGTCTGGAATTTTACGTGAAGTTGTTCAATCTGTAAAATATTGATACAATTTTTTAAAAAACACTATGTTGAGAAAACATAAAACATCTTTGTGCCGTACATGACTCTTGAGCCACTCATTTTTAAACACTGCCTTAAATTCTCAAAGCTGTGCCCTAAATAGAGGACTAGACAGTAAGACTCAAGCCGTGGTTAACAAAGCAGCATTATCTCACTTCCTGGAAATGTGATGTACATTTCCTAATAAACCTCATAAGCATTTTTGATTCCAAATGGTGCTACTAAAAGTTTCGGAGAACTTAATTTACTCTTTAGGTTAATGTTTTGGAAAAAAAGTTTCATTTAAATTTTGATCTGTCCTGTCTCACTTTTAAATTTCTTATCAGATATTGTGAAACATTACTAAAGAAACACAGAAATACTATCCTGTTTTATGAATTTGTAGTAGCTACTTTGAGCTACTATCAAGAGAAAGCCCATGGTGTAGTGGGTTGTATAAATCCACCTCCTTGACTAGAGAGGAAATTTAGAGCAATACATCATGACTGCTACTTAAGTGATGCTCAATGAATGTCAGTATTAAATTATTCTGGTCAGTTTTGCTTGTTTGTTTGTTTGTGTGTTAGGTCAGATTGAAGTTATCATGGATCGAAGACTCATGCAAGATGATAATCGTGGCCTTGAGCAAGGTATCCAGGATAACAAGATTACAGCTAATCTATTTCGAATACTACTAGAAAAAAGAAGTGCTGTTAATACGGTATGAAAAAATAACTAGCATGATCTGATATTGATTGTTCTTTGTCACCCAAAACTTGAAATTATGACTTTCCACTTTTAAAATTTTAAAAATCATTTCCAATATTGAGATTTCTTTATAGTAGATGTGGCCCACATTCACAGAAAGAGAACTTCAGTTATAAATATCGTGTAAGATTTGCACTTAGGTCTTTTTATTTTTTATGTTTGCTTATTATGTAGATAAAAAATAATGACAGGAAATCACTTTGGGTAAATATTCCTGAAATTATTTTGAAAGACATAAGAATTGAAAAATTGAGCTAAATAAAAGTTAAAGAATAGAACTTAGTCATATACTTAGGAGATTAAATTTGGTAAACTTTATTTGAAATCTTAGTAAAATTTATTTGAAATCTTAGTGTACTTATTCTAGTCTTAGACTCTTCAGTTGAAAATGTATTTATATGTAGGTTTTCTATGAGGTTTACTCCTCAAAGCAAAAATCTAGTACTCTGTGTTGAATGGTCTGGCAAAAGCCCAGCTGGACCTGAATGACCTGACGATATGCTTGTTCAGGCAAAGTTATCTTCAGAGTTCTCCGTAAGTTATTGATCCACCCACCTTGGATAGCCCTGAGCATGGGCTTTTTCTTTTTGCTCTATTCTCCTTTCTGCACCTGACCATTGCAAGTCCTTTCTGCTCTTTTCAGCCAGTGATCGTACCTTTCACTTTATAGAGAGAACAGCCATTAGACAGGGCTCTCTGTTCCAGTTATCTAACATCTACTCCCACCCTTCCCATCTCTCCTCCTGTTACATTTAAAAGACACTTTACAGTCCATCATCCTAGGCAGGTCCCACCACTTGTCCTTGGAACTTACTCTCTTCACCCACCTCAGCATCCTTTTACTGTTCATTCTCTCCCTCTCTCTTTCTCCCTTGCTCCTCATATCCAACACTTCCTGGGAGATTCTTTCTGTTAGCTTTTGAACACTCTGTTTTCTTCTATTAAAAGTAGAAATGGAATACAGCCTTCCTTCAGACTCTTATTTCCATTTCCTGTAAGCTGCTATCCTCTTCTCTCCTACCCAATTGAGTCAGAGTTTATGAGATGAGTTTATTTCATCACTTCCTTCTCACAATCCATTTGTTTCAGTCTGGCTTTAGCCTCCATCATATTCTGAAAGAGCTCTTTCCGATGTCAGTAGATCCAGTGCATATTGACTTTCGTCATCTTACTTCACCTTTCAGCAGTATTTGGCACTGGCCATTGTCACTCTCTAAAATACTGCCTTGCCAGGGCTTCTATGGAGCTATGCAGTTTGGTTTTCCTCCTACCTGTCTGGCAGTTCTTTATCTCTCTAATAGTTCTCTACTCAGCCATTAAATCTTAGAGCTCTCAAAGCATGTCCCCTGGCCTTCTCCTTTTCTTATTTTTTATGCTATCCCTTGGCAATCTCTTCTACTCCTCTGGTTTTGTTTGCATCTTCCACACAGGTAGAAGCCACTAATACATATCTCCAACTTAGGCTTGTGTCTGACCTCCTGATTTATCTATCTAATTGCTTCCTGATATTCTCTGTTTAGAAGGACACCTCAAGTTTGACATATCCAAAACACTCATAATCTCTCTTCTCTCCCAAACCTGGCCCATTTTCAGTGTTCCCCCCAGTCAACAGCCACCGCCATCCATACAACTCCAAGACAGACATGAGTTCTGCCTGATAGACACTTCTCCCCATCAGCCTTTTCTCACAGAGTAATTGCCATCACCTATCTATCTCATTGCCTGAATATTTCAAATTTATAATCTTCTTTACTTCCACCACCCTAATCTAAAGTGACTTCCTGTATTTCCTGGGTCTAGCCTATACACATCCACCCTGTTCTCTTTCTGCCGTATGTCTGTTCTTAACCCAGAAGGCAGAATGGTTTTTTTTTTTGTTTTTTTTCAAAGCCACATCTAACTTTATTGCTTCCTGTTGAACCCTCTGATATCTTCTCATTGCTATCAGTATAAAAGTCAAAATTTCTTACCACGGCCTCCAGAGCCCCTCATGATATGGGCCCTGCATGTCCCCTAGGCATTGGCATTGGCATGCCTTTTACTGTGTCTGCTTTAGGCCCACTGGTTTCCTTTAAGTCCCAAGTACTTTCCATCCCCTCCTCCCCACCGCACTTTTGCACATGGCCTGTTATCCTCTGCCTTAGAGACTCTTGGTGATAGTTCCGGTTAGTGCTTACTTCATCAGCTGCTTCTGGACCAGGTTAAAAGCCCTTCCCCTATGCTGCCTCCAAACTGTGCATCTCACCTTCCTGCAAGTGTGCGATTATTTGATCCTGTCTTCTCCCCTCCTTTGGACCATAAACTCCATGAGAGTGGGGAATGTGCCTTTCTTTGCTTCTAGGATTGTTCCTGGCAGAGGACATGCCTAATATATGTCATATGAATGAATATCGAAATGCATAGATGAATGAGCTGTTAGAGTACATTTTGCCACTGTATTTATTGCAATTTCTGCCTATTACCTTGTCTTCATATGCATGTTGCATTCCTCCTACTAGATTCCAGGGACTTGTTGCCTTCATTTTCATTTGTCCTTATATTTGGTAGACATTCTTTAAACAAAATACTAGTTGATTGAATGAAATAGCAACAGCTAATTAAAGCAAAAATTCTTCCAGTATTTAGAATATTTTAGAAAAAAGAATTAGTATCCACTTTAGATGTCAAGAGCCATACCATTCTTGAGACTCATATTTTAAATCAATCACTGACAAGATAGCTTAGTTTTAAGGACTAAATCTGCATAGGAAAATCATTGTCTGAGTGCTGACAGCTACTGTCTTTTGCTCCTCCTGAAAAAGTTTCTCGCTTATATGACTTTATATTGACACTAATCTATAAAACTTCTGTTAACTGCAATAATAAAAATTTTCACATCAAATCTATAAAGCTTTGACTTAGAAGTGAAATAATTTGTTTATTCCCATTCAGAACTCCTTGGATAGTAATTGATTTAAATTTAATTTAATGTTTTTATGTTGATTAAATTTTTCTTTTACTCAAGTATAGATTCTGGGTCTTCAATTAATGGTTTCTTTTAAATAAGAAATGAACTAGAGAAGAGAAAATACATTTTAATGTCTAGTGAAAATAATTAAAAAGACACTTAATTGATGAAAGTTAATACCATGTAACTTGAATTTTCTAGAAAGAGTTCTTAATTTCAACTCAGACTCAAATATCTAAAATAATGATGGAGGGAAGTGAAGTAGGGGGATACTCCCTGAATAGGAAGAGATTTTAATGGGAAGCCCTGAGCATGACAGAGCCTCATGGAAATAATCCCGAGCTGACTAAGTGGAAGTAAGTCCTGTCCTCAGAGAATTCTGCAGAGAGTCAGTAAAAACAAGGACTTGGATGATATCCACTGTGTAATATGTGCAGGTGTCCAGTGAGGACTGTGGCTGCACGAGGTTGACCATCATTTATGCTAATCATCCTCAAAGCCAATAGAAATGGAAAATAGGATTCATCTCTTTGGCATTGCCAGGGTTTGAATGTGTCCCCCAAAAGTTCATGTGTTGAAAACTTGGCTACCATTGTGGTAATGTTGGGAGTGGGACCTTTGGGAGGCTTTTGGGTCATGGGGGATCTGCCTCATGAATGAATTAATGCCATTATCATCGGAATGGGTTAGTTATTGCAGGAGTGGCTTTGTTATAAAAATGAGCTCTCTTGCACTCTCTTGCCTTTTCACCATGTGATAATGCAGCAAGAAGGCCCTCACCAGATGCCAGTGCCATGCTCTTGGAATTCCCAGCCTCCAGAACTGTGAGCTGAATAAACTTCTTTTATAGATAAATTATCCAGTCTGTGGTATTCTGTTATGGCAGCAGAAAATGGACTAAAAACAGGCATTGACGGCTTTAGGATTTGTTTCTTTGACGGTTTATCCTTACCCCTTTCCTGCTACTGGTTGGTTAATGAGGCACTGAGCTAGGAACCCTGTAAGTGTTCAAGTGTTAAAATTGTGTTGTTGTACCTTTAAATATAAGGAGAAGAAATTGGGAGAGATCAGATTAAAATATTAAATACTTATATGGTTTAGAAAAGTGACAGCATAAGGGAGATCAACCAGGTTTAAGGGTAAATACTTAGGTGACCAGAAGATCTACAGTAAACTTGAGGACATATCCCACCAAGACCCACAACTCAGCTCCAGCTGATTGTTTCCACAATAGGACTGAATGCCTGCCCAGGGTGACACAGATTTCCAGTTTCTTGGGTAAAAAACAAAAAATGTGTTTTGGGTTTTTTGAGGTTGCTTTTTTATTATGAATTTTTTATTAAAGAGTTGGCTTAAAAACAAAAAAAAAAAAACATTTTAATACCATACAGACCTACCAAAATGTGTGATCTACAAATCTGCCCCACAGTCTTCAGCTACAGATACTTACCTCCAAATGTTATGATTCAATGTATTATTCTTCATTTTCTCTCCTCCTTCCTCTTTGTCTTTTTTACTCCACCCTTCCTCTCTAGTGTTCTTCTTTCATTTATTTATATTGCATTTGCTTATTAAATTAATAGATTTACTTCAACAGACATTTATTAAGTTCCCACCATGTTTCAAGTCAAACTGAATAAACAAGGGTAACTTAAAAAATGGTCTCTTACTATCTCACCATGATTTAACAGGATCGTTTAACTCAAAGTGAGCTTAATAAAGGGCACCAAGAAGTCTGGCAAGAAGTTCTGACTCATGGACTAAGGGCTGGAACCCAGTGAGGAAGAGCTGTACTTTGTGTGGTTTGGATCAGAAGGTGCTAGAAACTTTCTTTAATGTCAGACAGGCTGCAGAGAGAAAGCTACACTTATACAGTCTGAAACCTTCCAACCAACAAGAAATTAAATAAGGTTTATAGTACTAGATTAGTTAAGTACAAGGCTGGGGTATTCATTTATAACTTAAACACATAAAATTTCCTGTAGAAAACATGTTTTTAAAACTTTGGGTTTATCATATGATTTACAGTGGAAAGGTTACCTTTGTAGAGATTAATTTAAATATTGATGGTTCAACAGTTAATATCTTGTTGAGCCTCTTGTTGCTGTAAATATGATAAGAAAGTACATGAATGGCAGAACTCTGGGTGAGACTTTGCCACTCCAACCTGGCCAGCCTCCAGCAGTGTTATTTTTTCATGGTGCTCTTAGGGTAGTGAACCACAACTCTTCTATAAACTTCCTTATCTTTCTAAGGACAGTAAACTACACAGTTTTTAAATTCTTGAAGTCCTTAATATCCATGACATTGTTTCCTTTTAGAAGACTCCCATCAAAATGTCTTTGAAACTGAATCTTGTTTTTCTAATGCAAAGGTAGTTAAAAGGTAAAGTTTATCTTTTGATTCTAAAGGGAGCTCTGTTTTCTCTATAAGATTGGATGTCTGGGGTGGCACTTCCCGGCACAGGGTCATGGAGCAGTGTGCGGCTAACTCCATGAAATTCACCTGGGGAGGCTTTTCAGCTTTGCATTTTCAGGACCCCACCTCTCAAGATTGTGTAGATTTGGGATAGGACCCAAGAATCTATGTTGATTAGAGGTGCCCCAACTCATTCTGTTGTGTGGTTAATTTGGGGAAACACCAACGGTTAGGAAGAACTAATTTGGTTTGGAGGATTGGTATATATGCACGTTATTGCTTCTGGAGTATAGAAGATTAATCAGGAAGTGTTCTGGCTACTCACTGGAGTGGTGAGGAATTACTCCAAGAGTGTGGAACAAAGCCAGAGCTTTCTCTGAATGTTTCTTGACCTAGAGTGGACTTAATACTTCCCAGATTTGATGAGGGAGGTGTTTTCTTTTCTGTTTGAATCTTTTATGTTTTATTACTCGTGAGTGACTTTGTCAGCAATCCTAACTTAGATTATGAAGTCCTTTGATCTTGGAGTACATTTAAAATATCTTGTTGAAATTGTTCCCTCTCTATTCATGTTATTCTACGAGCTGCATTAAATTTCAGTGTTGTTGGAGAATATTATTTTATATGCTTTATTTAATCTTTCTTTTAATACAATTCATTCAGACCCGATTTTTTATCAGTATCTTAATATTGCAGTGTCCCTCTGCTGTCTTAAAATTTTTTTTTTCTCTCTCCATAGTCTGAAATGTAATGACATCTAATGTTAGCTTCTGGCACGATGCTAGTCACTTTTTGCTAGCACCCTTCTGTGCAATGCTAATCTGACATTCTGAATTTTAAGCTGTATATCTCTATAAATCCTGTCTTTTCACACAGATCAGTAGCCAAGCCTTTTATCTGAGCCTTATATTACAAAAAGGATGCAAAATCAGAAGATGTCAATGGAGTAATCATTTTAAGAAATAAGATACAAAATTAAATTTGGTTCAAATGTAACTGGTGATCAAAGGACCTTTCTGCATAAATTATTTTCTAAGTTATTTGTGTCTGTTTTTACTCCTTAGGTTAAGATTCTACTCAGTCATTGATTTAATTTTGCATGTCATCTAGCATATTTAATCTACCAACATTAGTAGATTATTTAATGTTTGAACATACAGAAGTGTTGCTTTTAACCATATACCATAGCAAAAACTAAAGCATTTTAAATTATATGGAATAATCATATACTATGTAAGTGTGTGATAACTATTCAGTAACATATTTAACACTTCTACTTTTGGAATAAAAATAGTGAAACAATTGGCAATGATTTACCAAGTTGAAAGAAAACAATCAGATGATCTAGGCATGCCGCCTATGTTATTTATATTTAAAAATTGGATTTATTTTGAGAGTTTTGTTTTCTTTAAATTCTGTCATTGGGTAACATTTAGTTCCTATCATTTGGTAACATGGATGGACTTTAGCTTTGAATCAGTATATGCCTTTATGGTCTTGTTAAGGGGTATAAATGAAACTACAAGAATATGGTGGATGAAACCTGAGAAGGGAGATAATATTTGATGATGCACAACATATAATCTATGTACAGCCCAATCCTTGTACTTTGAGAGTTTTGTGATAGGTTGAGAATTTTCATAAAAAGGTATGCCTTGTCCTGAAATGTTTGTAGGAAATGTTTTCAGTATTTTTAGTATTAAATCAATGGAAGATATATTTTAAACATATGAGTTAGATGTGTGCTGTTTATTTTCTTTTATTGCTTACAACTAAACTTGGTAGTTTATGGAGTATTTTCTAAGACTGTTATTTATAAAATGTAATGAAACCAAATTATTCATATATTTTTATATTAAACCCTCTCAGATAATTCTGTTAATATGATGAGAACTGGAAATATAGACCTCTTAAACATTTTTGTTTTTTCTTGATAGGAAGAAGAAAAGAAGTCGGTCAGTTATCCTTCTCTCCTTAGCCACATAACTTCTTCTCTCATGAATCATCCAGTCATTCCAATGGCAAATAAGTTCTCCTCACCTACCCTTGAGCTGCAAGGTGAATTCTCTCCATTACAGTCATCTTTGCCTTGTGACATTCATCTGGTTAATTTGAGAACAATACAGTCAAAGGTATGTCTCAAAATATATCTTATAAAAAATTACTGTTTATTATGTACTTGTTTTAAGGGGGTAAGGAAAGGAGAAAAAAATAATGTATGCTTTACTATGCTTTGAGGAATTATTAACAGGGCTTCACCTTTAGCCAAAAGCTTCATGCCTTTCATTTGACTATTGCTGTATATTTTAGAGTATATCCTGATACTAATTTACTCTTAAGTTCTGTATGGCGAGCAGGTCAGGAAATACCATTAGTAGGTGGGCAATCTGGGCCTTAAGTTTAGCACTAGTGACTTTTCCCATTCATTTCTCCTTGTTAGACAATATCTCTCAGAAGCTAGAGAAATAGTACTTAGTTATTTCTATATCAGAGGCTTTGTATTTTCGTACCTTTCTCTTGAGAATCACTGCAACTCAGTTTCCCATTAGAAAACCAACTGTTTAGAAGAAATATTAGAGGAAAAGCATGGGGAAGTTTTATTAGGTATGAAATTTAATTTAGTTAGACTGCAGTTATATACATACCTGTTTTTAACATCAAAAAGATTGCATTTGGAAAGAATAAGAATTAGACATTTGACATTGTTCTTATGTGTTGCAAAGCTGTTTTGATATTGCAAATTGACATAGATTTAGCTGGAAATAGTAAGTGGTTATGGATTCTGTGGAAAATATCTCATGGTAAATGGCCTAAGTATGAAAAGAAGAGGATGCTCATGTTTAAAGACAATATAAGAGGTGAGAAATGTTTAATGTAGAACAAAGAACTAAAGCAATAAAGTAAGGATAAATGCCTATAATTTGGATATTAGAGATTTACAACTTTATGTCTAAGATATAGGAGAAAAAATATAATTTTTTTTTCTTTATAGATTTTTAGTTGAGACAATTTTGAAAGCAAAGGTCAGATAAACAGGGGAAAAATAGCAATAGTATATTGTACATGCTATACCTGTCACTTGGGAGAGGCCTAAGTTCAAAAGTATTTTTTTCCCAAGGCAGTGGTTTTGGCACCTTGCCTAAATAATGTTTTAACAAAGAGCCATAAATCCTCTAGAGACAAGACAAAGAAGAAAGCACCTTCAGGCTTCCAAAAGGTAGGAAAATGTGGGAGGATAAATTTATGGGAAGAGTGAAGTCTGCTCCTAGATGCTCTGGCACTGCTGTCTCTTAGCTAATTAGCAAGCCTTGTAAAGGGGCCTGTCTTTAGACTAGAAAAGGCAGAGAGGAAGGGATGAAGACCTCTTGTATTTGTAAATTGCTGTCCTGCCATCAAGCAGGCAGAAGAAGGGACAGAATGGCCCCCTGGTTTTTTTCCTTCTTCAGCTCAATAATCCTCAGTTTTTTGAGAGAGAAGTATTTTGGTTTCCTTCAGAGATAAGGAACTTATGCTTGGCTATGCAGGCAAACATATATGACTTATAATAATGACTACAAGCAAATGCTCGAGGCGTGTGTGCGTGTGTGTGTATTGAAAGGCTTTTTAAAATCATTATCAGTGAACTTGCAGGATTTATTTCCTACCCACTACATGTCAGTTACTGCCATAAAACACACAAATGCCCCTGCCCTTCTAGAGCTTAGATTCTAATGGGAGGAGAAAAACAAGAAAAAGTAAGAGAAATATGTAATATGTTAGATGGTGTTAAGTGTTATGAAGGAGTAAAAAGGGAACAGCCATTCAAAGGAGGTAACACAATTTTGATTAAGGTGTGTAGAGAGGGCCTCACAGAGGTGATAATGGAGTAAAAATCTGAAGAAGGTCAGAGAATAAGAGACTCCTGCAGATTTCTGGGGGTAGAGTGCTCCAGGAAAAGAGCAAGTGTGAAGGCCCTGAGGCCGGAGAGATATGTGGCCAGAACAGAAGCTCCATGAGAGCTATGCTTGTCCTTTATTCATGGCTATATCCCCGTGAAGAAGAGTGTCTGCACATAGGATCTCAAAAACTATTTTGAATCAGTGAATTGTGTAGATGTTTTTTCTAGGATTCTGCTGTGGTTTTTTGTAGGTCTACATTTTGGCTCCCCGAGGTGTCGTGTCATAAATTCATGAGCTAAAAGAAACAGAAAGAATAGAGTGGAGGGCATCAAATACTCTGGGCTTGAGGTTACCACCACCCAGCATAGATGGTAGAGGACATCAGCGACCTGAAGAACCCAGAGGCTTCTGGGGAGGATGGGCGGTCACCATCCCTTAGCCTCACTTCTAGGTGGCTCCTCCACTGTAGTTGTTTTAAATGTGATTGTTTTCTGGAAGCAGCTGGAGCTGACTAGAGTCAGTGAGCATAGGGTTTTACCTTCTGTAAACGAAGCCTGGAACTTGTTTTTTATGTCACCTTTTTTTGTGGTTACTCACTTCTTCACATCCTTCCTGCTTTTGACTATTTTCTTGTAATACAAATCTAATCACTTCTCAGATGAAAAATCCCGTTGCCTACTGAATTGGTTCAGACACTGAGCATTCAGGTCCTCTGCAGCCTGGCCTCTACTTACTGCAGCCACCTGGCTTCCCGTTGCTCTTCGTGCCTTTGGACAGGTGGGCCACCCTCCCTACCTGTGGGCTGAGTGACTGCTGACTCAGCTACCATTTATAACATGAGGCTAATGTCACGTATTGCTGTGTCAGGTCTTTTGCTAAAAACAGACGAAATCCTATTGTGAAAGCCTTTTGAGAACAAAGGCACTCTGTAAACATACCTTGTTATCCTAATGACACTTACTCCAACTTGGTTGCAGATTAGGGTTTTAGCAGAGGGAATAGAGAGCAACTTAACAACATAAAGATTTGACCAAGAAGATTAAAAACTGAAATGTTAATAATGCCTATTGATAACTACCATGCTGGCTCATAATCAGAACTAAATACTTGGCAGTTTTGCATTATCATATCAGTTGGTGCCAGTTCCTGTGTTAGCCTTTGACTCTTAGCACATATTTATAACAGTTGTTTAAAAGCCCACTAGTAATCCAAAGGAAGGACTGGTCCATTCAAAACCACTTCTTTAAAGAATTCCCTAACCTGATAATAGAAGGATAATCATTGAAGGGAACTGTTGTGGGTATTGATTCAAAGAAAGCTGTACTTACAAAATGTCCAGTGTAATTCCATGCTTATACTAAAAAAAAAGACCAAAATGACTCAATGAATAAGTACAGAAGCCAGACCTAAGCATTTTGGTTTGGGTTCCTGTTTCTGTGTGCTGGAAGCTTCCAATGTGCAATAATGGGCTGTTCATTTGGAGAATGCAACTCATTTTTCCCCTTGAAATAATGTCAAAATAGACATAGGTTCCAAGCAAGACCTGAAGTCTGCATTGGCCTGTATTTAAGTAAGCATATTCCTAACCACCACAGTATTTCATGAGAAATGTGTCTGAAGGCCACCTTAGCATGATAAGGACGCATGTCTTCCTGCCTGACCAACTCCTTCAGCACCATGATAGAGAGTGCCCTTGCTTGGCCCTCTGGGCCGCTGTCTAAAGGTTTCTCAATTCTAAACCTCAGTTGGTTTTCTTGACTCCTGGGATAAGGGGTTATAGATTCGAAGAACAGTGAGGGAGGCGAGTTGCAGGCTGCAGGTATGACAACCCACTGAGGTGGTTCAGCAGTTCCAGCTACTAGTCCTCAAATTCACTGTGCCCGGATCACACAGGGGAGATTTTAAACATAGAGACTTTTACAGATTTCCAGATCTCTGAGATTCTGATTCTATAGGGCTGGGGAGGAGAGCCTAGGAATTTGTAATTTTTAAAAATGTTTCTCATGAAATTGCTGAGTTATCTCCATTTCCTAAATTAGGAAAGTGAGAGTTAGAGCTAAGTTAAATGATAAAAATAAAATCACCCAGTGGTAAATGGCAGAATCAGGCGTTCTGAATCTCAGTGCTGTGTGTGGCCTCAGAGGGTAGCATTTGACTTTTTTAGAATTACTAAATTTGTTTCTAAAAGTCCAAGCTTTCAGGGATTGCTCTATATTAGTAGATGAGTTTACATTTTATATAGACATATCTTGCTTTTAGACAGACATATCTTGCTTTTCTGCTTTATATCAATTTTTGGAAAATGATTATATGCCGTATATTTGTATTCAGATGAAAAGGGGAACAAACATCTCTGGAAGCCCTGCCTCACAGCATGCTGCGTGGCCTTGCCCATTCCAGCCACTATCTACAAACTTACCCATTAGCTTTCCTATTCTGTTGGCCTGTCTTTCAACTCTTTTCCTTGATCACACCTTTCCCCTACACTATGAAGATCTTGAGATACTAAAAAGAAGCTTCTGTAAAGGTTTGAAACCTAGGGAACATGAACACCACTGAAATACACTACATGCAAAAGCCTTGTCATCAGGAAAGGACCATTATTTAAGAAGAAGGGAGATTGGGTAGAGAAGATGCAGGGAGGATCTCATGGGAGGACAGATGATGAGTCAGGCTTCTGAAGCTGGAGCTGCTGGTTCAGCCTGGAATAGAGGGACAAAGAGGAAGCTGGATAAGCTCAGCTTCATGGAGCCATTCTACTTGGAATACTTTAGAAATGTGATATGTAGTTCAGCTTTTTTTTTTTTTTTTAGATTATTTCCACAGCTTTTATATTTAGACATATTTATTTTATATAAACATGATATATATATATATCTTAACTCTTTCTCTATGTAATTTATTTTGATTTGTGTTTAACTGTTTCTTGCAAATAGTTAACCATCATTTCAATATCAGCACCACTTACTGAATAAGATTTTCTCTCTCCACTTGTTCATTCTGCCTCTTCTTTTCTTATAAAAGGCAGTTTGAGGATTTTACTTTATTTGTCTTTCTTATAAGAATTGATTGGTGCTTTATTGATCTCCCTAGCTTCTGGAAAGGTGAAAATTGTGAGAAAAAAAAATTCCTTTGTTGTACGTATCTCAGAACAGCCATTTACCTTCCCTTTCTTTCTGTCATTTTATCTTGTTGATCAAAACAGGATAGCTATTATTGGACATTTTAATGAGCACCCTAAAAAATGAATTTCTACTGGTTATAATACCATCTTAGGACTTATAATGAAGCATGTAATTTTCTAACCTTTCCAGCTGCCAGAATGCACTAGGGATGAGTGTTAGGTATTTTCAAAGAATCTGAGTGGGTTGGAGAAATTTTCCCACCAGATGTGTAGCCGTGCCTTAATCTATGTGCACCTTACTAACCGTGTGAAGAGGGTGGGGTCCCATGCATCCTGGAGAATTTGGCCAAAGTTATGGCCCCTCTCTTCCCCACAAACGGTGGTTGCACACATAATGTTTACTACAGTTTCCAAAAGTTTACTGTTTCTTTTGGTGCGAGAGAGGAATGACATAACTCACATCTTAAGATCTTCAGTAGAGGACTATTCACCTGCTTTTTTCCTTAAAAGAGACTGTCATGTGTGTATAATTTTCAGAATGGCTCAAATCCTATTTGAAGTGGGGTGAATGGATAGGTGGATAGGTGGTAGATGGAAGGAAATTACAATTTCCAAAGCTTGGTTTCTGAATTGATATATTTTTTGATAAGTTATAGTTTTATCTCTGCTGGAACCATCAGTCAATACTCTCCTTTTTCAGCCATAAATTGGAGGGGTTACCTCCTTTAGTTTACAGTATTTTGTTATTTTACATCAAAAATATTTTTTATCTTTTCTCTCCTGGCTAGGTATCTATGAGCACAAATTCATAGCTAGTGCAAAGGTAGGAGAAGGAAGCTGTTAAAAGCTTAAACTTTGGAGTCAGATGTCCTGGGTATGAGCATGTCTCCTTTGCTTTCTAACCATGAGACTTAGAGCAAGTCACTTAACTCTCTGAGTGTCAGGCTACTCCTTAGTAACATGGAGATGGTAATAATACTCACCTTAGAGATGTTCTGAGGATTGGAGATAATTTTAGTGTTAGTAAAGCACTTAGAACAGCATGTGGCACATAGTAAGCCCTATGAGTGCTTGACAAGTAAAGGTTCTCACCTGTGATAGTTCAGTCATGAACAACGGCAGTTGTCACTAATAATGAGGTAAAAACATTGCCAGAGTAAATCTTGATGTCACTTTGACTTATTCCTGATATTTTAGGTTGGTACAAAAGTAATTGCAGTTTTTGCTATTAAAAGTAATGGCAAAGCTACAATTACTTTTGCACCAACTTAATACTTTGTTAATAATTCCTCAGATATTTAAAAATAACATATCTAAAATTGTCTGTTTGCCAGGCATTGTGCCAAGTGCTTTACATGAACTTTATTTAAAGCTCTCACAACAACCCTAAGAAGGTAGGCAATATTTTCATCCCATCTTACAGAATAGGAAAGTAACTGACCTAGAGATATGATAGATAACTGTCAAGGGCACACAGCCAGTAATGTGGTCCTGGGAGCACGCTCAGGTGTGTCTGAGTCCAGATGGCTTCTCAGAACCTTATACTGTCTTGCATGGGAACAAGAAGGGAGAGGGAGCACTGAAAATGTGAGGGAATACACTGTCTATTTTTCTTGTGTCTTCAGTAATAATAGGACACCTACAGAGGATATCCCATCCATTGGCGGGAGAAGACTAAGGGCTAATCCAGGATCACTGGTGGTCATTGCTATTTGAGTATAAGAGAGAATGCTTTGTGATAGAGATTTTCTCGTATATTTACATATTTTAATACAAACTTATATATCACCTCAACTATTTCAAAGGTTGTTGTGCGATAAAATGAGTTAATTGATGAAAAGCATTCTGTACAGGATATGGCACACAGCAAGTGCTCAACAGGTATTAGCAATGACTGATATTGTCACTGCGGTTGACCCTCAGTCTTCAGAGGGACTCTTCACAGGTCCAGCTTAGCTTGCTGAATTTATAGAGGTTTACTCAAAGTCACATAAATGGTTCATGGTAGAAAAAATCATTGGTCTGATCCAGCTTTCTCTAAGCCCAGCTTTATCTGATGGCTTCATTCTGCAAACCAAATCATCTTTCCCCATACTCCACCAAGTTGCTGGAAGAGCCTCAGAGGCCCAGCTTAGTCTATGAGCTGAATGTTGGTTTTATCCCCTGAATTAAGTTTGCAATGGGTTTTCTCTGTGCAACTTTAGAATACGCCAGCCTTACTTCAGTAATTCAGCCTCGAAAGTGATCTAATCTGTTTTACAAAGATAGTTACCTACCACAGTGCTTGGCACAATTTCAAAAATTGTAAATTTTCTTCCCCACATCCTCCCATTTTATGGGGTCCAGATATTACTAATGCATTAATGAATGTAAAAGCAGTTCTTCCAAAATCTGTTTACTCTCCTAGAGCATACAGTGTGACTGCTTGAAGGTATCTGTTTTCCTGCATGCATATTCAAGTTAAATTCACAGTTTCCCTACTTTGAAAAACAGTTTTCTTGGAAATAAAATGTCTAGACAGACTTTGAAACTGAAAAACTGCTGCTTTGCCTCAGGTATTTTTGCTTGAAAACTGATACTTTCATGAATATTTGATTTTTTAAAAACTTGGACAAGATGATTGCTATTTCAGTTCGTTTTTACAAAAGTGATGTAATTTTAGTTTTGAGAGAAAGTATAACTTTTTCTATCAGTGAAAGTTAATTTTTATGACTTTTATCTCTATTTTTGTATTGTCGGTTTAAATCTCTTGTAGAATTCAAATGTAGAATTCCAAAGGTGTTTCCCTCCCCACATTTTTTGTCCCCTTCTGTTGCTATAAAGGCCTTACATATTCATTATTCCAAGAGCAAATGTGTTGCAGGAATTTTAGCCATGCATGCTATCAAGTGATATGTAAGGATGGACCCATGAGTTAAAATGGACAAATGCTTTAGGTTAGTAGTGATATGTGCTTTTAAAAGAGCTTAATGAAGAGGGTTTCTAATCTGTTAATCTGAATCCAGACTTTGTTATGACTTTGATGTACGACTCTAGACATATAATTTAGGAGTTCCCTGAGTCTTTAGCTACAAAGTTGTAATGTCAAATAAAGGAAATTTATGCTAAGGGCTTCCTGTGTGCCAGACATTTGGCCAGATCTTTGTTAAGCTATTTCATTTCATTTCATCTTCATTTTATGGAAAAGGAAAACCTGGTTTTGCTGAAACCCACAGCTAGTAAATTGCAGAGCAAGGATCCAGATCTCCAGCTGTCTGACTCCCCACTCAGGCTCTGAACCACTCTTACTACACAGCTCGTGCACTAGCGCATTCTGCCCTACAAGGCAGTGTGAAGCTACTTACATAGTATTTTCAACAGGTTAATCCACACAGTGACTCCATGAAGGAAATAATACAAGCATTACCTCCATTTTACAGGCAAGAAAATAGATATTTAGGAAGAAGAAATTACTATCCTAAGGTTTCACAGTTGGCACATGATAGAGTCCTGTTTCTTATTCTTTTGGAGATCTAATGATACCATAAATGAAGGGTTTTCCTATGTGTTATTTTTATAGTACATGGGCAGGGTGTTTTAAATGTATTGAAATGAATTAGAAATTTTTATCATATGATTTAAAATTGCTGTGTGTATCATGTGGTCTTGTGATGACTCAGAATTCCTTAAATGACTCTTCTCTTCCTTCAAACAAAATCTTAGCAGTACCCCTACAAAATATCAGTGTGAAACATCATAACATAGGTTATTCCAGCCAAGACTCTGAGGTGAGGACAGCTTTAAACTGTTCAGGCACATTAAAATCAAATCAGTGGTGGAGATTCTGGCAGCTATTCAGGAAAGATGTCTCTTTAGTACATTAAAAAATCTTATCCCCTAGTGAGGATGATCAGGCGTTTGGGCATATTCCTGTCTGTGGCCAGAGAACAGAGGAAAGAATCAGTTTTATCACAATGTCAGTGCTGAGCAGCACATGACTCTTTTCAAAAACTGTATGTTTCTTAATTTTTCCAGGGATTTTTAATTCATTTATCATAAACACCTTCCAACTTTAGGAAACAAAATTTATTAAGATAATTGTATTTTAAAATATTCAGAGGCCTAAACCATTCATGACATTGATACTTAAATGGATATGAGAAATTTTATTGCAAGAAAAGGTATACTGACCCTCTTAGCTGACTTGTCATGTTTAGTATTTTTATTTTTGCCTGCCTATCAACAATAGCTTCTGCAGTATCAATTTAAATGATACATCAAGCTGGTAAATGTGAGCTGGCCTACCAAGTGAAAGCATAACTAAATTTAAATAGCTCTGATATAAAAATAATGAATCAGTACATCAAAGATTAAGAATGCAGTTAGCAAAAATTAATGTTCAATAAAGAAGCATGTGTGACTTTTAAGTTAGATGGTATGTCATTCAATGACCAGATAAGGACTAAGTTCAGGTGCAGTTTATTCAACTGATGTGTGTGTTTGAAAAATAAGACGAAAACATAATGCTTTATTTGAATAAACTTTAATAAAACAATATATAATGTATGGACATAAGGAAACCTAAGTCCTCGGGGATTATAGGGGAAACCAAGGCATGAGGTTACCTAACAAGGAACCTTAGAACATAATCTTACCTGGCTCAGTACAAGTAGGAGAGAATGGTAGCAGGTGAATGGGCAGTGAGCATGGACCTGAGGAGAAATGAATTTGCCTAACTTTCTTGCTAAATAAATGTGCTTTTGGATGCTGACATCGAGAGAGTGGTGTGTGAAGTACCATAAATATTTGCTTTATTGTCTGCGCGGTGTGACTGCATTCTGCTCATTTGCAGGTGGGCAATGGGCACTCCAATGAGGCAGCCTTGATCCTCCACAGAAAAGGGTTTGATTGTCGGTTCTCTAGCAAAGGCACAGGGCTGTTTTGTTCTACTACTCAGGGAAAGGTAAGTTGAAAAGGTTATTTTTGCTTACTGTTAGTGTGCTTTGAAATCCTCTTTCTGCAAAGGATCTTGACAATAAGATCATGTTTCATTGCTTCTTTACTGTCTCAGTTTCATCAGTCTGCAAATTAGTTTGAATCTCCCCATCTGAAAAATGCACTTTCTCAAAACTTCAGCCTCCTTTCCTTGTTGACATCAAAAGGCATAGCTGGAATTTATGCACATTTGAAGGCAATGCTCTTGTTATTTCCTAGGCCTTCTATTTCCAGCCTACAAAGTGCCTTGCTCCCAGTCCCCCAGTTTTCTCCTCCCCTGAACCACACATGCTCACATATCATCTAGTTCAGCATTGGTAAACCTAAGTCCTACAGAGGCCAAGGCAAGTTTATAATAACTGAAGCTTATAGAGGTAGCCATAAAGAAGCAACTGGGAAAATTGAGACTGTAGGCTAGTGGGATAATCCACCCACAGCCCAGGAGGCAGCTGTACGTAGCGCCAATCAGTTGTTTTCCCTTGGGAAATAAATGTAGGTCTTGGTCTTCTGATTAATGCAGATTTGCATATGAGTCAACACACCGTGCAGGCCAAACAGATCCTCAGTCTGAACACAGCTTGCTGGCTGCCTATTGTTTATTTCTCTTCAAGTTGGTCTTTCTGGCAGTTCCATCAAGCCTGTCCTTGAAAGGAAACAAACCTCCAATCTCCTGCCTCTGTCACTGAAAGGGCCATGACTCAGAGAAGGCAGCTGGGCTGATTTAGGTACACAGGCAGGTCTGCCTCACCAGGCAGCTCAGCTGACCCAGCTTTCCTCCAAAACCTCATAAATAATGCTGTAGACCAGACTCAAGTGATTCAGTTCCAACCCTACAAATTAGCATGTGTGTGGGGTCCAAAAAGATAAGAAAAATGTGGTAGGAGCCCTGAACCTACTTAGATAGATTAGCTTCTACATTTCTTTTACCCTACCCTGCTTGGAGCTGGTGCCAAGAAAGCACTGATATTTTTATTACTTTTTTATTATACTGTATTTGCACTCTATTGTATTGTTGATGATCTAAGTTTACTTGGTTCTGAGCATTCTGACATTAAGGCCTTGAGTCATAAGGGGGTTATACGATCCAGAGAGACAGATAACATGGCAGCGGTGAGGGAAATACTTTCCAAATGACCTGTCCACCTCTATAGACTGGGACTCAATGACATAATGATCCCTCCTTGTAGTGAGCCTGTGTGCTCTCTCTTAACTCTGTTGGAACAGGAAAAAGTGGTTGAGGACTACCATTGTTAGGGGTAAGTATTGACTAAAAGAGAATGAGGATGTTTTTAAAGCTTCTTGGCCATTGGAGGTCCTTTCTTTTATTGAAAAAGCCCCTGTGCATGATAAAATTCTCAAGCAATACAAAAAGGAATGCAGAATATGTTGCTCATGACCATTACTGGTTTCCTGTTCCCTTCCAAGCGTAGTCTGTATGTTCAAGCATGTATATATGTATATTTAATTCACCCTTTTTTCTGTAAAAGAGAACTTATATATGTATATTTAATAACATATATGTATATTTAATCCACCCTTTTTTCCTCAAAAGAGAACTTCAACATACTGTTTTATTCCTTCTCATACTAATTTTCACAGAATATGTAGTTGTGCTGCTAATCTTCAAAGTTGATCTAAATATGTAAATTTTATCATTTACTTTTCAGATATTGGTACAGAAACTTTTAAACAAGTTTATTGTCGAAAGTCTCACACCTTCATCACTATCCTTGATGCATTCACCTCCCGGCACTCAGAATATAAGTGAGATCAACTTGAGTCCAATGGAAATCAGCACATTCCGAATCCAGTTGAGGTGAACCTGACTTTCACATTTGGATTGAGAATCATTGGCTTTTATACCTTTCTTGGTTTGACGTGCAATAAAGAAGCACATTATTTTAGCTTCTGGCTACTGTGAGAACATGAATTCTGTGATTCTGTGGGTTTTTTCTTTTTTCTTTTACCAGTACAGTAAGAAAAAAAAAAAAAAAAAAAAAGCCATGCTATCAATCAAGATTCTTTTTTTTTAAACTTTCTCCCATGAACTACCACCATCAGTATGAATTGATGCAACAAATGAAGAAATATTTAAAGACAGCCTCTCAACAGATTGTATCTCAGGTTAAATGCTAACTAATTATGTCTGTGTTGGGGGTTGCGAAGAGATTCTTAAAAGTATCTGTGTGTTGATCATCAGTTTTACAAAAACACCTATTTGGCTGAAATGGAATAAAATGTTTGTGGGTAAAAGCTAATGGCCAAAATGGTTGCAATCATTCATACTAGTTAGAAAAATTATGTGTTGAAATAAGTGGAAAAGTGCAATCCATCCACCCTTATGATTAACGTAGATGATTTTTATACCTTTTTCTGATGTACCTCTTGACCTTCTCCTTCCCTTCCTACCCTTTCTAAGTATTTCCAGAAATACCTGATTTTGAATCATTCAACAGTAGAAAAAGAGGCATATTTTCATTACTTGACAATGTGGGATGGGTGCAATTTATTCCATCTTCACTAAAATAGAAGCAATTCCATAGGTACCATAAACCTATTTTAGGTACCACAAGGTGTCTTTTTACACAGCTCATTTGAATACAGGTGTTCTGAGAAGGGGTTTCTATTTTAAAATTACCATATCAAAATAAATGTGCCTTATTTTTTTATAAGTCTTGTTAAATCAGTGTCCATATTACTGTTTGGGGAAGGGGGAATGTTGTGGGGTCTGGGAGAGGGTGGGTACTTTCTATGACACATAAATTGTGTAATTTTTGCCTGACAATGCTGGCCACATTCTGATCTGTTTCATTAAATTTGTGGTGATGTTACTCTAAACATTTTGACTATTTGAATGTACTGAGATGTCAGAAAACAAAACAAGGAAGGAAAATATTGTTAATTAAAATGTGCTGCTGCCAAGGAAACTGCAACTTGAAGCAAGGATTTTGTAAAATGCAAAATCCAGCTACTGTTTCCATTTCACAGTAGTTAACTATATTAAAGAGAGAATGCTTTAAAATTGATCTTGTTTTGAAACCCACTTTTATGTAGCTCATCATGGTTTATCTTACTAAGGAATATGTTTGTTCATTCAGTTCTCAACTTTTGTATGTGCTAACCTTAAAGTGAAGTTCTGAGCCCGTGTGCCATTACAGTGCTTTTAATAAAATTTATTTGGGATTATTGTTTCCTTAACATTAAAATAATAGCGACATTTAGACTATGCAATTTTAGCATAGAAAGGAGTCTTTGAGTATGTACAGTTTTGAAAATTCTCTTTGAGATAATTGATTTCATATTCTGTGGCTTTCAACCTCCATTTACCTCTTGTCATTCCAACATCTTTATAGAGAAATAAAAACCCAATTTCTCTTTCACCATTTAGTTTGATTATCATCTGGATTTTCACTCAAGATGCAGCTCCTAAGATTATTGTTATGTTAAATTCATAAACTCCTTCACCTTTAATAATTAAGGAAACAATACCAGTGTTGATAAAGATATTACAAGGGGTAATTTCATGCAATAAACATGTACCGTAAGTTTTCTTCCACATATTTTGGGAAAAAACTAAAAAAAGAAAAAGGACTTCCTTTTTGTGGACATCTACAGATGTTAGGGTTGCCAGAAGCAAATCCCAGGAATGAGATCAGTATTTTCATTGCATCTTAAATGTATAACCTTCCTGTGGGAGTTCAGTTTGTCTGTGGTTAAGTGGGTGTGCTTAATCATTCTCGAAATTGTGATCAGATGAAATAAAAAAAAAATCTTGATGCAATAACAGTGGTTTTGCCACTTCTGGTTGTTTGCGATGGATCTGTCCCATGTCAGTCTGGGGTTTTATTCAGCTTGTGTTGCTACCAGCAGTTCACAGGTAAAGCAGAAATTCTCTTTAACCAGCAAGTTTCTGCTTTTTAAGGTTACTTTTAGAATAAATCATCAGGGAAACAGAGAGGATGCTTTGCTTTGGGTTGTAGTCAAAAACTGATTAAATAATTTAATGTCTCTGGCACACACTAAAAACCATACACTTCAGTTGTGATCTCAGTGGCATATTTATTTGGTTAGGTTTCGTTACATTTATTATTACAGATGTTCAGTTGACCAAGTAGTTCAGTGTTTTCTTTCCTTTTTTTGGAAATTTTAGTTTGAGTTTGTGACTGCAGTGTTCAAGAACTCAGCATCCTTGTTTTCTACAAATACTGATTAAAATAAAATGCTGTAAAATGTGATGTAAAACATTATCATGATCTTCCCATGCCTTTGTTGTACTTGTGCCGAAGTGTTTTGATATTCCTTTGTCTGGAAGAAAATGTTTGCTTTCATTTTGATCATTTTGTTCACCTTGGAATCAACAGGTTTTGATATTTTCTCTTGGAAGATTTTATATCTTTTTGGGAATATGTAATATAAGATCTCTAATAAAAGATAATCTTATCATGTACATGGTCCTCTAGAGTAGTTCTTAATCCTATTTTGTAAACATGTATTAAAACATAATGAAGGGGTAGGGGGAGTAGTGAGGGTCTGTTCTTTGTTCCTTCATGATGGATTGGGTTTTTTTTTTTTTTTTTTTGGACACAGAGTCTCGCTCTGTCACCCAGGCTGGAGTGCAGTGGTGCAATCTCAGCTCACTGCAACCTCCGCCTCCTGGGTCCAAGCGATTCTCTGCCTCAGCCTCCCAAGTGGCTGGGATTACAGGCACCCACCACCACTCCTGGCTAATTTTTGTATTTTTAGTAGAGACAGGGTTTCACCATCTTGGCCAGGCTGGTCTTGAACTCCTGACCTCGTGATCCACCCACCTCAGCCTCCCAAAGTGCTGGGATTACAGGCGTGAGCCACCATGCCTGGCCTGGATTGCTCTTTCTTTAGTCCAGTTGTAGTTAGAAAATGTAGTTGTAGGGTGAAGATTGTAGATGGGTGGTGGTGAGTGTTACATCTGGGTTTGGAGGCACCTTTCAGCTTGAAGTCTAGGGACCTTCCTAGCACCTGTGCCCCACGGGGCCTTCTGAGCCCATTAGGAGGTAGGCAGATTGTGGTCAGATTCCATATATAAGCAGGACAAAGTTGTGGAGGGGAGTAAGCTCAGACATGAAGCTAAGAAGGTCCATGTGAGTTGATCTAGAAGGGAGGGTGGGTTGAAAGAGTCGGATCTGGAGGTACCCTCCAGCCTGCTGGCCCAGACTATTACACAGCTTCAATGACTTTAGAGGAGTCCCCTCAAAGCTGAGAGGCAGGCGCAGGTGGAGAGAATAAATATTCAGGGAGGTACACATGGGTTAGCTAGGTAAACAGTACATGTTAACTAGGAAATCTGCACTTGGTTTGGATAACTTATGCAGTAAAGAAATAATCCACTTAAGGCCGGGTGTGGTGCCTCACGCTTGTAATCCCAGGACTTTGGGAGGCTGAGGCATACAGATCACTTGAGGCCAGGAGTTTGAGACCAGCCTGGCTAACATGGTGAAACCCCATCTCTACTAAACATACAAAAATTAGCCGGGCATGGTGGCGGGCACCTGTAATCCCAGCTGCTTTGGAGGCTGAGGCAGGAGAATTGCTTGAACCCAGGACACGGAGGTTGCAGTGAGCTGAGACTGCGCCACTGCACTTCAGCCTGGGCAATAAGAGTGAAAATCTGTTTCAAAAAATAATAATAACCCAGTTATGTACACACAGGAGTGTAACAATCTGTAGAAGTTAGTAAAAATAGGTGTCATTGAGAAATAATGAGACTTGTCTTTGGCCCCATAAAATTAGATCATTAACATGTTAAAATAATTTGAGTATTAAAATTGGTAAAGAAAATTTAGGTGGGCATATGTTCACAATGCCTTTTACAAACCTTCGAATCAGACTAACAAAGGGCCGTTATGATGTTGAAAAGTTGGATCACAGGGGAGTTGAAAGAATTAGCAAGTACTCTGTTACTACCACATATCAAAGCAGAAAACAAACGTCTTAAGAGGTTGTAAAGGGCGAGATTTCTCCAATACACGCTAGATGAAGCAAAAATAGGAAATTGTAACTATCCAGTAACTAATGTTCAAGGTAGATAACACTCCAAATACAGCTATTGCCAGGTATGAGATGCCATCTAAGCTCTGTCTGGATCTCTCGGTTTTTCTTTCCCCTGAGTTGTCCTCATTCTTGGGCAAGGTCTGCCCATTGAATGGCAAAATGGCTGCCAGCAGGTCCAGACTGGCATCCAGACAGCTCAGAGACCTCAGTGGAAAGGGCACTTTTATCTACACTTTTGTCTAATTTTTTCAGCAAATGTCCTGGGATTAATGTCACTGGCTCTCATCTGGCTCATGTGCTAATGATTATGGCTAGGAGTATAGACTTAGGTTCAACTGAATCACATGGAGAAATGGATGAGAAGTAGTGCCCCACCCCCAACCCAAAGAAAATGGAGTTCTACAACCAGAGAAACAGGAGTTGGATGCTCAGACACTTTGGATACTAGGCAGGCAAAATACAGTAGGAATACATTGCAGAGGAAAACCAAGTGGAGATTGTGGATTTAAAGGAAGCTGAAAGCAACACCCAGTTTGAGTTTCAGGAAAGGTCTCATAGAAGAAGTGGACTTGAGATAATTAATTCTTAGAAGACGAATTTGATTTTAGCAGGTAGAGACAATATGTGTCCCCTGTTAAAAAAAAAAAAAAAAAAAAAAAAAAAAAGCGGGGCGGCGGGGGGAAGACATGATAACAGCAAATCCTAAAAAACTAGAAGTACTATCTTCTGTCTGAAGCAGTGCTGTGCTATAAAGTTTTCTTTGATCATGGAAATGTTGTTTATACTTGCTCTGTCCAGTGTGGTAGCTACTAGCCTCTTTTAGCTCTTAAATATTTGAAATCTGATTAGTGCAACTAAGGAACTGAGTATCTTAATTAAATGTAAATAGCAACACGTGGCTACTGTGTCTAGAGTGCATAGTTACATATAATACATTAGTAGAAAGTACAACTGAAAATACAAGTTAAGGCCACATTTTGCTAGAATCCTGCTAGTCAAAGTGTGGTCCTCATCCCAGAAGCATTGACATTGCCTGAAACGTGTTAGAAATGAAGCCTCACAAGTCCCACCCCGGACCTACTGAATTGGGATCTGCATTTTAACAAGATTCCCCCAAGAGTTCATGTGCTCATTAAAGCTGCCCTAGCACATTTTTCAAGAAGTCAGATCTCTGTCTTGTCAAACTTTTCTAAATAACTCTTAAGTCCCACCCTTACAATCTCTACTGCCTGAAAGCATCCCATAAAATCTGTGCACTTGTCCTAACACCAACCAATTACAAGCTATTTCCGGTCCTGCCCACTTCTAAAAAGTGACATTCAAAAATCTTCCTTGTTAAAAATCTTCTGTTTATTCTGGAAAAACGTAGACACATATTAACTTGGATTAACATAGAAACTTTTGCCATGGCCTAAAAGCCCTACCTGGCCTGGTCCCTGCCCTTCCGCGTATGTGAACTTTATTTTGTGTGTTGCTTAAAAATTTATTTCCTGACTCAAGCCAGTCTTGCCTTCTACCACTCTCCCTCTTACTGACAGTTGTCTAGGATTTTCTGGGTCTCTAGCTCGCCAAGATCATTCCTCTTAAGGGCCTTGCGCTTCCCTCTGCATCAAAGGCTCTGCTCTCAGACCTCCCTATGGCAGGCCTCCTCCTATCCTTCTCATCTTAGTTCAGTTGTCATCTTCTTAAGGCCCTCTTCTCTTGACCAGCCACATTATCAGAGTCCTACCTCCACTCCTTCACTGAGTTATCTCCTTTTTCTTACAGGAAGAGCCAAACCTGAAATTTTGTTGGTTTTACTTCCCCATTAGAATGTAAGCTCCTCTGAGGGCAAGAACTGCAGCCGTCTTGCATTGTATCCCCACGCTTGGAACAGCAGGGGTTCCATAAATATTTGTTCAATAAATGAATAGTGATTACCACCTGTAAATGTAGAGAAACAAGAATTATAATTTCAGAATAAAAGGCTGCAAAATCCCTTACATCTAAATATTTGTTTGTTCATGTTATTTCCCTGCTCAAAACTCTCAGGGAATTCCCATGGCCAGTAAAGAATGTATAAATTTTCAAGCTGTATTCCTAATCCCCTCAAAGGATATGACCTTGTGGAATATACTGAAAGTTATTATCAACCAAAATCTGCCCCTTCACCTTCTTCCTAACAAAACTCTGATTTTACTCTCAAGTATCAGGTAGCCGTGGGTCTCAGAGGGGGAATCGTGGCTGGTCTAAATCGATCATGATAATTTCCTTCTCCAGGCTGGATTATTGATTTAGGAATTGATATGTGATACAATTCTGGCCAATCCAATGACCTATCATGGAAATTAGTTGGGAGCTTCTGGGACAAGCCTCTTTTCTCCCTCTTAAAAAGGGGAGAGCATCTTACTCTCGCATGACCGTGTTCAAAGACAGCATTGGGTAAGTGTTGATGCTGGAGCTGCTGCAGCCATTTTGTAACCCTGCAGGGAAAGCCTGAGGACAGAAGTCAACTGGATAAGTAGAGCCTTGGTCCCTGATGATGCTGAGCTGGTGAATGAACCAATTCCAATTTTCTCGTTGTATGAAGTAATAACTCACTTGAGTATTTGGAGTTTAGTGTTACGTGACAAAGAGCTAAAAGCATTTAAACCAATGCTCTTGGGTGTCACCACTGCCCCAGCACCACGCTCTTACTTATGTAGATGCTTTGCTGAATGAGTACATGTGGACTTGAGTGACTAAGTCCACTCAAGTGCACTTGATTGCAGTCAGTCCCTTGGAACATGGCCTCTTACTTTGTCTCTCCTCCCCTCACCCCTCGCACATTCTGCTCAAAAATTTTAATAAACTGCACTTTATTACACTGCAGTATCTTTTTTCAAACATAAGGTGTGTAGACGGGTTTTTAAAAATGCAAAGTGAACTAAGCATGTGGGTACTAGGGAAATGCCTGAAGATTTTAGAGTTCCTTTAGCATATACTCTGAGAGTGTTTTAATTCAGATGTGGAATTGGGGCTGGCTCCTGTGTGGCAAGATGACCCTTCCAAATGTCAACCAAAAACTGGAGGTAGAGGGGAAGAATAAGTAAAAGGGGCTGAGGTGGGAGCAATGAGTCAGTGGCATCTAGTTTCTTTGAAGTATGTCAAGTAACTCTTTCAAGTACTTTGAGACTTTTTCAAACATCATTGAGAAGCCGTCTGTGAATTTCTAAATCTACAAAGGAGGGAAATTGTAACACTGCTATTTAAAAAGGCCTTTTTTTTTTTTTTTCAAATTTATTGTTTAGATTGACATTGTAGAAGGGCCTATTTTACGGGCTTTACATGTAGACTTGAGTTCTTGGCTCCCAGTTTTTTAAATTCACAGTTTAGCCTTAGGACTCATTTTCTGATCTCAGAGCTAAATGACAGTGCTAGCAAGCAAGATGTACCTATAGGGTCTGGATGTGTGAAACACCAGTAAAATAAAATGGAACCCTCACCGGTTGGCTTTCAAAGCTTGATCTGAAGTTGAGGGTAGGTCTTTGTTTGGTCTGAAACTCCCTCCTAGAACTGGAGACTCAGAGCCTTTGTGTTTCTTGGGATGGATTTTTCAGCCATATGCAGGACTGAAATAATTTCGGACCAGCTATATGGAAGTGAGTGTTCCAGAAAAATCATGTGAGTCATTCATTCACGTATTCATCTTCCTAAATGAATTTTCTAAGTGCAGGTAATAAGATTACTTTGAGGTTAAAATATATTTTCTTAAGTAAAATCTGCAAATTCATCCTTACGGAATTTGTGGGGTACCTTTAAGAGGAGCCTGAAGGCAATCGGTTTTCACTTTTGCATTGTGCCATCAATGAACATTAACTGAATTTATCATTTAAGCAGGGCAGTTGTGCCAGGCTCTGAGAGAGGGGGATTCTAATAATCCTGCCCTCCTATTAGTAAGGGAGATAAATCCCAGTGCAGTTAAGGTGCCAGAAGATGAGAGCAAGAGGGTCACATTAGTGGCACAAATGACAAATCCTCTGGGAGTACAGAGGAAGGAGACTTTCCTTCCATCTGGAATGATGAGGAGGGAAGGCAAGGAGGTAGGAGAATTAGAGCTGAGCCTGAAGGATAAGTGTATCACCAACTGGGTGTGTGAGAGGAGGGTGACTTGAAACCAACAGCACAAAGGCAAGAAATCTCATTTCTCATAGAAGTTTCATGAAGGGAAATTATTGGAAGTTTGGCTGGAAGTGTTTTTGATTAAAGACTGCCATCCGCATGTAGATCTGTGGCTGCCTTATGGCTGCAAAGGCAGATTGAGTAGTTTTGATAGAGACTGTGTGGCCTGCAAAGCTGAACATATTTACTAATGTTCCTTTACAGAAGAGTCGCTGCCATCTTGTCTCTCTGTAGAGGTTGGGTTCTTAACACTATCCTTCCACTTCAGATGGAAGTCCTAAAGCTGTCACTTCAGGGAGTATTTTTATTACAAAAGAGAATGGAAATGATGCAACAGTAATGGAGAGAACACCAGATTGGGATCTGGTGATCTGGATTTCAGTCTCAAATTCTGCAAAAGTAGCTGTGGGACCTTTGAGGAGTCACTATACCTCCTAAGAACTCTTTTTCCTGGTCTACTGATTAAAGCCACACTGCCAACTTTCCAAATTAGAAGGTTTCCTAAACACTTTTTCTGGTTGCAAAAAACTATTTTAGCAGATGAAATAAAATGCATTTTAACTGGTTCTCCATGGCAACGCTTACAGCTCTTTCCAGTAACCTTTTGAAGTCTGACTTCTCCATGTTGTGCTTATGGCATCTTTGGGTAGATAGATATTTGGGGATGGGAAAAAAATGATCTGTTTAATGCAAAACTTACTTTGATTTTGTTTTGGTTTTGTAAATGCCGGGGTTTCCTTTCCCAGAAACAACATAAACCTGAAAAAAAAGAACCTGAAACTTTATCTGGGGTGGTTAAAGCCCACATTTTAAGAGTAATCTGAAAAATCTTGAAAGGATTACATGAAAATAGCTGAGTTTTGACCAGGGAACCAGCAACCACAGCTCATAAATGCCTTTGGCTTCAGATCAGTGTGGGGACCTGCAGAAGAGGAGATTCTCTTCAATTGAAGTACTAAGAGGAGAAATGTTTTTAGATCTCAAGAAATCTTAGTTTTTGGCTATCTGTGGTTAAAAATCAGTCCTGGTGTATCTTTGCCCTGAAAGATTAAGGGAAAGAACTGCTTAGGAAAATATAATGACTGCTTGGTAAGAAGTGCCTGAGCAATGACTTCCACATAGGGTGGATTTGCTAAGGTGTCTGGCGACGGGACCTTCGCCTTGTTCCACAATGCGTCGTGGTGGTTTGAAGCAGGAAGCATGTGTAGTTTGGTGATGCTGTCTTGACTCTTCAATTTAGAGTATGAAGATTTGGAGTGGGAGCAGAGAGGAAGTAATTAAATGTATATCTTTTTAAAATACAACCTCAGTCAAGTTTGAATCTGACAGAAGTTATGTGTATATTTTAGGAATAGCAAAATGTCAGAACTTCAAGCCCATCATTTGAGAGTGAGCTCCCATTTGGCTAATTCCACTGTGTCCTGTTGAGTCTCAGGTTGGTAAAGCACTGCAAGCACAGAGCCCGTTTACATTTACTTCCTCTTAGGATACAGGGCACAGGTAGCGACTTGAGTGGTGGCTCCTGAAAAGATATCTCCATGCCCTAATCCATTAAATCTGTGAATGCAGCCTTACTTGGAAAAAGGGCCTTATGCGTATGTGATTAAGTTAAGACCGTGACAGGCTATCATCTGGATTATCTAGGTGGGCCATAAATCCAATGACAAACATCCTTATCGGAGGCAGAATAGGAGAAGACACAGAGAGGAGGCAACATGACCATGGCGGCAGCGCTGGGAGTGATGCGGCCGCGAGGTAAGGAATGCTGACAGCTACAGAAGCTGGAAGAGGCCAGGGAGGAGTCTACCCTAGATTCTCCAGAGGGTATGTGGCCTGGCTGATAGCTTGATTTGCAACGTCTGGCATCCAGAACTGTGAGAGAATAAGTTTCTCTTTTTTTCAACTACCCAGTTTGTGGTAATTTGTTACAACAGCCTCAGGAAACAAATCTAGTACCCAGAATACATTCATCCAACCCATCCCACGGCCCCTGTGGAGAAGCACATCAGAGCTTTCCCCACCTCCCTGTGATCTTGCCAGAGAATAAAGGGCTGAGGGACTGTGCTGACTCCTGATAGACAAGGTGGTGTGCCAGGATGACAGAGGCACAGAACTAGCCAAGAACCACTCTAGTATTGGATTCATTTGGCGGGACTACTTATTCCACCTGCTTGGAATAAAAACAGGAAGATGTTTTCATTGATTTGCTTCCATTTACCACAGAATGTTACTCATCCAGTTCCAGTTGATTTGAGTCATCTTCTCAGGATGAAATAACTGGATACTTGTCAATAGTAGGGAATATGAATAATTTTCACTTCTCAGAAACTTTTAATTTGTAGGGCACTTTAAATACGCAGATCAATTTGCGCTCTCGAATCTCACAATGACTCTGTGAAGCAGGTCAGACAGGTAAGATTATGAATCTTTTTAAGCTGTGCAACTTAAAGCTAACGAACAAAGCCAGATTGAAAGATAATTTTTCCTCATCCAGTGTCCTGCTTAACTGGCTTACTCACTCTGTGGGGAATGACTGACTGATTCAACAGAGAGTTGACAAATTGAAACCACATTTACCTGGAAATGTCCTTGCATGAGAATAGGGGGAAAAAAGTTTTAAACAGGAAAAATAGAGATACACCCTACCACACGCTGAAACACACGTATATTATACATCTATTCTGCCTAGAATATAATAAAGATTGCATTGCACATTGGTGGTAAAGAGGTAGCTCACTCAATAAATAGTATAGTCTTCATATGGAAAAAATTAAATTGTTTATGTACCTTAAACAGATAGAAAAAAATTTATAGATTAGATATTTAATTGCAAATATATATATACATAATAGAAAAAATACAGGAAATGTGTTTTAATGACTTGGGAGTGGAGAAGGCCTTTCTATGCATAAAATGAACTTAAGAGCTGCAAAGAAAAATAGACAAATTTGGTTATAAAAATTAAAAATGATGTGGTCAAAGATGCTATAATAAAGTCAACAGAAAAACAAAACAATATACAGTGGTAAATATTTGCAAAATATATGCTATTTATTAATTATATTCAGCAAACAGTTTTGGAGCACCAGATATGCACCAGACACCGCGGTCAGTGTTAGGCATTAAGCCCTGAATAAGACAAGCAGTCATCATGACCTCATGGACCTTGCTATCTAGCCTGCATTAACCAAGTACTTTTGAGTATAATGAGTATTATAAAGGTCAAGCTGGATGCAATGGGAAAGTGTGATGTGGATAAGTCTTGATAGGCAAGAGTTAGCATCTCTAAACAACTGACAGAAATCAATGAGAAAAATATTAACCTAGAAAAGTTGAAAAAAGATATGTACTGAAAATTCCCAAATGAAGAAATAATAGTTCACCAATAAACACAGGAAAAGATTTTACCCTTGTGAACAAAGATATTCAAATCAAAATGACATGTAATGTTTTACCTATCAGATTACTAAAGAATCAAATGAGTTACAATAGAAACTGCAGGTGATGAGAGGTAGGAACCTGGGCTTTCTCTCATTCTTTGTAGGAGTGTAAATTGTAGAAAATCGTATAATGCCTATCAAGACTTACAATTTAAAAATTGGTTTCTCTATTCAAAGTGTTATGGACTGAATGTTTGTGTTCCACCCCACAGCAAATTAATGTATTGAAGTCCTAACCCTCAATGCGATGGTATTTGGACACGCATCGTTGGAAGGTAATTAAGGAGAGATGAGGTCATGAGAGTTGGGGCTTGCATGATGAAATTATTGCTCTTATAGGAAGAGACACCAGATTTTTTTTTTTCTTTTTCTCCCTCTCCCTCCATTCTATCTTTCTCTGCCATGTGAGGACATACCCAGAAGTCCCATCTGCAATCTAGGAAGAGAGTACTCACCAAATCGGTAGGCACCTTGATCTTAGACTTTCAGCCTCCCAAACTGTGAGAAATACATTCCTGTTGGTTAAGCCACCCAGTCTTTGGTCTTTTGCTATCACAGCCTGAACAGACTAAGACATTGTTTGTATGTGTGTGTGTGTACGATTTAAAAGCAAGTAACAGGAGAAGTAAAAAAAAAAAATGTAAGCACTGCAGTATCAATCAGAACATTATATTGGGGATTGGCAAACTCTACAGCCCATTGCCATATCAAGCCCACTGCCTGTTTTGGAAATAGAAAATATTGGAGCAGAGCCATACTCATTTGTTTATGTATTGTTTCTGGCTGTTTTTATGCTACAACAATAGACTTGAGTAACTGCAACAGAGACTGAATGGACTGCAGAGCCTAAAATATTTCTTATCTCTTCATTTGTTGACAGTTTGCCAATGCTTCTATTGAGATTAAAACCATAAACAACTTAAATATTAATTAATTATGTTTAATTAAAATTATTTTATATTCACAATGTGGAGTATTATGCAGCAATTGGTAGAGTCTTACATATAGACATGTAAATATGGCTTAAGATATTTTGTTAAATGAGAGTTATGGCTCAATATGTGTAGCATAATTCATTTATGTAAACAATATGTATAAAGAGAGATACATACATATGTATGCTACCATTTATAAAGTGCTAAAGTACTGCCCTAAGCATGTAACGTAATTTGTCTTATTATATGATTTATTACATATAACAATCGTATGTGTTAGTAATATTATTTAATTTTAAATATTAAATAATGATAATATTATTTACTATTTTGCAGAGAAGAAATTGAGGGTTAAAAGACTAATTTGTCTAGTCACATAGCTAGTAAGTGACAAAGTCAGAACGTGAATTCACACTTTTCACTACTGTACTGTGCATAAATGTTCAAAAAGGGTAAACACAAACAGTTTTTACTTGGGGAGTAAGGAAGATATTAGAAATGGAATTATAAGGGTCTTTAATTTTCTGATATTGTTTATTGTGTTTACTGGTAATAAATGATTGTTGTTAAAGATTCAAAGGTGCTTCCATTTTGGAAAAAAAAGAATGTAGGAAATAATTTCATGAACTTTGTCTGTCTATAAGTCAATGTTACTGTCAGTAAATTTTGATACTGTCACATTAATGCCAAATACATTGAAACCTGTCATTTAGGATCATTTTCTAATCATTTTAATTAAGAATGAAGAAATGATAGTTCACCAACAAACCTATGAAAAAGATATTTATCAGAAAACCCATTCAGTTTATAAATGAAGGAAAGAAAGCTTTAACATCAATCATTTTTTAGGAAACTTGCGAAACAGGGAAAACTAAAATGTCAAAGTCTGGGGTAACCACCATGGATTCTCTAAGTTTGCATTATTCAAAGGGATATAATTTTCCTGCCATACCATTTGACAGGCATAGTTGTGGCCTGGCGGAAATAGGTTTACACCGAAAATAAATTAGATTGAATTAAATTAATGATCCGACTATAAATTTTGGCCCTGTCCTTTTACTAGCTAGGTCATTAAATAACAAATAAATTATTTAGTCTCTTGAAATTTTACTTTATATTTAAAATGAGGATGTTGGTCCCTAAATTTCTGGGTCTACATACATTAAAGCTTCTAATACATCCAGCACATTGCCTGTTATTTGCCATTTATTAAGCATCACTTAGTAGGTGCTTAATAAAAACTGGCTATATCTACAGAGATAGAATTTAGACTGTCAAGTAGCAAGTTAAATTGGTCATCCCAGATATTTCTGTCCTCAGCTCTACTAGTCCAGAAGGAAAGTGGTTTTCTCCCACTCACTAGCACAAGCTGGCAACAGCACCATCCGGACTCAATGCTCATCACTATGGTAACAACCGTGGTCTCCCTGCTTCCTGCTCAGTGTTTATTCTTCCATTTTCTCCCCACCCCCCTCAGAGCCAGACTCAGCCTGTGGCTCCTACTCAGAAGGTTTTCTGAAAAGAATAGACAAATTATAGAAAACGGTAATTGGATATAATCTCTTTTTCCCTCAAAGTAAGATACCAATATGATCCACTTTTTTTTTTGGTGAAAGGAGCCTAACTAAATATAGTACTTCCATTCTTGTAACAACACATGATTCCTGTGTTTGATGGAGATAGAAACAGGAGGCATGCTTATTGATACTCACTTAATCCTCATGAATTTGCTCGCTAATCTTTAGAGCCCTACTGCCCGGGGGCATCCCATGGAGGGGATTGTGGGAGCAAAGACACAGATATAGGAATGCAGTTGGTGGATCTGAAGGTCCATGGGTCCACTGGCTTTGTAGGAAGAGTAGGTTGACACGGGTGAGGAGGAGGAAGTAAGGCTGGAGTGCTAGACTGGGCCAAGTTGTGAGATAATTGATACTGTTAATCTTGTCTCTTTCCTAGGAAAAATCATCTCTCTTCATTATGTCAAATTTCACTGTCAGGATCACTTAGGTCCTGCATTCCTTATGTTTCTATGATTGTAGCAGCTGCAAGAGAACCAAATATGTGTAAACTCAATGATACTTGATCTTAAGCAGTTTGCCATCTATGGCCCTTGATGCAACAGTTATACTTGTATAGCTTATTTTCTTAGCTTCCGGCTTTCCAAAAGCAGACCTATCTAGATAATTATTTTTACAGGAATAATATTTTTGCAAATGTTAAGTTGACGTTTTTCATTTTCAGAAATCGTGTTGCTATGCAGCTCTGCACTTATTAAATCACTGGACTTCATTTCATGGGAGGCTGGAACAGAGGAGTCATTTCTTGGCCATCAATGGAAAACCACATTTTAAAAAATTCACAGTGAGAACATAATATTGAAATCCAGGCTTTGTTGAGAGGGGAAAAATATTGTTTAAATTTGCCAAAATTTCATTTACAAATCAAATGCTAAGCCTAGGGAATCTGGATCACTGAATTTTACTATAAGCCATTATGTAGAGAAGACCAATATATGCTGCAAGGGACATTTCTATCTAAGAATAGGGAAAGCCCCTTATATTTCTGAGAGGAGATGGTTGGGAGGAGTAAAGAGAAGAAAGACAAGCCATCAGACATGATTATGTCAGCTCTCTTGTCCCCTTGGGGTAGTAGTTCTTGGAAGATGTGGTAGAAACATGGTCCAGGACAGCAGGTATATCCCAGCTTGTGCTTCAGAGCATCCCACAGTTGGCGTGGCACTGCATCTAACATGGTGCCAGATTGGATGGCAGAAATGGCTGAGTGGGCTGTCTAGAGGGCTGAGCTTTAGATATCACCTCATTTCTTCATATCCTCCAATATTCTGTATCCTTGACATGAATGGGAAATGGAAGAAGCAGTAGACCAGAAGAGGACTAAGGTTAGAAGGAAGAGGTCATGAATGTAGCTCTGACTTCAGCAGGGATGCCAACATAGCATTTGAGGGAACCAGGTGGGACAAACCACACCTCTGTGGGCACCACCACTGTTTCCTGGGCACCAGACCAAACAAGCTACAACATGTCAGAGACCAGCAAGGACTCAGAGGCAGTATCTATCCCTAAGGACAATTCATTTATTGTATGTGTGATACATAAGCATACCTGTATGTCCAGGTGCCAATTTGGAAAGTATGAGAGGAAGGGAATACTTAGAAGGAGCTTAAACTTTGAACTATCCAAAACTGAGGTATCTTTAAATAGCAAGTAGAGAATAAATAAAGTTATATTTTCACTCTGAGTGTATAACTTTTGAACCATAAACATCAACATTCTTAACCACATGGAGAACTTCCTGGAGGCCTTCTGAGGCAGTACACATATGTTTAGCCAAGTAACAGAGAAAACTTAGCAACTCCTAATGGTAGACCTAATAATATGATAGAATTAGAATCAGAATCATAGAATCTCACAGTGATGGGAATCTTTCAGTCCAACCGTCTAAGTAACCTGGACCAGAGAAAAAACAAGACTACCATGTCCAGCCAGCAGAATGCTATAATATGCTATGATGACTGGAATCCTTGTTAACCAATTCCAGCAACCTGTGAGTATGGATTTCAAATAAAATTATATTCATCGAGCACGCTAGATTTTGTAAGGCACCACGTATTCTCTAAGTGAGCGATAAACAGTTGTGACAGACTAGAACAGAAGAGAGGGTTAAAATTGCAAGAGACCTTAGAGGTTGTGTATTTTAATGTTTGTTGTAATCATCTGCATCAGAATCAGCTTAAATGTATGAACAAGTAGATTCTTGGACCCTAGTCTTTATCAACTGAATCACAAATCTCTAGTGATAGACTCTGGATATGTTTTTATTTTTTATGTATTTTTTAATTTTTTTAAACCAGTAATTTTTAGTATGTAGTCATTTCCAAAGTTGACAAAGAAATAGATTAACTATCCCAATTAGTTGTATTGACTGCAGAAAATGTTCACTACTGTGTTGTAGAAATTGTTTTTTTCTAAATTAATAGGATGGTTGTACTAAATATTTGGGATAGACACATCATGTTTAAATATTTTAATCCCTAAGCATAAAAAAAAATCAGAAGCAAACTAGGATTGAGCTGTCAGTCTGGGATTTATTATTGAATAAGGGTAATCTCCTCCTGCTGGGCTGTCACCAGCCTATCGCCTCCCCGTTGAGACCAGCATGAAGGTCGAAGCTCACACCACCTCTGCAGACTCATTTCACCCCTCACCTGCCTACGGTCACCTGTGTGGTTGGTAAGTCCTTGAGCCCTCAAAGGCCTAATAACGTAGATGAGTTCAGATCCAGAATCATCAGGGATCTGTAACTTTGGAGTGAGAAATTGGTTTTCAAAGCAAGAATCCAGCTGGGGAAAATCTATAATGGATAAATATTTAAATGACACAAGGGTTTTAAGAAATTAAAAGAATGTGAAATGAAGTGAGTTGTAAACAAAACCTCCATGCCCTTCTTTTCCGTGTGCCTCAGTTACCCTCGTGCCTGACAAGGCTTTGCCCACGGAGCCCAGGGGACCCTCAGCGACGGGCTGCTGTGGTCGTCCAAGTGATGGCCTCTGTCAGGACTCATTCAGTCCCCAAAACAGGCCCGAGTTTCGTCTGAGTTTTCACCTTAAACCCCACACGGTCGTCCTGGCAGGTCATGGTAAGATAGAAAGCCTTGCAAATAAGTCAGGTTATCTGATCTGAATTTTTCCCTTGTCAGCCCGGGCCAGAAACAAATACCCAAACGCAGCATTTGAGGGATTTCTACTTGTCTGTTGCCTCCTCGAGAACAGCACGTAACTGCAATGCAGCCTGTACAGGAGGACGGAGGGAAGGAAAAGCCAGAGCCAGGTCTTGAGCTGAGGAGGGCAGAGTCTTGCGGAGGGCCCTCAGGACTGGGTGATGCTGTGAGGGAGCATGAACCCCGTGTCCCTGAGGGTCCTGAGCGCCACTCGGCCATTGGGTCGGATCACCAGGTGGGTGATGCTGCCATTGTTGAGGGAGCAATGGAGCCAGCCTTCGGGAGGAAACTGCAGCGCTGTGTCCTGTCATCTGCAGCGAATGACACTGGCGTGACATCGGAAGATCTCCTAATTATCCTCCCCCTGCTTGGCATCCCCCGAGGGATGTAGTTTCGGAGCGCTCCCTCGATCCGGACTCCATCTTCATAGCATGCCCAGCGGCCGCTTCCAGTGATACGCTGCCAGGCTGGCTTGACGAGGAGGGTTCCCGCCCCAGGTCTGTGCGGCCTTTGAAGACGCTTGGCAGGTGCCTGTTGCTGAAGCCAGTGGTTTCTATGGGGTGGGTCATGGAGGAATGGACGATTTTATTAAACCTCAACCCCAAGCTTGCAAGTCGGAGTCCAGTTAGTTCGACCTGTTCACGACCCAGTGGGTTCAGACTGCAGTCCTTTTCCAGGGAGCCGTCCACATGGTATTGGGAACGCATGACGAGGAGGGTGTGCCCTGTGGCCTTGGCTCTGCAGTGGTCCAGCCTGGAAGCCAGCTATTCTCCAGATTCCACGTTCCTCTTCCTTAGGTTGTTCAGAGACAGTGGTTCTTGCCTGTCCCGGTCGGGGTCCCAGACGCTGAGGCTCGGCCGCGTGCCCCACGCCCAGGCCGGCGCCTCGGCTGCGCGCGGCTTCCCCACTGTGCCAGCGAAGCAGAACCCCGGGACCAAGCCCCTGGCCAGCCCGCAGACTGCCAACCTCAGCACCTGCTGGATCCCGGGGCCGCCCGCTCCCGCTCAGGTCCCAGGCGCTCAATGCCTGGCAGGCGCGCCGCCTCTGGATATGCTTTTAAATAACAGAGTTGGGCCGGGCGCAGTTGCGCAAGCCTACCTGTAATTCCAGCCATACAGGAGCTCCACACCAGCCTGGGCAACAGAGCGAGACTACAAAAATGAAGATAAAATAAATTGGAGTGTGGTGGCACGTCCGTGTCATCCCAGCTACTAAGGAGGCTCAGGCGGGAGAATGGCTTGAGCCTGGGAGTCCAAGGCTGTAGTGAGCTATGATGGCGCCTCTGCACTCCAGCCTGGGCGACAGAGCAAGACTCTATCTCAATAAATAAGTAGGTAAGTAAGTAAGTAAGTAAATAACTGATCTGTTTTGTGCCACCTATACCACTTTTCTAGTCCTAGACTTCATTTAGCAAATGAGAAAACCAAGGTGTAGAAGCGCAAATGATTTGCTCCTGATTACTCCACTAGTTAGTGGAAGAGCCAAGATTGTATCTAATAATAGTCTTTCATAATTTGTTAATTGAGAGGGAGAGTGGAGAGACGATGGGGATGGTTTATGAGATATACCAGGCTGGTTAATCTTGTCTTTTAGTCACAGGATGCCCATTCCCCTCCCATACTCCACCCCCATGACTCTCTTAAAGTTATCGTTCAAATGAGTGTGGCAAGGTTCGTGAACACTTTCAGCTGGGGGTGAGAATTCTCAGTCCCTTGACATAGGAATTTTCAGCATATCCCAATAATTAGATTCCGGAAGAACTTGTAACCCAAACTCATACATAGGACTGCTTTATATTGGAACACCAACTTTCTGCATGTTATGGAACACATAGCTCCAGAACCGAGATCAGTTGTCCATCTACAAATGTCACTCCCTTTTATTTGATGAGTTAACTGAGGAATACTTATTTCCATATCAGCAGACAACTCTAAATATATAACATATAAACCTCTGTGTTTATATGTTTGTTTTCCCCCAGAAAAGGAAGTTGGCTTTCAGTCCAGAAATTATTATTATTATTTTATTTTTTGAGAGACAGAGTCTCACTCTGTTGCCCAGGTTGGAGTGCAGTGGCATGATCATTGCTCACTGCAAACTCGGAGTCCTTGTCACAAGCAGTCCTCCTGCCTTGGCCTCCTAAAGTGTTGGGTTTACAGGTGTGAGTCACTGTGTCTGGCCCAGAGATAATATTTTTCATAAGACACAGTTGGAAGCAGATGCAGTTACTAGAGGTCCCTTTAGTTCTACTCCGCTGTTTTCCTAAGTGCAATGCAGATTCTTGCCTTTGTATCTGCAGAAGATTTTCACGCTTTCCAAATTTCACTTCTCTTCAGTGAAATGCTTTCTCATTTCTAGAGTTATTCTACAGCTGGCTTTCACCTACCGTTTATATGTTTATGCTCATTTTTATGTCAGCATTGCATTGAACAAACAAGGGACAATCAAAACAATTTTTTTGACAACTGCTGCAAGCACAACCACTCTGAGGGCAAGTTCTTCTCTGTCCCAGATGAAATGAGGGGCAGGTGCCATTGACTTTCCTGGTTACTCTTAGAAAATAAAATATCTTCTACATAGTTTAATCTCCAGAGTAATCTCAGTTTAGTAACCTGGATGTCCAGCCAAAACTCCAAATTTCATCCAAAGTTAAAATTTCTTTCCTCCTCCAGCATTGGCCTGTCAGGGCCCAAGGTGGAAAAGCAAGCGGGGAGTGATTGGCTTCATGACTCTGTCACTTCTCCCCTGCCCTCCTTCCCAGGTCCCTGACAAGGTAAGAGGAAGGGAGGGGAGGCAAGAGGTTGGGAGGAAGCCTTATTGACTCACATCAATCTATGATAGACATTTACAGTTGATTTTGTCCTGGAGCATCTTCATAGGTTCTTTGGGGACATCCATTGCTGGAAGTCTCCCTCGATGTGGGCACGTGCTTCTGCTAATCACTTTGCCTTTATCTGACAGCCCCCTGGGTATATTGTGGTACACCTCCATTTTTAAATGCCATTGCTTCCTAAGATGTAGCCCATTTTTCCTTTGAGCACCTGGTAGGCATCCAGCCCTAGCCATAAAATTAACCTTTAGATCTCTCAGGCACTAGTCACATACCAGTCTGGTATCAGAGGTCACATCACAGGTTCTCCTGGTGGTTGATTTTGAAGTCTCCTCACTAGATTTGAAGTCAGGAGAAGGCAACATTCATCCCTTTCCCAGTCAGGAGTGGAGAGTGCAGGAAGAGTTGAGACTCAGCACTATACCAATTATTCCTAAATACATTTTTTTCTCTAATTGCAATTTTCCAAGCATTTAATTTCATTTTCTATTCTTTTTCTGAGAGAGGCTAAGGGTTGCAAAACCAGATTTAGACTACATCCATTACACTTTCTCCATAAATAGCCTTGTATATCATTTTGGAACCTGGAAGCAGTTGTTTCTACCTATTGCCTTGGGACCTCGGCCTAAACTGAGACCAAATCTCATTTACGGATCTGTACAACTAGATGGAAATGGTGTATACTTCTGAGCTCTCACCTATCTCTGCAATTTCCTGATGTTTGGGACTTTCTCTTTTCCCGTCCTCTCCTACATGATAAGGGCCTCCACTTTCTGTGAAGTCACCCCCATAGCATCTATTTCATGTCATCACTCATTCTTTGATTTTGCAGCTCTTTCCAATTTGATATTTCCTTGCTTCATATCCCTCCACCCTCAAACTTAGGGATTTTTAACTTCTGTTTGTGCTATCCATTCAATGCAAGATTCCTGTTTAAAAAAAGGTAAGGACTATAGTTCTTAGAAAGAGATGTTAGAGAAATTTTTCCAATATCCTGGGCCCGTGGTCCCCTTGGTACCTCATCATCCAGGCCCCTGCAGATTCCTGCTTTCTTCAAGGGAACTCTGCCTGCTTGCAGAGACAGAGGAGACCCTTTTGTTTTTGCCTACAGAAGTGTGGTTTCAATCACTGAAAGGAAGCACGTTGTGAATTCTATTTGCCAGTTGTATTTCAGCTTGTATGTGCTTACTTTGTTCCACTTCTTTACTTGCAGCAGAAGAATAAGGCAAACATTTAAAAAAATTCCTTTGATGAAACAACACAAAACAAGCATAGCCATTTATTTCAGACCAAAATTTTTTGAAGTATTATATTTATTGTCAAAAAGAAAATAGTGGAAATAAATTAAGATGATGTAGATGCAGAGCTAAGAAGACAGTCAGATCAATACACTGAATTATATTGTTATCAATTACACATTTGGCCACATGATTAATGTTATAAATGCTTTCAACTTTCCTCTAGATCCCAAAAAGAACGTTTCATTAGACTAATATACATTGGAAAATAATTTGAATTTAGGAAGCTAAATATTTAGAACAATTTTGATTAGACTGCATGTAAAAGAGGGTTTATATATTCACCATTAGTAATTCCCAATCTAATATTGCCAATGAGGAAACTCTGAACAGCTGTCATCTAGAATTCTAAAATATCACTCGTTGATAAATGTGCAACATAAGCACCATAGCTCAACAAAATGAAGTGCAATTTTCTCTTCAGTCAGAGAAAAGAGCAAGTTCAAGATTAGTTATGCATTAAACAGTCCATTTGGGAAGGCTAATTAGGGAGAGAGAGAGAAGACCTTGAAATAGAAGTCACCAGAAAAAGCTAGCAGATGAGTCTTTTTGGAGACTTAATTTGTCCTTTGTCACAGGCAGAACACCTGTGCAAAGTGCATGTTGCCCTCATCCAAAGTCTGGTTATGAGGTTCAGAAGGTTTTCTGATGCCTGATGAAAGAAACAAAACAATAGTAGCTCATGAAATTGTCTTTAGAGGTGCTGAGGCCTTTTGGACATCAGGTTTCCAAAGTGATATAATAGGTGTGCAAACTCAATTCCAAAAAAAAGACATGGGCACAAGATTTTGGCTTGTTCTCGTTTTCCCTAGTACTTTAGAAGGCCTGAGAATGAATAGAACATACTGCATTTAAGAGAGTCACATTTTTGACAGGAAATCTAGCACGTGGAAAAAAAATCTAAATTCTTTCCAATTTAAATACACTCAGATTAGTATAGCTCTCACTCCAACCAAGTACCAGTGCTCCCAGAAGCTGCCCCAGTTTAATATCACATGCTATTCTTTACAGAACACTAATCAAGGACAAGAAAGAAGTTATTCTTGTGTAAGTTGCATTTACTTTAGTATCACTAATGTGTTTCTTTCTTGAAAATCTAGACAATGTTTTTCTTAACAAAATTGTTTTAGAGTTTTGGTATCCCGTTTCCTCAATATTATCCCATACAAGCTAAATGAAACAAAAAGTTCTGGAGGAGTGTTGGTTGTCCATTATTGGAAGAGGGGGATCCCAGAATTAGTGATAATTCTATGAAATATCTCTGAGCAGATTGTCCTAGACCTGTCTTTACTAAGGAATGGAACAAATGCCCTTAAGAAAAGACCAGAATCATAAGTTAAAGTGTTTTTTCTTAGAGCCTTTTTTTCTGAGCAGTTAGCAGTCTAGCCTTGAAGCAAGATAGGCCAAAAGCTGTGCTCTTAAACTCTACCAGTGTCAAGAACTCTCAGAAGATCTATTAAAATCCAAGGCCATGTACATTCTCTTAAGAAAATCTGTTTTTTAATATAAAATCTCTTTTTCATTTCCAAGTAGCAGGGCTAAGGAAGGCCGCTTCTGATGATTTCATAATGAGGCTTAGTGAATGGTTGAACTTGCCCACTCTTCTGAGCTCAGGTTAGGCAGTGTCTAGCAGCTACGAGAACTGCTCTGGGGGTCATCCTGCTCACTGCTCTTTAACCCTCTCCTCAAGTCTTTCTTCCCTTACAAAGGGAGATTTCTTGGTCTCATGGGAGAAAAATATCCTGTTGACCTGAGTGTGTGTGTGTGTGTGTGTGTGTGTGTGCTGTAAGTATATACTTCTTGCAAAAAAGTTCCAAATCTCTACAGTCTACAATCTCAGCCATGGAAATCATCTTGTTCATCTTTTATTCCCACAACCGGGGATAATATCCAAAACATTTAACAACAAATATGGCTTCTTCACAGGTTATCCAAACGGCACCGGCAATAGTGCTGGAGTAGAGACCTGAAGGCCCCATTTGTGTCTCTGGTTGGAGGGTAATGGAGAGGTGTGGATAGATGGTCATGGGAAACACTGGGTGGGCTCCAGAAGTGGTTATTCACCAACTCGTAGTAAAGTATTTTAATAATTTAACGATCAATACAACTGTTAGCACTGTGCACTGCCCCAATAGAACCCCTGTTCATAGCACTATGAGGTGGAGATTATAACCTCTGCTTTATAGCTGTGGGAACTGAGGCTCAAGGAGATTAAGTAATTTTTCTATGGTTACTCAACTAGAAGGAAACCGGGAGAAAGGGAAACCTGAAGAGTAAGCCAGGCTTATAAGATGGTCGACCAAGCACAGGCTTTTCCTGCTCCTCTATGCAGCACCTGTTAGCCAGGCCCACATTTATCCAGCTCCTCAGTATCTGGTCTGTTAAATCAAGTTTAGAAATAACCTTTGACCTTCTCTCATTCTGTGAGGTTGGCCTGGCTGGAAAAGTCTGTGAGAAGACCATACAGGTGGGTGCACCTCTATAAAGTAAAGGTTGTTACTGCCTTACCCAGTCCCCTCCAAGCTTCAGGAGACCCTGGCTGTTTTCAGGCTGTACAAAACCCCTTCAATGGCTGCTTTGCTGAATGACATGGAAGTCTGTGAGACCATCTTTTCTGAGATTGCTTTGGCAACAAGAAGTTGAAATATACTCTCTAGAAAGGATTTTTTCCCTTTTTCCTTTCCTTTCCAAAGATCAATAAAGTATACAAAGGAAATACATTTTCTTTATTTTAAAAATGTCTCTACATTTTAAAAAATTTGTCATTGACTATAAAATTAACTAATACTTATTGTAAGCAAGTGTGAAAAAAACTGGTTTGCAAATTACTTAATAAAATTAGTTACACTCCTACTACCTGTTATTATATTTATTGACATATATACTCCTGAAATCATATTTTTCAGCATTTTAAAGTTTTTTTAATTATTAATTTTTAAAAGTCACTTTGAAATAATTTTATGAGTTTTTTCCTTTTTTATTACATTATCTTTGCAATTTATTTAATTATTCCTTTATGATTGAATGTTGAGGAAATTTCCAGTTTTTCCTCATTATATATAAGGCTTCATTCAAATCCTAATATCATGAATCTCTTACTTATCATGCACTGTTTCCTTAGGTAAAAATCCTAAAAATTGAGATTACAGGAACAAGAGAATTAATATATTGCACAGTTACTTTCCAGAAAGACAGTGCCAATCTGCACTTCCATCATAGTATATTAAAGCACCTGTTTCACCTCACTCTTTCCAACACTGATAATTTCCGTGATAAAAAAAGATAGTATCTTTTTTTTTAAAAAAAGTTCAGTTTATTTTTATTTTTTATTTTTTTTAGAGGGAGTCTCACTCCGTCACCAGGCTGGAGTGCAGTGGCGTGATCTTGGCTCACTGCAAGTTCTGCCTGCCAGGTTCAAGTGATTCTCCTGTCCCAGCCTTCCAAGTAGCTGGGACTACAGGCGCATGCCACCACTCCCAGCTAATTTTTGTATTTTTAGTAGAGATGGGGTTTCACCATGTTGGCCAGGATGGTCTCGATCTCTTGACCTCGTGATCTGCCCACCTTGGCCTCCCAAAGTGCTGGGATTACAGGTATGAGCCACCATGCCTGGCCAAAAGTTCAGATTTTTAAAGCACTAACTATAGCCAGTTTACTGAGCTTAGTATTTTTAACCTGTTATTTCCCTTTAATATTGACTAAACCTGATGGAATAATTATTGTTTCTATACTAGAGATGAGGACCTTGAGGCAGAGAAGAAGTACTTGGCCTGAGGGCATACCTGCAGTAACGGCCAGTGTCAAGGTTGCACTGGGGTGCTTTCAGGGCTGGTTCTCTCAACCTCTCTGCTGTGCTGCTTTGCTCTGCACTACTGTGATCTGGTGAAGAGCAACACATTTTTAACATTCACTTTTCCCCCAATTACAAAAGTATTATAAGGCCATTGAAAAAGAGTGGATATCCAGAAAAGCCTAGAAAAGCAAAAATCAACCTATCCAGGATCAACTACATGTATTACACATATTTGTGTACTATCTAATTTCTCTCTTTCTGTGTACTCTGTGTATACATATATGTGTGTCTGTGTGTGTGTGTGTGTGTGTGTGTGTGTGTGTGTGTATGTGTATATATATATATATATATATATATATATATATATATATATGTATATACAGTTGATTCTTGAACAATGCAGGGTTTAGGACATCAACCCCCTGCATAGTTGAAAAATCTGTGTGTAACTCTTTATTCCCCCAGAAGATGACTACCAATAGCCTACTGTTGACCAGAAGCCTTACTGATAACATAAGCAGATTAACACATATTTTCTAGGTTATATATCTTATATACTGTATTCTTACAATAAAACAAGCTAGAGAAAAGAAAATATTATTAAGAAAGTCATTAAAAAGAGAAACTATATTCTCCATTCATTAAATGGAATTGGATTGTAATGAACATTTTCATCCTCATCATCTCCACACTGAGTAAGCTGAGAAAAAGGAGGAAGAGGAGGAATTGGTCTTGCTGTCTCAGGGGTCGTGGAGGTGAAAGAAAAACCACATATAAGTTGCATATAAGTGGATCATATAGTTCAAATCTGTGTTATTCAAGGGTCAACTGTATATATATATTATAGATATTATCACATTGTTTAAGTTGCTTGATGACCTGCAGTATATGTCATTCAATAGTCTTGTACAAAATGATTTTAAATGGATACTTAGTGTATTAGTCCATTTTCACACTGCTGATAAAGACATATCCAAGACTAAGTAATTTATACAGGGAAAGTGTTTAATGGATTTACAGTTCCATGTGGCTGGGGAAGCCTCACAATCATGGCGGAAGGCAAAGAGGAGGAGCAAGTCATGTCTTACATGGATGGCAGCAGGCAAAGAGGGAGCTTGTGCAGGGAAACTCCCATTTTACCATCAGATCTCGTGAGACTCATTCACTATCATGAGAACAGTGCAAGAAAGACCCACCCCCATAATTTAATCACCTCCCACTGGGTTCCTCCCATGACATGTGGGAATTGTGGGAGCTACAATTCAAGATGAGATTTGGGTGGGGACACAGCCAAACCATATCACATAGCATTTTATTAAGTGGAATACCAAAATTTAATTAAATAATTCCATAGCATTGTACATTTAAATTTTTACAATTTTTTCATTTATAAGTATCTTCAGTAAAGATATGTATAATGAGGAAGTTCATTCTAGCATTGATTGTAAAAGTAACAAAAGTTTAAACCACCTAAATGCTTACCTACCACAGAATGGTTAAAATTAAGCTAAATTAATATATATGCACTTGTTTAATAAATGAAATAAATCAACATGTGTTTTACTAGGAAAAGGTGTACAATACACACAACCCTTCATCACACACACACACACACACACACACACACGTATATCTATGTGTTAACCCCTCTTAACACACAGACGTATATCCCTTGGATATCTTAGGCCAGACCTGTGCTTTAACAACTATAGCTTTCTACAGGTTCAAGAAAGTTATGCTATCAGTTTTTCTTCTTTTTTTCCAGCAAGTTGTTTGCTTCCTTTCTACTCGATTCTTCCTAATGATATTAAATATGTCTAAATCTTTCCTATATTAAAAAATGAAGGGGGAATAAAAAAGCTCCCTAGACCCCTCATCTCCCTATAGATTATCTCCTTATTTTTCTTCTACCTTTCATAGCTATGATAGATTGGAATATTTTTCTTACCTACTGTGTAATAGAATTACATATTCCTTACCATCATGTTATGGTCCTTTCTTTTGTGCCTACTGAAGGAGGAATATGTGTCTCTCTGTTGTAGGTGAGCATTTATTCATAGGTAGTTTGAGGTTTTGTTATTTTTACAGTCAATGCTGCAATCATCTTCCTTATACATACATCTTTACTGAAGATATTTAGAAATGAAAAAATTGGAAACACTGAAATGTGCAATGCTATGGAATTATTTAATTAAATTTTGCTGTGACCTGGACTTTGGGCTTGGCCGTTTGCTTTGGCCAAGGCCACATTTTCATGTATTAGCAGAAGCTTTAAATACCATGACTTGGTTTCTCTCATATTTTTATCCTCCACTATGAGCACAGAATATCTCAGTAGCTTCTCCTTCAGCTTGGATCCCAGAATGGAAATACATGCATAGTTGAGTGGAGCCCAGTCAAACCCAGCAGAACTATAGCTGGTCCACTGAAACAAATGTTTGTTGCTCTAAACTACAAGGATCCTGAAGATGTTTATTATCACAGCAAAAGTTGATTAGCACAATAGCTAAACCTCTTCAAAGAATTGTCCATATTCACCATTTTTATTTCTTTATTTCCTGGTCTTTTTTCCAATTCACTCCATATGACTTTGCCCCAATTGTCTCACTGAAACAGCCCTTGCTATAGTCAGTAATAAGCTCAATAATGCTATATGCAACGGATACATTTTAAAACTCACTAGGCTTTTCACCTACCTCAATGGCCATTTTGTTCTGTATCTTTTGCAGGCTCTTCTCCTTCTACCCAGAAATTACATGTTGACATTCTTCTCTTAGAGTCTATCTTTTTCTCATGTCATACTTTTTTCTTAATCTCAACCAAGTTCAAAGCTTCAGTTACTATTATTATGTAAATATAATATTTAGCCCAGACTTATACATTTAACTACTTGAAATAAAAGTTTCTCACTTGAACATGATCAGGACTGAATCCATGATCTTCCCTTAGACTGGTACTTTTCCATTGTTCTTACTGTGATGAATGGTACCACCTTCTATTCATTCAGTTGCACAGGAATAAAACTTAGGCAATGTTCCTTTCCCTTACATCATCCCCATATCCATACTAAAAGCATTGTTGGTATCACCTCCAAAAAAATCTGTTTCATTTATAAGATTGATGCAATCACCATTTTAGCCCAAGTTACCATCATCTCTTGTCTAAGTAATGCTCTGTGCTTAATTGCCATCTTCTCCTGAGGAATCCATTCAAAGTTTCAATTGGATTTTAACACATCCACTGGGCTTGGGATAAAGAATAAAGACCAAAATCCTCAGCGTAATGACCAAGGCTCTTCATGCCTAGATGCTACGTCTTCCTCAAGCTTCCTCTCTTACTCTCTCTCCTCATTTTTTATGACCAAGTCATACCAGTCATTTCCAGTTTCTGAATGTGCCTTCTCTTTCCTAACACAGAGTATTTGCGATGGCCATTTCCTGTCTTTTGAACGTTCTTTTCCATCTCTCTACTTTCACTTAAGTTCTACTCATATTTCAGATTTAATTTCTTTAGGGAAGCCTTCCTAACTCCCCACACTTGGGATCAGTTTCATTTGTCATATGACCTCATAAGACAACCTTTTTATCCCTTGGGATGATTGTCTTAGTCCATTTGTGTTGCTATAAAGGAATACCTGAGGCTGCATAATTTATAAAGAAAAGAGGTTCATTTGGCCTATGGTTCTGCAGGCTGTACAAGAAGTGTAGTGCCAGCATCTACTCTGGTGAGAGCTTCAGGCTGCTTCCACTTATGGTTGAAGGCAAAGTAAAGCTGCCATGTGCAGAGATCACATGGTAAGAAAGGAAGCAAGGGAGAGAGCGAGAAGGCGCCAGGCTTTTCTTAACAATTGGCTATCCTGGGAACTAATAGAGTGAGAACTCACTCACTACCTTGACGATAGCACCAAGCCATTCATGAGGGATCCACCCCGTGACCAAAACACATCCCATGTGACCCTGTACCCAACCCTGGGGATCAAATTTCCATGTGAGGTTTGGGGGAACAAATATCCAAACCTTAGCACTTAACTTCGTTTGAGAGTCTACATTAATATTAGTTGACTTATTTCTGTAATGTCTTCCTTCCTTGTTACATCATAAACCCCACAATAGTAGAGTTCAACTGTTTTTACTTACCACTGTATTCCTTCCCCTTAGTAGATATGCAATAAAAAATTGATGGATGAGTATAAATATATACTTAAATTAAAAATAAATTATAGAAGAGTGTGAGCTGATTGTATTCTTTTTAAAATAAATGCATATGCGTATGTGCCGGTATCCATCACTACCTGCAACTTTATCATCCAATATAAGAAATAGAATGTATTCAAATGTTAGGGGATATTTGCGTGTATTTTTGTGTAAAATATAAAAAAAGTCTTGGGATACCTAAAAAGTCAAACATTTGTAAATGTCCTCTCTAAATAATTAAACTTTAGTGAGAATCTTTATCAATCTTTAGACAAATCTCTGATTATTTCCTTTAGGTAAATTTTGAGAAGCAAAATTACTAAATCTAAGTGTGTCTGCCTATATATGTTCATGCATATTGCCATTACTTATCTAATGATAAGGAGCCCAGTGACTGGGCTAGCCCTAGGAATCAATAGGAATAAAAATAAAAATAAATATAGAAAACATATAAAATAAAAAATAAACATATTTTGTTCTATTTTGATTATTATATTGGGTAATTCCTTAAAAGTCACTCCACATCTAAGGATCTGATAAATATTAAATATATTTCTCTTCATTTATTTGAGGCGAATTTTAAACATTTCACTCTTTAAGCCATCAGAAGTTTTATTTGCTTGAGGTTACTTTTTTCCCACTAAATAGTGATCTAATTATCCCTGCACTATTTATTGAAGAGTCATCCTTTTCCCTATTAAGCTGTGATATTACATTTATCTTACACTAAATCATTATATATACTAGTGTTGGTTTCTTGGATATTTGTTCTGTCCTATTGATATTTGTACTTTCATGAACCAGTACATACTACTTTATTCATTTAAGCAAGGATCATAGGGTTACTATAAAAGAGTTACTACCTATGCTTTAATGATCATTAAAAAAACTTACTTGTTTTAAGTAATTGAAAAGTTACTAAGATATATAAGTACATGATTTACTTATTTACCTTTCATTACCTCCAAATTTGAAATATTTTACAGAAATGTGCATTGTACAGTGGAATAAAAATAAATGAAAACATTTGTAAGAATTAAGATTAATTTAGGAGTGAGGTTAACATATGAAATCATTTCCATAAGGAACTAAAGTTACTTTAGAATAGATCATATATTGTTTCTAGATGTGATCAAAACAAAGAAAAAAAAATGTGACCAGTTACAAGATTCCAAGTTTATCCTTAGAGTAATTTTTTAAAATTATTATTTTTTGAAGTCCCACTCGCCTGGTATTGAAACCCAAAAGTGGTGGTAAGCAGCCTTGATTATATCCCTGCAGTTGGCAGGTGAGTCTCTCTCACTGTGCTTCCAAAGCATCTTGTGTCACTATCCAACACTGACTGCGTTGTGCTACAATAGTCATGCATGCTTTGCTCTGTCCCCACCAACGTGACCCTCCCAGCCCCAGCCTGTAACCTTCTTTGATGCCTGTTTTCATAGCCCTTGTGTCTGGCACAGTGCTTGGAACAGGAGAGGGTTCAAAATTGTGGGGGGAAAGGGGGAAGAAAAAGCAAACTGAGAGATGGGAAAGAGGGAGGGAAAAGGAAGTTATCTAGGATTCCACATGGATTTGTTTGAAGTTAGCACTAACATGTTGGTGCCTCTGCCTTCATATTCCATGCTTCTAACTTATTCCTGGCACCATCCTGGTCCCAAATTCTGTTCCCATCCCTCAGAGCAATAGAAATGGATTTTAACCTCTCTGCTTACTGTCCCCAATCCCAGTCCTGACAGTACACTGTCTACGCTCATATTAGATAGCACAAGATGATTTTTATTGTGAACGTGTTGGGATTTCAGGGCTAGAATCATTCCAGTTAATAGTGTGACATTAGGAGTTGATAGATTTACCATCAGCCTCGGGAGCTAAGTCAAGCTCACTCATCTGCCTTTAGCGATGCTGTAACTTTGTTCAAAAGGACCACTCAGAAAGCAGAGCTGCCGGCTGCTCGCTCACAGCTCCTTAGATAAGGCAGGCCCATTCCGTTGGCTTATTTTCTGAGCATAATGTGCTCATAGCATCTGTCAAAATTCATTGCTTATAAAAGACAAGGACCTACCTTAAGCCAGCTTAAGTATGAAATGAAACTCATGTAACTAACTTGTGTAACTCATGCAACTGAAACCTCCAGGAAAAGTTGAGCAGGGGCTCAAATCAAACCGTGTCATCAGGGCTCTCTCTCACTTCTGTTCCTCTGTGCTGGCGTCATTCATAAGTAAGTCCTCTCCACATAGTGAGCCCAGCATTTTCAGCATAACAACCCTGGCAGAAAACATCTCTTTTCATTTTATTTTCCTTTTTTCAAACAGTTTACAGCCAAAGTCCCAGGATCTGAGACTCATTGGCCTCTCTCAAACTCAGTAACTCTATTCAGGGCATTGGAATACTCTCAATGTCTATTCTTAGAAATTCAGAATTGGAGTCAGCCCTAGCCCACCCACATAGACTGCTCATAGGCAAGGGGTGGCTCCCCAAAGGAAAATTGAATCATGGAGCAGAAATAAGAAGGAATGATGTTGGGCAGATGTGAGGTTCATTTTATGTGTCAACTTGACTGGGTCAGTGTTTGAACAGATATTTGGTCAAACATTATTCTAAGGGTGTTTTTGGAAGAGAGTCACATTTAAATCGGTAGACTGAGTCAAGTAGATTGCCCTCCCTGATGTGTGTGGGCGTCACACATAGTTGAAGGCCTGCATGGAACAAAAAGGCTGACCCTCCTCTAACTAACAGAGAATTCTTTCTGCCTGACTGCATTTGAACTGGGACGCTGGCTTTTTTCTGCCCTTGGACTCAAACTAAAATACGAGCTCTTGGCTGGGCACGGTGGCTCACGCCTGTAATTCCAGCACTTTAGGCGGTTGAGGCAGGCAGATTGCCTGAGCTTGAGAGTTCGAAATCACCCTGGGCAACATGGTGAAACCCTGTCTCTCCTAAAATACAAGTAAATTAGCCAGGTGTGGTGGTGCATGCCTGTAGTCCAAATTACTCAAGAGGCTGAGGTTGGAGAGTTGCTTGAGCCAGGGAGGTGGAGGTTGCAGTGAGCCAGGATCGCCCCATTGCACTCCAGCTTGGGCGACAGAGTGAGACTCTGTCTCAAAATAAATAAATAAATAAAACAAAATACCAGCTCTTCCTGGGTCTAGAGCCAGCATGCATTTAGGCTGGAATTTACACCATTGGTTCTCCTGGTTCTTAGTCCTTCTGACTCAGACTGGTGCTTCACCATCTGCTCTGCTGGGCTTCCAGTGTGCTTTCTCACCCTGCAGACCTTGGGGCTTGTCCGTCGCCCTAATCATGCAGACTAATTTCTTACAATAAATCCCTTTCTATATATGCATATAACCTTTTGGTTTTGTTTCTCTGGAGAACCTTGAGTAATACAGAAGGCCAGACAGTAGAAACCCTCTACACTCTCCATGTCCTCTTGCTGTGTCTTTGAAGTCCCTGTGTTCTGTCTACCCACATCTCCTTCCTATCCTTGAAATACATGTGTGGCCTATTCCAAAGCTCATTCTTATCCTCTGCTTTGAAGCCCTTCCTTATTTTACTCTTGGAGAACTCAGCATCATCCACCTTATAGTTTCACAGAGCATAAGTATTTCCCCACCATTTCCTCATTCTGATTCCACATGGATTTCTATAGCTTCCCTACCTTTAAGGGAGAAGAGACGCTTTTTTTGTGCACCCACTATGTATACAACCCTGTGTTAATGGTTTATGGAATATGGATAGGAAATACAGATGCTACTTGACTTACAATGGGGTTATGTCCTGATAAATTTGTTGGAAGTTGAAAATATTGGAAGTTAAAAACTCATGTAAAGGATAAGTCATGATTGCGGACTGTGAATGTCCCAACTCACGTGTGATGGCCATTACTGGCCTGCTGCCTTCATGCTGGGCAATTATCTTGAGTTTCATCTCAAGAGTAATTGCCTTCCTCTTCTTCTCACCAGAAGCAGGAGACACAGATGGGCATTTTGTAGACATGATGGATGCGGAAACAGGATATCCAAAAATTGCTGGCAACACAGCACACTGTCATCATGTGCCTGACTGGGAGCTGCATTTCACTGCCGCTGTCCAGCACCTCAAGAGAGTATCCCACTGCATATCTCTAGCATCGGAAAAGAGCAAAATTAAAAATGAAAAACATGGTGTTTACTGAATGCATATGCCTTTCATACTACTGTAAAGCCAAAAATAGGAAGTTGAACCATTGTAAGTCAGGGACAAAGGTACTTAGTTTCTTCTCTCAGAGTGAGAATTAGATAATCATGGTCTTCTCCCTTCCTCTAGCCTTACTTTCTGACTCATCTCTAATTAGGCAGTTCACAATATTTCTTGAAGACACACATTATCCCCAGAACTGTTGTTAGGGTAGTGATTAAGTTCAGTGACTGGTGACAATAAACCAGAGTGATGACAGGAAAAAGCAATGAAATTAGCTTGAAGACAAGCTAGAGGCAAGTCATGCCAGAGGTTGCCCCTTAGGGTTGGTGCCTGCCATAGCAGGAGCAAAACCAAAGATGATGCCGTTGCGCCTGACTGAGGCATCAGTCACAAATGGCCCATCCCCCAAATTATCTGGTTCATCTTATAGAAGCCAAGTTGGTATGCTATAAGTGGTCAGAAGGCACAGGGTGAAGATCCGGTGTCAATGTTTACCTAATGTGAGATCATGGGAGGCCACTTTACTTCTCTGGGTTGTTTCCTCCTCTGTAACTTGAGGTACTACAAGGCTGACTTCATGGTCATGCAAGCTCTGTGCAGTCCCAGAGGAGCCCTCATGTAGAACAGCCCCACACTTGGCTTAGTGCTTTGCTGTCACTGTCTTGAATTTCTTAATGATTTTTAAGCAAAAGGCTCATCATTTTCATTTTGCACTGGGTAATTATGTAACTTGTCCTGTGGGCCAAGTCAGTGATTCCACAGGATTCCTGGGGTTGGTCTATGGACTAAGGTGCCTAAGGTCCTATTTGTTTGGGAAAAAGGTGGGTTAACCATTAAACAAAGATAAGTAAGTTTCTTTACTGAAGGACATCTCAGAGTGTTTACATGTTAATATTTTTGTCACTCTCCAGAAAAAGAAAATGAAAATCATCTTTTAAACTTATTTGACCACAAAGCTCTCCAACTTTTTTTTTTCTCAAGAAGCATCTCATATAACAAGTGACACGCAGAATACATTTTGGAGAATGTTGGCTTCACTGTTTGCTTAGGTATCTGTGAAGTCTTACAACCTGTACTTTTTTTTATTGTAATGAGTCATGGATGGAGACCAGGAGCAGGGGAAGGGGAATTAAAGCTGGAATTAAGGAGTGGAAACAGGGTCTAGTTCCACATTCAAAGATGAATAATGCTATTCTATGGCCCAGGGCTCTGTTGCAAGAAAGAGTTACACTGGTCTTGTCTCACTGAAGCCCACACAGACCTACCATTTATCTCCTCTGAATTTCTGTTTATGCTGCTTTATCTATGTAAATGCCCTGCTTCACCTCAGTCTAGTAAATTCTTATTGTTTCTTCCTCCAAAATGTATCTTGAATTTGTCTACATTTATGTCTCCCAGCTTCACCCTTGTGTAAAACACATTGTCACAAATGGAGCAATGTTATAGTTTTCTAATTCACCTCCCAGATCCACCCCATTCTCCACTTGGTACTCTGACTTGACTTCTCTTTCCTAATTGCAGACTGGCCTCATGCCACTTCCCAGAATAAAACCTGTCAAAATTCCTGCTGTTTTTAGGAGAAAATCAAGACTTCCACTCATAACTAACTGCCTTGCAAGACCTGAACCCCACCTGCTTGTCCAACTTTGTCGCAAGCTAGCCTGCCTATTGCTCCTATTCTCTGAACACAGTGACCTTTTGAGACTTTCTTGAGAGCACCAAATTATTTTTCATTTTAGGAAATGTTTACGTTCTGCTTTCAGTCTCATGAATATTCTTACCCTTGCTATGCAAATGGCTGACTCCTCTTTAGTCTTTAGGTCTTCAATAAAAATCATTTCCCTTGCAAGATCTTTCTTGACCACTTTTCTGAAGCACCTCCCCCACCCCCACTGATACCATATACCTCCTACCCCTCTTAATACTATCAGTTCATCCTGGTCATTCAATTCTTAATATCCATACATGCTATAATTAGTTGTTTACTTTCTCATTGCTAGAATGCCAATGCCTTGAAGGCAGGGATTATATCCCTCTGGTATATCCGATTCTTAACAAATGCGTGGTACATAGTAAATATTCACTGTGTATTTGTTGACTGAATGACCAAGTGAATGAATTCCTAAAGGTCTGTCTAATGCTTGTTTCCTATCCATGATGTCTCTTCTGATTTTTCCCAACAAGAAAGGATGTCTCCTTTGTCTGAATTCTCGTAGTTCTTTACCTATGACTTCTTTATAGCTCTTGTATTCAACCCCTTGGCATTATTGGTGACTTTATTTCATCCTTCTTAAGTTCCTGGAGTAGCATCTTACAGATTTTTGTATACTCCAGCTGTTCCTGGCACAGAATAGGTGCTCAATAATCCTGATTGACTTGATTTGAATAATTGAAAGAGCTTTCAATAGAACAGGCACCTAAAAAGTTGTTGAAGAAGATTATTTAAAAATAAAACAACAGCAAGCCAAAAATGGGCACATTTCCCGGCCATTTTAGGAGTCTTGGAGAACAGCCTAAACACCAATCCCCACTGATCCAAATCGGCTTCATTAAACACTCCCTGGGCCTGTGAGATGGATGGCATCTGAGCAGAGCCCTGACAGGCTGGAAGAAAAGATCTCCACCTCCAGGTGCTCCTCCACTGCTCCTGGCCCCAGTTGATGGCCCTGCCATGGAAACTTTCAAGGAGGAAACTGCTGTGAGCATGAAGACTGAGCAGTGCTCCTTTTTGCTGGCCCTTTTAGAAATTTCCTCCGATTGAGAATTAGTCCTGGATATATGTGCATAGGTGAGATTACAATAAAGACTTGGGAAAGAGGAAGGTGTCTTTCTTGGCCAGGACACTCAAACATGAGTGACTATTACCATTCTGAGTTTATTTTGTTTCATCTATAGAAGTAATAATGTATACCTGACAGGGTTGTTGTGAGGATAAAATAGGATAATATATGTCTTAATTTTATATACATATAGTAGATGCTAAATATGTGTTAGGTTCCTTCCTATCTTCCCTTCCATTTCAGGTAAGAGCTCTGTGCGTGACCTCCAGGATGGACCACATCAGGGAACATAATTTGAATTTATAGAAAGGGGAAAGTTAGATTGAGTTATATGTGTATACACATGAGTGCATATAGCTCATGTATATGTGTTATCTGACGGGAAGCTGGTACTTGCTATGCATTTTGATGTGATAAGTGAACAGCAAACAAAATGACGTGCGCCCAGAAGAGAATGCAACTGGAACCTTCATCTCAACCTGGACAGTAGTGCCTTGTGGAGATACTGTTAGTTTGTGGGAAGAAAAGTTATACAGTCTTAAAGGGGCAAAGGGTGAAATTTTCTTCTTCAAGCTAGGAATAAGAACAAGTTTCATCTGAAGCAAACTAACATCAGAAAAGTCACAATTTCTTTTTTAAAGTTTGTTTCATAGCCAGGGTGAGGGATTTCCATTGGTAGAACTAGAAGCCTTTTCATATCAGTCTCCATTATTTATTAAATGAACTTCAGAAATAGATGGATAAAGTAGTATCTGACACTTGAAAGTCTCTGCCAGATGCTGTGTTCCTAGCCCAGCAAAAGAGGGGCCAGATTACATTATGATGTCGTTTTTCTCTCTTCCTTTCTGATAATCATTTCCTGGACACAGGGGTGGAAAACAGATTACTTGGAAACAGAACATGTCTAATAGAAACTCACTTAAGGTTCAGGAAATACCTGAAACATAAAGGATTTTTTGCCGTAAATGTGATGTGACAAGTTCACCTGTGGACCAAATGAAGTAACCATAAAGGCATCCATTTGCTTGAGAATTATCCACACAGTAACCTGACTTCAGTTTTCAGATGCCTCTGGAACATTTGCTGTGGCCTTGGGTTTTTTTCGTCTATATCCATGGTATTTCTTCACTCTCTTATTACAAATGGGTAAGAGATCTAAGAAGAAAATCAAAACTAAAAGAAAAAGAAAAACACACAGAACCCCCCTCCCCCAAAATGCCCATGTTTACAAGGACAATGGATGGAATGGATAGAATTTGAGATAAATCTGTCACAATGATAGCTGTCATTTAAAATAGTTGTCTTCAAAATTTTGTTTAACTGACTTTTTTTTTTTTCTCTGTCATCCAGGCTGTAATGCAATGGCGTGATCTTGGCTCACTGCAATCTCTACCACCTGGGTTCAAGTGATTCTCGTGCCTCAGCCTCCCGAGTAGCTGGGATTACAGGCATGCACCACCTCACCTGGCTGATTTTTGTATTTTTAGTAGAGACAGGATTTTGGCTGGTTGGCCAGGCTGGTCCCAAACTCCTGGCCTCAAGTGATCTGACCACCTTTGCCTCCCAAAGTGCTGGGATTACAGGAGTGAGCCACCGAGCCCCAGTGTTTAACTGACTTTAACATGGCATGAAGTTTATTTTATGATTGTAAGTTTTGGAAAATAACACATGTATTTGCTTTGTTGTTAATGAAAGCTTACTTTAAAAAGATGCAATGAAAAGGAGATTCACTGGGAAAGAGGGCCATCTTCTCTGACATTTAATACATGAAAACACAGCAAAATGATAGGGAAATAATACACGTTCCAGAATGTTGATGTCTCAGAGACTCCTCCCCAACTATTTATTTGTTTCTTCTCTCCTCCATCCCACTAACAGTTGTTGCAGTGGCACAGCAGCACCAGGGCCATTTATTAGATGAGGCACTTTATTAGAATGGTGCTTCATTGGAATAGAGACCCACACAGTCCTTGAGTGAAGACACATGTTGGCAATAGGAAGAGGTTATTTTTCCACAAGTCATATTAAAGATGACTGGGTGTTGACACAATACAGAAAATCGCTGGTGAAGGATTTTAACCTTCTTTAGCAATGAGCAGGTCACCTCATGGAAAGATAGGACAGAGTTTTCTGAAATCTTCCCAGGAGCTTAACGAATGGATTTGAGCATGATTATAAAAATGGCTGCATAAATATTTTTCTTTGCTCATTTCAGAGCATGGTAATCAGAAAGGCTCTTTGAAAACCATATTTTTATCTGCACCTCAGATTCATCCATACCCATTAGCTGCTTAATTAGGCGAAACAAACTTTAAGTTGCATGCCAGGGGCTTAATTTAATTTGCCTGGGATAAGCAGTTGGCCATAGCTGTGAAGCCTTGTGTTTTTAGAAATTATACTAGAGTATTGAAGCAAAAACTCTTAAAATACAGTGTGGAAATTGAAGCAGACCGTAGTTCATATTGTGTGGGAAATTTAAAGAGGTCTAATAGCCAGTAAGCAGGTATGTGAGTCACATCTCCCTGATGTTGTTCACATTCCAGTTGCTTGTTTTTTCACTCTAGTCCTGTGGATTCTAAAGTAGTACAACTCAAGTGACATCAGTTCATGAAGACAAAAGAAGCTTTTTGTTTGATTTTGGCTGGGTGGGTGTTTTGTTCAGGCAAGTATTGAGCAGAAGAAAAAATGTCTTTATAAATCCTTAGCTTAATGGATTTTTAAAAAATCAAATGTAAATTCTATTAAACTACTTTTCAGTTATCACATAATTTACTTAGGCATTTCTGCATAGCAAAATATATTTGGTCTAAATGCAAAGGGAAAAAAGTGATTTAACTTTGCAAGAAACTGTTCCTTTGTTTTTTTAAAAATAAGTATTTTTAAATTTTATGGGTACATAGTAGATGTATTATTTATGAGGCACTTGAGTTATTTTGATATAGGCATACAATATGTAATAATCACCTCAGGGTAAATGGAGTATCCATCACCTCAAGCATTTATCATTGCTTTGGGTTACAAACATACCAATTATACTCTTTTAGTTATTTTTAAAAGTACAATAAATTACTGTTGACTATACTTGTCTTTTGCTTTTAATCATTTAAAATAACATCCAAGACACAATTCTTGTAAAAAGGAAAGTTAGAAAGTTGATTTTTTACAGCATGTAAAATAAGTATATTTAGGTATGTAGCACCTTCCTGGAATAATAGGGGAGTCAATAGCAAAGCCTGTGTCCATTGTGTGTCACTGATGCATGTGTTGTGTAGAAAATCAGGAGGAACTATGGATAGGGCTCAGGGTATGAGTGCTGGCTCCGAACCTGATATTAGCTGTGACTTGAGACAAGTCACTTGACTATGCTGTCTTAATTTTCCAGTATGTGAAAAAGTGAAAGAAATAATATGACTTATTTAGCCCACAGGGTTGTCTACAGCAGAGGAGGAAAAGATGAATGTGATTAACATATTCAGCTGGGAAAATATGCAGCAAGTTTCAAATGAGAGCTGTGAGGTACAAAGAGAAGAAGGTTGAGAGAAAATTTGGAAGTGAAGAGCTAAGGGGCCCAAAAGTAGCATCTAGAGTGAGAAGAATGGGCTAGAAGAAAAGTAGCAGTGGGTTTGATGCGTAGAGAGAGGCTGGCATGAGCGTGGACAAGATACCATCACAGCAGAAAACATGGAGCCACTTGGTGATGGGTTGGAGTCTTCTACATTGACCTTGATGCAGTGTGTATCTTCTGTTAACCATCCCCATGCTGCAATCTGTGACAGGATGGAATTTGTTGTGAATCCTTGTAGGGTCAGGGCCAGGAATCAGTGAGAATGACTGCATTGTGTTGATACTTGAGTCCCCTGCCAAGCTTGGTAGATAGGAACAGTCCACGCGGTGGCTGAGAGTGATGAGGTAATAATTGAAGAGACAGAGTAAAATGAACAGAAAACCACTGGGTGTTCAGTGCACAGAACTTCTTGGCATGCTGGATTTATCCAGCAAGAAAAAGAAATAGAGGGAAGACATTGGCTGATGATCTCTCGCTTGTAGACTTAGTTGCTTAATTGCCAATGAGGGAGAGATGCTGCTTGCAGGTGAGTTGCCAAAGTGAATAAACATGAGTTATGTTAAGAAATTAACAAAAGATAAATTTCAGGCAAGTTTCTGGAAAACACAGACTGGTGAGAAGATCCACTGGACTGTGAAAAAGCCTTACCCTTGGAAAGCGGAGGGAGTGCCATCCTTTAAGATATTTAAAACAAGACTAGCTAAAGCATCTGCTAGAATCTTATCCAGAAGGGAAAAATCCAGATCTGGCAAGAGATGAACTAGCTGATGTCTGGGAGCTCTCACACCTCTCATTCTTGATGTTGAAAAGCTGTGGTCAAATCCCTGAACATTTTCCCGAGCACATTTAAGACTGGGAGCTGTGTGAATCATTAGTCATTCTGGTAATCTCTAGGAGGCAGTGCCAGCTGTGGAATTTTGAGCAGATGTGGCAAAACAGCAGAAACCACCTTTTGGATTCATATCCTCTTGTCTCTCACTCTTATCCTTGGAAGAATCTGAGCATATTTTTAAAGGGCAAGTTAGGTGGTAGTAGAGTTGTTAAAAAAGAAAAAAAAGAGAGAGAGAGAAATCTGTTTGAGAGAGAGAGCTTCCAACTTCCTAATTTATATTAAGGGGAGAATAATTGTAAATGCCCAGATTTAAGTACAGTAAACTATGCCTTGATCTAACCATTATAGGACTCTGCCCAACCCAGAACAATTATCAACTGTTAATTATGCGTTTGAGCATGAGGCCCAGCAAATTGATAATTCCAGACCATCTTCCCTCTGCTGCCTATCTGTTTCTAGCCTGTCCCTTGGCTATTTGCTAGCAGAATAAACTATATCCTTGATAAGACTGCCATTTGAGAAAAAAATCCGTCTGGAAGGACTGGCAGAATAGAAGGGATAGGAGTGCTGCCTTGATAAGTCATAAAGACCATCTGTCAGCTCTGAATCTCTGATCTAGGCTGATTGGGGAAAAGACAGGTGCAGATTGAAGTTGAAAACAGTTTTTTTGAATGAATTTGTCAAAAGTTTGCCTTACTTAATTTCCACGAGGGTCTAAACCTGTGACTTTGAATCGGCCCTTGAGAGTGACATTTCCATTGCCTGACTCTCACACACATGTTGTGTAGAAAGGCAGAAAGAACCATTGATAAGGCATCAGAAACTCAGGGAATGAGGCCTGGCTGTATGTGACTTTGGACAAATCACTTGACTGTGTTATTTTAGCTTTCTGGTGTGTGAAAAGGTAGTAACTCTCTTTTAGAGTTAACCCACAAGGTTGTATTTATTAAGGGAGGAAAAAAAGGAGCAATTAATGTATTTTCTTCTGAAAGAAAAGCATTTAGATTAGAACAATTTGTCCTATCAAAAGCCAATTTCTCTATTCACTTAGTAACTGCAGCTCATCTCCTTTTACTTACTTAACTCCAGAAGTTCATCTTGTGTTCTGTATCATTAATATTCCCCATCAACTGGATCATTCCCATGGGTATACAAAAACTCTTAATATTTCTCATGTTAAAAGAACAAACACAAAAGAACTTTAATTCCCAGTCCCATGTCTTTCTCCACCTACTGCCCACTTGCACTGCTCCCCTCCATGACAAAACACTCAATGGAGTTGTCTATACTGTCCTTCTGCTTGCTCATCTTCCAGTCTGTTTTTAACTCATTTCATCAGGCTTTGTTCTCATCACTCATTTGAACCTGTTCTGGTAAAGTCACCAGTGACTTCCACATTGCTGAATCTAGTGATCACCTTACAGCACTCATTCTTCGTCAACTCTCTGCATCATTTGACACAATTTTTTACTTCTTGAAACACTCTTCACTTGACCTCCAGGCTGTGACAATTTTCTCATACTCATTCTGTCTCCTCAACTACTTTTCAGGCTTCTCTATGGGTTCCTTATCTTCTTTCTGATCACTGTTTTGGAGTTTGGGGGGGCTTATTTATCAGATTTTTGTCTTCTCTGTATTGTTAGGTGACTCCATCCAGTTTCATGGCTGTAAATATTATCTCCAGCCTCAACTTGTCCTTTGAATTACAAACTCCCATCAAGGTGCCTCTGTGGCATTGCCAGTGTCTATCTAATAAGTTTCTCAAACTTAGCATGTTCAGTACATCTATTCAGTTAGTCAGGCCAAAGTTCCAGGAGTTAACTTTGAATCTTCTTCCTTCATATCCTAAATCCTACCCATCAGCAAATCCTGTCCATTCTTCAAATTATATATCCAACTATTCTCCACCAAGTTCATGACTACTATCCTATCACTTGATCATTCTATTAAGTCATTAATATCCTATTCTATCATTCTATTAAGTCACCATCATCTCTCATTTGGACTAGGGTGAAAGTCTTGTAATGGATTTTGCTTTCACTCTAGACTGCCCAAAATCCAGTGTCCACACATCACCTTCAAAGATCTTTTAAAATCTCAAAGAGATTCTTTCACTTCTCATTCAAAATCCTCCAACTCAAATTCTTTACACTGGCCAATAAATCTCACATCAGATTTAATTTTATTTTCTATTTTTGTCCCCATTACACATTCTGTTCTGGTCATCTGAGCTTTCTTGGGTTCCTTAAACATGCCAGGCTTATTTTCTTCTCAGGCTCTTTGCAATTCCTGTTTCCTCTGCCTGAAGTTTCTCTTCCAGATTTTGAAGGATTTTATCCAGAGTCCTTCCCTGAGCATCTGACCTAAAATGGTCCTTGAGTCCCGGCTGTGTCGCCACAATCTCTCAACTTGATTAATTTTCCTTTAGAGCATCTATTAGTGTCTAAAGTTACATCATTTATTTTTTGTTTTTAACTTGCTTTTGTTTTTTGTTTTCTCAGTCTTTCCAAGTAAAGGTAAGTTCCCTGAAAGCGAAGTTTACTGTTGTATCCTCAGCATCTGAAATAAGACTAGCATATAGTAGATGCTTCATAGTGACTTTAAAAAATCTTATTAATTCACCATACCATCTAAATTTCTTTGAAAATCTCTTTGTCATGTTTAACTTTTGATGCATAAGGACATCAGGTCTTCCTTATGGAATCAGAAAATGCCTGCTGTGTTGGCTAACTCCAGTGCACTACTGTTTGTTCTCACAGTGTTGTTCAGTAGCCATGTTTGTGTAGTTGCTGATTCTTTATAACTCCTGCGGTTTTTTTCTCCCTAAGGAGTCCTAGATATGCCAATACATCACAAGGATACACCACAAGGGAAACTGACCACTTGGATGTGCTTTGGAATGGGCTTTTGGGGCAAAATTGAAAAAAGCAAACAAACAAACAAACAAAACAAACAAACGAAAACCAACCTGGGTTCTTTTGTAATTCACTTTCCTGAAACACGGATGTGTCAGTGTAGGGACTGCGGATGGAAGCAATTAGGGTGAGAATGGAGGTGAGCTGGTGAAAGAGCCAGCCAGGGTGAGAGTTGGCTCCAGTACATTGAAGAAAGCAGAACTGAGAGTCAGGGGCACAGACTGATATAACACCTCAAGGCAGAGCAGAGAGGCCCAGTGCTGGAAGGTGGGGGGCCTACTGATGGTGACTGGCAAGATGAGGGAGGTGATCACAGAGCTGGACCGTGGAGATAAACATCAACCTGCAGGAGAGAGGGGATAATGTTAAAGGAGAGGCTAATTTCTGCTTAGGGAGTCCTCAGCTCCTCCTTTCTGGGGTACTAACCGCACTCTTTATTCAACTTAATTATTTAGGAATTTGTTAAATGCCCATACATGCCAGGCTCTGTGCTAGCTACTGGAGATAGGAAGCGAAAAAGGAAGCCCCCATTCCCATTTTATGCCTTCGAAGTGCTTTTTACACAAGAAATCTTTTTAAAATCAGATAAATTTGCATTAATTTCAGGGAAAATAATGATGATGGAAATTAGTTGAGGTTGAGGGGAAAAGAAGATGGAACAGAAGTAGAAGACTTGAAGAGGTAAGGTACGTCCCTTAAAATATATATATTTTTAGTATTTATCAAAGGTTTCATCAGTGTAACAAGCATTTCACTGTCAGTAGGGGATTTTTTTCTTTTTTCTCCTTGCTCATATCAGCATAGGAGATTGGAGGATGGAATAAGAAATATTAAGTCAGTTACATAGGTATGTTATTTCTCAGAGTGTCAAAAAATTTTATATTGGGGATTCCAACGTAGGCAAACATTTATAAATGCTGTTCTTATCTTCTGTGCTCTTCTTTTTTTCCCTAGGACTCCTTGGAGAAGTTCACATGACATTCTGTTTGACGTAAAATCAGCATGTGTCCCAAGTAAATCAACAACAGCTGTTTTAAATAGCAGATTGTATTTCAAAATATCATTATGAACCAGGGGAAGAATTGCATGGATGCCTGTGTCTCCAGATTACAGTGATGGAACCTAGCATCTGGACATTGTGGCCATGGGCAGACAGATCTCAGAGTTGGCTGGAAGATGGTTATCTATTTAATGAAACAGTGATCTTTAGGGGGAAATTTTTTTCATGATTCATGGGTTAAAAATGCCAGCAAAAAAGAATGAAAGGAAAAAAGGCTCGGTTACATTCAGAGGTGTCATGCTTCTGTTGGCTAAAGCTTCTACTCAGAATCCTGTGCATTTCTCTGAATGGGGTAGCAAAGCAGTTTAATACTAGTCTGTTCACTTCAAAAGTACTCACACCAATAAACTAAGTAAGATTCAGTACCCATCCCCACAAGAGTTCTTAGATAACATGATGGACTAACTGTATTACACTGTGTCACTAAGAAAGTGTAGATTCTGTGACCTACAGGTTGTTCCAGGCACAGGATGGACCTGGCTGCACTTTTCAGTCTCTCTTGTTGTCCCCCACTGGTTAAAATTCCTTCGGCAATGCCAGCAGCACTTCTCCCTGCTCTGATTTTAGGCCTCAGAGGAGAATTTAGGCATTTCCCCTTCACCTTCTAACAAATGCTTCTTTGAACAACCTGCTTCCATGATGCTACCAAGTGAGCCTTTCCTGTTGGCACAACCCCACTGAGTTGCAGGGCAACAGCTTCATCCTGTGGTGGCACATGCAAATTTCAGAATCTCCATAGCCGGACCAGTGTGCCTGACCCAGGTGGGCACCCATTTCCTGGAGAGTCTCCTGTCTTATTTGCAGGCTTGCTGAAGGGTCCATCATTACATTGCATGACTGAAAGTGCAACTGTCATGACTCCTGGCTCTCTGCAGGCCTTGTCCATTGTGCACAATATTATGAGTCCTGTGGTCAGCCTTAGTACCTCAGGGAACTGCTGGACTTGATCTCATGCTCTAGATTCACTATGGCCTCACCATGTTGTCTTTAGATTGACAACTCTAGCAGGCTAGCCTGCTCACATATCCAGTCTCTAGGCCCAGGTGCTACCTTCTGTACCTATACTTCTAGCCTGCAGAGCAACCCCTCCATAAGGCTCTAATGCCCAGCCAGAGATAGTACTGTGGGCCCCCTTCTGCTTTGGGACAGGAGTTTGAACGTATCTCCACTGGTCACATACCTCCCAAAAAAGTTACTGAAAAACTTCTGTTTCTATCACTTATATCTGAGGTTGTCAAAGTTTTGCCTATTGTAAGTGAAAATGTGAATCCAGAAAGTTCATGGGTCCAGCTTGTGCTTTCCCACTGTCTGGTGTCTTCTTTGAAATACTTGCTCGCTCCAGGCCACTCTTGCCACAGTGAAAATTCATCTGAAAAACAAACAAACAAAAAAAGCCCACCTATTTATTTTAGAATATTTACTGTAAAAATAGAAAGCTTTCAAATGACAATGCCTCTGAAATGCTTTCCAGATAGGTCCAAATTATACTTACCCTTTAAAGCACAGCTCAAATGCCAGAAGTAATCAATAACTTCCCCTTTTGAATTCTCATAGCATTTTATCTGAAACACTCTTAAGACGCTTATACTTTTTCCCCTGGATTATTGTTACTGACACATAACCACCTTCCAAGAAAACTCTGTATAGTATAGGCTATTGTATTCCTCTATCTCCCACAATGCCTGTGCATGGAAGACTCTTAATATATGTTTGCTGATACAAAATACAGAACTCCTTGAAGGGGTTATGGTACTCTGCAAAATAATGACAACAAACACATTGAAAATGGCCACATTTCTGGCCAGTAGCTCCTGGTTGCTGCATATATCTATGGACAAGGGTAGTAGGGTCTTTTTAACTCTTTCTAGATTGTCCTCCCCGGGCAGCTGGAAGCCTGACTCCAAGAGTGAAGTTGCTAACGAGACAAATGGAAAGTGATTGTAACCATTCACCCAAACCATGATGGCATCTAATTAACAAGCATGGTTTTGACCACCATGTGAGAATATGAGTTCACACATGTGGTGCTAACCTTGCCAGGCAGACCTTTTGAAGGAAAATGGAATCTCACTGAATGGCAAAAATGTTCATTCTACAGAGAAAAGCATCCTGATTGTTTTAATCTAGCACAGGCAGGGAGCTCTTTCAGCAGGGAGATCTAGACTTCACTCTTGAACGTGAACAACAAAAGCCTCTTGAGCTTTCAAAGTACAATTCTGTCTTCTGCTCTTGCCTTCTAACTAACGCTGAAGGTCAGAGAAAGGAAATGGTATATATGATGTAAAAAACAATGGATACCAAAGTTGCTACTTTTCTCTCCAAGGTTAATTCTGTTTAGAATCTTCTTCACAGTGGACCTTTGAGACAACACAAAATAAAACCAAGGGAAATAGTGTGCAAATTGCTCTCTCTCCAGGAGAAATTTTGACAAACCCTTTATGGAACACTCTACTGAGCAAAGCATTCTTGTTCTCTTCCTCTTGTTGTTAATGGGGTTACATTCTTTTGACCTCAGAAGCAGCCAGCTTACCCCACCTTATATCGAAATCCTAAAGATATTTTTCAGTGCCTATCAAAACCAATAAATTTGGAAAGCACATTGTTCATGCTTTCTGATTTGCAGTTTTACTGTGTAATATTGAAAAGCCAGGGAGTATGTGAAGCTGAATCCTGAAAACTGGGCCTCATAAGGCATTTTTGGTGTGGCATGTAGGTTTTCCCTTCATCAGTCCGCTGGATGGTGCTTCTATACACACAATTGTCATCACTATTCAATATTCATTTAAGTGTCAACAATAACCAAAGTACAAATTATAAGCTTAAATAACATTTCTGGCCACAGTGAAATGCATGGTGAATACAGAGCAAAATGATTAATAAAGAAATGCAGCGTTTAGAAGATGAGGGAAGCAACAGGGTTCACTCTATTTCTCTTTTCCTAGAACAGCCTGGCAGAAACCATCTTTCTTCTTTTCTTGTGGATCTCCTCCATTCTCCACCTCACAAGTCCAGCCCTTCTTCTGCTCTTACACCAGATATGCTTGCAGACTTTAGGACTGGCTCTGACTTTTCTGAATTCCTGAACCATATCTTTAAATCCTTTGTTTTGAAAGGCACTTGAGTTGTTCCACCACAGATACTGTTTCATACTCAAACCCTACAGTAAGTATTTGCTTGGGGGCAAAAATGAAAATGCCCGGAAAGGGCCAATCTCACCTGAGTATAAACTAATTTTATCATGGTCAGAGAGCTGGAAAAGTGTGTTCAGGTATGTTCTGTGGTCCAACATGTGTAAGATGATTAAAAGGGCCTTGGGGATTTCCCTGTAGAAGATACAAAAGGCTGTGGTCCAGATTTATTTGGGAACATCCAGTTCTGCCTTAGGAACCCCTACCCCGTACAAATTTGATCTGATTACTGAAAGTGAGATAGTAATACTGAGATGCTCCATTCATTCTTTAATTTGTCTTTTCAACTAACATTTATTGAGCGTCTGCTATGTGCAGGTCTCGGTGCTGGGCACACATGAATATGAGCTGGGCCTTATCCTCAATATGCAAAACTGATCAAACCTTTCATTCCTTTCAGGGAGCTTACAATGACCTTTTCTTATCCAGCTCTTCATCTTTGTTTTAACCTCTCCTCACCAGGTATGACAGACCAGTTTGCGATTACGTGAATGAACTCTACTCTCTCATGCCTCTGAGACTCGGTACATGCTATGTTCTCCACTAAAGTGGCTTGCCTGCACTTGAGTCCTAATAAATGCATATCATTGAAATCTATGTTCAAGAGCTATCTTTTCTACAATGCCTTCCTGGATATATTCAGTCAGTTTGGATGCTCCTTCTCCAATACTCTTTTTTTTTTTTTTTTTTTTGAGACGGAGTCTCGCTGTGTCTCCCAGGCTGTAGTGCAGCCGCGTGATCTCGGCTCACTGCAAGCTCCGCCTCCTGGGTTCACGCCATTCTCCTGCCTCAGCCTCCTGAGTAGCTGGGACTATAGGCACTGGCCATCGCGCCTGGCTAATTTTTTTTTTTTTTGTATTTTTAGTGGAGACGGGGTTTCACTGTGTTAGCCAGGATAGTCTCCATCTCCTGAACTCGTGATCCTCCCGCCTTGGCCTCCCAAAGTGCTGGGATTATAGGCGTGAGCCACCACGCCCGGCCTCCAATGCTCTTGAAACACTTTATATACACAGTCTCATAAGCTTGATAAAAAAACATGTCTCACTCCAAAATTATAAGTTCTTTGAGGGCGGAGAGCACGAGTTTAGTTACTCTATCTCTATTATCTTCCCCAATGGCTTAGTATATGGTTGACAAATATTTGCTAATTAAATAAATTATTTAATTTAGAAAATGATAACTACTCTAAGAGAGGTACCGATGAGTGGTAGCTGCCATTTATTGACTGCTTATCATATAGCAGGCACTGTGTTATGCTTTCTATATACATGATTTTATTAATTCCCACTTTATAGATTATGAAACTGAGCTTGGTGAGCTTAGTGAAATTGCTCAATCTGACATGGCTAAATGTGATGGAATAATATTTGAACACAGGCCTGTCTGGTCCCAAAGCTTTGCTCTTAAGTGCCACATGGTGCTGCCCTCATTGAGGCAAAGCTGACCCAGGAAAATGAGCCTATAATTTAGAATGCTATGGCTCTTTTTAAAAGCAGCAATCATAACCCCTATGTATTATTGTAAACGTATGGCCCATTATTTCTGAGTCTGACCTGTAACCTCAAATGATGGTTGAAGAAGGAAACGAAACCCTTCGTGCTGAACAAGCATAGCACAAGCACTGACTTTTCTTTTGAAGTTAGGTCACTATGTAATGCACAGTGTTTAATTGATGCCTGATCAAATTCAAATCTCACTTGAATGTGGAAACTAAAGTTCTCTACAGTGAACTCTGAGGGATTTTGTCAACATGAGATAATTCTCTTCCAAGATAATGACTAAATTTAATCTCACAGAAGCCTGATAACAGATAATTCTCCTGACAGCCATGAGGCTGCTGGGCTTGTGTGTGAGTGGTGAGAAACTGAGCAGTGGACAGAAGTCCTGAAGTGTGGGATGCGAAGAAAATGGTGAGAAGAGAACAGGACATCTCCAGGGAAAAGAAGGCCCCAGTTAAACACTGCTGTGTCTGAGATAGGACTCTTAGAGCAAGCCTAGCTCTGCCAAAGGCATGTGCAAAGATGTTATTTCAAGTCCTAGAGACATTTCTGGGTGCATTTATTTCCATTTCTTGTTTTTTAATGCTTGTATTTCTCTTCCTAAAAATACTGCCCCTGTGATACAGTTAGGCTTTGTGTCCCCACCTAAATCTCATCTTGAATTGTAATCCCCATAATCCTCATAATCCCCACTTGTCAAGAGAGAGACCAGGTGGAGGTAATTGAATCATGGGGTGATTTTCCCTTATGGTGTTTTCAAGATAGTGAGTTCTCACGAGATCTGATGGTTTTATAAGGGCCCCTCCCCCTTGGCTTAGCACTTCTCCTTCCGGCTGCCTTGGGAAGAAGGTAAGAAGGTGCTTTGCTTCCCTTTTATCTTCCACCGTGATTATATGTTTCCCGAGGCCTCCTCAGCCATGCTGAACTGTGAGTCAATTTAACCTCTCTCCTTTATAAATTACCCAGTCTTGGGCCATTCTTAATAGCAGTATGAAAATTGACTAATACAGTAAATTGGTACCACAGAGAGTGTGGTGCTGCTATAAAGGTACCTGAAAATTTGAAAGCGACTTTGGAACTGGGTAACAGGCAGAGATTGCAACAGTTTGGAGGGCTCAGAAAAAGACAGGAAGATGTGGGAGAGTTTGGAACTTCTTAGAGACTTGTTGAATGGTTTGGGCCAAAATGCTGATAGTGATATCAACAATGAAGCCCAGGCTAAAGTGGTCTCAAATAAAGATGAGAAAATTACTGGGAACTGGAGAAAAGGTCACTCTTGCTATACTTTAGCAAAGAGACTGGCAGCATTTTGCCCCTATCCTAGAGACCTGTGGAACTTTGAACTTGAGACTTAGGGTATTTGGCAGAAGAAATTTCTAAGCAGCAAAATGTTCAAAAGGTGACCTGGATGTTTTCAAAAGTATTCAGTTTTATGCATTCACAAAGAGACGGTTTGGAATTGGAAGTTATGTTTAAAAGTCTGGAAAATTTGCAGCCTGATGATGCAATAGAAAAGAAAATCTCATTTTCTGAGGCGAAATTCAAACCAGCTGCAGATATTTGCTTAAGTAACGAGGAGCCAAATGTTAATTGCCAAGACATGGGGGAAATGTTTCCAGGGCATGTCAGAGACCTTTGCAGCAGCCCCTCCCGTCACAGGCCCAGAGGCCTTGTTCCTGGGCCTTGCTGCTTTGTGTAATCTTGGGACTTGGTGCTTTGCATCCCAGCTATGGCTAAAAGGGGCTAACTTACAGGTCAGGCCATTGCTTTGGAGGGTACAAGCTCCAAGCCTGTGGCTTACACATGGTGTTGAGCCTGCTGGTGCACTGAAGTCAAGAACTGAGGTTTGAGAACCTCTGCCTATATTTCAGAGGATATATGGAAACACCTGGATGTGCAGGCAGAAGTTTACTACAGGGGTGGAACCCTCATGGAGAACCTCTCCTAGGGTAGTGTGGAAGTAAAGTGTGGGGTCAGAGCCTCTGTTCAGAGTCCCTACTGGGGCACTGCCTAGTGGAGCTGTGAGAAAAGGGCCCTTGTCCTCCAGACCCTGGAATGGTAGATCGACTGACAGCTTGCACCATGCACCTGGAAAAGCTGCAGACACTCAATGCCAACCTGAGACAGCAGCCAGGAGGGGGCTATACACTGCAAAGCCACAGGGGCAGAGCTGCCTGAGGCCATGGGAACCTACCTCTTAGATTAGCATGACATGGATGTGAGACATGGAGTCAAAGGAGATCGTTTCAGAGCTTTAAGATTTGACTCTCCCATTGGATTTAGGACTTGTATGGGGCTTATGGCCTCTTTGTTTTGGTCAATTTCTCCCATTTGGAATGGGTATATTTACCCAGTGCCTTTACCCCCATTTTATCCAGGAAGCAAATAACTTGATTTTGATTTACAGAATCCTAGGTGGAAGGTACATGCCTTGTCTCAGTTGAGACTTTAGACGTGGACTTTTGGGTTAATACTGGAATGAATTAAGAATTTGGGGGACTGTTTGGAAGGCATGATTGGTTTTGAAATGTGAAAGGGACATGAAATTTGGGAGGGGCTGGAGGGAGAATGATATGGTTAGGCTTGTGTCCCCACCTAAATCTCATCTTAAATAGTAATCTCCATAATCCCTTGGTCCCCATGTGTCAAGAGAGAGACCAGGTGGAGGTAACTAAATCATGGGAGTGGTTTCCCTCATGCTGTTCTTAGGATGGTAAGTAAGTTCTCCCAAGATCTGATGGTTCTCCTGAGATGGGAGGTTTTCCCCCTTAGCTCAGCACTTCTCCTTCCTGTCACCTTGTGAAGAAGGTGCCTTGCTTCCCCTTCACCTTCCGCCATGATTGTAAGTTTCCTGAAGCCTCCCCAGCCATGCTGAACTGTGAGTCAATTAAACCTCTTTCCGTTATAAATTACCCAGTCTTGGGCAATTCTTTATGGGGGTATGAAAATGGACTAATACACCCTGGGAATTTGTTTCTCCTCCTTAGGACAAAACAAAAGATACAATATTTCCCTCATCCCGTGCTCCAGTCTAGAAACATTTGAGCCCAAATATCTATTGTCTGTGATGGATCCGGTGCAATGAAATTAGCCAATGACCAAGTCTCTAGATCCTTTTAAATTGACTTGTTAAATAAACTTTTATTGTAGGTTCAGAGGTACAGGTGCAAGTTTGTCATACAGGTAAATTGCATGTCACGGGGGTTTGGGGTACAAATTATTTCATCATCTAGCTAATAAGCATAGTATCCAATTGGTAGTTTTTTGATCCACTCCATTCTCACACCTTCCACCCTTATGTAGGCCCCAGTGTCTGTTGTCCTCTTCTTTGCATTCATATGTACTCAGTGTTTAGCTCTCACTTATAAGTGAGAACATGTGGCATTTGGTTTTCTGTTCCTGCATTAATTTGCTGAGGATAATGGCCTCCAGCTCCATTCTTGTTGCTACAAAGGACATAATCTGATTCTTTTTATGGCTGTGTAGTATTCTATGGTGCATATGTACCACATTTACTTTACCCATTCTACCATTGATGGGCATTTAGGTTGATTTCATGTTTTTGCTACAGTAAATAGTGCTGTGATAAACATATATGTGCACGCGTCTTTATAGTAGAATGATTTATATTCCTTTGGATATATATCCAATAATGGGATTGCTGAGCCAAATGGTAATTCTGTTTTAAGTTCTTTGAGAAATCATCACACTGCTTTCCACAATGGCTGAACTAATTACTTTGTCACCAGCAACGTATAGACATTCCCTTTTCTCTGCAATCTTGCCACTATCTGTTCTTTTTTGACCTTTTAATAATAGCCATTCTGACTGGTGTGAGATGGTATCTGATTGTGGTTTTGATTTGCATTTCTCTAATGATTGGTGGTGTTGAACATTTTTTCATATGCTAGTTGGCCACCTCTATGTCTTCTTTTGTAAAGTGAATTGAGCTATTTATTTATTTTTAAATATCCTCTTATTTGGACTCTGCTAGGTCCTGGCTTTGAATGGATTTTCTCTCTTTCTCTTCCTCCTCTACCACTGAGAGTGAGCAGGGTCCTCAAAAGCTGCCGGGCTCCTGGGGCATGTGGAAGGTTGTGCCTGCATGGATATGGAGAGTAGTGTTGGGGATGGGGATTGCTACCTTTCCGTCATTTAGGGCTTTTACCTGCAAAGGCCCATAGAGCTAGCTTTATTCAGAGTTTCATTGCAAAGCCTCATTTCTACTTTCCCCAACTCTTCTCTCAACCAGTCCTTGCCTCCAAGGACACCCATAGAGTCCTTGTGGTCATTTCTCGTGGTTATCAGCCTCCCATGGCTCATCCCTGCAGCTGCAGGAGGTTCGTGGTCCTGCCATTACCTCTTGCAGTTGGTTGGGGCTAGATCAGCCTTTTGGCTGCCAAGGGAGGAATCAGGAGCTGTTCCACATTTTGGGCTGAAGGAAAGACGTTGTAATTATGGATTGAAAGCCCCCACTGTTGGCATCACTGACTGCCCCCTAAGCAGAGGATTACTTAGAAATAGACAGCAGGGACACCCAGATGGACGTGGCTCACCCGACTTTTACTGGCTGACCGCGATCACCTTTTTCTGACCTTTAGAAAATGACAGAGTGCTGTGTTCTCCTGACTAAGAGTGTGACTACTGGGGAAGGGTGGCAGAATAATCATGCCCTGGGATGTTGCCATTTTATTATTTTTTTCTTTTTAATCTTAGCACACAATCCAGGAGTGTGCTAAAATGATTTGGACCCTATCCTTGAGGAGTTTAGGATATTGAAGGATGCAATATTAACACAGACATAATAATCGAGAACAACATAAAGGAGTCTATAATGGCTGCATAATTGTGTGCAATTGCCTGATGGGATAGTAGGAGGAGCCTTGAGGGCTGTGGGAGCCAAGAAAGCCTTCAAGAAAAAGTAACTTAAGCTGAGTCTTAGAGAATGTGCTGGATTTGAGTAGGGAGATGGAAGGGCATTCTAGGAGCCAAGACCAAAGGGGAAGGGACAGGAACTGTTTATTAGATGCTAAAGAAAGCAGTACAAACCTGAGGCATGGAAGGACAAGCTGGGAAGGTCTTTAACTGTTAACCCAGGTCCTGAAGCTCAGGGGTGAATCTGATCAGGTGTGAATCTCTTCTATGCCGAAGGTCCAGAGAGTGATTCCTCAAGGTCACAGAGCAGCCATGGTGCCAGATGCTGTGGTGTGTCTGTGCAGTCATAGGCTCAAAGCACTTCTCACTCAACCACATTGCATTTGCTCACAACTCATAACCCCTTTGAAGCTTGCCAAAACACAGGTGCACTTTTGTTTTGAAGACAAACTCTGAGAGCTGCTGATGGGACTTTTTGAGGCCACCATTGCTTCTGCAGCTGCTCATATGCTTCAAAGAACTGAGGCCTTAGCTGCAGGGGCAGGGGAGCCGTTGACTTCTGAGGTTTAGGTGGCAGGTGCCTTTTCTGCAGTCACTCCCTCCCTCTTTGGAAGCAGAGGGTGCTAGCCTCCTACAGAGAGGACTGTGAGCTCCCCCCTTGTCACGGATGGCCCTGCAGTGCCAAGTGCTGACAGGAGGTCGTGGCTGCTTTCAGCGGAGCATTAGCCCTAATAGGTTTGGCAGGATTTTAAAATAATCAAAACAAAGCAGGTTAGAAGGTTTGATGGGGGAGGTATGTGGTGACTGCTTGAGCTCAGATCACATGGTATGTCCAGCAGCCTGGCCCAGAACAGCTCCAAGGCCTGATGCCAAGGGTCTGGGCTGAACAGAAATCTGAAGTGGCTTTATCAGAGAAATTAGTGTGTGATTAGAGCTGAGAAGAGTCACGAGTCTTAACTTCTGTTTAGCACTCCAAGAATAAGGTGTCCCGTGTGGTGCCAAATTACTCCCTCTGGGCAGTCTAAAGCATGAGTGGGATGCTTATCCAGGGAGCACGGTGGAGGAAAGGTGTGGGGGCTGGGGGGAGGCTGTGGGGTGAAGAATGATGCAGTGCCATGGAGTAAGCTGTAGACAGACCTGCTTTGGCTTTGTTTGGGGGTGGGGCAGGGTGTGAAATACTTTCTGTACTGATTTCTATCCTGCGATCAGATACCTAGGACGTGTGTTAGAGCCAAGAAGAGACAGAACTTGACCACGTTGGGTATTGCTTGATTTTTTTTGTTTTTTAATGAGGTCTTGCTCTGCCTCTCAGGCTGGAGTACAGTGGTGCAATCAGCTCACTGCAGCCTCTGCCTCCTGGATTCAAGCAATCCTTCTGACTCAGCATCATGGGTAGCAGGGACTACAGGTGTGTGCCACCACACTCAACTTTTTTTTTTTTTTTTTGGTAGAGATGGAGTCTCCCTATGTTGCCCAGCCTGGTCCTGAACTTCTGACTCAAGTGATCCTCCTGCCTTGGCCTCCCAAAGTGCTGGGATTACAGGTGGGAGCAACCATATCTGGCTGGTATTGCATTTTTAATACAATTGGAATAGTATATTAAATATTTTTGAAGGAAAGAATAGACCTTCACTATGGTGGAAATGAAAGGAGTTACCCACCTCATTTTCCTTATGGTAGAACATTGTATTCCAGCCACCACAGGCACTCCAGCCTGTGGCTTTCGGTTGTGAATGACAGCCCACTGAAGTGACTTGTCCTTGCTATCTTTGTCCACAGCAATCCTTGGTTTTGCTCTCACTTTTGCCAGGGCCTCTCTTCTGCATCCTTGATGCCTTTGTCTTCCAACTCTGAATGTTTTTGGCAAGGACAGAGATGTTAAAAAGCTAGCAGGAGGGGCTGGTTCTGACAAAGGACAGGCAGACAGTGCACAGGTGGTGCACCCTAGCCTAACAAAGGCTCCTTTGCTCAGTGGTGGGGAAGAACTGCTGCGTGGCTTTGCTGGAAATCTGTCCCTGAAGCCTAGATGGGCCTAGCCCTCACCTGGCTAGGGATTGTCCCCAAAGCTCTTTTACTGCTAATTCAAGCAGAATGGAGGACTGACACTAAGAAAATAGGCTATCTATCTCATGAAACACCAGGGGAAGACATGTCTAGGTTTGGGACCAGCATCTTAAAGTGTTCAGAAAGTAACACAATTCCTCTCTCTCCCTCTGTCTCTGTCTCTCTGTCTTTATGTGTGTGTCTGTCTCTGACTTTTGAGGCTCTTGCTCTCCACTCGTCACTGTGTATCTGCTTTATTTTTCTCTTATTACACCAACTTTTGCTATTTCTTCAAGCACATGGCAGAAGACGGCTGCCTCTTATCTGGCAATTTTACAAAGCCCTCAACTCAGGCAAACAGTAGAGCTGTTCCTATCAGTGCCAACTCCAAATTCACAGAAAAAAATCTGATTAGTTTAGATTAAGTCAGAGAAGGTTAAAAGGGTTCTGAGGGAGGGATGTGATTGCCTGATTTCTGATCACAGTATATGCCTTAATGGTATACAGGCTGTCCAGAACAATTCCAAGACTATGGTCCTGGGGTGGCATGGTATGGATAGAAAGCTCACAAAATGTTCACATAGACAATTAATATGGCTGCCTGGACCCACATGTACTAGAGCTCAGAGAGGCATATGTGTGCAGGTACATGCTCACACATGTGTATGTGTGAAGCATGCATGTGTGGTCTTATGGTTGGGTAGAGACCCCTTAAAGTGCCTATCACATCAGATAGAAGGATAGATTTCTAGATAGAAGAAATTTGGGCCCATCTGTTATCTAGAAATTTCTTTTGTTGAAGGCTTCTTCCTGCTGTGTACTTCGGCAAAGTTCCTCATTAACATGGCCCTCCTGAATTGGGAGATTTGGTCCCAGATTCTCTAATCATCCTCTGTCTTCCCAGGGTGGAGAAGCTGATATATGCTGGGGAGTCTTTTGCGAATTTACATTTCCTTTAATATGCATTGGGCACAGATGGTTACCAGGTTGTCTCCGATTCATAAGTCTTCTTTCATCAAGGGCCGATCAAAATTTAGTGCAAGCAGGTTTAAAGGGACAAGCTTTTAGGCTTGGAAATGTGCATATAAATAAAAATGTTGCTGTAGCGGCTCCATTGTTAATGAAAGAAAAATGATCCATGTCCTCTTCCTGGATAACGGAGTCTCTGAATATATTTATTTCAAGATTTAGGTGCTGAGGGAACCGGCCACAAATCATAGAGCAACCATTAATGAGCCTCTGTCCCTACCTGTTTAGCTTATTAACTGCCTGTTACCTACAGTTCTATATCCCACTTGGGGACAGAAAATGGATGCATCAGCAATGCAAAGGCTGAAAAACACAGAAGTTAATCAAAAGCACATGGGAGCCTGGAAATGTAATCAGAAGATATGGGCTGGTTGTTTATTGGGGTACTGGGAGGTGGCTGGGAGGGAGGATCTGGTGCTGTCTGATATGAGATTTGGCTAATTAAATCCCCCTGTCCTTTAGTCAGTGTCCTCTCCACTCTGTGCAAGCTGTGGACATGAAAGGAATAGTCCCTGCCCTCAAGGAACCTACATGCTAATTGTGAGGCATGCTCTACATGCTGGAATCACAGAAAGCAAACTCAGGATAGCGCTGTAGAGGCTACATGAACCATTGTTAAAGTACTAAAAAATGGTAGATTGTTACACAGTAGAAAGAGCTTAGCTGAGAGAGAGGAGGTCTTGGATTTTGCTTTGGTTCTATGATATGACAGTGGCTGTGTCATTCACCTTTTCCCATCTTGATTTTCTGATAAAATAAGAGTTTGACCTGGATCATTGACTAAGGGTATTCATGAGAAGCACTTTAGGTATTCATGAAATTGGAGTAAAGACCGGAAGTTACTGAGATTTCAGGAACCTTCTTTTGGCTACTTAGCAAAGTAGAAGTTTTAATTCATAGAGAAGAAAGATGGAGCCACCCTTGGCAGGGACCCTTGTGTACATCAGGGTGTGTGTATGTGGAGGGAATGGCCTGCCTTGTGGGCATGAGAGCCAATAAAAGAGGGGAGTGGGTATCAATCACAAGCACAGAGATGGGCAGAACCAACTAGGCAGGTAGGCAAACCAGAGTTCAACACCAAAACCAACAGCTATGTTCTTTAACCCGAATATTCAGAAATCTTCTCAGTTACTTCCTAACTTGAAGGCAAAATTCTACTAAAAGCAGCAACAGTCTTTTAAAAGTAATTTGAAGACACAGATAAAAAACAGAAAACTAAAAAGCCTTGGCTCCATGATTAATTAAAAGGATCAGCTCAAATTTACAAAATTGCTTTAATAAAAGAAAACACAAAATCGCATACATGTGCCTCCATATGTTAATGATGGCTATTTTTCTTTGTTTTTCTGCTGCTGCTACAGCCATGTCCCATCTATCACTTGGTTTCGGGCATCATAATCAATTGACTTTACCATAAACAACATGTTGTACATGCAGCAACTGATAACAGCATTTAACTTGACACAGGGTAAAACCTCCCTCTTTTTTATTCTTCCAGTCTCTCAGAAGACAGAAAGAATAGCCTTGAATTAATTCCTTACTTATTGAGCCAAGCACGCATTTTCTTATGAACTTTACTGGGGCAGAGAAGTGCAGTCCAGCAGTTAATCCTACCAGATAACTATACCCACTGTGATGAAGCTCTGTAGGAACCCGTTATCCTGATGTCCAGAACAGTGCTTGGCACACAGTAGGCACTCAATGGCTGTATGTCCATCAGATCAATACTCCTAATTTTAGTTTCTCTGATAAGTGGTAAATTTCATGGAGAATTGACAATCAATCTTTACCCATGGAAGGGATATTTTTACATATGGAAGATAGCAAATCTTTTTTGTGGATTGAAAATAAGTAAATACGCAGAAGATCTCTTAGTGACTGCTACTGAATTGACACCCAACACCTTGTGAATTAACTGATTTTCTTCTATTCTCTAAACACGATGACTGAAGCTCATGGCACATTGAATGCTTACAGTCAGTTGGCTGGTCAGCCTTATGTTCTTGTTCTTCCCTAGGTTGGCTGTATGCTTGTATGTGTACCAAGAGCTAATTGTGTTTGTTTCCAAATCTCTTCCTTCCAGTTATCTTTAAAACTGTAATTATAGAATTAATTAAATACTACATAAACTGATGATATATATGAGTCATTTCTATGAAAAATAAGTTGAATGTTCTGAAGAAATTCAACGAAATTTCTTGTGATTAAAGAGTTTATATTGCATCAGCAGACAAGATATCTGTAAATGATGGAAAAGAATGTAAACATCTAGACAAAATATACTTTCAACTTTAAAGAAATGAAACCTGGAAATAATTGGCGATGGGTGTGCTTAACGCAAGAAAGACAATGTACAACTCCAATTGGCAAATGCCTACTCAAAGAATACTTAAGGATTCAAGGGAAAAGAAATATTTCAGCCATGTATGCATTGTTTTTGACAATAGTTTGCTCTTTTTACAAACATTTTCAATTAACAGTAAACAATTTTTCATGACTGGTAGGTAGCATGAGTTCTACTAAAAATAATTTAATGCTTTCAGAAAGAATTAAGGCTACACAAAATCAGCAGTGTAACTTGGCAGTGAAAGCACAATGATTGGGGGTTACAACCCTGGAAACTGCAACAATATGGGAACTTAGTGGAGTACTTCCAAGTGAAATGTGACCCATAGTCCCAGCTACTAGGGAGGCGGAGGCAGGAGAATCACTTGAACCTGGGAGCCGGAGGTTGCAGTGGGCCAAGATCGCGCCACTGCACTCTAGCCTGGGCGACAGAGTGCGACTCTGTCTTAAAAGAAAAAAAAAATGTGACCAAGGTCAGTGTTCTCCTCATGGAGGGGATGGTGCTTTCAGTTAACAAACCTATCTTACAATCAGCTAGTTATTTGTCTTATACATGGTGCACGCTCTCTCTTTCTCTGTGTTTCTCTTTTTTTCGTAATGTTTTGTAAAATGTTTATTCTGAAAAAACTTCAAACTTACTGAAAGTCAGAAAGTTGCAAGTGTAATGTAATTAACTTCCATATGCCCTTTACCTAGATTCACCAATGTTAATGTTATACAATCCTTGCTTTCTCTTTCTCCACCTCCCCTCCCCCTCCAACAGTCTCCTTCTCCTTCTTCTCCCTATTACTATTACTGTTAGCTTTGCTAAATGATTTGAGAGTAAATTGTAAATGTCACGAATTTTATCTCTAAATACTGTGTGTCTCTCTTAAAAACAAGGATTACAAACAACGGAAATTTATTTCTCACAGTTCTGGAGTTTGGGAGGTCGAAGATCAAGGTGCTGGCAGGTTCTGTGTCTAGTGGAGCAAGTTTCATGGTTAATAGATGGTGCCTTCTCTCTGTGCCTTTACTTGATGGAAGGGGCTAGGTAGCTCTCTGGGGTCTTTTTTATAAAGGCACTAATTCCATTAATGAAGGCAGAGCTGTCATGACTTAACTCCTCAAAGGCTTCACCTCCTAACATCACCTTAGGGGTTAGGGTTTTAACTTATGCATGTTGGGGGGACACAAACATTCAGACAGTAGTAGATCATGTCCAAATGATGTCTTTTATAGCCTTTTTCCTTGGTCCAGGATCACTTATTGTACTTTTTAGTTTGCTTAAATCTGGAATAATTACTCAGGCTTTTTTGTCTTTCACGGCATTGACATTTTGCAAGAGTATCTGGACAGTTGTTTTGTGCAATGCTCCTCCATTTGTGTGTATTTGTTTCCTCACTACTTTCAGGTTATGCCTTTTTGGCAGGAATACTACATAAATAATATTGTATCCATTACATCAGTAGAGACATGATGCCAGTTTGTCCCATTATTGGTGATGTTAGCTAGGATTACGTGGTTATGGGGGCATCTTTAAGTGTTTTTCTACTGTAAAGTTAGCACTATCTTCTTTGTAATTAATATTTGGAAATGGTGTAAATATACTGTTTCTTATCAAACTTTCATCCACTTGTTTTCTCAGCCTTTGATAATTCTTGTCCGAGTCAGTTATTGTTATTATTATACTTGCCAAATGATATGTCTATTTATCTCTACCTTCCTAACTTCCAATTGGAGAAATCCAAGTGTTTGCTAGAAAGTGGAGATGGGGGATGGGGAAAAAGAACACATATTCCCTTCCCTCCTCACCCACCACTTGGCCAGTGAAACAAAATAAATTTCTTAATCTATTCAACTTTTCCACAGGTTGCACTCTAGATTCTTGGCGATGTCATATTCATAGATGTCCTTCCTTCCTTATTTCTTATGCCATCAGTGCTTTTCATCTCTTTGTTCTCCATCCCTCAGATTTCTGCCAGGTCCTGTGTCCAGACTCAAAACATGGGGGAATCAGCCATTTTCTGTTGCATGCAGTGCTTTTCCTGAATGCAGTGTGTGAGGTAAAGAGGTGGCTGTGAAAGTGTCATGTCATGAGAGTAAAGGAGGCGAGGGACAGGGAGCCCCTGAAAGGTATGTCCTCAGAATGGACTATCTGGAAAACATAATTGTATGCATTACAAAGGTCAGTCTGATAGCGTGACATCTTTTTTTTATTACTTTGTTGTGTTACATGAATGTCTGTCTACTCCTCAGGTTTGAGATCTGTCCTTTGCTTTATTTAGTGCCTACATGAACTAATGCTTTACTTGATTTATCTCATTTATATGTTATAATAACCATATGTCATAGACAATACTGTTAATGTCTCCATTTTACATATGAGGAAACTGGGGCTTAGAGAGGTTGACCTAAGATCACAAGCCTGATGACCGTCTATTTGCAGAGGCCATTTTTTTTTGACACCATGTTTCTAAGAAGTGAGAAAAATAGGAATCAGAAAGCTCACACACATTAAGTATGGATCTCCGTACTTCTGGATCTCCAGCTAGAGTTTACCAACTAATTTTGAATAAAATTATGCTTTCCAGCATAATAAACTTGGTGATGTGGTTTCCCCCTGACAAATGGCAACTCTTCTCAAATCATAACTGATTCTCACGAGAATTAACAATGGCTACACTGACAGATGGCAGCTGGACAGCTGGAGAGGAGTTAGCAGAGGCTCCCCAGTGGCCCACTACAGAGGAGTCGGAGTGAACATCCTGACATGCCCAGTCCCTGAAACACATCTTCCAACAGCAAAAGATGCTCTCACACTGATAAACTGGAAAACCAAGGAAATAATGCATCGGGTTTCTTTAATCTGTTTTGATGAAAAATAAATTTTGTGCATCTCCTCTCACTCTATTAAGAACAGAATAGGGTGGGTTGGAGGAAATTACTTTATCTCAGCTGCAAAATAAGGAAGCAGCATTTCATCTCTAAAAGGTCTCTTCCAGTTTCATGAGTCTAAACATGAGTTGTTATTATAACCATCTAGTTCTAGAATATCAATCACTTCTTTGTTTATGTGCCACATAAACATGGCCTATGCTTAAGTTAATACTGATGTTCAAACCATAGTAAAATTCCTTAAGACAGTGCTGTTCTAATTGGTTCCTGGAGCAGACATTTTTGGTGAATAAATTTTCCCAAGACAAGGAAGAACTCTGAGATCATTACCATATTCAGAAGACAAATGTATCACCTCATGAAAATGTTAATGGGCAGCATTAATTGGAAGCAGAGGCCAGGCTGGGAGTTCCCTGTAGAGCCTGAGAGTCACAGAGCACTCTAGGGTAGAAAGAACACATCTTTAGGTAATAGATTTATAGGTCTGGACAGGAAGTATTTTAAGTCCCTTAAACTTCCTGATTCTCTTCTTTCCCTTTGGGTCCGTGTCTGCATTTGTTCTTAGCTTCTACCTCCTCACTCTCTCCGTCTTCGCTTTAGCAGCATTCCTGATCCGTACTATGTATTTCTGGCATGAGCTGTAGGAATAGTAATAAGAAGAAAAGAGAACAAAACCAGGGAAAATGTTGACTTCAAAGGAAGCAATGAGACGTCGACCTGAAAATTATTGAGGAATAGACCAACATCAATACATGAGGACTTGCCTTTCCCATTGTCTATTTAGCTGGTGTCTTTCCTCTTGGTCCCTTTTGAGAGGTTAATTCACAATTGAAAAAAAAATGCCAACAATAAATATTCTAGCTGAATTTTAGCCCTGCCCTCTTTTTCTCTTGCTCCTACTGGAAAATTACGCTATCTTACTGAACTTTACTTATTTTTTGTTAGCTGCCTCACATTCATTCCGGGACAAGAAGGGATGCAAACAACCACAAACATGAACAATTTATCCAATTGTGCTTCTATTATCCATAAATGATAACCAACATTTATACAGCATGTACCTTTTGGTGGGCACTGTTCTATTATTTCACATGTATTGATTATATTGATTCACTTAATTTTCCTGTGAGTTAAGCACCATGATCACTCCTCTCCACCTTTTGAAGGGGAAGAAATTGAAACCTAGAGCAATTAAGTAACACTTCCAAAGTCACACATCTAGCAAGCAGTGGAACAGGAGTTTGAAATCATACACTCCCAAGTCCTGACTCCAGGCCTTTAACCACCACATGATGCTGCTTCCCTCAGGTGCACTATTATGGGTGTGACGAGTGGACACATAAGAACAAACCTATCAGTGTTCAATGAACTATGACTAGCTATTCGGGAGACAGTGACTGCACAAGGCTGCTCTTTGGGAGCTGCAATACACATAGATTTAAATACAATTCATTTTCTAAGTCCCAGTAGAGCCTACGAGAGAGTCTAGCTTTCACTAGGATTATTGGTTTCGATTTTGCAAAAGACCTTTCTAAGACATCTGTTGGTCTCTTCTGCTAATTTTAAACAGTGATAAAAATATGCTTCTTCAAAATTCCCCCCTTCTCTTAGCACTTTGGGTTCCTCATCTTCCTCTTCTTTATCTCCTATTGCTGTCCCTTGTCACAGTTCCAGCTTTTTCTACCTGACAGGCAGTGGTTAATTTGCTTTAAAAGCCGCGCCATCTGAGACTGTTTCAACCTGAAAAGAACTCTCTGGCTCTTTTGCCAGAGAGCAAAGCCCACTTGGTTCAGAGGCTGTGGCTGGGGGCATCAGATGGATCCTGTATCCCTTTGAAGATTGAGCCTTGAAGGGTTTCCTTGAAGAGATGTCCACTCACTTCAAAGGGGACAAGTGTTGCTTCTGCTAGCACAGACTCATACTTCAGTCAGCCTTGTTGGGCAGTCCGGAGGGACACAACGACTTTTATATTTGTGGATATTGTTTTGACTTAATTTAAAATTCTAGCTGATTTCTGGCCCTCTGATGTGCTGATGAGAATACCCAGGTAGGAGGAGAGAGATGCAAATTTTCCTTTGAAATTCAACCACTGGCTCGGGCTTCTTCAGCCCCAGCCAATAAAACCAGCAGTGGTTTTGAGTTGATTTTTGCTTGAGCCCACAATGCTTCTAGCAAGAGGGTGATGGAGAAGGGAAGAGAGCAAATGTAAATGTTGCTCCTGGTTACATGCTGTTTGTACAGAAGGGTAACTTAATTAACACTTAAATCTTTCTCTCTTTCTTTTTTTTTTAAGAGATGGGATCTCACAATGTGCCCAGACTGGTCTGGAACTACTGGGCTCAAGCGATCCTCCCACTTTGAGCTTACAAAGTGCTGGGATTATAGACACGAGGCACTGTGGCCAGCCAGCACTTAAATCTTAACCACGATATAGCTTTATGAGACATGGGCCTCTGTTGCTTGATGGAAACCTACTCCTCTTTTAGGAACGTCATTAAAAGTCAATTTCAAAGTTTCTGTCTGTGATGATATCCCAACAGTGTGGCTTCCTTTCAAGCATTTATTATTTTGAGTGGCTGCACTGGCTGAATTGTTCCTACACAGGTTCTTTTAACGATTGTTTCCAGGAACACAAAAATTACTCAGTGGCTTCCATTTGGTTGACAATTTTGTATTAGTTTGTCAGGTTGAGACGACCTGACCTTATGTTCACGGTTATGTGTGGTAAACTGTAGAAGCCCTTGACTATATTTTGTACCTTTCCTATCTTAGGATAACTAGTCCCAGTTTTCTCTGCTTCGTCCAAATTTATGCCTGCTAAAAATTGTCCCAGTTTGTATGGTAAATTGTAAGGTTAGCCTATATCTAGGGAACTCAACAGGTATCATCCAGTGGGCACCCACTGTGATTTAATAGCAAAAAAATTGGGATTTAGAACTAGAAATCTAAACCCTGGATCTGCCATGGGTGATGGGACAAGTAGTCTAAAGTGTCTCTGAGCCTCAGTTTCCTCATCCACAGACTAGAAATAATAATGCCCCATAAAGTTTTTGTGAGAATTAACTGGGTCAATGTATATATGTGAAAACACTCAGAAATGTGTGTGGAACTCAATAGGGAGTCACTGCATTTGTTTTTATACAAAACCTCTTCCCCTGAGGTGCGGGTGGATTGTACTAGCTTTATTTTAGCTGATTTTGTGTGTGTGTGTGTGTGTGTGTGTGTGTGTGTGTGTGTGTGTGTGTGTGTATGATGGGAATGGGGCAGAGAATTAAGTGAGAAAAGAGAACTTGGGGGCAAAAGAGAAAATGAATTAGAAGTAATTCTAGTGCAAGACATAGGGTTGCTGATTTTAAATGTAGCATGGAAATTATTTTCACTCAGGGCTATGTAGTAATTGCACATGGATCCTCCAGCATGTGTTTGAGGTTTCTTAATGTATTTCATGTCTTGAGGCTTTTGATGCCTATGTTCCAGCCCCACTCTCATATTCTTTTGAAGCAGGATTAGTTTCTCCTGAAAACATGGCATTTCTGTGCAAAAGCTATCATGTTCTGGGACTTGAGTCTCCAAAAACAGACACAAATTCATCAGGAAAAAAAGCACTGGATTGCCATGCTGGGGAGACCAAGAGAAAAGTTGATCCAGACACAACTAACCTTGGGCAGTTGGTTGCAGCTGGATAAACATGAGTTACAATAAAGTTACACGTGTAATGTATCTGCAAGGTGTAACTGTCCAAACACTACCAGATTTTACTTTCTCTTCCTATGATCCATCTACTATTTCACCTGGAGTAAGGATATGTTGATACCGAAGAAGTTATTGCTTTGAACATGCTTTTACTGAATAGTCCTCATTACCAATGTAGCACATGTTTATTATAGGAAATATGATCCATAGTTCTACCATTCAAATGCAACCACTGTTAAGGCTTGGATATGTTCTATCTAATATTTGGTCACATTTCTAAAATTTTCCATTCCTTTTTTCTCTCAAATTATGTTAAAATTTTATCACGTTGATATTCCATTGGACAAACTTTCTAAAAATTACATAGTAATTTCCCAAATGTTAGATTTTGTTTCAAATTTTTGAACTATCAATTGTGTATAAATTCTTGTCTGCATTTGAGATTATTTCTTTAATGTAAAAATAGAGAAAGAGGAATTACAGGGTCAAAGTCATGAAACTTTTAAAGTTCTTTATTCATATTGAATAACTGAAAAGCTATTCTGAAATACTACTATCAGTTTACCACTAACTTGATATTTTAAAAAATACTTTAATAGTATGTAATAGGCATTGTCTGACTATAATCATTTATCCTTATAGCACTCCATAAAATATTATTTTATGGTCAACCCAGCATAGAGGGTAACTTGGATTTTTCAATATAAAAATTCTGGTTTCTATGCATACTAATGTCATATGTGACCCTATTATACTTGTGGTGTCTCATAGCTGGATATTTTTCTGGCAGTCTTGATGGTCCCTTTTCTTGATCATCATTGTACATGAATTACTTTAAAAAGCAGGCTGGCAGCAGGAAGGGAGAAAGGGAAGAGATTCCTTCTTTCAGAAACAGCTTAAGCAATTTGAGGTGGTCTACATTTCTGGTATTTGCAGCACATTTTGACCCAAATTGTGGAAAAAAAATGTTTTGGTCTTAAAAAGAAAACATTTTTTATATTCTATTTTTAAAAAGAAAACATTTTTTATATTCTATTAGCTACTTTGGATGTTCATTCTAAAAACTGGACAGAAATCTTGGAATGGATTTCCCTAAGTGGGTACTCAGAATATGTGATTATTTGGTGGCTCTTTGAGGTAGAAGCCCAGGTTCAAAATGAGAGCCCCCCAAAACTCCAAAACTCTCTTAACACTTGTCACTGGCAGAGAGAAACCTCTTGCCTGCAGGGGAGAAGAGGCCTCTAGATTGTCTTTTTCATTCTTTGGTGGAGAAAGAAAGAACCAGGCCAGGAGAGAAGATTCCCTCAGAACCAAGATCAGGACCACAGGATCAAGGTACCACATCTGAGAACAGAAGACTGTCAGATCCTATGGCCTGTGCTAGGACATAGCAGTGCATGGCCAATGGGAGACTGCTAATGAACTTTCTTTGGGAAATGTATCCCTCAAGTGTCCATTGTGTTGAACGATGAGAAAACAATACTTGTTTTGAGCTCAGTCAACTTTTGGTCAGGATGGGTATATTTAGAGTGGATTGGTGCTTTCTAAAACCTCAATAGCATTTTCACCAACATTTTAAACTTCTCTCCTGGCTTAAACATCCTCAGTTTCTTTAATAGTTAGTCTTGTGAGGTAGTTTCCAGAACTTTCCTTCTGGTCAGCTCTCTTTCACATCTCTACCAAGCTTGTCAGTCTCAACTGTGATGTGTGTAATTAGCCAGCATATTTTTCTTGCAATATTGTGCCTGCATGAACATAAGACTTCATATGTAATCTAGTATGACTAGCCACATTCTAATAGTATAATATGCTTATGTGGTCAGAAGAATAGTTTTGAGACAGTCCAAAGTTCCATTAATTGTTCCTCTACCCAAACATATCATACCATTTGCTTATAATAAACTTTTTGTTTTATAGCCCTGAAAGTAACTGCTAAGATCATCTTAAATCTCATTCTGAACTTGTAGATTTGCCTTTTCTGTTGTTTATTTATTTATTTATGTGGATATAGGAGTTTACATCTATTCCATTTCAAGTGTATCTAAGTCTAGGGCCATCATTATAAGCATAGTATCATAGTATATACCCAGTAAGTGATAATAAATGCTTGTTATAATGCTTAACCTGTGCTTTTTAAATAAATAGGTGACTTTTGGGGTCTTCTTGCTATTATTAATGGTACCTTTCCTTCCTCTCATCTTTTCCTTTTTCTTTTCACTATATTTTACATTCTTCCTGAAATAATCAGTGTAGAAATCTATTTCTTTTTCATCTTCCTATATGTATTAATGAAAAGCCAGAATTTGTCTCTAATGGTCTTAGTGCCACGTTTTAAAAGAGAGGAAAAAAAAAAGGAAAAAAAATGAAGTTAAACATGCATTGCCCTCCTTAATAATACATGTTTTCTGTTCCCCGGACAGTTTGTTATTTAGAAATTATGGACTCTAGTATCTTTCCTATAGCAAACAGAAACAGCATAGGGTAAATCTGAATGATTAGTATGCAAGGGGCTGATTCGGGGATATTCACTATAGCTTGTCCTTTCAATGTGTCTTCTTTGACATCTTCACCCTGGGTATCCTGGCAACAGAGCACTTCAGAAAAACAGAAGTCCCATAGACACTGTTTGCTGAATTCCATGAGAATAATAAAAAGAGTGTTTTATCTAAGCATTTGCTGAAGACAGTAATTTAGAAAAATAGCAAGATGGCAGCTAAATGTACTTGATTCAGAAGTGACTGACACTGAAGGAAACCCCTGGCTCAAGGATGGTGTCAATGAGTCAGATAATTTCTCAACCATTTGCAGGAAGACAGGAGAGTGAAAAAGAGATGACTTGTGAGCTAAACTGAGAAGTAAACCAACATGAATGTACCAGGATAAGAAACCCCTAAAGCAGCCTATTACTATAATGTGGGGCCTCCCTAGGAGCTGGAGATGTGTCTTTGCTGTGCTGTAAACAACCTGAGGACAGATGCCTTCTGCTGCATGTGGAGTCTCCTCCCTGCTGTTCCATTTGCTGTCTAGTAGTGGGGCAAGCTGAGTACTTAGGGTGGCACACTCTTCCTAGGCCCCAGGGGATCCAATAAACTTAGTAAGATATTTGGAACTTCTGATCCATTCTGTGCAGTGATAATGCTGTCAATGCTCCCCTCTGGGCCTTAACAGGTTAATTAAAGCACAGCTATCAGATCCTAGCTATCTTGATGCTTAGGCACTGGGGGACCAGAGGGCACAGTGGATAAGAGAATGGCTAACATGATTGGTCTCCTAGGTCTATCTGTCTAATTTTTTTCAGACGTATCCTACAGTTAATTTCCGTCTCTTTTTTTGTGAATGAAGGGCTTACTATGTTGGTGAAGAGACTGTCTGCTCTTCCCAAGGCTGAGTTAAGAAATGTTTTTCCACTGCCAGGCTGATGTCTTTGTTAAACAGAGCTCAAGATTCATACAGTGTGAAAACAGGGGAGAACTTTAGGGGCCAGATGTTTAAACTTCTCAAAGTATTAGAATCCAGACAGGCTGAGTACTAGAGTTGACACATTTTGACAGTGTGCCCAGCCCAATAATCCCCTCCTGGTGCCCACCTTGTACCACACTCCTTCCCCAATTCACTCAAACTACCTTTGTCCTGTATAATCCTGACTCCCACCCCCAACCCCCATTCTAAGCCACAGCTGGTTGGACCAGCCTCAGGCCCCTGACTCAATCTGTCTAGTCACAGTCTCTCACCTGGGAGCCTGAAACTGAGACTCAGCAGCACTTGCAGTTCAGCTGGCTTTCTGAGCTGAGGCATTTACACTTTGGGGGGGGTGGTGACTTTTTCTGAGCACGCAGAAGCAGAGAGATGAGAAAGACATAGCCACACAGCAGAAATAGATGAGAGAACACAGAGAAGGAGAAAGAGGGAAGGGAAAGGGGGTGAGGGGAACCGGCTGTCTTGATTTTTGATGGATTTCTAGTTTCTAGTTTCAGTTTCTTCTGAAATTCAATTCCACTTGTTTCTTTTGGGCTCTATGAGAGACATATACCCCAGTTCCTATTTGAGTTAAGCGAATTTGAATAAGTTTTGCTTAATTGTTAAAAAAAAAAAAAAAGTCTTAAACAAGACAAATTGATGAAAGACAGCTCTAGAACGGGAATCCAGGTCTCCTGTCTCAGGTCAATGTTTGGCCACATTACTGGCCTCCTGCCAATACCTCAACTCTAGGATGCAGCAGAAGACCCTCAGTGGAGTTCTCTTGACAACTGCACTGAGTCCTGGTGGGGCTGGAAGAGCCCCCTAGAAGTTATTACCTGAATGGTTCCACCCTCCAGCCCTTGGTCCTAGATTGTTTCTATATTGGACGATCTACTGGTACCCAGTGCGCATCCTCACTCAGATTGGAACAGAAATCTGTGTTGTGATCCCCTCCACATGCCCATCTGAATGTACATCTGAAAAATCTTGGGCCCTGTGTCCCTCAAACCTGTATGACCTCTGACCATAGCACAGCCAGTGTTTTCAGGTGATGAAGGTGATAACTTTTGCTTCTTTGGAAGCGTCACTTGGAAGTCATCAGAAAAGAATTCCAGGCAGGTCCTCACTTACTGCTGCTCTAAGATGCCAGCTGTTGTTTTGTTATTCTGTGCCATTAGGATAAGGGCAAACTGATGTTCCGAGAGAGGCTAATTGTTGGGAGCAGCAAGGAAACAGGAGCAAAACTGGGCTTCTGATCATGTAAACCGTGTTTCTGTAGCTCCCACTGCATGAGACTCCTGCTCTCCAGGACAAAGCAGACTGCGTGCATTTGGCACAAATAAAAGCCATGTAGTGATCTGGGTTTGATCTCTGCACAGAAGAGCTTCCTGTATAATTTATGGCTTTAGAATGGGCAGTTAGATTTTTGGGCAGAAAAGAAGCCTAACATATTCTTGTCAAGAAAGAGTAGAATAAGTGGGATAAATGCTACTTGGGAAGCTCCTGACCATTCCCACACTAATCAGAAGAAAGTTCAAGTGATGTTGATTATACTGTAAATCAGTTCTTTGGAGCCTAATTTGGCCTACCTAAATTTAGAGACTGTCTGCAATCTCACAGAGGGCACAAAACATGGTTAAGATGGAAAGTGCTAGTCTTTTTGTGACTATTGTCACAGCAATACTTTGCTTTCTGGAAGACAAGGCAAGTTCTGTTTGCAGGAACCAATGTGCTAGTGGAGAAAGCCAGGACACGTCAACATCAAAGTGGACTGAAGTCTTTGAAATTACTGTCCTTTTACCCTATTTGTGGATCACCTTCCTGGCCTCCCCTTCAAAACGCCTGCAGGTACATACAAACTCCTAGTAATGTTCACACACAAAGGCACACACAGCCTCACACCACAAAAATAATCCCTTTGATAAAACATATTCTCAAACTAATGTAATAATAGAATAAATGGCTCTAAAGTCTGCTAGTTGTCTATTGCTGTATAAGAAATTATCCCAGAACTTAGCAGCTACGAACAACAAATATTCATTATGTCATGGTCTGCAGGTCAAGAAACTGGACATGGCTTAATTGCATGCCTCTGGCTTAGGGTCTTTCTCAAGGCTGCCATTAAGGTGTCAGTGAAGCTGCTGTCATCTCAAGCCTCAATGGGGAAGGATCTACTCCTAAACTCACTTATGAGGCCATTGGCAGCTTTCAAGAGCTCACTGGCTGTTGGCCAGAGACATCAGTACCTTCCGTGAGGGTTCCATAGGGAAGCTAGCTGGCTTCACTCAGAGCAAGCACGCAAGCAACAAGAGGTCAGACTGTGAGAGAGGGCACCCAAGACGGAAGCCACCTAATCTCAAAAACAGCTTTCTAGGATCTCTGCTGCATCCTATTCACCCCAAGTGAGTCACTCTCTGCAGTCCCTACGTACTCAAGGGAAGGGGATTTCACAACGGTATATGTGCCAAGAGGAGGGAGTCACTGAGGATCACTTTAGAGCTCCCTGCCACAAAAGCCATCTCCTTCAGCTATCCAGGCAGCCACATCTCTGCTCTGCATGAAAGCTTCTTGTACTGGGAGCTTGGCCGCTTTTGAGGCTGCTGTTTTCATTCTACTTCTAGAAAGTTCTTCCTTAGGTTGAAGCATGAAGGCTGTGTTCTTTGAGTGGACATCTTTTGTGGGTGCCTGTCCAGCTTTCCTTTCCTTTCTGGCACTGGCAGTTCACTTTCCCACTGGGGCCGCTCTCCCCTATTCTTAGTCTGGGCTTGTGGTGGGCATAGGATCCAGCGCTGGATAATCAGACATTTGCATCTTCTTGGTCATAATGGTTGATTAAACAATGGGTACAGGCCATAAGCAGATTCAATTTATACACCTTGAGCTATCTTTCTACCATTTGTGTGAACCTGTGTCCGTCATTCCCCTCACCTTCCCAACGCCCCTTCTACATTTTTTTCAAGGGCCAGAAGTTGCAATTCTTTAGAGGACCACCCTTGAACTACCCCAGCCATAGAGAACTGAAAGTGTCCAAGAATTTATGTCTCTCCTTCCTTTATTTTGTTTGTTGGTTTGTTTTTTTACAATTTTGACCAGTTAAATTTTTTTTAAAGATATAATTCACTTACCATACACAAAGACAATTCATTGTTGTTGTTTTTTTTTGGTCTATTCACAGATATGTGGAGCCACAACCATAGTCAATTTTAGAGCAGTTTCATCCCTAAGCAACTACTAATCTACTTTCTGTATCTATAGATTTTCCTTTTCTGAACATTTCATACAAATTGGATCACATAATATGTGGTATCTTGGAACTGACTTCTTTTACTCAGCATAATATTTTCAAGGTTCATCCATTCTGTGGCATGTACCAATGGCTTATTCATTTTTGTGCCCAAATAATATTCCATTGTATGGATATACCACATTTTATTCATTCATCAGTTGATGAACCATTTGGGTAGTTTCCACCTTTTGGCTATTATGAATAATGCTACTATAAACATTCATGTACACATTTTTGTGTAGAGTATGTTTTCATTTCTCTTGGGTATATATAGCTGTAAGTTCAGTTGGCTGAATCATAAGGTAACTCTGCCAGAGTGTCTTCCAAAATGGCAGCACCCTTTTACATTCCCACCATTAGTGTATGAGGGTTCTGATTTCTCTACATCCTCACCAACACTTGTTATTATCTACCTTTTTAATTCCAGCCATCCTTGTGGCTGTGAAGTGGTGTCTTGTGGCTATGATTTACATTTCCCTAATGAGTAATGGTGTTGGACATTTTTTTCATGTGCTTATTGGCTGTTTTTATATCCTCCTTGGATAAAAGTCTATTCAGATCCTTTGCCTATTTTTGAACTGGATTCACCTAGCTCCATGACCTTAGAGACAACTCTGAGGCATGACTTTCTCTCCAGTTTCTCTGAAGACTCACAGCAAAGCAAGCACTCTGTGAGAATTTTTTTGAGACAGTGTCTCACTCTGTCGCCCAGGCTGGAGTGTAGTGGTGCGATCTCGGCTCACTGGAACTTCTACCTCCTGGGTTCAAGCAATTCTCCTGCCTCAGTCTCTTGAGTAGCTGGGACTACAGGCGCGCACCACCAAGCCAGGCTAATTTTTGTATTTCTAGTAGAGAGGGAGTTTCACCATGTCGGTCAGGCTGGTCTCAAACTCCTGACCTTGTGATCCGCCCACTTCGGCCTCCCAGAGTGCTAGGATTACAGGCATGAGTCACGGCGCGCGGCCAAGACTTTTACCTTCTTCCCTTCCCTATCAGACTCCTCTGGGAGCATGTGGTAGCCTGTCTTAAAAAATGACTGTCTTCAATTTCTTCTTTGCCCATATACATCTCAATCCTCCATGGCCCCATTGACAGGCAGAATCTCTGCCTCCATTCACTTGAATCTGGACCGGCTTGTGTCCAGTTTGTCTAACAGAATAGAGCAGAAGTGATGCTGCTCATTTCTGGGCTTAGACTTAAGAGCCTAAGAGGACTGGCAGTTCCCACCTTTTGATTCCTTATGTAAGAAGTCCGAATGGCAGAATCTTATCCAGCCTCTTGGTTTTCAATGTTTTTTCAGGCCAATGCAGTTTTATTTTACTGCAAAACCATTTTTTTTTTCTGATTGTAAATTTGTTTCTTGTAGAAAATCTAGAAAATATAAAAAAAAAGTGAGATAATAGAAATCGCTGGTATTATACTTCTTAATGATAAACACTGCTAACATTTTAGTATATATCCCAGCAGTTTTGCCTTTGTAACTAAATCTGTATCTAGCCATCATTTATCTATCAATCAATTTATCTTTATGTATTTTATAAAAAATGTTTGGCTTGATTTATATGTACTTTTCTTAAACTCTGTCAAGTTTCTGACTACAATCATTCTACTCCTATTAGCAGCTTGAGACCCTCTGATAAGGTATTAGAATGTGTTTGAGTTGAAGAATTATAAATTCAGAAAGAAAGCATGAAAGAGGAAAGAGAATAAGAGCCACAGTTTCCTTCTTAAGTAATAATAACATGTCAGATCCTTAGCAAGCCTAGTGTCTTTATCTATTTATTCTCAAAATTGAGCTGCTTATTTTCAAATAACCCATTTTTGTTAAGGGAATGGAGGGTATGAGCTACAAAAGAACTTCTCCTCATGAAAGCACCTATTCAGCAGATGCTCCATTTCCTAAAACACTTAGTCTAGATAAACAAATGACAGCCAACAGAGATCTTCAAGTTTCCAATGATGAAACTTTAAAATAATAAGTTCTGCTTCAGGTAGCACTGGGTGAAATAAAATCACAGAACACTATTCTCAAAAGTTGACTGCAAAGGCCGGGGGTTAATTGCATGGAGGGATGATGGAGCTGCTGGGGTAGAACAGGTCAGAATGCACTGGCTGGCATGGATGCTGGATGCCCAGCCTAGAGGTCCCAGGGAGGAGAATCGCTAGTACCTTGGTAGCATATCCTAAGTGAAGTCCATGAATCATTTGTAGCTCCAGAGTTACACAAAATAAATCCTTGGATAAAGCATCTGCTCTACGAGGATGATGAGGGGACGAGCACAAACCAGAGGAAAGGATACTCTGACAAGCTCAAACTATTGTAGCTATGAAGAATCAACAGAAAGTTGATTCCAAATATGTGTATAGTGGGAATCTATGTAAAATTCAGGAAAATCAGCTTTGCAACAGAATAAAGAGATAGCAAATGTGTTAAAGGTGAAGTCATTTGGAGAATGCAGTGGTTACCTTTTTTACCATTATAAATATTGAAAATGTCATTTGTTACATCCAAGCTTGGAAGAGAGGAGGCATGGGGCTGTAAGTGAAGCATCTGTTTTTCTTCCTGGCTCTCTTCTGGCATGGGAAGACTGGTCTCCTTTTCCTTGTTGGAAGACGCTGGCTTTGAGGCTTGCCAACACACCCTACACACTCATGTTTGCTTGATGGCAGTGTCATATTTTATAGGTTCTCACAACTTATCATGTCCAAATTTCCTGCCATTAATCACCAGTGCCTGCCATCTTCACATTTCTGAAATATAATCTAATGAATTTACATTCACTGAAACAAACTCTTTTTCCTGGCTGCTGTAGCCCTGTGAAAGGAATAGAGATCTCTGGCAAGTTGTCAGGTCAAGTGCAATTCCACCAAGAAAGAATAACCATCTCAATTCTAGCATCAAGTTTTTTTCTAGAAAGCACTTTTGCAAATCTGTGATTGCTGTAGCATTAATTAGAAGAAACTTTGATTTTATTAGATAGCAGCAATTGACCTTGGTTAGCTTCCCAAGCTGAATTGAGGCTGACTGGCTGGTTGACAGGCTGGGTATTGTGACAAACGCCCTGACCATGCTGGTTTACCTCAAGTGATGTTAGCATTTAGACAAAACAATGCCCAAACCCCATTAAATGCAAAGACAACAGATGCATGTTAGAAAATAGTGAAATGAGAATGCACATTAAATATACGACTCTTTCTGTAGAATAAATTTATACCATAAATATTAGAACTTATCGATTCCACATATTGGTAATAAAATACGTGTTATGTAGTTCTTGACCTCATTTTTATTACATATTCATTTAATGCCCACTAAAAGGCTACCATAGTGCATTAATTAAGATAGTATTAGCAATGATTAATAAAGTCCCAAATAAGGCTGTGGTGGCAGAGATAAAGAGTTGAGAGCTGAAGGATATTTCTGATCTAGAACCCCCAGGAAAGTGCAGAGAAGAAACAAAGATTGCATAGCTATGAGCTTTTCCTCTTGGGAGACACCGTTAACTAAGTGGGGGAAATAATTCAGTTCTGGGAGCATTTGATTCAAAGTGTCTATGAGACATGAAGAGAATGAAATATTAACTATTTAACACAGGAAGCCTTGATGAATTAAAACGTCTGTCTGAAGATGCCCCCTCTCCTACTTAGATAAGCAGAATGGGGCCTTTGGGCAGAGGATCACAGTGCTCGCTGCTGGCAGTGACTAGACATGAGGTATATCTCAAGTAGATTTAAGAGATGGAATCTGGGGCAAAAGCATATTTTAAAAGCCAGGAGGATGATCTGACCACACGAATGAATGTCATTCTAATAAACTTCACTGTAGAAGAAATATCTCTTTGTTTTCTGAAGACAGATTTGATTTAAGACTCTAAGGGCCCACTTGTCCAATTGGTGGCATATTCCATTGCTATCACTGTGGCTCCCTCTCTCTCTTGGGACTGCACCATATCCTGGGGTGGGAGGAAGTCTTGCATGATGCCTGAAAAAAATGAAGTCCTCTGATTTTAAATCTTCTTGATATTAAATCTTTTGTGTTCACGGCTGGCATCCTCATTATTTAAGCCCTCATTGTCTCCTGTTATCTGATGGCTCACTGCTTCCACATTTCATGGGTCATGGGCAGCTCTGATGAAGCCAGTACCCTCTGTGCTTAGGGTCTCGCCCCTTGGTTGTCCATGGAAACATTTCTTTCTGGGGTCTTTGTGCCTCAAGGTACCAAGACCAGGTAGTTCTCCACTCCTCTGGGCATCTGCTGCTCTCTACTACCCCCAGCCTAGGGGAATCCCCTCCTGCACTTTCTACTTCTCCAAGCCCCTCTGTTTCTTCAGTTGAATCCTCCTGTCCCCAAAGGATTTAGAGTTAAGAAAACACAAACCAGAAAATCTCACAAACTTACTGTTTTGCACTCTGCCACGGACTTGCCCTAAGGCAATGTATCAAAGAGCAGGCTCCCTGCTTTGATGAAGGGAGGAAAAGGGAAAAGCACAGCAGGAAAACAACTTCAATTCCTACCTCGAAATGTTATGTGGCTGCTTTAGCCCCGGCCCTGAAGGGGTTAGGGAGAGAGAAATGCCAGGTTTTGAAACCAATGCAATGAAAAGCCTGGTGAACCCATAGATTGCAGGCTCAGAGAAGAGGGTGGGAGAGGAAACCTGAAGTCAGTCCTTCAGCTGGGGAGGAAGTGTTTGACCATCTCACCCTTCCATGATCAGGGGTACATAAAAATGAGGGGAGGGGAAGCCCTGTGATTTTTATTTTCTGTATTTCCTTTTGTAAGAGCTGCTAAAAGGTTTTCCTTCAAAAATAAGTTGGAATTACTCGATTTTCTGCAAACTGACGGATCTGCTGTTGTATTTCTGCTTCTTGGTATGCCTTTCACCCAAAACTCAGGGAACGGTGTTGCTGGAAGGCTGAGGGTGAGTAGAATGGGAACATTGGTTGGTCTACTCACTGCTGGCCTGGACTCAGTTATTGGTTAACTCGCGGCACAGAAAAACCACAGCTGATGGTGCTCTTTCAAAGTAAATCAGCATTCTAGGCACTGAAAGGGAAACTAGGTTTGAGGGAATTGCAAAGACAGGCTGAGAAAAGATCAAACCACAGAAGGTCAGGTACCACCAAGAGGTTTACTGGCAGAATGAGGTAGCCTTTTTATTGAAGAATGTAGGCAGCTGGGGAAAGACATCAAAGGAGATTGTCTATTCACAACTCCCTCATTCCGCTGTGGCCTGCATCTTTGAGTCTGCCCAGAAAAGATCAAGAGGAAAGAGAGCAGGGAGTGGGGAGAAAGCCTCTGCTCAGCAGGTGCTGATGTGACTGAGGAGTGGCATGGATGTCTGATGAAGGGAGGGGCGAGGCAGAGCTGTGCCTGCCACAGGTTTAATGCAGAAGTCAATCTGGGAGGGGCGGTGTGAAGTGACAGAGGCGCCCAGGGCTGCTCTCCCTTTCCCTGCCAGGTGGTGACAAGCTTTAGTAACTTCATCATGCACTGTGCACAATTGTAGCTTCATTCAGTTGTCTAGGAGGGGCTGGATATGAACTGGTAGGTGTGTAGCCAAACACAGAATGGGACATCATCATGATGAAGACCCCAGGAGTCAACAGAGCCAACCATGCAAACCACTTTTCCTTGCTAGACCTTATTTGTCTCACCTGTGAAACAATACACTTAAGGAGTTGTGAGTATTAAACCAGACCATACATTTCTTATTTGTCTATTCATCAATTTTTTTTTTCTGGTGGTCAGGAATAGCAGTGCAAAAAATAAAGTCTCTGCCTCCATGGAAGATACAGACAATAAGCAACTCAACTTAGAAATATAAAGAGAGTGTCAGGTCCTGAGAAGTGATAGGAGGGAAAACACAGCAGAGTAGACAGGGTGATGGAGGATGCAGCTTCAGACAGGGTCTCTGATGGGGGCAGACACAAATGAAGCAGTGGGGGCAAGCCATTCTGCTCTCTAGGGGAAGAGCATTTTAGGCAGGGGAACAGCAAAGACAACACTGAGAGTGGAACCAGTTTGGTGTGTTTGGGGAATGGCCAGAGGCCAGTGATAAAGGAAGGTGATAAAGGAAGGAGTCACAGCAAATGAGGTTAGAGACGTAGCTGGATCACCTGGGGCCGTGATAGCCATCAGAAAGACCTAGGATATTATTTTAAGTTTGTTGGAAAACCCTAACATATGTGAAGAGTTTCACTAAAACAGGTATGGAACACTTCCTATGTGCCAGGCCTCTTCTAGGCACTTTATTAATTCAGTCCTCACACAACTCTGTGATGGGGCCCAGAAGGTGAAGTGACTTGTCCACGATCACATGGCTGGCCGGTGGCAGAGCCAGAATTTGAACTAAGGCAGGCTACCTTCAGATTAATGTTCCTGACTTTCTTCTCCCTTTGCTCAATGTCTGGAACATAGGAAATACTCATGACCTGATTTTACTGTTGCTGTTTCAACTCATCAATGGCTTCCTGTTTTCCTAGAAAAACATCCCGACTCCCCAGTAGAGTCTGCAAACTCTGCTGCCGTGGCTCTGCCGTCTTCTGTGGCCACTTGCTCCCTTCCTCAGGCTCTATCCTCCAGGCACTGTGGTCCTGCAGCTTCCTGAGCATGTCTACCCTCTGCCCTCTTTGGGAACTTCGCACATGCTAAAGCCTCTGCCTGGAATGCTCTTCTTTCCAGGGAGCCTATGGCTAGTGTTGCTCATCCTCCTCTTCTCAGAGGAGACTTCTGACCCACATACCTAATAGTAGTTCCTGTGATTATAGTAGCAGCACCTTGTGATTTTCTTTGTTGGTTTCTTGTTTCTTCATGAGCTTGTTACGTGCAGATTATTTCATGTATTTATTTGCTTGCTGTTTTCGTTTTGTATCTCTTATCTATGAGACTATAAGCTCCATTTGGCTTGTTTCCTTGCAATCCCTGGGGCTAACATTCAAAACATTTTTTGAATAAAGACGTGAATGGACAAATTATTTTTTAAAGCAGGATTTTATAGGAAATTCAAATGATTTTTTCCTTTTTCAACAATACATCTAGTTGGAGATGGCATGATTGAAGTGTCATATTCAGTTACATCAAAGTGCTCATGGTTTCTTTCCCTGTAGATGAAAAGATTTTGAGTTTTGCACAGTGACAAAACAAAACTTTGACTTACCTTTCAAAATTTAAATCCCTAATTTTATGCATTATTGACAGTTCTTTCATGTTGCTACCAGTTATAATTTGTTTTTTCTCATGGGATGTATTCTAGAAGTCAAGAGACATCTAAATAATTATTTTTCTAGCCTAAATGGGTAATATTATATGCAAATGTTTAGAAAACATAATTCTTTGATGAATCATTTATTAATTAATGCATTAATTTATTCAAACATTAATTGAATGCATCTATGAAATAGGTATTGTGCTACACCCTGAAGCAAAAAGATATGTCAAATGCTTTCTTCCCAATAAGTTTATAATTTAATGAGAAAGACGATTAAGCAAAATTACAGCCCAGTATGACAAACACTGTACTAGAAGGAAGCCCAAGACATTGTGGAGTATGTGAGGGGGCAGGGAACACATGCCCAGGGTGGCTTCCTGAGGATGCAGCTGAAATGAGCTCCGTAAGCCAAAGGTGAAGCAGGAATCAGGAATGGCTGAGGGAATAGGGTGTGCAAAGGTGCAGGGGTGGAAACAGCCTAGAACATTCCAGGAGCTCCAGTCAGAGCAGTTAGCGCCAATCCTACATGTACATTCTCAAAGTGCTCTATGTTGGCAACTACACAAACACAAGCTCCATTGTCTGGCTCTCAGATCCCTCCACATGTTGACCTTACCCCTTCTCCAGGAGCTTCTCTCTCCTCCATTCAGGGTAATCCTGTGCATGCTATACTTATTCCAACCTGTAAACCTTTGCTCATGATATTCCTTATCCATAAGCCCCCTTCCTACCTTTCATAGCCCGTTTCAGCTATTGCCTCTTCCAGGAAGCCCTGTCTGATTATACCTGTCCATGGTGATCACTCCCAGTTCTGAACTGATTTTGGTCCCTAAAGACAATTCCTTAAAAACCCATTTCATTATCTTTTAATTATTTGGGGGTGTTAAGTTTGCATTCCCAACTCATTTGTGAATTTGGTAATGGTAGGTACCGTTTGTGACTTTAAATTTTTTGTCTAGCTCAGTGGGCCATGACAAACACTTTCAGTCAGTACCAGAACTTAATTAATATTAACTGGACACTTTTTTCATGGGCACTGCTGTATGCTGATTGTGGTTTGTAGTCCCTAGCCTTTTGTATACCGGGTGATCAAATGGACAAGTTTTATTTCTCCTACACTAACTTATCTTGTGACCTTGAACAATTAAAAACAATCAACTAGATCTGCTTTCTATATCAACATGTAAGCGTCACTGGAATGCAAAGTCGAGTGGAAATAGCAACTTGTAGAATGGTACAACATGATGCAATTTATGTAAACTTTGAAAAATAACGGTATACTATATTTTTAATGAGTGTAAACATAAAAAAAATTTTTAAATGGACTAGAAGAATATACATGCAGTTCATGGTAAAGGTTGACACTGGATTAGGAGAAGGTGGTCGAAGAAGATTATACTATGATCTATTTTGATTTTACAAAATAAAACATTCTAAGTAAAGAAGACAAAATATTTTCAATGGTTAATACTATTTTTCCAGTGGTTCATATGTTATTGGATTGTTTGTTTTATTAGTCTTTATATTTTTCTCCATTTTAAACACTTCTCAAACTCCAAATCACACATAGGCACACAGAAATTACATGTGTGTTTACAGCTGGAACATTTAGGAAAATTGGAGACAAGGAATGTGTAGATATAGCTTGAACAGCTCAATTATTGTGAGTAGAAAATTTTTCTTGTAAAATATTCAAGCTCCTGCTATTTTACCATTATAGCTCCTTGTAGCTCAAGATACAATTCTAGTAAAAATAAATTCTGTAGCCTTTGCATGGTCTTTGGTTTTAATGTAGGCTTCCTGAGTTAATGTGGGAGCTGCCCTGAAGGACTTCAGCTCACTCTTTCTGAACCAACAGAAGCTTTCTCTGTGTCTTTTCTGAACTGTATGATTTCAGGTGAGGTTAATGAGCATTAGTTATACCAGTAGGTGGACTATATGGGTCCTGAATTTCAATGCCTGAACCCTTGTCATTTTAAGGTTGATAGTGACTCAGGAGAGTTACAAATAAGTAGATAGCATCAAGGGGCTGATCATTAACATTCTCATAAAAGCTGAGAGGGTGGGTGGAGGGATCAGCAGTGATCTAGAGCCCGGAGGACCTGAGGACATCACCAACTTACAGGGCCTGAATTGCTCTCACTTAAACTCACATCAGTGGAAAAGATGGGAAGACTTTAAATGAACAGATTGAGCTGATTCAACAAGACTGTGTGACCTTCCAACCAAGTTCAGCCTGAGGAGATAATAAAGACACAATCGAACCCAAATGAGAGGGCCCAGTTGTTTTAATAATAACTCACAGAGAAGGAAGTTTCTTTGAAATCCAAGTCTGCTTAGGCTCCTAGAAAATAGGTCTTGAAGTAGACATTTAAAAATTCTTTAAAATTATGTATGAACTTACATTCATATATGTATGTACTTGCATTTATATATATATATATACACACACACCCCCACATAAACAGGTAAAACATATATATGAGTGATATACATGATGTATATATCGTAATATATAAATATATATAACATATATAAAATATATATATAGATCACAACAAATACAGATCACAACAAATCAGTCCTATGATCAGTAAATGCATGGTGAGTGATTGTCATGAATAGACAAGCTTAGTAATGCTTTTCTCCTGAATTTCTTATTGTTGATGAATATTTGTTAATCCTCCTGAAGTGGGCTGAAATTTCAGGACAAAGGGTAACAACTGGGACAACCAGGGAATTGGGGATCTGGGGAAGGATAAGGAATGACAAGTCTCCCACAGCCAGGAGAGCTCCCACTGTCACCAGCATATTCATTCTTGTCTCCCCAGCTGGGCTTACTTGTGGAGCAGCCACTTGCCAGTCTCTGTTCTAGGCACTAGACATACACCTTCTCATGGAATCCTCACCGCAAGACCCATAAGGTACAAGTACCTCATTTTCAGAACTGAAGGCTTGGGTTAAGTAGCTTTGCTCAGTTAGGTAACCAAGAGGTGGCAGAGGTGGGATTTGACCTTCATTTGGCTGGCTCCCGATGCCTGCATTAATAACTACCAGTAAGGATAATTTTGACCACAGGCAACAGCAGATGGAAGGTGCTTCCTCTCTAATACAAGGGAGAAACATCACCATTCAGGACAGTTTAGGCTGCAATTAAAGGTATATACAGGTATAAACAACCTCAGCAGTTTTAAGAACCATAGAATATTCATCCACCATGTAAAGATGCTTCCAAACCACACACCTGAGATAAGACCTTTTGGGTATCTGCTCTCCACTGGGTAGAAGACAGAGTCTTCTGGGGAATGAGCATGGCTTTGGAGCCAGTTAAACTTGTGATCAAATCCCAGTCTTGCCATTTAAATTTGCAGCCTTAGAAAGTTACTTAATCTCACTGAGTTTCAGTTTCTGAAGCTCTAAAATGGTGACAGCAGTACCTACCTTGCAGGGGTAGTCTGAATACTGGAGAGAAACAGCAAGCAGCACATGGTCAGTACTCAATGGACAGCAGTTATTATTATTAATAACACCAATTATACATATTTGTTGGACATTGAACTTACAGAAAACAGTGCACTGGACAAAATAGACCTAGACCCACAGGTGGACAGTACAGAGTTCCCTGTGAAAACGCCCTTGCTTTTGCTGAACAAGGGCGCCGAGGCTTAATGGAGGAGCACACGGTAACCTCCATCCAAATTTTATAAGGTGGTTGATCCACAGAACCTTGAATGGTTAAACTTTAATAGCCAACAGTTAACAATTACTTTGTGCCAGGCACTTTTTAAAGTGTTTTACATATATTAGTCTTTTAATCATTTAATCCTCACAATAACACCATTAGGTAGATAACTATTTTGGCCTCATTTTACAGTTGAAGAAACAGGCACAGAGTATTTAGATGTGTTGCCCAAAGTCACAGGCCTTAAGTGGCAGAGCTGGAATTTAAATTCTGGCAGTCCATCTCCAAAGACCTGGAACACTTGGGGGCAATACTTGGCATTTACAGCCCTGCAGGTTTTGCTATTGTGATAGAGTTGTGTGCAAAGCAAAATGGCAGCTAGTGGAAGGAGTTCCTCCACCTCAGCAATACAAAGGCTCACTACCCAGAGTTAAAGACATGCTTCTTCTCAGGATGACGTCACTAGCATCTAATTTTAGAGCCGTTAGGTAGCAGGGATTCTAACCAATATTTACTGAAATCAAACTAAATGCACATTTTAACATCTTGGAAATATATTTGCCTTAGTGACATGCTAAGTGGGTACAATGTCAAGGCAAGATCACAGACGACAACATCTTTGTTAGCCATATACAGGCCAGCTTTTGTGATGTTATTTTTTTGGGGAAGTCGTGTGTTTTGTTGATTGATTTATATAAACTCCAACTTCTTTTATGCTGCAAATTTTGCTTGTTTCCCTGTCACAAATTTATCTTGTTTGTAGTACAGAGTGTTCTATGGTCCAAATGTTTGTGTTCCCCTAAAATTCGTGTGTTGAAACCTAACCACCAATGTGAAAGTATTCGGAGGTGGGGCCATTGGGAAGTGATTACGTCTTGGGGTGGAGCCCTCATGAATGGGATTAATGTCCTTACAAAAGGAGCTAGAGAGACAATCCTCACTCTTTCCACCATGTGAAGACATGTCTGGTGAGGGCCAGAAAGCAGATTCTCACCAGAAACCAAATCTGCTAACACGTTGATCTTGGACTTCCCAGCTTCCCAAACTGTGAGAAAGAAATTTATATTGTTTATAAGCTACCCAGGTTATGGTATTTTGTTATAGTAGCTTGAACAGACTAAGACAAGTGTATTTGGGGCTCAAATGAATGTGGTAGCCAAAGGCATTCAGACGCTAGGAGTTCTGAAATATTTGAATGCTTTTCAGTTAGACATAAGGAAACAAATAGCAAGGTAGTAAGGAGCACTTAGGGGAACACACAGCTGCTCAATTTTAATCTGCCCATTCTCATTTATAACATAGACCTAGAGAGCTATAGCTTTACTTTTTTGTGCCACAGAGAGTGGTTGGGTCCTAGATTTTTATTCTTGACTACAGAAAGCATTGGCATAATCATTTCTACCAAATAGGTAGGTGATTTGTGATCTGGGTAACACAACACCAATATTCTGTTATGTAGTTATCATCGGTAACATGTCCAGGAAACTGCATGAGTTTGGGCAACTCCATCTTTTATTAGGCAAATCTGAATCTGCAGAGCTTTATTCACTTGGATTTCACAATTGAACTTGTGATTGCTGGACCTGGCTTTGCCCACTGGGGAGAAGGCCTTACTAAATGTACAGATAAGTCTAGGCTTGGACAAAATGCAGATGTTGGTGAACTTTTCAATGTTGATTCTTCCTAACTAGCATCACCTTTTCCTACCATGATGATGTCCACTGTGAATCATGCCTGTGCCTTCATCTTCTTTCTCTCCTTCTCCTAGCAAACTTGGGACTTGAGAAATAATTTGATAAAATCACTTACAGTAATAGGTAATTGGTAAGGTTTAATTATTTTTTACTATATTCTGGTATATTTGCATTTTAATAGAACTTCAGCTTTTCTACGAAGGACTAAATATAATCTTGAGGTAAGGAACTGGTCAAGCTAGTGTATTTTTGGAATTGAATATTTCTTTTTAGTACCCACGAACACATAAATGGCTATTTTTACTGCATACCTAAAGGCTTGATCTTGCATATTAGATACATATCTTTTAAAGAAATGCATAGCTTGTTGAGAAAAAAAACTGTATATCAAGTCTGTTTGTTAAATATTAAAGGCAAATAATGAGAATAATTGTAAATGATTCTAACAGTGTGTCAACAAGGTTTGATAATACATGTGCTTATAAAGATTAGCAAGTTATTTTACGTATAAACTTGATGTTAAAATAAACATTTCCATAATTTGAATTTTGCACTACTTTTGAGTATAATAACATAGCTATGAGGCCTTATAGATTAGTGTTTTCAAAGTATGTTCTCTGTATTAGCAACTTCAGCATGACCTGGGAACTTGTTGGAAACACATTCTTGGGCTCTACCTGAGAGCTACCAAATCAGAGACTTTGGAGGTGGGCCCAGCAATCTGTGTTTTAACAAGCTCTCTGGGTAATTTCAATGCACACTAAAGTTTAAGAACTGGGCTTGTAGATGACTATGTTTGAATTCATCCTAATTCACAGATAAGTAAATTAAGGGTCAGAAAGATTAAGAGGTCGAGCTGAGCTGCTGATTTTTAGCAGTGTTCTTTCAACTGTTCTCAGATAAGTCCTCTCAGCTAATCAATCTGAATGAGAGAGGTTTGGTGCAGTATCTCTGATTGACAGGACAGTCAAATCTCTTCCTGATTGTGTGGCTTTACCCTTGTAAAGGCCTGAGGGTGAGACTTGAACAACTTCAATCTCTCAGAGCCTCTTAGGGATCAGGCTGCTCCATATTTGCTCTCTTTAAAAAGATCAGCACTCATTTTCCTTTAAAGTTAGAGTTAGTCTGCCTGAGTTGCATACAAATAAGATGAATGAATTCATTACCAAAAGCTAGATTAAGTTTTGCAGCTGTTCTGCCTGGGGATCTAGTAGACAGAGGGGCCGGCACAACTGAAAATCCTTTAGTGATCAAGGCAGTCTGAAAATGCAATCTTTTGTGGTAAGTAGCATTCAGAAATACTGAAATGAAGTGAAAAAATAAAATGACTTTTGACTAAACATGTGGGAAATGGGGAAATCCTAGGGTGCCACCAAACATGTATCAGAGCTGTGGAAAGTGGATGCTGTCTTTTCATCCAGCTCACCACAAGAGGAATGCAACTCAGGAATGTAGGGATGATAATTTGCATCCAAAATTTCAAAGTGGCTTTACACATTTTAGGACAAATACAGATGTTTGCCACTTTACAAGCTCACTTATCCAGTTATCTCTAATTTGCAACCTCTGAACTAGGCAATGTCCAGGAACTGATTTCTTCTTACCTGGTATCCTAGTATAAGGAATGCCAACATGTACATTTATCATCTTTCCTTCATGAATGATGCCATTTATCACTCCAATATTTTAAAATTACTTCTATGTTCTAAGACTATTCTGGGATTGTTTTCTGTTTCCTTTCTTGCCTTTTATTCTTGATTGAATGGGTAATTTTAATCTTTCATTTCTCCCTCTTCTAGTTTGAAAACTGCACGTATTGTTTCTTTATGTGTTTATTCTAGGGATTTTTACCTAATATGCTTAAATTATCAAAGTCTAAGTTTAATCAAAACCTTGCTCTTCCTTTCAACTGGAAAGATGGCCACTCATTGGTTTTACGAAAGCTGCCCATAAATGTAACAGGTAAATGTAGGTTTACAATAAAGTCTTGTCCATAAAAAAAAACGAGCTCTTTTCAAACTTTAATTCCATTTATTCCCCTCTTGACTTACGCTATTGTTATATTTTCAGTTCTACTAAAAAACTGACATTATTATTACTCTTTTATACAATCAATATTCATGAATATAGGCTCAGTTTATTCCTTCCGACATCTCAGGTTTTACATCTGAAATTACTTTTCTTCTGCCTGAAGTACCGCCTTTAAATTAGTGCTGGTGAAGAACTCCCTTAGGTCTATAAATGTCTTTATTTTTACTCTATTCCTGAAAGATATTTTACTGAATATAGACTTCTAGATTGGCAGTCATTTTCTTTTAGAACTTTGAAGATTTTTTCCATTATTATTAAGATTCTGTTGAGATACTGAGAAGTCAGCTGTCTAACATTCCTTTGTGTGTGATCTGTCTTTTCTTTTCTCTGGTTTCTTTCAGATTTTCTCTTTGTTGTTGATTTGCACCAATTTTACTATAATGTATTTTGTCTGAGATTTCTTTTAACTTGTCTGACTTGGGATATACTTGGTCTTCTTGAATCTCTGGATTGCTGTCTTTGATCAGTTCTTAAAAATCCTCAGATATCATCTTTTCAAATATTGTCTCTAACTCTCTCTTTTCTTTTGTTTTGGTACTTCAATTTTAGATCTTGTCATTACATTTTCCACATTGCTTATTCTTCCCTGCATTTCATTATTTTTCCTTTTTTTCCTGTTTTTCCTTTTTTTTCCTTTTCTCTTCATACTGCATTTAGGATCATTTAGCCTGGTTTATCTTCTTGGTATGTAATAGACATTCAGTAAATTTTTGTTGAATGAAATGCAATATTGATGTTTTAAAAAATGTTATATGAAACTAGTGTTTTATAAGACCCATAATTTAAAAAGGCTGATCTGATATAATCCCTTCAATTTCTGTTGCACATACTAAGGTCTATAGTTAACTGACCTGGTCAAGACCATAGAACTAAAGAGTGTCATATCTGGCCCTAGAATTCAGATCTTACCCTAAGTTCATTGTTCTTTGCAATTCACCACACGATTTCTCATTCTAATACAAAATATTACAATATAGGTGATGACAATATGAGTGAGAGATCTCCGTTATTTTTCTTTGTGAGAAGTTATATTACTATTTGAGAAGTAACATCTATCCTCTATTGATGATCAATGAGAAGAAATAAATTTGGAAGCAAGGTAGGGAAGGGCAGTGAGTGGTTTGAGAAGTAACTAAGAAAGGCTTTGATAGCTTTCAATAAGATAATGACTTACTAGCTGAAGAGCCTTTAGGCAAATTAACATCTTCTCATTCATTCATTTCATAAAAGCTTCTCATGTGTGTATCAGGTCAAAGTAGTAGATTTACAATAAAGTCTTGGCTGTAATGAAGTGACAGAGAATATTTAGAGAATGGTAAGTAAGGACTTAGGCCAGTTCCTGAATAATTAGCCCTAAGATACAAGTCCAGTAGTTTGCTGGAAATAGACTCTTCCACATAAGTGAGAGCAAACCCAAAATTTGTTAAACGAGATCTGTGAATACCAGCTGTGGGGAGACATGAGTGATGAGGGAACATAGAAAAATAGAGAAAAGGCAAAATAAACTTGAACACCTGTAACAAAAAGTGTTTGTGGAAGTGGGGAGAGGGTGCAGAAATGAATTCTTATTAGTTATTAAGAAAATCCACATAATACCAGTATTTACATATGGATAAATCAATGTAATAGCCTAACAGCCTTTTATGAAAATTTGGATTAAATCATGTAAGTGACTTAGATTACAGTTTTGGGACATTTTGTATCCTTTTGGCTATTTGGACCCATTTTTGAGAGTAATATTTACTCGTATACTCAGTTTTCCCCACTTGTGTTAGTTCTCAATACTAACTATGGGATAATTTAAAAATAAAAGAAAAAAGCTCTATTAACTGCGTATACTCACTTTCTTCTACCATAAGTTCTCTGGTTTTAAAACAGAAATCATTTTCATATATTTGTCCAGTTCCTCCCAATTGCCCTGTATAGTACATTGCTTCATCAAAACACAGTGCATAGCTATGTAATGATAACAAGAGGAAAAAAACTACTTTCCTGTTCTTCTCTCCTGGTAGCTTTGAAACAGTAACTATTTCTGTAATTGTTATCCTTCCTCCCCGTCAGGGCAAATTCATCAGTCCCAAGCTTTCATGTGACATGACCCTAAAATTAACTCTCCAGAGAGAAGATACTTTTCCCACTTAGAGAGCAAACAAAAATGACCAGTGGCAGGGGATGCTGGTGAGGGCAGCATCCAAAACTGGCCTTATCTACAGATACCCTGGCCATGTGCTTCCTGCCTTTACCCTCAAGGGACAAAACAAAGGATTCAGACCAATATATTTCCTCCTTCCTTTCACTGCAATGAATAACACCATCCTAATCACAAAATGGTGAGATCTGACATGTTTTTGAAGATCCAACGTGTTCTTCTTAGTTCGCATTAAAACCATCTGTCAGCTTCTCTTGCTTTTTTGTCATGTGCCTGAAAAACCAATTATAATATCTACTAATACTTAAAGACCGTAAAATATTATTGATAAGAAATGGGAAAGAAGGACACTTAGTTGAATATAGTCTCCATTCTTAACAGTGCAAAATGAAAGACAGCATTAAAAATCTGTTTAATTTTTATCAGCATAGAAAGTCAAACAAGAACATCCATCCCTTAGTGTGTATTTTTTTCCTTCCCCCTCCATTTCGTTTTGGTTATTTGGTTTGAATTACATCTGTTCTGTGGCTTGAAATTGATTCGGATATTTTTGTCTTGAATTTTCCTACTTTGTTTGCTTACAACATAATTGATGTGCACTAAGAAGTGATTATTTGTCCAAACCATTTATCCAAAACCTTTTCTAAATGTAGAGATTAATCTGGGAGCAGTTTTGAAATGAGCAACTTAGAAAGACCCATTTTTCAGACAACCTAGCATCTTTGGGTTGGTTATTTAACTTTATCTACTTTTTGATATATAATTTAGAGCTAATATCTTTCTAAAACAATGAATAAAGTTTCTTACAAAATATAAAATTAGCTAATACATTCATCAATTCAGTTATCCAATTATCTACCCATCCATCCCTCCATCTATTCATCCAAGCAACAAGCCATCCTATTAACAGATATTTATCACTAACATGCTAGGCACTGGGGATAAAGCAGCAAGCAAAATAGAAAATAAGTCTGATTTCAGGGAGCTTAAATTCCAACAAGGGAAAACAAATGGTTAATCAATAATTAACCCATATAGTATGTCAGATAGCCATAGGTGTAACGGAGCAAAATTAAGTAGGGTGGGGGCTAGGGAGTTGTGATTTAAAATTGAGGAGGCAGGAAAGCCTTCACAAAAAGGTGGAATTTGAGCAAAGACCTAAAGAGGGTAAGGGAGAAAGCCACGCAAATATCTGGAAGCAAAGTGTTTCAACTGAGCATAGAGTCAGTGCAAATGTCCTGAGGCAGAAACGTGCCTGACATATTCACGGAAAAGCCAGGAAGCCAGTATGGCTGGAGTGGTTATGAGGAAGGGCACAGTGGTAGAAGACGAGATCAAAGTATTCATGGGGATAATGACACTGGGCCTTGTGAACTGCTGAAAGGACTTAGGCTTTTATTCTGGATGAGATTGGGAACCACAGAAGATTAGGGGCAGAGGAGTAACATGATATGACCCAGGTTTTGGCTTCTGTATTGAGAAAATGCTGTATTGAAGTAGGAAGGAAGGGGGTAAAGGTGGAAGCAGAGAGGCTAGCTAGGAGGCTATTGACATTCTCTTGGACCAGGGTGGCCACAATAAAGTGGTGAGAAGTGGTAAATGCTGATTTGTTTATAGGGTAGAGACAGGTAGATTTTCTAAATATTTAGAAAGGAAAGAGAAGAGAAATGAAGCATGATTACAGGATTTGGCCTGAGGAATTTTATGAACAGAGCTGAGTTGGAGGGATGGGGTGGACTGTGGGAGGGCCAGTTTTGTAGGGAAGATATAGAAGTGGATGTTGGGCTGATGAGTTTGAGATGTATATATCTCATGCACTGAACGCCTAACTAGGAGCCAGACCACGATGAATCCTTGGAGGTGGGTAGGTGATGTGCAGAGATGACTGAATGGCCAGCCAGCTTACTCCTGTGAGTAAGCTTACTTCTGTGAGTGCTAACTCCTCACAGAAGGAAACAGGTGTGAAGACAGGTAGCCACAACAGGAAGCAGACTAGTCTAGACTTCAGGAACACAGTGTTGCTTCTACCCAGAACATTCCTTTGGGATTGAAATAAATGGCCCTCTATATGGTTCAAACTCTTAATCACTTATTCAGCCTTCAGACTTGGCATAATCAATCTCACACCTCATCTGATTACAATCACTTTCTTGTTACCTTTAGCAATAAGACTGGAAGAGACCTTTATTGCCCTGCATACACTTGCAAACCACACTTGGATGGGTATGTGATTATATACCTCTTTGAAAAAAGTCTCAAGTGAAATCAAATCCTTCCACTGATGTCTCTGACCTTCACCTATTTTGTTCTATATGTTTTTGTCCAATCTTTTTGCCTGAGGCTGGGAATTGTGCAGGTTAATGTGTATCTTCACCAGCATGCTAACACAAATAAGTCATATTGCCACTATGCATAATTACGCAGTGATTTGATAAACAGCCCCATGAGTTTTCAGAACAATGTCTTGACTAAGATTGATTTTGAATGAAATTAAGCGATATGAAGAATAATTGTTAAGGCAATTTAAAGTCAATATCTAAGACTAAATAAGCACCTATAAGAATTAAAATAATTGTGCTGGGGTAGTAAATTATACCACAAAGCACAAAGAAAAAATTATTTTTATTTTTTCAATATTTTTATTATTTAAAAATATATAGGAAAAAACCACCATCATAGTTCTATATTGGATTAATATAGTGGGCCTGCATGTTTGATTTTTTAAAAATCTGTCATTTAAACTACATTGCAAAGTTAGTGTACAACTTTTTTGTCATTTTTCCTTGCTTACTGCTATGCCTGCAGTTCAAGTGAGCTGACGATAGGGGCAAGTGAGTACCTTGTCCTAACAGTCAAGGACATGAACTAAAGCCACTCAACTGGGCTTCTTTGGGTCCCCCACTCAGCTCAGTTTTTTCTGGGAAGAGCCTTAGATACAAAACAGGGAAAAGGATGCTAGCAGGGTAAAAGAATCTTTGGAAAGATGAAAAATTGGCCCCCAAAACAATGGTTGGATGATATTGATTGGGATGCAATGGAATGATATTCCTTTGGGTGAGAGGTTTAGCAGACATTCTTTTTGATCAACAATTTCATTTCCTGGAACCTCCAGAAAAAAGGTTAGGAGTAGAATTTGGGCAAGAGAGGGGAAAAAAATGGCATCTTTTTAGTTTGCTGGGGATCTTTTGTCCTGAGGGTTCTGGGGCATAGGGAGTGTGTTAGGTAGTGTTAGGGAGCCTGTGTGTGTATGTGTCTATGCTTGTGTATGTGTCTATACTTGTGTATGTGCCTGCATAATGCTTAGAAAACAACATTGGCTTTGTAGACTCAAGGTACCAGGATAGGGTACACTGAAGAGAGAGAGAGAGAAATCAGGGTGCTGACCTCCTAAGGCTTGCTCCAGGCTCACACAGAGTGAACAACTGCTGTTTGTTTCCATACAGCACCTCTTCCCTCTTTTTTATTAACAGCACCCACTCACTTCCCCTGAGGAATTGTTCTTTCACTCTGTGATTCTGCAAGAATTGTCAATCGCAGACCCTTACCTCTCTGGTATAATGAGTGGGACTGTGAACCAAGCTCATATAATCAAGGCTCTTCCCTGAAGTTGGAAGTTCTCTATTTTTGTTTGGACTGTTAGCTGCAAAAATATGACATCAAAGCAACCAGCTCCCTGACAATGTGGAGTAGAGCTAAGAGAATGAGGTTACCAAAGACCAGAGGTTGAGCTGAAAAATGTGTAGAAGCAGAGTAGATGAGATCTGGAATAAGTGGCAACCAGAGAAGGTGAGTGTGGTTACCTTGTTTAAGTCTCATGATCCATTCATCCTGGGGACACACTATTCCTTCCTTTTCATGCTTTGGTTCTGTGATCCAGTAAATCACCTTTACAATTTTTTTAAAGCTTTAAATAGCTTAAAATTTGTTTCTGTTATTTTCAGCCAGATAATACAGATTAATATAGGGGAATGCATATTTTCTTCTTGAAGTCCTAGTCCGTATTTCCAATAGGACAGGTAAAAGAGAGAGAGATTGTGCATATGGCTAGAGGTTTTCTGTGTCTTTCCCTCCCTCCCTCCCTCCCTTCCTCCCTCCCTCCTTTCCTTCCTTCCTTCCTTCCTTCCTTCCTTCCTTCCTTCCATTCTTCCTCCTTCCTCTCTCCTGCAATTGAGCATAAGAAGATGGAAGAGGGTTCAGAGCCCTACAAGAGGAGAAATGGTAATTAACTGAGTTAATAATGAAATTTACTGGAATTACTAATAACAATTTAAACTTTAATGTCCAATTTAAGTGTGGATTTAATAAAGTGAAAATAGTTGGGAGAGGAAGAGAGCTCACATTTAACTGTGCCTATTGTATCTTCGACTCATGTTAGGCACTTTCTTTTTTTTTTTTTTTTTTTTTTGAGACGGAGTCTCGCTCTGTCGCCCAGGCTGGAGTGCAGTGGCGGGATCTCGGCTCACTGCAAGCTCCGCCTCCCGGGTTCACGCCATTCTCCTGCCTCAGCCTCCCAAGTAGCTGGGACTACAGGCGCCCGCCACTACGCCCGGCTAATTTTTTGTATTTTTAGTAGAGACGAGGTTTCACCGTTTTAGCCGGGATGGTCTCGATCTCCTGACCTCGTGATCCGCCCGCCTCGGCCTCCCAAAGTGCTGGGATTACAGGCGTGAGCCACCGCGCCCGGCCATGTTAGGCACTTTCTATCCATTACCTTGTTTAGTTATTTATGAAAGCCTTATAATGTAGATGCATAAATTGCATATACCTTATGACCTAGCTTAAGCAAAAAGACTTATTGACTCACATAACTGAAATGGTCCAAGACTGAAACTGTTTTTTGAAGGAACTTAATTCAGTACAAAAGTAATGCCATCAGGATCCATTTCTGAGTGAGAACATTTGTGTTGCATAACTCTTGATACATAGAAAACCAGCTGAGTGGTGTTTCCTTGGGTCTTGCAACCTCTTCTGCTTTTTATTTTTTTGTGATACTTCCCTTATTCTCAAACTTGCTAGTGGAGCCTGGAACTTAAGAATTATATAATTACAGCACTTATTAAGAGAGTCTGTTTCCAGGATAGCGAAGCCAAAATTGAGTTTTATCAATTCTATGCAATTGTAAAAACAGCTAAAGAGTATAGTTCCTTGAAGTCAGATCATGCTGACTTTAAATCCTGGCCCTGCCATTTACTGGCTGTGTGAGTTTAGGTATGTCCTTGGCTTCTCTGAACCTCAGCGATGGCCTGTACCTTCCTGCTAAAATTTAGTACAGAAATTTTCTACCAGAAATGGAAATTATATAACCTAATTTGCTTCCTGTGTTTTTCAGAGAGACCAAAAGCCAATACTTCAGTTCAGGACTGCAATATATTTAACTCAGAAAACATAATGCCTTAATTCTTCCGTTGAACTCAGATGGAGTGCTTTTTTTTTTTTTTTTTTCCTTTTTTCATCTTTAAATTACTTTTGGAATTTATGGTTAGTGGTAGCCAGACTACAATCTTATTGCAAGGGAAAGGTTATGGTCACGGGACTTTTGTTTGAGACTTCCCTCTGATGGTCTTTCTTAAAGTAGAAAGAGGTTTCATGGAGTTTTTATTAATTAATTTTAAACTTTTCTCCTTTCATCAAAATCTTCATTTTTTTGTGTAATTAAAGCTCTTATGAAAAGTTGTAATATTGATTTCCATTGTGCTCAAGTTTCATTTTAAAGGATCACTGCCTTTCTCCCCCCACAGATTTTTAACTTCCTTAAGTATACATAAATAGTAACTATGTATTAAAACCCAGACTCACATTTAGCCTGTGTGAAATTATATACATGAAAGGATGTTTACTATCTCCTTGCCCTTCCAACCTCTCTAATCTTCACCTCCTGCCCTATAGACATTTTTACCTGTCCTAACCTGACTTGGGATATCTTTGATGCTCATGGTCTGACTGGGCAAGTGTCATAATAGGTAGTAATACTTCTTTTGATATGACTATCAGAAAGGGATACTTAGCACAAACACATATGCTCTTAGAATCTACTTCTGGAAAATTAGAGGCAATTTAGAGTTTGTCATCACAGACTGCTTTAAACTTATTTTGGGTTATGTGAACACACACTTATCAACAAGGCTGAAATACCCTAAACTCACTGTGAAACTGAAAACTGGCAGAAAATTTATGTAGTTCAGAGAGGAAGACAGTTGCTGCCCTCTGAGATATCCTAGTGCACAAACTCCTCTGAGAATCCAGTCCTATGAGCTTGAAAGATTATCTTTTATAGTCAGAAGTAAGATGTAATGATATAAAAGGAGGAACTCCTTAGACATCATCCCTCCCTTTTGATAGAATTCTTCACTGATTCCTATATTGCACAACTTTAAAACCACTCACAGCCCACTGTGGGAAACAGGAGTGGCTTCAAGTAAGAAGTGGTAGGTGCTTGATGTTAGATCTTGAGGAGAAGGCTTAGAGGTACGATGAGAGATGTCCCCAAATATTTAGTGGGTTGGCAGGTGAAGCATGTTCCCAAGAAGTGAATTGGAAGTGGAATCATCAGATGGCAGATTTTTATAGGGGAGCATAATTGGACTCAGTTTAATGAGAAATTTCCTAAGAATTGTAGCTGCTCAACAAAGGAACAGGTTTCCCTGAGGTGTTCAAGTGAGGGCTGTAGAATATTATTCAGGTTACAGAGTAAGAGATATAACTTCACGCCCCAATTCCTGAAGTTATTGGGCTCTTAGAATGCCCTAAAAATAAGGAAGCACACATAATTTCTTGGTCCGGTTGAACACACTGAGACTCTGCATTGTTAAGGAAATCTTTCATCCTGCCCCAGTCCCAGAACCACCTCCATGCATTTTTAATTTTCCAGAGTAGAGTATAAACACTCAAAAGGGCATGGGGGACTTGTAGGAAGGAAACATAAGTGAGCAAAGTGGGCTGGATGGGAGCTGGGGCGAAAGAGCCAAAACTTGTTTAAAAGTGCATGCACCTACAGCTTCTCTTTGCCATGTGGAAAATGAGACCTAATATTTCCAGATCTACTGGTTTCAAGGAAATCAGGAAATTGATATTTTAGATGGGAAAGCCCTTGAGTTTTCAAATGTTGGCAACTAAAAGCATTTAAGAACACAGTGTGAGATCAGGGGTGGGAGAATTCAAACAAAACTGATCTGCAAATCAAATTCAGCCCTCAGGCCACCTCCTTGTGACATCTGGAATGAGCAAAGAGATAAGAAAATTAATGAATAAATAACTATCTGGTCACAGATGAGAACACAGATGAAAATTCATGATTTCTGAGTCACGTATCACTAACTTTGTCATGGCTTGTGCCATGTAATGACTCAGTCATGGGGCTTTGGTCTACTAAACATATTCGCTGTCCTCACAGCAGTACAGATATCTCAAGAGGCAATATGGCAATGTAAAATTATTCTAGATACATGCTATAATCTGGGCTCTTGTGAATACCATTGTCAACAGTGTGCCATATTGGAGGTATAATGCGATAGTGGAGTTGGAGAGACCTGAGTAATATCCCAGTGTCCCACTCACCAGCAGGTGACCTTGGGAAAGTCAGTTAATGTGCCTGTATCTTAGGTTCTAGGTTTGGAAAATGGGGAAACTGACCCCTATTTCATAAGGTGGTTGTGGGTTTGAGTAGAAGGAGGCATAAGAAACACCCAGCAGAGGGCTGGGAACAAAGCTGGAACTCAAGGAAATTACTTTCCTAGATCCTTCTCCAGACTCTCTACCTCACTCATTAAAAATGACTTTTGTTAATGAGTATAAACGATACTCTAAGTTTATTCAGGACAGACAAACAAATAAATGAAGAAAACATGCAAACAACAAACATAACCAATATAACTGACAACCTTCAATCCATAGTACAAGATGTGCAAAAGAATACTTAATGCATGTGAAAAGTGACAAATTGAGGAGGGGCTTTTGTTTATGACATTTGTGTGTCATGAGCCTTGCACTCCCCCAGGATATAAAGTCCCAGAGTCAGAACCAGGCTTGTCCAGTGCCAAGTGCCTTCTTAGAGTGAGTACACTTAAAATCCCTTGGCTTCACATTGGTTGGTGTGTGTCCAACCACAAGAAACACAAATGACAGGGATGCTGCCCATCAGAGGACACTCTGCTCTTGATATTTCATATCCTGCCATTCCATGAGATGCTCCTAACATCGCAGAGAAAGGCTACAGGTGGAGTTTAGCTAGCTGGGGATTACATTTGCTCACAAATGTCTACTTTTGAAACTGTGAAAGAGGGAAATTTCATTACGGTAGAAATTTCATTTGGGACCCTTTGGGGCCCACATTGTCATGCTTTGTGTTTTACAGGCCTATGCCACCCTGGCAGCTGTTACTGAGCATTCTTTGCTGAACTTCCATCTTCATGTCTACAGAAAATGTCCAGAACTGCATACTTTTTCTTTCTAGTCCAAGATGAGTCAGCCAGGCACCTGCTGGCTAGAATTTCATCCTGAGTGGCTCAGAATCCAGGTGCTTACAGGGTTACCATTGAGAATACATCACTTTCTGGGACACTTTGGGGAATTGTTGTTTTGTGCAATCAGTTTCCTATCAATGGTCTGTGAAGATATTTGAAAATTATTTAAGATACACTTACCCTCTTTTCTTCATTGCACTGCCCACCTCTTAAATACGATCCTAAAATTCAATAGTGCATTGAACAAATGATCTCAGGAAGTGACAGTGATGCTAGTGGAATCTGCTTTCTTCCTTCTGTACTCAGAGAAAAATGGGTGTTGTTTCACACCCACGTATAGGAGTCATGGCTGGGTTCCATTGCACACCATATAACCTACAACACGTGTGGTTACAAACACAGATCATTGTTTCCACCACAAAAAGAACTACACCAATCAACATTTATTCTGCAAGTTGTGGGGAAATGAATGTTCATTGTTCAGAATCTGGGAAGAGGTGGAAAAAGAGGATTTAACTACTTTTCTTTCATAGAATTAGAACAGCCTTTATGGAGAAAGTAGGTGTGTACATATTCTTTAAAATAAAGAGAAAATAAATCTTGGTCATGAGCTTTTAAAAAGTTAGAAAGTGGAAAGAAAATGTTGACATAGTCATCACCCAGTACACCTCATTCGCCCTCTCACCTCCCAGAGCTAAGAGAGACTCTGAGCCTCGGGTTGCTTACGGAGCTCTGGAAAGCAGGATTCCAGAGCTAGCACTCAGGCTTTCCATTTGGAAAGTTGCTTAAAATCTAGTGGGATCAAAGCTCCCTTAATATGACAATGTAAGGTCTTCTGCTCCTAATATGACACTTTCTGGGTTCTCTGAACAGGGGATACTCTAGTTGGGATTCAGACTTCTACTGACTGAGGTCTGGTAAATTGCTCCTACTGAAAGTCTGACAGCACCCATTAATGTAAAGCAATTCCTAGTCACCATGTTTAGGTAAAGGTGTTATTCAATAGATTCTTTACTCTTTCCTCTTTATGATGTTATTTTCACACAAATTTCATTTCACATTTATAATTGATCCCTCCTTAATTTCCCCCCATTATGTCAAAAAATTTCAAATGTTTCTCTTACTTGTTTAATTCCTTCTTTATTTCGATGATATTTCTTTTACTTCAAAGATTGTTCACCATTTTGGTATTAGTCTTTATATGTATAAGTACCTTATGTCCATGGGGAACAATGATCTACATTCAAATGTCTTCTCATATTTTTAATTTCTTTATAAGACTATAAGATAAGAAAGAAAATAGTCAAATTTGACATTGTCTCTTCTCCCTCCAAACAAAGCAGAATCCATTTCCTAGGTCTACAAACCCAGTTCTCCTTTGTTTTTTCCCAGGTTCAATGAATAGCAACCACCAGTCACCAAGTTACCATAGATAGAATCACCCAAGCTTGACACCTCTCCCTTATTCTCCAGATCCAATGCGTACCCAAGTGCTGCACTATACACACTCCCGAGGATCTCATATCCACCCCCTCTGCTGCCACTGCTCCAATTTACTCACTCTATTTCAGCTGCCTCCTGCTTCTGATCTCACCTCCTCCATTCATTCAATAAGGATTTATGAGATTTTACTGTGAAGTATGTTGGGTATACATTATGTTGAGTAAGACCAACATGGTCAGTACCTTAATTAACTTTATAGTGTTGTAGGGGGGAGAAATGTGAATAAAATGATCAAAAAACAGAATCTCAGCTGCTATACTAATTTTTCCAAAATGCAAATCTCTTCTTAGTGCTTGACATCCCTTGGTATCTTCCCATTTTCTTTAGGATGAAAATCTTAAACTTAGTGAGGCATCCCAGGCAGGTCCTTCACACCCTGATCCCTAAGTGTCCTTCCAGTCTTCTCCCTTGACACCACCATCTTCCCACACTCCCAACACCTCAGCAATTCACTGAACAGGCCATATCAGGTCACAGCTGCATGCCTTTGTTCATGCTCTATCTTCTGCTTGGATGTTCTTCTCTCTCCACTCCTCTCACTCAGGACCCCATCCTCTCTGCCAGGCTAAACTAAGTTCATTTCCCCAAACTCAACTCAAGCATGAACTCTACTTTTTGAAAATATTCTTGCCATCCTCTTACTGGCCTTGTCTCTTCACAGGTGACATTGATCTACCCTAATTCCCCTCTGTACTTTATTTAGACTTTAACTCACCACTACAACACTTAATTGCACTTACATGTTCTTATGAGCATCTTATTCACTAAATTAGAAATGCCTTGGAATCACAGAAGCTGTTTTATTCAGTATCTCTGTATATTCAGGCCAGATCTTATGTTTGTCCAATGGTAAATAGTTAATTGCAAATGAATATGTGAATGAGTAAGTACAGATTTACTGAGATTTATTGAGTGCTTGTTCTGTACACTGTTCTAAATATTTTAAATGCTTTTAATCTGGCTAAAAACTCAAAAGTAAGTTTCCATTAACAGATGAGGTAACCAAATTAAAGATGATTTGGATAATTTTTCCAACCTTACACATATTGTAAGGGATGGAGCTTAGACATAAGTAGGGAAAAATGACTGAGAGATTGCATAACCGGATGGGTGAATTCAAAAAAGTTAAAATAACTTCATGTGATTTCGTTGTTCTTTTTTGTCATCCTGGAGGGAATGATTTGTAGTTTGGACTGCTCTGAATCTAACCAACTAGAATTTTGAGCAAAGTGTCTGGTCTTAATTTTTTCATTTGTGAGAAGGGGATCCTGGAGTACTTCTCTCGTAGAGTTATGGAGAGGATTAAAGGAGGTAACCCATGTAAAGTGCTTAATATGTTATCAGGCATGTGGTAAGTGCTTAATAAATGATGTCAATTGCTCTTATCTTTACCACACTAGGAATTATTTTCTTCCCTTTCTAAATTTTCAAAACATTACAAAAAATTTAAAACGGAAAAGCACAGAAAATGACAACATAAACCTCCATGTACTTATTTAACACCTAAATTTAACATTAACAAGTTGCAAATTTCTTTTACAGAGAAAATCATAATATTGTAACAGATTACAGATACTGTTGAAACCTCTTCCTATGCCTTCCTTCCCAAAGGTAATGACTATACAGACGTTTGTGTTTATTCTTTCCATACATTATTTTTATAGTTTTATTACATATATGGTTATTGGAAAACAATATATACAATTACTTGGTGTGCTATTAAAATTTAAATACAAAGTATATATTCTACATACTTTTTTTCGCAACTTTTCCACTTAATTACATTATTAAAATTTATTCAGGGACATATATAAGTAATTCATTTATTTTAGTAATACATTGTGTGGATATATTATCTATTTATGTTTCTCATGCATATAATTCTTTTTATTTTACTTTTGGCCATTAAAAACAAGCTCATTAGCTATCCTAATAAATTCTTTATTGTGTACTTGTGTACACGTGGAAGAGTTTCTTTTTCTTTTTCTTTTTTTTTTTTTTTTTTTTTTCTGAGACGGAGTCTCACTCTGTTGCCCAGGCTGGAGTGCAGTGGTGCAATCTTGGCTCACTGCAACCTCCTCCTCCCAGGTTCAAGCAATTCTCCTGCCTCATCCTCCTGAGTAGCTGGGATTACAGGTGTGTGCCACCATGCCTGGCTAATTTTTTGTATTTTTAGTAGAGACAGAGTCACACCATGTTGGCCAGCCTGGTCTCGAACTCCTGACCTCAGCCTCAGCCTCCCAAAGTGCTGGGGAATACAGAAGTGAGCCACCGCGCCTGGCATGCCCTCCAGTTTTTCTCTCCCCACACCAGGGAGCACCTTTCTGAGAGTTTCTTTTTACCCTTTTTCAACTAGGATTCTGGAAGAGAATTAAGCCCTACTGTTCTAAAGCAATCATCATATATATCAATTATTTCCTATGCATCTAGAATGGAACTAGCTATGCATCCTGAGAAAATTGAGAAGGTAGTTGCTCAAATTATTTTCTGTAGGGCTTAGTTTTTTAATGGAATTCCAATTTAGAAGGGATATACACAAGGAGGAGAAATACTAGGTTATAGATTATGTATTTGTGAACTATATAAAATTGCCAATATCTAACCACTTTTGACCTACAAATATGGCAGTTTCATATGGGTCATTTTACATGTCTTTAACTTTGAAACATGTTGCTTACCCAATATTTATGAAATGGTATTTCATTGTTGTTTTAATTTGTATTTACTGGATTACAAGGAAGTTTATATTTCTTTATATGCTTAGTGACAATTTGGCTTTCCTTTTCTGTTAGTAGTCTTTGCTCATTTTTCAAATGGGTCTCTTGTCTTTATATATAATATATGTGTATGATAGTAAATACCTTGTCATTGTCTTTCAGTTGTTTGTTAAAAATTTATGTATACTACTAGTTTATACAGATAACTACATTTCTCTATAGTCAAAATGGTTTACCCTTATATGTTTTTTCTTTCTGTTTCTTATTTAAGAACTCTTTCGCTATCTTGAGGTCTAAAATATATTTTCTATATTTCTTCTAAAAGTTTCAAAGTTAGTTTTTTCACATTTGGGTTCTTAAGCTATTGGCTTTAATTTTAAGTGGATAAAGTAGGGTTCTAACTGTTTTCAAATGGATAACTAATTATCTTCATATTATTTATTGAATAGCTATTCTTCCCTCTGACTTACAGTGCTACACGAGGGATCCACTCAGTTCTCATATGTATGTATACCTTTCTCAGCTCTCTATTCTGGTTTCATTCATTTCATTGTATGCGCTGATATCTAACGATTATATTTAGCTGAGTTGTACTAGTATAGCCCTATTAATTATTAAGATAATACAAAACTTCTGTACAGATAGTGACTTTTTTTGATAAAATGTCACTATTCTGACACCTCTGAGTCTCCTCTGCTTCTCTCTCCATTTCCCCAACTGTCCCTCTGCCCATCTCCTCGAACCCATCCATGATCTAGAAATTAAAGGATTAACATTCAGCATTCATGGGGGATTATGAGACCAGTGCTAATGCCTTTCTGCCTGATTAGTGCTGTTTATATATTGGGAATAATTCCTCACACTTCATTGTTGTTCTTCAAAATTCTCATAAATCTTCTTTGTTCTTCTGTTTCTAAGATACATTTCTCAAGTAAATTTCACCCAAAAAGTCTATTGAAATTTAAAAAAATACAGCTTATTATTTGAATGGCAATTGAAAATTGAAACCCTAAATTTCTAGTTCGGTGTATGTCTCTTCAGTCTGTTTAAATCTATATGTCTCCTCTCCCCCACTCTTTTTTTTATCCCTTATAATTTATTTATTTACTTGAACCAGATTGTGTGTACTGCTCTGTTTCTCTCAAAACACAGTGTGATATTTCCCATATGCATTTTCAAGGTATTCTTTAACATGTTCCTGTGGCCCTTGCATTTCCTATAAATTGCTAATTAGATCTAGGTGACTGATCAGATTTAGGTTGATTCTTTTTTCAGTTGCATTGCACCATCAAAGACAGCATTATATACTTTAGTCAAGAAACACAGAATGGTTGTTATATCTCTGTGTAGTGTCAGAATCCTTTGATGATCATTGCCTGAATCCATTAATACAATAGAGGCTGAAAAATGGTGATATTCTAATTGTATCATTCCTTGTTCATTTACTATCTGGAGTATATCTCCATGGAGAACTTTCCTTTATCAACTATTTAATTACCCTGAGTTAAAATTTGTAGAGGAGAGGCAAGATCAGTTATTGATTTTCCCCTTTAGCAGTTTCCAAAACATTGGGTTAGTTATCTTGTATTCTCCAAAGATGATATTTAGCATCATTCTAAACTCATTAATTTAAACTCAAACATATTTGATGTGTCTCAATCCATTCTAATTTATTGTTATCATTGCTATCTAAACTGTTCCATTTTTGAGCAATCATGAAGGTTCTACCTAGGGCTGGCTTCTTGTATGTTTGACCTGTGCAGTCTCACAGGGCCTCACATTTGTGGGGACCCTGTATTAGTTTTCTGTGTCTGCCATGACAAGTTACTACAAACTGGGTTGCTTACAGCAACAAAAATTTATTTCTCACAGTTCTGGAGACCAGAAGTCCAAAATCAAGGTGGTGGCAGGGCTGTGCTTCCTGTGAAAGCTTCAAAGGAAAATTTTTCTTTACTTCTTCCAGCTTCTGGTGGCTCTGTGTGTTTCTTGCCTTCTGGCTGCATAATTCCAATATCTGCCTCTGTCTTCACACAGCCTTGTCCTCTTCTCCCTGTGTGTCTTTTCTCTGTATGTCTCCTATAAAGACCCGGTTTAGTGGCCACCTGGATAATCCAGGATAATCTCATCTCAAGCTCTTTAACTTAATAAGGCCATGTTTGCATGTTCTGGGGGTCAGGACATAGATACATCATTTTTAGGGTCCCGTTCAACCACAGGCACATGCTTGGTTAATGCTTTGCTGTTTCTGTCATTAAATTCTTAATCGAGTTATTTTTGAACTTGTGTTTTCTAAGTGAAGTCTTGATGGGACAATGGAGCACACATTTGCACAGAAGACATACTGTGTCTACTGTTCCTTGCTGCCACATTTGCATGTAGTGTTCATAATGCCATGAGCACTGAATTCTGGTAGAAAAATGTGTGGGAGTTTAGTGAAACACAGAGTAAATGCAAGGTAGGTACCTAAGGCCCATGACTAAGTAGGGCACTGACTTTCCTGAGAAGCCATACTTTCCACTCAAACAAGAATTCGCTTCTAATGCACAGAGAAGGCATTAGCATTCTAAGAAAGATGAACAACCATTTTTTTTAAGTTACTTCCCTGTACTATCAAAAGATTTACAACAATGACAAAATGATGACTTAGAAGGTAAGGGAAACAGGGCAACTCATAGTTGCTTTCCTTCAGTTATTCTTTACTCATCAGTAAGCCAAAGGTAGAGTGTTGATAGAAGGTGCTCATTGTCAATAAGTAAAATAATAGAAGAGTTAATTTTGTGCAGCGTTTACATTGTTCTAGTAAGAATGAAGTACATTTGAATGTACCAGCTAGGAAATACAAATTGTGTAATTTCAGTAATTCTGCATATGAGTTAAATGATTTTCTATTTGCATTTTGAAATGAAATTATACAATATAAAGAAGAATGGCACAATCTATGGTAATAATTCAAAATTTTAATTTTTCATTTTTATAATGATGTTTAATAGCAAATAAGAATCATAATGACAAGTCAAGAGACATACTGCAGAAGGAAAAAAATGCTTATAGTGCCTTTAATTGCAAATATCCCCCTGTGTTTTGAACAAGGAACTCCATAATTTTATTTTGCCCTGAAAATTATGTAATTGGCCCTGGATCCCTCCTTGGACAATCATGATGGCTCTTGAGTCCTTTAGATAGAACCCTAGTTGTCATCAGTAGCTTTGTGGGTATCTGTTATGACAAGTTGTTCTAGGTTCATCTTGGAAATTTCTGTCCCAGACTTGAAAACCTACATTTTTCCAAGAGGTCCTGGGTCCATTTAGTTGAAATTAGTATTTTGAGACCATAGTCTGGAAACTAGAGGTATTGATTCCTATCTTTTGTGTTACGGACTGAATGTGTCTCCCAAAAATTCATATGTTGAATTCCTAACCCCTAATATAATTGTATTAGGAAGTGAGGTATAGGAGGCAATCATGTCATTAGGGTGCAGCCCTCATGAATGGGATTAGTGTTCTTAGAAGAAGAAACATGAGAGAGATTATTTTTTTCTCTCAGCCATGTGAGTACACCACGAAAAGATGGCCTTCTGCAAACCAGGAGGAGTGTCCTCACCAGACAGCAGGTCTTCTGGTGCCTTGACCTTGGACTCCTCAGCCTCCAGAACTGTGAGAAATAAATTTCTGTTCTTTCAGCCATCCAGTCGCTGGTATTCTATAATAGCAGCCCGAAAATTTGGTTATTATTTCTAGATCCTTTCAATAAAGAGTACTAAGAAATGATTCTTTTCTTTTTTTCTTCTTATTGAAGTAGAACATGACAGATAAATATGCACAAAACTTAAGCATACTGCTCGGGAAATTTTCACAGTCTCTCAGACCAGAAAACAGAGTATGACTAACACTCAGAAGCCCCCTCTTGTCCACTTCCAGTCACTGTCCTCCACTAAATGTATTAAACTGACTTTTAATGCCAGAGATCAATTTTGTCTACTTTTGGACTTTATATAAATGGAATGATACATTATACTATTTTTGGGTCTAGCTGCTTTTGCTCAACACTATGAGTATAATGATAATAATAATAATAATAATAATAATAATAATAACCTACTAGCATGCATTTACTAATAGTTGAAGTTTATTCATTCTCATGGCTACCTAGTATTTAATTCTATGACAACATCAAAACGTCTACTTATTTTATTCTTGATGGACATTTACATTATTTCCAGTTTTTGGCTATTATAAGCAGTGCTGCTGGGAACATTCTTTACCAGTCTTTTAGTGAATTTATGTACGTATTTATATTGGGTATATAATTAGGTGTGCAATTGTTAGGTATGGAGATGTTCAGCTTTCATAAATACTGCCAAACTGATTTCTAAAATGATTAGAGCATTTAGGCTCCTACTAGCACATACGAGAGGACAAGTTGCTCCACATATTTGCTAATACTTGGCACACATTTGCCAATACATGGTACATTTTACCCACTCTAATGGGTTTCTAATGATATCACATTGTGGTTAATAAATTACACTTCACTGGTGATGAAAAAAAGGGTATCTTTTCATATGTTTATTAAATATTTGGCTATTCTCTTGTAAAGTGCCTGTTCATGTCTTGTATTTATATATATCTACTTTTTTATTTGTAGCAGTTTTTATTTCTGATATAAATCTTTTGTTGAATGTGTGAGTGTGTATAGTATACATATTTAAATTATATTTTCCCATTTTGTGGGTTGTTTTCATTTTCTGGGTGGTGTATTTTGATAAATAGAAGTATTTACTTTAAAGATAGCCAGACTTATTATTTTTTGTTTCTCTAGGAGTACTGCCTTTTGTGTTCCACTTTAAGAAATCCTTGGTTACTCAAAGGTCATGAATGTACATTCTATGCTTTCTTAAAAATCTTTGCTTATTTTTCACATTTTGATCTGCAGTCCATCTGGAATATTTTTGTGTATGGTAAGAGAGCTCTAGATTCATGTTTTGGTGTGGATTAAATGACCCTGGCATAATTTTTTAAATAGATTTTCTTGTGTATATTTAAGGTATATCACATATTACGAGATACATATATACATATAGTAAAATGGTTACTGTACTGAAAAAATTGCACATGTCCATCATCTCACATAATTACTATTTTCTTTCCCCTTATGGCAAGAGTAGCAATAATCTACTCATTCCACAAAAATCCTAGAAATAATACACTATTATTAACTGTAGTCTTCATGTTGTATGTTGGAACTTTAGACTTGTTCATCCTACATATCTGCTACTTTAATGTCCTTTGATCTACGTATCCCCATTTCCTGCTCCCTCTGCCCAGCACTGGTAACCAGTGTTTTGTTTCCTCTATCTCTGTGCATTTAACTCTTAATTTAGAGTCCACATGTGAGATAATACAATATTTTTCTTTCTGTTTCTGGCTTATTTCACTTAGCACAATGTCCTCCTGTTTCATCCATGTCGTGACAAATGGCAAGATCTCCTCTTTTTAAAGGCTGAATGATATTCCATTTACTATCTATATATACACCAGTTTCTTTATCCATTCATCCATCAACCGACGCTTAGGTTATTTCCGTCTTGGCTATTGTGAACAATGCTGCAATGAACATTGGCATGAACTGCAATGAACATTCCAAATACCTTTACAAGATGGTAATTTCATTTCTTTTGAGGGACTGCTGGATCATGTAATAATTCTATTTTTAATTTCTTTAGGAACCTCCATTCTGTTTTCCATAATCTCAGAACCATTCTAAATTCCCATAGGGTACAAAGTTTCCTTGTCTCCATACCCTTGCTAACACTTGCTACATCTTCTCTTTTGATAATAGCTATCTTAACTGGTGTGAAGTGATATCTTACAGTGGTTTTGAATTGTATCTCTCTAATTTTTTGGTGATGTTGAACATCCTTTTATATATCTGTTGGCCACTTAAATGTCTTCTTTGGAAAAATGTCCATTTATATCCTTTGCCTATTTTTGAACTAGCTTACATGTTTTCTTGCTATTGAGTTGTATGCGTTCTTTACATGTTTTGGTTATTAAACCTTTATCAATTTTATGGTGTGCTAATATTTTTTCCAGATTCATAGGTTGCCTTTTCATTTTGTTAATTGTTGCCTTTGCTGTGAAGAAGGTTTTCAGTTTGATGTAGCTTCACTTCTTGATTTTTTTGTGTGTTGCAGTCTGAGCTTCTGGCGTGATATTCAAGAAATCAGTGCCAAGGCCAGTATCAAGGAACATTTTTCCTATGTTTTCTTCTGGGAGTTTTATAATTTCAGGTCCAGCACAGTATTTTGATAGATAATTCTTTCTCCTTGCACTTTTTTGAAGTGTCATGTTCAAAAATAATGTCAGTGAATGTGTGTGGACTACTTATAGAATTTATTCTATTCCACTGTTTATAGATAATAACAATTGTCTTTAGTATCTTGAAGTCTATGTTCCTCAGTGTTCATCTTCTTCAGGATTGCCTTGGTATTGCCAAGGTTCTTTGCATTTTCATATGTATTAAAGAATTTACATGAAATGTAGAATTTTAGAAGCCTGTTAATTTGAACAACATACTGGAATTTTGTTTGAGAATGTTTTGGATCTGCAGAATAATTTTGAGATCATTGAGGCAAATTCACAAGGCTGCTTTAATAAATCACAATAAATCAGGCTTGTGAGTTTGTCACATGATAAACCTGTCCATTTACTCAGTCCTTTAATTTATGTTAATATTATTCATAGATTTTAGTGTAGTGGTCTTCTCAATTTTTGTTAAATATAATCTCAGGTATTTGATATATTTTAGTACAATAAATAGTATTGTTTGTAAAATTTCATTTTCACTTATTCACTGTTAAATATTAAGGCAGGTTGTCAAGCAGTTACTAAGATTTGCTTGTCATGTTTCCAAAAATTCTATCAGTAAGAAAGAGCTGGAACGGGTGTGGACAATTTATTACTCATGGCACAACATGTTTGCGTCAGTTTCACTTGCCCCAAAGTTTCATCGGGGTCATACAGAGTGGGCCCAGGAGGATGGTGCCCAAAAGGTTTATGTTGCATCTGAGGAACACTAAACATTAGAAACTTCTTCGAAGAGGCTACTGGAAACCTGGCCATTCTCCCCACAGGAGATACAGAGATTAGGTTTATTATCCAGGTATGCAAACAAATGGCTCCAGAGAGAGAAGTCTCTAAATCTTTCCAGAACCATACTTTATTTCTTGCTTCTGGAGTATTTACTATTCAAATTTACCTTCTTGCTCAGACAGACAGGACTGTGCAGAGATATGAACATACTCTGGAAGATTTTCTTCTGACTTATATGAATTTACCTAAGAATCCTAATTGTTAGTAGATTTTCAGTTGATCAATTAATTAAATTTTCTACATACACAATTATGTCTTCTGTTAAGAATGTCAGTTTTACGTTTCCATTTCCAATCTTTAAACCTTTGGTTTTATCTTCTTGCCTCACTGCACTTTTTGGAACCTCCAATCAATGTTACATAGAAATGATGATACTGTATCTCCTGGCTTATTTCCCACCTTAGGGAGAATGTGTTCATTGTTTATAACATTAGACATTCATAAATAACCCATATCAGATTTAAAATGTTCTTTTTTTTTTCTAATTTGCTGAGAATTTTTGAAAGACAAAACGTGGGTGTTGAATTTTTGTCAAATTCCTTTCTTGCATCTGAGAGATTGTTATATGACATTTCTACTTTTTTGTTATTAATATGGTAAATTGTACTGATACACTTTTGAATGTCAAATCACCTCTGCCTATCTGAAGTAAACTCCATTTGGCTGTGATGTTCTGTCTTCTTTATGTGTTTCTGAACAGGATTTTCTAATATTCTGTTTGAGATTTTTGCATCTATGCTCATTAGAGAATAAGGTCTGTAATTTTCCATTCTTGTAATGTCCTTGTCAGGTATTGAAATCAGAGCTAGACTGTACTCAGATGATGAATTTGAAAACATTTATTATTTCTTCTCTCTGGAAGTGTTTGTATAAGAGTCATGTTAACTCTTAAATGTTTGTAATAATTCACCTATGAACCCATCCAGACTTACGGTATTCTTTGTGTGAGGTGCTTTTACAAATGAATTCAGTTTCTTTAATAGATACAAATTATTTAGAATTCCTTTTTTTAAGTTTTGATCAGTTATCTTTTTCAAGGAAAATGTTCATTTTATCTAATTTTCAAGTTCACTGAATTTTGAACTGTGTTTTACTATGTTCTTTCAATTTCCTTTGGGGTTGATTTGCAGTATTTAGCTTCTTGAATTAAAAATCAGATTGTTAATTTTTTTTAGCTTTTTAAATCTAGTATATCTTTTAATGATTATAAGTTATTTGATGACTGTTTTAGCTACATTCTACATGTTTAAAATTTTGATGTCATGTCTTCATTATCATTTAAAGTCTATTCTGCTACTTTTTGTGATTTCTTCTTGATTTATGGATATTTACAAATATCCTGCTTAGTTTTCAAGCAATGGAGGATTTTTCTAGTTAACTTTGTTTGATTTATTTTTAGCTTTTTGATTTATTTGTAGCTTGATAATTATTGTCAGAAAAATGTGCTGAAATTATTTAAATCCATCAAAATTTGTTGAGATTTGCTTTATGGAGTAGCATAGGGTCATTTTTTTTTTAAGTATCCCATATGCACTTCAAAGATTATGTATTTAAATGCAATGATCTACATATGTCAATTAAGTTAGTTTTAGTAATTGTGTTGCTCAAGTCTTTAGTATCTACTGATTTTTAAAATCTGCTTGTTTTATCAGCTATTAAGATTACAGAATGATCTATTTCTCATTTTTGTAGATTTTTCCATGATATATTTTAAAGAAATGTTGTTGATGAATGCAGATTTAGAACTATTATATCTTTCTGGTGGATTGACAAATTTATTTTTATAAAATACATGATATGGTTTGGCTGTGTCCCCACCCAAATCTCATCTTGAATTGTAATCCCTACATGTCAGGGGAGGGGCCTGGTGGGAGGTGATTGGATCACGGGAGCAGTTTCCCAGGTGCTGTTCCACTGGTAGTGAGTGAGTTCTCCTGAGATCTGATGTTTTAATAGTGTGGCACTTCCCCGCTGTCTCTCTCTTGCTGTCTTGTGAAGAAGATGCTTGCTTCTCCTTTGCAATCCACCATGATTGTAAGTTTCCCGAGGCCTCCCCAGCCATGCAGAACTGAGTCAATTAAACCTCTTTTCTTTATAAATTGCCCAGTCTCAGGTAGTTTTTTATAGCAGTGTGAAAATGGACTAATACAATACACCTTTAATATCTAATAATGTTCATGCTTTAAAATTTTCTTTGTCTAACTCTGTGTCTATCTTTCTATGGTGTATCTTTTGTGATCTTAATGCTTTCTCTGTTTTTATATTTTAAATTTGTCTCTTAAAGAAACTTACAGTTAACTACTGTTTTTAAAGAAATATTAGATAATAATTTTAGTCTTTTAATGGTAATATTTAAGCCTTTTTTATTTTTATAATTATATATAAATATATATTTGTATTGTTATTTTATTTATTTTTTATTTTCCCTTCCTCTTTTATGCTCCTTTTGATTTTTACCTCCTTTTATTAAATTAATTAAATATATTTTTATTTTTTCATCCTCTATATAGTTTATGTTCTTTTTCAATTCCTAGAAGTTACAGCATGCATCTTTGTCATAATATAAGCTAATATTAACTATTACTTTACTACTTCCTGAAAATTCTAGAACTTTGAAACACTTTAATTGACCATTTTCTGTCTCTTGCATAATTTTTATTGTTCCTTTTAAATGTAGATATATATTAAATCCTATAAAATTTTTTTTATTCAATAGAAATTTATATTTACCCACATTTTTACTTTTTCTATTGCTCTTGCTTCAATTTCCTGCATTTATGTGGTTACATGTGTCTGACAAATTCTTTGAACTTTTAAAATTACAGGCCTACTAGCAATATATTTTTATTTATAATAAAATGCACTTATTTTGCCTTCACTTTTGAATATTTTTTCTAGACATGAAATTTTAGACTGGTAGATTTTGTTTTTAGTACTTTAAAGATATCACTCCTTTATTTTCTGGTTTTCATCATTTCTGTTCAAAATTAACTTTAATATTTTGTTAGCTTCTTTGAAGATAAAGTTTTCTTTTAGCCGATTAGTTAGTAGTTTGTCTTTGGTTTCAGCACATTTTAAAATAATTAGTCCTGGGCTTTTTTTTTTTTTTGAAATTTTTTTTTCAAAAAAACTTTAGTTCTCTCCTCCTAAATCTAAGGTACAGATATGCTCCTTGAACTTTTTGGAAGATAGAAGCTTAAATCTCTGGGCCAGGTGCAGTGGCTCAGGCCTGTAATCCCAACACTTTGGGAGGCCAAGGTGGGTGGATCACCTGAGATTGGGAGTTCGAGACCAGCCTGACCAACATGGAGAAACCCTGTCTCTACTAAAAGTACAAAATTAGCTGGGTGTGGTGGTGGGTGCCTGTAGTCCCAGGTACTCGGGAGGCTGAGGCAGGAGAATTGCTTGAATCTGGGAAGCGGAGGTTGCAGTGAGCTGAGATGGTGTCATTACCCTCCAGCCTGGGCAACAACAGTGAAACTCTGTCTCAAAAAACAAAACAAAACAACAATAACAACTTAAATCTCTGAATTTAGTGCTAATTTGTGAATAGATTTTAAAACTTTTAATTTAATGTATTTAATTGTAAGATAAAACATTTTTCACTTAGGCGTTAGTTCTGGTAATATCTATTTTTCTACAAAATTATTAATTTCATTTGAATTTTCAGATTTATTGCCAAAAGTATTTTTAGTATTCTTTCCTTCCTTCCTTCCTTCCTTTCTTCCTTTCATCCTTTCTTTTTTTCCTCTCTCAGTATCTTCCTTCTTTTCCTTGTTTTCCTTTATTCTACGTTAGTGATAGGATTGTAATTTTAACATGTATTTTATAAAGAATTTCTGTAAATTAATTTTGGAAGGGAAGACCATGTGACTTTAGTAATGTAGCAATGATATAACCGACAATAATCACGTTGCCCAAAAGGCAGATGCAGACAGATCCATGAGGAAATTTTTACACTATCAAGAAACAAAACAGATAGTTAGTAGATTACTTCCCTGAGGCAACCAGACTCCCTTTTTGTGGAATGGTGGTGGTGTATAACTTATTTATTTTCCTATCCTAATTTGTTTTAATTTCTCTAAATTTTAGTCCATGTTTGTTTTCATCCATTTTCCTTTTCCCTCATTTTTGGGGAGAATGCAAGACCCTTGTTAGATCACCTGCCATTATAGAAGAAAGAATTCAGTTTTGAACATTTTGATAAATGAAGTAAGAACAATAAATATGCCAAGATTAAAAAACCCATAAATATGTGTCACTCAAACAGATGTACACTATAGAGTTGCCATAGCCCTTTTCCAGTCTATTGTAGTATTTTTAGCAGTTTCTCCTTTAGTTTGAACAACTCCTCTATGTTTGCAGATGAGAATTTATCTGTTTTGGAGCTGATTGTGGGCTGAGGCATACAGACAAGTGATCTAGCGATTATTTTCCTTGGCTATGCCATCCTTAACAAATCTTGCTCTCATAATGATGCAGAAATAATTTCTTTCAATAACCATTTAAGGATTACTATATTACCAGAAGGTGGGGTAATATATTTTGGTTTGGTTCCTCCTCCTTTAGGCAGAAAGCTATGGATATTTCAAGGCTTATCTCTTTTCTTTCTCTTCTTTCAGGAATTCCATTCTGAGGCTGCTTATTGTCCAATGTCTGCATATAATTGCTTCATATATTTTGTTCACTTTCCCAGTTGTTTATAGAGAAAGGCAAATCTGATGTCAGCTACTCCACCAAGGATGGAAGCAGAAGCACTAACCAGTACAATTAAAAGTTAACTAAGAATTAGTATTTCCTGAATTATGGAATGAGGCTTCTGATTTTTCTCAAATGATACTTAGAATGCAAAATGTATTCCAAATATGATACAGAAATGCATCAACTTTAGCTTATAGACGAAACTCCTTAGTAATGATTCTTTGCCTCTACATTTTAAAGGATACACGAATTGGATTCTTTCTCCTGTGAAAGACAGTCAAAACTCTGGCTTTTTTAACAGAAGGCAGATTGTTAGCAATAAAATGGATATTGATTGAACTCACTAAGTATTTCCCTGAGAAAACTATCAGTGAATTGACAAAACTAGAACCATGTTAAAAATATACATGTGCAACTCAGAGAACAGATGGAATAAATAACAGGAATTTAGAAACAATTTTTTAAATCCTTGGTGTTTTTCTCATGCTTCAGAACTGCCAGTCATACTCTCTAAATCACAGTAATATTGAATTTAAAACAAAATCTGGTTTGCATATCTTTACTATCTGATATGACACAGTGTAGTTAATGTGACATTTATAAAAACAAATGTCCTGTTAAATAGATTGTATTAGTCATCCAGATAGTGTTTACCTATTTCCTGAAACACTGAAGGAGAGTAAGAGAGAGGAAATGGTGTAAAAGATAGCTTGGGTTTTTCTGGATACCATAGACCTACCATTATACTACTATACTCATGCCCATTAACTACTCATCTGTATCAACTACCAACTAGAATGTTAGTGTTAACTCACAGGTCTCTATCAACTGTGTGTGCTTGATTATCCAGTTGACTCTAGGGGTACTAGATGGTTATTATTACTATTTTGAAACAGGGTCTCACTACATCACCCAGGCCGGAATGCAGTGGTGTGATCACAGCTCACTGCAGTCTCAATATCCCGGTCTCAAGTGGTCCTCCTACCTCAGCCTCCCGAGGAGCTGGAACTACAGGCGCACACCACCACAGTTGGCTAATTTTTAACATTTTTTTCTGGAGAAAGTGTTTCACCATGTTGTCCAGGCTGTTCTCAAACTCCTGAGCTCAAGTGATCCACGAGCCTCGGCCTCCCAAAGGCTACCTGGGATTATAGGCATGAGCCATTGTGCCCAGCCATTTTCTCATATTCTTAAATCTTCCTAAGTAACCCTGTTAAGGGCTTTCTGTCATATTGAGGCTAAGAGCAGAAGATCCCTATTAAACTGACAAAATGTTGATAATTGTTGAAGGTAGGTAATGGATTCAGGGGGATAGTTTACTGTATTCCTCAACATCAGCCTTCTGGTTTATCTTTCTCTGATTTGCACCCTGGCTTCAGCTTCAGGGGGTTTTGTTTCTCCAGTGAGGCCCTTTATCAACTTGGCTTCCTACCCCTTTCACCTACAGAGCTATAGTCATTTTTTATCTCCATTTATCTCTGTTGACAATTCCAGTCTTACAGCTCTTTCTCTTCCACTTATCTCAGTATTATGAACCTAGAATGTACTGTTACCATAAAATCCTTATTTATTCTTGGAGTCCCTCTCTCCTTTCAGCACTTTTGTTGTGGACTCATGACCTGTAGCCATTTCACAGTGACTTTTATCAGGACTTTCAGATCCTTCAGCCCTCACTGGGTTAGTCCTCTGTGCACTGCCTGGCTTCCTTATGCCTGATCTCAATCTTCTGAGTATTTTTGAGGATAATTCGACTGCACATTCATGCTGTCTGGTTGTGGCTGGATGCTTACAGCTGTTTGGCATCCAACTTACTTATTCATCACACTTTACTGGCAACCGCATGCAGATACTGACAGTGATACTGGTTTCTTTATTCCCAAAAGATGACTTATCTTGTAATTTAAAGATGGCCCAGCCCAGCACTTTGGGAGGCTGAGGTGGGTGGATCACAAGGTCAGGAGATCGAGACCATCCTGGCCAACCTGGTGAAACCCGTCTGTTCTAAAAATACAAAAAAATTAGCCAGGCGTGGTGACAGGCGCCTGTAGTCCCAGCTAGTCGGGAGGCTGAGGCAGGAGAATGGCACGAACCCAGGAGGTGGAGCTTGCAGTGAGCCGAGATCGCGCCACTGCACTCCAGCCTGGGTGACAGAGTGAGACTCCATCTCAAAAAAAAAAAAAAAAAGATGGCCCTCTTTTGGGTGTATACCCAAAGGAAATAAAATCACCACTTACTAAAAATATCTGACTCTCATGTTCATTACAGCATTATTCACAATAGCTAAGATATGGAAACTATTGAAGTTTTCACTGATGGACGAATGGATAAAGAAATTGTGGTATGTGGTGTATATATATATACAATATATATACACAAACACGTATATATATTCCACTGTGCGCGTGCGCACACACACACACATATATATGTATATATATATATATATGAAATGGAATATTTTGCAGCCTTAACAAAAAAGATTCTACCATTTTGGAAAACATGGATGAATCCAGAAGACACTATGATAAGTAAAATAAGCCACACAAGGAAAAAAAATATTCTACATGATCTCACTTATAGGTGGAATCTTAAAAAAAATTGAATATATATAAACAGAGATTAAAATGGTGATTACCAGAGACGCGCAGGCAGGGGTAGTGGTGGGAAATGGGTAGTTATAGGTGAAAGGGTACAAAGTGGCTGTTATGTAGGATCAATAAGTCTAGAGTTCTAATTACAACATAAGCACTATAGTTAATAATATTGTATACTGGTAATTTGTAAGTAATTTTAGGTACTTGATATGGTTTGGATTTGTGTCCCCATCCAAATCTCATATTGAATTGTAATCCCCAATATTGGAGGAGGGGCCTGGTGAGAGGTGATTTGATCATGGGGGAGGATTTTCCCCTTGTGGTTCTAGTGACAGTGAGTGAGTTCTCACAAGATCTTTTAAAAAGAACTGTAGTGTAATTTAAAAAACAAGATCTGGTTGTTTAAAAGTGTGTAGCACCTCCCCCTTCACTCTGTTCCTCCTGCTCTAGCCATGTAGGGCATGCCTGCTTCCCCTTTGCCTTCTACCCTATGACTGTAAGCTTCCTGAGGCCTGCCCAGTCATGCTTCTTGTACAGTCCATGGAACTGTGAGCCAATTAAACCTCTTTTCTTTATAAAGTACCCAGTCTCAGGTATCCTTTGTAGTAATGCAAGAATGGACTAGTACAGTACTTTTGTCACAAAAAAGAAGAAGGAGGAGGAGGAGGAGCAGGAGGAGGAGGAGGATGGTGACTATGAGATGATAGATATGTTAATTTTCTTGACTCTAGTAATCATTTCACTATGTATATTTATATCAATATAAGTATGTCAAAACATCATGCCATACATCTTAAATAAATATAATAAAGAATATTTCTAAGAGAAGTCATCAAGATAAATAAATATAAATTCTCTCAACTTCCTTTTTTCCTTACAAAGATTTTGCTATATCTTTTCCATTTACTATTTTCTCTAAATGTCTGAGAATTATGGCCCTTCTCATTTCTAAGGATAAACCCTCCATACAATGCTCAAGTCTTTGCAATCTTAAAAACCTGAATTTTAATTTTGCTACAGTCTCAACACATTACTCTACCTGTGTCTTTGCTTCTGGATGTCTACTTCCTCACTGCCTACCCACTTTTTTACCCTTTAGTCACCTGGTGGGCCTGCGGTCACCAAATCTCACAACCTGTGATTGCTCATTGTTCTCCTCATATTGCTGCTAATCACCTTTGTGTTGGTCCGTTCTTGTGTTGCTATTTAAAAAGAAAATCTGTGACTGAGTAATTTATAAAAGGAAGAGGTTTAACTTGGCTCAAAGTTCTTCAGGCTGTATAGGCATGGCACCAACATCTGCTCAGCTCCTGGTGAGGGCTTCAGGAAGCTTGCAATCATGGTGGGAGGTGAAGGGGAGCTAGAACATCACATGGAGCAGGAGCAAGAGAGAGAGAAGGGGGAGGCACCAGACTCTTCTAAATAACCAGATCTCACATGAACAAATAGGAAGAACTCACTTATCACCAAGGTGATGGTGGTAAACCATTCATGCAAGAGCCACCTCCATGATCCGATCATTTTTCACCAGGCCCCACCTCTAACAGGAATCACATTTCAACATGAGATTGGAGAAGACAAAACATCCAAACGGTAGCAACCACCTCTTTGGAATTTGTTTCTTTCTACTTTTAAACTCCTAAATCCTCCCTGACTGAATGAAACTGACAAAGTGTCCAGGCAAGCCCAAGATGAAAGAAGCTGATTGTACTCATTACAGTGCTCGAGACTTGGGCTTGGAGGCGCAGGCTCTTATATTATCTGGAAGCCCGTCCAGTAAGGTTAATGCCAAACCTGGAGGACACAAAGGAAAGGTCATAACTGGAGTTATGGAGCCATTATTTAGAGCTGAGAACACTTTATCACAGCAAAAGCCACTGGAATTAAGCAGGGAATGTGCAGTTGGAGAAGATAGTCCTGAGTGATAGCTTGCCATTTGCTCATGTTTGAGGATTGCCTCTGTGGGCTGACAAGGGGGCATCATGCATGGGTAAGCCTGTCTAGTTTTAAGGCTATGGCTGCATCAGCCACGTCACTGTTTTGAGAATCTCTTTTAGGCAGGGTTGAGGTGGCTCATCTTTATGTTTTCCCAGTGGAATTATTTGATGTGGTCAAGTGAATTCTTAAAATAGGACTCTTATTACTAAATAAGTTCTTTAGTCTCCACCCTTTCAATTGCTTCAAGAATTGGTGCTATAAGGATTCAAAAATTTCTATCACTTCCTAATCAGGTTTCCTACTTCTGGTCAAATGGGCCGAACATGGGTCTATGTTATCTTTAAAAGACAGTCAGGAGAGACTGAGGACCAGGTTAAGGCTAAGTTGCAGGCAGTTAGTGATAGATATTACTAGCTGAAAGGATTCCCTCTATCAGCAACTCAGTTGAGGATGCTTAGTGAATCAGGGAATGTTATCATCTATTAGTGATCTGGGCAGTGGCAAGAGAAGTAGACAGATTGGATCAGGTGATTAAAGAGTGAGGTTTTGCTCTGCAAAACTTCCTGATGTTCTGGGTTTCTGAAAGCTTCACTCAATTCCATAGATACATAAAATCTGACCTCTCATTCACAGGTAGGAACTATTAATAGCATTCACGGATTGTGAGTGTACAATGAGATTCAAGTGCTTCACACTTTGCCTATAGGCAATGTTGCAAACAAGCATGTTTTCTACGTGAGTGGTGTATGTGTGTGTGTCTACCATGATTTTCTCAACTTACTGCAGCCATTTTTCTGTATTATCATTGTGCTTTTTGATAGCAATGACCTTGACATTCTCTTTCAGTTGAAGATTTACAGTAGCTTTGACAACAGTGATACTACTGTTCCACTGGCTAGCCATTTAGGACTGCAATTTGATCAGAGGTAAAGAAAAGAACATTACCTCCAAGTCAAGCATACAGACAAACCTCCATTGTTGAGCATTCACTCTTTGCATCAATTTCTTTCCTTAGTAAATACTATTCACCCCCATTATATTACTCTGCTGTACAACCACATTAAATGGTATATCTTGAAAAATGCTTTCATTGCCCAGGGTTGTTCAGTGGTCCCATTGGATTATTTTATGTACTTGTATTAATTGTAGTCGTTGCTGTTAATGCTATATGCGCTCCCATTCCCTTTCTATTGCCTTGTATTAATTTGATTACCCAAGGTGGCTTTGGTTGGGAGTACTATATACAATAAGGTGTATTATTAGCAGTAGTTTTTAAAATCATTTACAAGCAAATTGCTATGTCAATGCCCCATAATAATGTTGACTACTTTTATTCTTCTCAAAGTCCTTTTTATTCCTTCAGGAATAAGTCACTCTCTTAAGAACCTGTGCTCTAAACTAAAATATGAACCAGTGTGCATCATAATGGAGCCCCCTCCAGGGTAATAACATTATTTCCATTCTAAGGGGACTGTACATTTAACAGTCATAAGAAAAGAATCCATGCCTTGCTTCACAGCTGTGCCACGGTCTTTTTATTTTAAGTCTTTCCTTCTGTTGAGGGGAACTGAGGTTTGTTTTTGAACTTGGGAGGACATTTTCAAGAATATTTTCTTTTCTCCCTAATCTCTACATGAGCTGCCTATGTTAGCTGTGCTACTCTGATTCTTAGTTTACTACTTTAATTTGTCCACTCTTGCTCTGTTAGTCTCTTAAAACATCTAAGTCCTTTAAATATCGCATTTCTGGTCGACACCTCCCACTCTCCTGCCCATATGATACTATCAGAAACTTTAAAGTGGAAATATTTTCCTTTCCAGGACAGTTCTTCAGTGTCAGCATAGAACGGGTTTTAGCCCTGATAATGTATAGTCGGGATGAATTAGAGAATCTTCCCTTTACTATTACTGTTTGGGCTGACTCTGTAAGAACCACTCAGAGAGGAGAAAAAGCAACTTCCTTCCCCAGATCATGAGCCTACATCAGGCAAAAGAGAGTTTTTTAGCTTTAGGGAGTAGAAACCAAGAGAATTTAAGTTTGCCTCAAGACGGGAACAGCTTGTGCCTAGTGGGAAATTGCATTGTTGACACTTTGATAATGATCAGATCCTGACTTAAGTTCTAATAATAGCTCCTATTCATCACGCTTTTACTATGAGCCAGGTCTATATAAAGGTACTTTAAATATGTAGCAGTTGCAAATTTGAGCCTATAATGCAGATTGTGTAAACATATCATCTTTTTTAAAAAATTGAGGTGTAATTTAATTCACACTTACAAGGGTAAAATTCAACAACCATTAGTAGATTCACAAGGTTGTACAATCATCAACATTATCTAATTCCAGAGAATTTTAATGACTCAAGGAAGAAACTCCATGACCATTAACAGCCTCTCCCTATTTCCTCCTCTTCCCAGACCCTAATGTCTAACAATTTACTTTCTGTCTTTGTAGAGCTGCTTATGTTAGGCTTTTATATAAATGGAATCATACAATATGTAAACTTTTGTGTCTGGCTTCTTTCACTTAGCATAATGTTTTCAAGCTTCATCCATGTTGAAACATGAATTAGTACTTCATTCCTTTTTATGGCCGAATGATATTCCATTGTATGGATATACCAGATTTTGTGTATTGATTCATCAGTTGATGGACATTTGGGTTGTTTCCAGTTTGGGCCTATTATGGATAATGCTGCCATGAATATTTGTGTACAAGTTTTTGAACATTCGTATACATATGTTTTCATTTCTCTTGCATGAAATATAATTGCTGGGCCATATGGCAACTATGTTTAACTTTTCAAGGAACTGCCAAACTGTTTTCCAAAGCAGCTGCACCATCTAATTCCCACAAGCAATATACAAGGATTCTAATTTCTACACATCTTCACCAACATGTTATTATCTATCTTTATTATTATAACTATCCTGGAGGGTGTGAGGTGTATCTAAATGTGGTCATGTCTTATCTCTTATTGTGTATAAGTCAACTTACTTTCTGTTGTAAGCTTCTATCCTGCCAGGCTTGGATAGAAATGCTTTTATTGCCCAGGATTGTTCAGTGGTCCCATTGGATTATTTTACATACTTGTGTTAATTGTAGTCATTGCTGTTAATGCTATAGGCTCTCCTGTTCCGTTTCTATTGGTTGGATAGAAGCAAGTTTGGATAGAAGCTTGGCAGGATAGAAGCTTACAATAGAAAGTAAGCTCAGCAAAATCGTAAGTTCAGCAAAATCAGTGAACTCAGTGGTTTTTCAGTGTTTGCTATGTGAGGTCATGTTGAGGTCCTAGAAAACGTACACAGTCCTGGATATCAATAGGTCAAAAACTAAGCTGTTTGGTCACTGAATTGTCTACACAGATAACTCCTAAGTCATTTTAGCCCACATGGCCATCATATGTTATATCTACCCCTCTTAAAGCACTCACACGTTTTGTGAGACGGCTTATTGTTCGTTGGCATAGGGGCGTCGTGTACCTATGTTTTATTTTTTCTTCTTTTTCTATTGAAAACACAGGTGAATAATTGCACTATATACATGAATCTCGGGCCTTGCATGTGCTGCTTCAAGTCAGGAAAAGTATAATTGTACTGTGTGTAAAAGCCAAAAAATCTGGATTTAAAAAATCTTTTAGGTACAAACTTAACCATGGTGGCTCAATTTGCAGAAGGATGAGTTGAATCCAATATTAGGAGGAGGCATTGAGTGTGGCAGGGGCACCATTGTCCTTCATTTGAGGACAATGTCTTGGTTACTGAAGTTTGTCATGCTAGACTTTTCTGAGATATTTACCTGCTTCTGCCATCCCAATAGTTGTGTCCAGGTTGGCCGTGTCCCACTGCACTTGGCTCAGAGACCACATACCCTCTTTACCCTCTTTTTAATGCTGATCTCACCCAGGGAAGTCAGGTAATATAGGCAAATAGGTGAATTTACTTTTTGCAGCTGCTGCCTTTTCTTCCAATGCGTTTCCTCCATATATTAGGTTTGCAGTTTTTGCCATTGAAAGTAATTGCAAAAACTGCAATTACCTTTGCACCAAACTAATAGTAGCACAGGCTCCACTCTGCCTGCACTTCTGTCATCAAAATGTGCTCCTCAAAATGCTACCATCAGTCATTCTTATTCTCTATCAATTCAACTACATTTACCAGGAATGTATTTGTATTTTAAGAAGCTTCATTTTGCATAGTGGTAAAAATACTTTTCTTTATTAACAAGAAATTAAATTTCAGTGGGGCAGACTAGCTTATGGGTTGATTTGCTTAGAGTCGGATTTGTGTTAGGGATAATAACGAATGCTAACATTTGAAGAACACTTAATTCCATGTTAGGCAAGAGCTAATGCTTTATATGTATTATTTCACTTGATAACTAACAACAGCCCTTAGATACAGGTATTATTATGATATTTTACAAGAGAGAACATGAGACTTAGCAATGTTAAGTGATTTTCCCCAGGTTGCTTGGTTAATAATTGATGGGGCTAGAATTTTGATCCAGGACTGTTTGACTCCAAAGTCCTGTCTTGTTAGCCATTGTCTCCTTTCATGCTTAACACTGAGATCTCAAAGACAGGTAGGTATGCTGTACCTGGAAATTAGCGAGTTTCCAGTAAAGACAGAGAGTTACTGTAGATTAGGTAGAAGAAGTATAAAGTATTTTAAGTATTATTTAAAAGAGGTTTGATAAGTGCCCCATCCTAAAATATTTCCAGCTCCAAACTTTCATCTTCCCAAGGAATAGTTTATAATTAGATTCTTTGGAGACAGGCTTTCAGATTTCAATAGTTCATATTTCCAGGTGTGTGTGTGTGTGTGTGTGTGTGTGTGGTGTGTGTGTGTGTTTATGATAGAGCCCATCATACCTTTAGCCATTGCCAGTTAGCTAGCTTCCATTTTTAGCAGGGATTAATTTATGAATCAGTGCTGAAGAACTGGAACACAGATGGACTCACTTTCTGAACAAAAAAGAGGTGGAGGGTGGAGGCTATGCAAAGACCAGGGTAAAGCGCATTCTACAGGAGGCAAATCTCTTCCTTATTAACTTGTCTATTGACACAGATAGTTGCAAAAGTAGTCCAAGGGCTGAAAGAAATAGGAAATGTCTCTTGATATGACAAAGAGAAGGGTTGCCTGCAATGTAGTGATGAAAATAGAAGTAGTTAGTGCTGTGGTTTATGCCGAAGCAGAGAGGCAGCTTAGAGAAGGCAGTGTATTATACTTTCTAATTATATATTACTGTATTGTCAGCCTTTTCCCATTTTTGGCTTGCTTCTTTCATCTCCCAAACAGACTCAGTTCTCCATCCTAAAGGAAATTCCATCATTTTCAAACTCTTAAGAGACTGTATTCTCCTCCCACTTTCTTATGTCTCCTTAGACTTTTCTTCCCCTTGTAATTGGGCTCTGCCTCCACCATCCCACTAGGACTGATTTCACTGAGAACATTAAGAAAGAAAGCAAAACAGAACTTCTAATTGTCCTGTTATTCTAATTGTCCACACTGTTTGCAGCATCTAGCTCTGAAAATTATATCCTCCTCCTTGAAATTGTCTTCTCCCTCATACTGTTTTATTATTGTCTTCATTCTGTTTTTTGTTTATGATATTCATGTATTTATCCAATCAATGTATTCATTTGCTAGGGCTGCTGTAACAAAGTCCTACAATCTGGGTGGCTTAAGCAACAGAAATGTTGTCTCATAGTTTTGGAGGCTGAAAGTGATTGGTTCCTTGTGAGGGCTGGGAGGGAAGCATCTGCTCCAGGCCTTCCTCCTTGGCTTATAGATGGCTATCATTTCCCTGTGTCTTTTCACGTAGTTATTCCTCTATGTATGTCTGTCTATGTGTTCAAATTTCCTCTTAATCATAAGGACACTAGTCATATTGGATTGAGGTCTACCCCAATTAGCTCACTTTAATTTGATTACCTTTGGGAAGACCCTATCTCTAAATAAGATCACATCCCAGGATACTGGGGACTGGGACTCCAGCATATCTTTTATGTGAGGGGCCATAATTCAATCCATAACATTCAACAAACTTTTGTTGGTTGTCTGTGATTTTCTAGACATTGAGCTAGTTGGGAGTTTGTATATATAGGGACCCAGCAGCTACTTTTAAACAGACTCAAATTTAGTGGGGAGACAAACCCAGGCCTGAGGTTGTGTCCTGGTCTTGACTGGATGGTGAATGAACACAACGTGCCGGTCGTCTCCCCAGCCCTACCCTAGAGATTCCTCAGTAGTAAAAGAATTTGTAGGAGTCTAAAAAAATGAAAGCAAAGACCGTAAGAAACCCTGGGAAGAGCGAGTACAATTGTGACATCACGCATAGGAAGTGACAAGCAGAGGCAGGGAATGGCCAGCTGCCACAGTTGGGGAGAATCTTCACTGCGCACTTTGCTCTCTTACATTGCCAGGAATGGCTAATGGGCACTTGTCTTTTTTCTCTCCATAGTGGAATAGGAAAACATTCCAGCCCCAGCCCTGTTTGTAGGGGTAGGAGATCTTGAGATAATTCTAGGAGTAGGGTACGGTTGGGAGAAGACAGGCACAAGGATAGACTGATTGGCCCACTTTCAGGCATTCCTTCCCTTTAGGTTTCCTAGGTGCAGTGTCACTTGCTAAGCAGAAAGCAGTCGGGGGTGATCAAACCCAGATTGTGAACACATTACCAACAACAATAGCTGATGCCTCCAGGGTAAGGAAGAGTCACAGGCAAAGTAATCAGAGAGTGAACAGCACAGCCAAGAAAAAAGGGAAATCATGAACACCCTGAACAGAATCAGAATGAATGGAACAGAGAGATCAAAAATTAGAAATATACACAATAATTATCTTCCAGTTGATAAGAGAAGGTACTGTAATGTGAAGCAGAAACAGGCATGTCTGCTTGTAGAGGGAACCTGAGTGTGCATCATTTTGGGAATGGATGATTTAAATATGATAGATCTAACTATAGAATACCATATGGGAAGAGAAAACCACAAATTTGATATAAAGCATGAAATAATTCTTATTTTTTAAAAAAAATTAAGTGGAAAAAGTAGGAAATAAAATGAAATTTTAATACAATAATATTTATCTAAAGGTTTACATATTTATAAAACAAGACCTGCAGGGCACATTGGCTCATGCCTGTAATCCTGAAGTGTTAACACTTTAACCCTAACACTTTAATCCAAACACTTTGGGAGGCCGAGGTGGGTGGATTGCTTGAGGCTGGAGTTTGACACCAGGCTGGATAACATGGTGAAACTCCATCTCTACTAAAAAAAAAAAAAAAAAAAAAAAATTAGCCAGGCATGTAGTCCCAGCTACTAGGGAGGCTGAGGTGGGAGGATCACTTGAGCCTGGGACCCTGGGAAGTTGAGGCTGCAGTGAGCTTTGTGCCACTGCACTCCAGTCTGAGTGACAGAGTGAGCCTGTATTTCAAAAACGACAAACAAACAAGCAAACAAAAAACAAACAAAAAACCCCACCACCAACAAAAACAAGACCATACATATTATAAGCATAAGTAAAACCATATATCAAATATATTATTAATAAATGACTACCTATTGGCCAGTTGATGAGAATGAGAACGTGGGCTCAGAAAAGAAAGAGAAAAATATTAAAACAAGAAAGAATCAACTGCGCACCTAGAAACAAAACATATTTCTCTAACCTCTCTGACCACACTCTCCTTGGTTTTTTTCCTAATTCATTTTCCTCTTTCCATCCCTACAACATTAATATTTTAATTATTGGCTCTTTCGTCTTGTTGCTTGGTAAGCAATTTCACTATAGCTATGACATGAACAATGACCTAGTTCCAAATGAACATCTCCAGCCTCCTCCTGTCTTTTGACTCGTGGTCTTGTATTTCCAACTATTGACCAGATTCCTGTATCACAAGTCCTTGAGTGCACCAAACACATCTCCAAGTGCCTGGGTCTTGCAGAGAACATGGTCTATAGAAATGGTGGTTTACCATCTTCTAGAGTTGTCTCTGGTCTCAAATTCATTTTGCCTGCAGGTGAAATGATGTGAAGTAGAAGGAGGTACAATAGTGTCAGAGGTCAAGCATTCTCTATTTTATGGTTTTCCTGACAATTGGCTCTGAGACATCCTGCTGCCCCAGAAATGGGATTAGAGGCTACACTGGTGGGACAATCCCTCTGGGGCTTTGCAGAGGTGTTCTCAGAATATTATCCCAGATTGTGTTAGGACTGGTATGTCAAAACGTGTTTGGCATTGCACAACATGCTGAGCACATAGGTATGCAAATATTTGAAGCTGAAATAAATATTAGAAGTCATGAAGTTTTGTGGTTATCAAGCTCGTCAAAGTGCTATTGTTTTCTAGTGAAGCCTCAGAGGTGGGCTTCTAGTCTGCCTACCCCATTTCAGCTAGAGGAGCTTTGGTGAAGTGTGGAGTGGTAGGGAGCACAGACTTTGGGGCTGGAGTCGTATCCCAGACTCACTGGGTATGGCTGTGTGATCTTGGGAAAGTTTTAATCTCTCTTTTCTTTAGTTTCTTTCTCTACAAAATGGAATTCATAGCTATCCTTGCCTTAGAGGATTTTGTGAAGATCAAGATAAGTGAAATACACATGAAGCATTTAAAACTGAGGCACCTGCAGAGTACATGCTCAAGGAATACGCTTATTGTTGCTGCTCTGAATTTATTTCAGGTAATGGAACTTGGAATAAGAATTGATTTGAAAAAAAATTATTTAAAAAAGTTCAGAACTGCCAATTTTTAGTTTTTTCAATGATTTCACAGATAGAAAGGCCAAGATTGACCCATAATCATGCAGTTATTAATAGAATGAGGATGAAATCTTAAGGACCCGACTCCCAGCCAGGACTCTGTCCAGCATACCTGTATCAGGTGCTGTGGACATCCCAGCTCCCTTCCTGTGTCAATCAATTCTTCTTGGGTCCCTAGCAAGAGAAACCAATCCAAACTGGCTTAACCAGAATAAGAATTTATCTAGCCCTGGCCACACCTGTATCCAGGTCTGCTAGCTCATATCTCCTTAGCTTAACAATCTCCCTACCTTTCCAAGGAAAACTCTGCCTAATTGTGACAAAACCCAATGACTTGCTCTCATGCTCTTATAGGCCCACCATGCTTGAGTGTATGTGCATTTCTGAACCAATTATTGTGGCCAAGGGGTCCAGCAACTCTTCCTGACCAGTCATGGGTCAAGCATTTAATGCTGGAGCTGGAGATGGGTGGGTTAGTCATCCCCTCACACTGCAGTGGTTCTGAGCGTAAGAAGAGGATGCTCCCCTAATAACAATTGAAAAAAGAGGAATGATTTTTGGGAAGGCCAAAACAATAGAAGTCCTTATTTCCAAAAATGGACTTAATCTCAAATACAGCTGAATAACTTAACAGTCCTAGAACTTAAAAGAATTGCACCATTTCAGTTTATATCATCAAGCAATTCACTCCTGATTAAATCCAATTCACCCCCATCCTTTGCTTCCCTTGATAGTTGCTGTCTTTACAGCCCACATGGCTGCTGATCTCTTGCTCTTTTTTATTCAACCAAAGACTGAAATGATCAGGAGGGTGCTTTTGTAAATTAGTAACTGAAGTTTAAAACGGACTGAGAAGTATGGTGTGTAACATTGTATGTGATTTCATTGCCATCAATTTTCCCTGAGTCTGTCAGTATTTGGGTACAATTTGAGTGTGAGTGTTGTACCTTTGAGATCCTCTGGGAATATAGAATGTCACTCTTTGACTGTTAAATGGGTTGAGCTATGGGGATACAAGGACTCAGCATGCTCAAGCTTCCTTTTCTGTTCCTAGAGCAATTCTAAGACACTGGCCTCTAAGTCCCTAAATAACTCAACCAGCACCTTTCCCCATGTGCCATAATCACAATTAGCCTGACTTGAAGCGTTCCAGCTACAGTTTAGAAATTCAGCCTTCAGGAAAAGAGGAGATGAAACTTCCCGTGGAGGGTCCTCATTTGTAGAAATTTCTCTGCCTGCCCTGATTGGCAAAGCCCTAGTGAGAAAAACTTTCTTTTTATTACAGTGAGTCACTGATGCTAATATATGGCACTCAATGTTGTTTGCTATCTATTTTAATTAAACATTATTTTGCACTGGCTCCCTGAAGAGTATGCATCACAGAAAAGCACAATTTCATAAATCTAATAAACAACTAAACAAATACATGCCTCTGTGCATTGATACCACTTGAAATCTCTGTATTTTCATAAGTTTGTTCTGTATGATTGCAAAGACAGTTATTTGTACTTATTTGTGCATGAGTAATTCCTCCAGTTTCCTTGGAAGTAAAGCCAAAGGCAGACATTGGCTGCTTCTCTGCACATTTCTATGTGTACAGAGGGATCTATAAATATGAGTGCTCCTACTTTCAGAGTTTGAAAATAAAACGACCAAATATTTTTTGAATGGAACTGGTCCTGCTTTTAATTCATACCAGCTCTCTGGAAAACTTGCTAATAAAACCACTGTAACAATCACGTGTTTCTTTGGAAACATCAGTATAATTAGCCCTTTCAAGAAGAGAACAAAACTGTATTGGAAACCTCAATTTGAAATACAGTGAAGCCAAATACCTAATTATAGTGCTGCAGTCTTTTTTCTTTTCCTTTATTTCCTGGCAAAACATTATTTTATGCCTTTGTTCCCCTTCAATGGCCATAATAGTCTTGGCATAAACCTTGCAGGTAGGTGGGAAAATCTCCTGAGTATTCCTTGTTCTGTTGGAGGATATTCTTGGAAATAACCAAACAAGTAGTCTGCTTAGAGGGCTACCCCTGGAAAGTCAGGAGGAGTCTTTTCTCAGCCACACTCCTGACAAACATTTCTGTTTCTTCTCCCCTCCCATCCCCAGGAGGCTCGGTACCCTTGAATCTTTCCTTCCTCATTTGCATTCCCTTCCTGCACAAGGAAAGGATTATTCTCAATTTACACAGTAGGATGGGCTTTCAGAGTAAAGGAAGATCTTTGAAGGCCCTGGGATGGCTTGTGGAGAAGCCTCCTTTGAAAATTTAAACTGGAAACCTTACTTCCTCCAGGAGTGTTTGGCTTCTAAGCATTGTATATAGAATGAAATGTTTTGTCCCCTAGTGAAAGGAATTTCTCTATAAGCGGGATGGGGAAATATTTGTGTTTTGGGAGTCGTTCTCTGGGGGAAGGGAAACTGGAAGAACAAATAACATAAGCATAATAAATACAGCTGGTGAAAGCTGAGATTTCCAAGTGACTGCTTCAGTGCTCTAACTGTAGCCCTTGAGGTTAGAAGTTAAAACACCTCACTTTGCACCTGACTTAATGACTACCCTGAGGGAAGAATTGTTCTGGTTGATAGGATTAGGTCTCTCTTTACTTCTTGATTGTGCCTGAAGCATGGAAGGAGCTGAACAATGAGGATCTCAAATACTCTAGTGCCATTTCGCCATCACAATACCTAAAACACATCTGATTCTATTGGTTATCTTGATTTTCAGCCATTACCATAGCTTCCTAATGAAAGCTTACATTGCAAATTAGGGATGTTAAAGAGGAAAGGCAAATTAGTGGGAACATTTGCACTTGAATTTGATTTCTAGGAAACCACTCATTTAGTGTTTTCTTTATTATTTTTTTCAAATATGTGAATGAGTTGCAAAATTTTAAATGAAAACTATGTTTGAAACATATCTGGAGACCCAGGGTACCATCACTAGTAATTACCTTTTCTCTGGAAATGATTTGAAAAGTTGTCAATAAGCCTTTCCCAACTTGTAGCTTTCTGAGGCACTGAGGATGAAATCTAGAATTATTTACCATAGTTTATCAGGACTTCAACACCTGACACTGCTTAACTCTTTAGCCTCTTTGTTCTCATATTCTACTTTCTTTGAACTTTTTCTGGAACTGGAGTCCACCCTACTTTCTCTTGCTTCTAAGAGTCTGTATGCATTTCCCTAGCCTGGAATACTCTTTGCCTCACTGTTCATCTGGTCAACTCTTATTTAGCTTCAAATTTCAACTTAAACACCATGTACTTTTCTGGACCACAGAAGAGGTTGGTTTTCTTGTTATTTATGCTCTTAATACTCTGTCCAACTTTTGAAACCCTCTTTCCCCACCCCATCAAATTTGTTGTTGTTTTTTTCAATGTCTTTCTTTGTCACTAGAGTGTAAGCTTCCTGAGGACAAGTATTGTATTTTTGTCTTGTTCACCACTACTAGCACTAGCCTCAGCACATAATATTGCTAGGCTGGAGTCTACATTCTGACCTTATCTGAACAGCTCACTCTCTAACCCTATGGAATCAGCCTAACTTCCTGTCTTTGCTTTTGCAGGACAAGTAGGCAATTCAATTGCAAAAGGATCCAGCTTACTCTTGATTTAACCTAATTGCTCTCTCAATCTTTGCCACATACTCTTAGCTCCACAAGAACTTTCCATTATTAATGCAGCTTGATTTGGGACCATTAAATTGTTTAAATTGTAATCAGCTTTAAAAATTATTTTATCAACTTTTTGCTTCTTTAATATTTTTAAAGCATGCAAGTCCCGAGTCATCTACACATAGCCTTAAATCTCTATAGGTGGTGATCACACTGAGTCAAATGACATTTGTAAAGGGAAAGTTACACCTTTGAAAATTTACATAGGAAATAATACTTTGATTAAATTAAGGATAAGCATTTTAATCGTTTTCTCGGACATTTTCTTCCAAAATTTTACAAAAATAGAAACTGTCTTTTCATCCTTACCCCCTACCCCTTCTTTCCCATCCAAACTTATCCTGGTATTCATAACTTCTACAGAAAGGGTGACATCTGGAACTAATTTATGATAACTTCATCATCTTTGCAGCATTTCTGGAACTTGCTCAGAGAAGTTAGAATCTTTCCAGTCTAAGAAAATATACTTTCAGGCAAACATTTTCAGTAAAATATTTCTGAGGAATAAAACCTATTTACCTACTATTGAATGTTGAACACAAATTTCTTATGCCCTCATATTTCCCTGAATTGGTTGTAGTCATTAAGGATCAAAATAACAGCTCCGGGAAAACCCAGAAACAGCAGAGGGTCTATCAACAATATGAGGAGACTTCCGATTGAATGAACTGTCACCTGTATCCTGCATAGTTTCTTAATCCTGAGCATTGATCAAGTATTGACCGTAGGCCAGATGCTATGCTAGGTTTTGGAAGGCTGCACTGTGTATAAGACACAGTCCTTGCCCCAGGAGCTCTTTGCAGTGTCTACTAAAGGAATTTAGAGTAATCTCTGGGTGAGTGCAAGTCATGGATACATAAAATGAGGTCACCTATGGCAGGAATCTGAGAGTTTCTTATGCCACCACCTCCCTGTGCTATTGTAAAGCACATAATGGCATTTTAGAGATGACGAAAATTTTGGTGTATGATTGGAAACACAAGGATGAAGAATATCTTAAAGTGGGTGCACAAAGTTGGCAGAAGCTTGTTTGGCCTTTGCTTCAAGTCTCCTGCAGTTTCAGCTTCAGTGCTGATTCTCCTTGAATTTGCTTGTGTTACCACAACGTTACCTGGGTTATTACTTACCCTCTATATTCCCATTTTAATAGTGACAGGGAAAGGATCAAGTGTAGTCAAAATGCAAGGACATTTCCTTAGCCTAAGAAGGCCTATTTAGAATAGAATGTTAAAATATTAAAGAAGTAGGAAAGCTCTTTTTTTGGTTTATGAAAAATTCAAGTTGTGTAAGGCCTTCTGGGAATTGAACATTTGTATAAGTTTGGCAGTGCCTGGATTTATTTATTTATACCCTGCCTATTCTATAACTGGTTTCAAGCAGACTAAAATGAAACATGAAATGCCCCAAAATCACATGTGTTAAGGTGGGATAAAATAAATAAAAACAGAGGCAAACACAAAGTGGTTTTTGAATAAGCCTAAAGACACCTACTATAAAGACACCTACTAAGACACATCTATAAAAGGTAAACCAGAATTGTGTCTATGATTCCTGACATCAAGTTAGCACAAAATAAATGATAGTTGCCTTTGAAAAAAAACTTCTGTATAATTACCATCTCTTTCTGATTCATTGAATTGAGTTGTGTAGCTTGGTCTTCCTCAGGGGTAACTAAGTTGACAGGTTATTTTCTGTTTTCTGTCAAACTGTTCAAGAGATTGCATAATCCTTGGGCAGCAGCTTGTTCTTTATAACTGTGGCATCTGGCAGAGCGCCTAGCACATACTGGGTGCTGAATAAACACTGGCTGACTGGCTCAGTAAGTGAGGGAATTAAAAAATGTGAATCAGGATGATCTGCCAAATTGGGACAGGGGTTCAACTTTCCTGAACTGATCCTGTTTCTTGGGATGCTGCTATGAAGTGTCTGAAGTTTTGAATAACTGCTACAAGGAGAATCAGCAAAAAGGAAAGTTAGTGATGGACTTAATGTGTGTGTGTGTGTGTGTGTGTGTGTGTGTGTGTGTGTGTGTGTGTGTGAAAGAGAGAGAGAGAAATCAATTCTATAAATTGTTTGTTGAAAGGTAAGTTGTAGCCCATGTAGTAAAATCCTTATTGAACAGGAGTGTCTCTAGCTACACTCTGGAACAGAGAAAGTCTTGAGTATTCACCCTATCATCTCTCTAGTTGCATCAGTATGTTCAGGTTGGCCCTATGAGAGAAGTAGATGCTTCGGTAGCATCTCACTCTTTGTCTCCCGGACCACAGGAGATATTCAAAGGTTATTACTCAGCAGCTATACAAAATAAGGAACAGAATTGCTTCCTAAATCCTGCTATGTAGCAGTGAGTAATGTGTGTCTTTGTGTCTATGTAAGCTGGCCTCCTGGGGAGGAGGAAGTGTGAGCTGGAGTGCCAGGAATCAAGGGGTGATAATGACGGTGGTGGTGTGTTTGTGTGTGAAATAGTATGAACTTCTACTTTCGATTGCAGCTGATTTTCCCCATAACGTATCAAGAGCAAACACTTACTCAGTTCTTGTCTCCACAACTGAACTTATCCCAAAACTTTGTCTAAGGTTTGTTGAGTGATTCATATTTCTCCCATTAACATATGTTTAATCTTTGCAACCCTATTCCCTTGACTTATGCTAAGAAAAATTCACTTCCTCACGGCCCTGAGCTCCAGTTCAAATATTCCCCCATTAACTGACAAAGAAGAACTACTTCTTATTCATTATAAGATTCCTCTTGACTATACGGGATAATGTAAATTTTTTTATCCCACCATTTTTTCAAAGTATATAGTTCACAAGATTACTTTGATAACTGTGTAACTTCTTTTGTGTCCGGAAACATTGATGTGATCAGGTTCAATCCTGTGTGTGCATCTGTGGATCTGAAGACTGAGAACTCTGTCTCTGTGCAGATGACTTGACTTTACCTAGACAACGTTTTTTACATAATCTGGTCCAATTGTGAGTCCTTTTCTGCTTTCACAATGGCGTACTCTAGGATGCTTCAGACTGCCCTTCGCTGAGACTGTGTTCTGAATAGATAAAGAAAATAGGGCCACATGTTAGCAGTTTTGCTGAATCTAGATGGCTGCTATATTTGTATTTGTTTTACCATTCTTTGAACATTTTGTATCTTTAAAGTTTTTCACAATAAAAAATTTGAAAAAGGCTGTGTACTCTGAGGAGAAATGAAACATCAATGGGGAAAAAAAGAAGAAATGTCAATGGGAAGAACACGGTGGGTGGGAGGGGATGGGACTTCTTTTAGGTTTCAGTCTGTGTCCAAATATTAGATATTGTATAGCTGAAATGTTGATGGGTGATTCAACATTTACTTCTGAAACTGATACTAGAGAGACTTAGTGAAACTCTGCAAATGCTCCAGGGGATGAGAGTGGGGAGTGGGTAAGCTTTTTTCATCAAAACTTTTCCTATGTTTTATCTAACCTGGGGTCCCAGGTAGGGTGCCTGTGGTAACTGTCTTTTGTCAGGAATAGAAATCAGTCATTGAAAAGTTTCCACCAAATAGAGGATGAGTGTCTCTGCTTATTCCAGAGTGAACAGAGGGCATACCATGTGACTCTTCTGTCACCACTTTACTGAATTTGGACAAAATATGACAACATTTCCCTAGGAAAAAAAAGTAACAGAGGAATCCTAAAAAACTTCTGCTTCTTCTCAGATCTCAAAAAGAATGTGAAGAAGGAGAATACATGGTTATTAGGCCCCTTCAAAAGAAACAGAGAAAAGGTGTCATTAAGAGGGCAAAGGACTATAGAAAGGGCATTCTGGGCCCAGGAGACAAATGCTATTTATTTCATAGTTTTGACGTTTCAGGGTAGCAAGAAGTCAGTATTCAATACATGTTTAATACATATTGTAAACGAGGGGTTGGCAAACTATGGTCAGTGAGTCAAACCCAACTTGCTGTCTATTTTTGTATGACCCAGGGACTCAGAATGGCTTCTGCATTTTTAAATGTAAAAAAAAAAAAAATATTTGCATGAGAACAGTTGTTCAAGAGTTGAGGACATTGCATCTTGGCTTGCAACATTTCATATATTTACTATCTGTCCATTTGCAGAAAAAGTGTGCCAACTCCTGTTATAAACTATACTAAATACTACAGGTGCACAATCACTTTTAATCTTCACAGCACCCCTTGGACACAGGCACATTACTTTCCCCAGTTCACAAATGAGGGGATCTTGGCTCAGCTGACTTAAGTAACTCACCCAACACCAGACAACAAGAATATGGCCAAGTTGGGATTGGAACCTGGGTATGTTAGTCAGGGTTCTCCAGAGAAACAGAACTGATAGGATGTTTATAGAGAGAGATTTATTTTAAGGAATTGGCTTGCATAATTATGGAGGCTGTCAAGTCCAAAATCTGCAGGGTGAGCCAGCAGGCAGCACACTTAGGAAGAACTGATGATGTAGTTCTAGTCCATAGGCTGTCTGCCGCAGAACTCCCTGTTGCTCCAGAGAGGTCATCCTTTTTGTTCTATTCAGGCCTTCAACTGATTGATGAAGTATACCCACATTATAGAGGGTAGTCTGCTTTACTCAAAGTCCACCAATTTAAGGGTTAATCTCATCCAAACATACCTTCACAGAAACATGCAGAATAATGTTTGAACAAATATCTGGGCACCACGGCCCAGGCAAGTTGACACATAAAATTAACCGTCACACTGGGTCTAACCGAGCAAGAACATTTGCTTATCTCTATCCTAGACAACTCTCTAATGATCTTTTGTTATTGTCTGTAAGAAAGAATTGTCTTTTAAAACTGGGAATGCCTACCAACTTTCCTCATATGCCCTTAGTGAAGTGAGTTTTAATTTGGCATATCCAGAAAAGTTACTCCTCACAGAATGCACAGATTCTCCTGTGCATCAGGAGATCCAAGTGGGCTAGTCCTTTTCCCTATCCCTAATAACTTTGTGAACACCCTTTGCATGTAGAAAACAAAATACAAATGCAGTTGATCCTTGAGCAACACGAGTTTGAACTGTGAGAGTCCTCCTACATGCAGATTTTTCTCAATAAATGTATTAGAACATGTTTTGGAGATTTGCAATAATCTGAAAAAATTCACAGATGAACTGCAGCCTAGAAATATTGAAAAAAATGAAGGAAAGGTTTAATATGCCATGAATCCATCAAATATATGTAGATACTAGTCTGTTTTATCATTTAGTGCTATAAAATATACAGGAATATATGATAAAATTTTAAAATTTATTAAAACTTAGGTACACAAACAAAGACTATACAGGCATTATTTACAATTGAGAGAAATGTAAACAGATGTAAAGACCTTTACGATGATCCACTTTCACTTAATGAATAGTAAATATATTTTCTGTTTCTTATGATTTTCTTAATAACATTTTCTTTCTGTAGCTTACATAGTTGTAATAACACAGTATATAATACATATAACATAAAAAATACATGCTAATCAACTGTATGTTCTTGGTAATGCTTCTCGTCAACAGCAGGCTATTAGTAGTTAAGTTTTTGGGGAGTCAAAATTTTTACTCAGATTTTTGAATATGTGGGGAGTAGGCACACTTAGCCCCCACAGTGTTCATGGGTCAGCTGTATAGTCTTGGAGCAACACTTAGGAACTTCCAAGAATGTAGAAAGAATTCTGATACTCTTATGCTAGTCTAGTTTCTCTTGATAGAAACTTTTAGAGTGGCATATTAATGTTTTTGTTTAGATTGTGACTAAGTGGCATTCTTGGAGTCCAGCATATTTTAATTTGTAGCCTTAAGTCTGTAATAAAGGTAGATTTCAAATATAAATTAAAGTAAAATATTTATAGGAATCAGTTGGCAATTAATATGTACTAATAACTCTTTTAAAATAAAAATATAATGTATATAAACATGGTATTTGAATATCTCTTACTAAAGAAGACCTTATAGAGCTAATTTACAATAAATAAAATTTTGTTTGTTTTGATCTTTTTGTTTTTTTTTTTAATTAAGTTCTGGGATACATGTGCAGAACGTGCAGGTTTCTTACATAGATATACATGTGCCATGGTAGTTTGCTTCAACCATCAACCCATCATCTACATTAAGTATTTCTCCTAATGCTATCCCTCCCCTTGCCCCCCACCCATGACAGGCCTCAGTGTGTGATGTTCCCCACCTTGTGCCCATATGTTCTCATTGTTCAACTCCCACTTATGGGTGAGAATGTGTGGTGTTTCGTTTTCTGTTCCTGTGTTAGTTTGCTGAGAATGATGGTTTGCAGCTTCATCCATGTCACTGCAAAGGCATTTAGGTTGGTTCCAAGTCTTTGCTATTGTGAATAGTGCTGTAATAAACATATGTGTGCATGTGTCTTTATAGTAAAATGATTTATAATCCTTTGGGTATATACCCAGTAATGAGATTACTAGGTCAAATGGTATTTCTGGTTGTAGATCCTTGAGGAATATCATTCTTTTTTATGGCTGCATAGTATTCAGTCATGTATATGTGCCACATTTTCTCTATCCAGTCTGTTATTGATGGGCATTTGGGTTGGTTCCAAGTCTTTGCTATTATGAATAGTGCTGCAATAAACATACATGCGTCTTTATAATAGAATGATTTATATTCCTTCAGGTATGTACCCAGTAATGGGATTGCTGGGTCAAATGGTATTTCTAGTTCTAGATCCTTGAGGAATCACCACACCATCTCGCACAATGGTTCAACTAATTTACCCTCCCACCAACAGTGTAAAAGCGTTCCTAATTCTCCACATCCTCTGCAGCATTTGTTATTTCCTGACTTTTTAATGATCGCCATTCTAACTGGCATGAGATAGTATCTCATTCTGGTTTTGATCTGCATTTCTCTAATGACCAGTGAGGATGAGCTTTTTTCCTATGTTTGTTGGCTGCATAAATGTCTTCTTTTGAGAAGTATCTTTTCATATCCTTCACCCACTTTTTGATGGGGTTGTTTTTCTTCTTGTAAATTTATTTAAGTTCCTTGTAGATTCTGATGTTAGCCTTTTGTCAGATGGCTAGATTGCAAAAATTTCCTCCCATTCTGTAGGTTGCCTGTCCACTCTGATGATAGTTTCTTTTGCTGTGCAGAAGCTCTAGTTTAATTAGATTCCATTTGTCAATTTTGGCTTTTGTTGCAATTGCTTTTGGTGTTTTAGTCATGAAGTCCTTGCCCATGCCTATGTCCTGAATGGTATTACCTAGGTTTTCTTCTAGGGTTTTTATTGCTTGAGGTCTTACATTTAAGTCTTGAATCCATCTTGAGTTAATTTTTGTATAAGGTGTAAGGACAGGGTCCAGTTTCAGTTTTCTGCATATGCCTAGCCAGTTTTCCCAGCACCATTTATTCAGTAGGGAATCCTTTCCCTCTTGCTTGTTTTTGTCAGGTTTGTCAAAGATCAAACCTTTGATCAAATCACAGCCTGGGCTTCAAGGTCCTACCGATATGTGATGTCATCCCCGGAGGCCCAGCTGTAAAATTCCTCTCTTTGTACTCTTTCTCTTTATTTCTCAGCTGGCCGACACTTACAGAAAATAGAACCTACGTTGAAATATTGGAGGTGGGTTCCACTGATATCTTTGGTATTTGATGTTGGTGACCTTCGGACGGGGTTTTTGAGTGGTCGCCCTTTTTGTTGAGGTTGATGGTATTGCTTTCCGTTTGTTAGTTTTCCTTCTAACATTCAGGCCCCTCTTCTGCAGATCTGCTGCAGTTTGCTGGAGATCCACTCCAGACCTTTTTTGCCTGGGTATCACCAGCAGAGGCTGCAGAAGAGCAAAGATTGCTGCCTGTTCCTTCCTCTGGAAGCTTCATCCCAGAGGGGCACCCGCCAGATGCCAGACAGAGCATTCTTGTATGAGGTGTCTGTTGACCCCTGCTGGAAGGTGTCTCCCCTTCAGGAGGCACAGGGGCCAGGGACCCACTTGAGGAGGCAGTCTGTCCCCTTAGCAGAGCTCTAGCGCTGTGCTGGGAGATCTGCTGCTCTCTTCAGTGCTGGCAGGCAGGAACGTTTAAGTCTGCTGAAGCTATACCCACAGCTGCCCCTTCCCCCAGGTGCTCTGTCCCAGGGAGATGGGAGTTTTATCTATAAGTCCCTGACTGGGGCTGCTGCCTTTCTTTCAAAGCCTGACTACTGTGTCTTTGTTTCACTTTGGTCAAGTAATAAGGCCATCTCAGAACCAAATAAAATCAGGAATTGAATGAGGTGATATTGAAAATGTAAGGCTCTGTGTAATTGTGTTTGGAAAATTTTAGCAGTGGCAATATATCAGTATTTTAATTTGCCTGGTGATGTATCTGTTCACCCATAAGGGGTATCTGGCTTGATTTTGATATGATTTACTACTACTGGTGATCATTTTGATTCAATAGCTTATGTATTTACAGAAATTCAGGAACAGGTGTTTCTGATTCAGCAATGTCTCCAGCATCTAATTTGGTATGCAAGTTAGTAGGTTGTGTATCATATTTATAGGAACTCCATTACATTCATAATGGGGTGAATATTTTCCCTGGGCCAAATCTTAAAGTTTATCAGGGAAATTACTGTGTATTCAGAGCCATGTACAGGAAAGTTTGTAATTCCATATTTAATTTTCTTGTTTTTCTTCTTGTTCTTTCTGAATCATCTTGTTTGAGAAGGAAAGCATTGAATAGCTTTTTTTTTTTTTTTTTTTTTTAAAGAAGGTGGGAGGTAACACTTTAGGTGTCAGTAAGAGATGTGAAGTGAAAATCTTCCTGTTACCTCAGGGGAGGGGCCTGATAGGACAATGGGTAGGGCCCACAGAATGCAGCTGGATGTTGGATAAAGGGCTAGTTCAGTCTCTGGGTGTCTGCAGACCTTTTTCTTGCTGTAGAGCTGTGAATAAGATGCTAAAATATATTGCTGATCCTTTGCCTCAGGGAGCTGAATCAAGGCTTTAACCTGATTTAAGCCCACACCTGAAAATATTTTTATCCTCTTCACTGGAGGCTGGATTTGAACAGCTGACTTCGAGGTGAAGTGTTCTACAGCCCAAACCCAATCCCTAGAGTCAGTCAAGCTGCTTCCTTATACATCTTCTGTTGTGCGGGGTTGGGAGAAGCAATGTTAAGGGTTCCTGAGGAAAAACATAATGTTGGCATCAATGGGGATATTGATGTGTTGTCGTTTGACTAGAGTTCTTTTATTTTAGTAAAATAAAGAGTGAAAATTAGCTTGTATAACACAAACTCAAAAAGGTAGGCCATGATCTGTTAAAAGAGGGGAGAGTTTGATTATATATTTCTGCACGAAAGAAGCAGATGCATCTTTTTGAAGAGGCTTGCCAGCACCACTATTCATAAATGTGTGTGCAACAGATAGTCTAATTGCCTCATTTATAGTAGTAGGACATACTGATTTCCTTTCACATTATTTACCCATCCACTGAGTTTTGGAGTAGACAGGGAGAATGCATTTCAATCCTGAGGGCTGCTTGTTTTAAACATTGCCTCTGTCTCCATGACAAGTGTTTTATTGTCACTTCTGACTAGATTCCTATTTTGGTTGTCAGTTGTCTGTCTTTTCAGGGTTCGTGAGTTTCAGTGAAGGTTCTGTGAATATTTTTTAAACCCTTCAGTTATCATGACTCTTCAAAAATCAGCTAGTGTATTCTGTATTCCTTCATGAGTGAAGAAGATAAACTGGGAACTATTCTGTGGCTTATTCCTGTGCATCATTCTGCAATCATTTACATCTGTGTAGCGTTTTCCTTTCATGCATATGAACCCACAGGATTGTTACAGTCTCTCGGTTAGGTAAGGCTGACTTTCATTCACTCGTTTATTTATTCATGCATATATTTATTGAGCACTGATGTGTCAGGCATTGGGCTCGGTTCCAGGTATAAAAAACATCAGTCCTTGTGTTCTAGAAGCTTCTAGAAGTTCTCTTCTAGTGGGAGATAACAAAATCTAATATAGATGGTCTCTGACTTATGATAGTTTGACTTTAAGATTTTTTGGCTTTATGATGGTGCAAAAGCGATACTCATTCAGCGGAAACTACTTTGAGTACTCATACAACCATTTTGTTTTTCACTTTCAGTATAGTATTCAGTAAATTATAAGAGATATTTAACACTTTTCTCATAAAATAGGCTTTATGTTGGATGATTTTGCCCAACTGTAAGCTAATGTAGGTGTTTTGAGCACATTTAAAGTAAGCTAGGATAAGCTCTGATGTTCAGTACGTTAGGCGGATTAAATGCATTTTGACATGATATTTTCAACTTGCAATGGGTTTATGAGGATGTGATCCCATTATAAGTTGAGGAGCATCTGTACTGTAATGTAAGTGACTCAGTCTGTTTATGCTGCTATAACAAAATACCTTAGACTGTGTCATTTATAAACAATAGAAATTTATTTTCACAGTTCTGGATGCTGGGAAGTCTAAGATCAAGGTGCCAGCAGATTAAGTGTCTGGTGAGGGCTTGCTCTCTGCTTCCAAGGTGGGCCTTAGCTTTGCTACTGGGAGGAACAGGAAGAGAGGGAAGACCTTGTCTCTACATGGCAGAAGACAAGGAAGAGACAAGCAAGCTCTTTCAATCATATATACATATATATATATATGTATACACACACACACACGTATATATATACTTATATATACACGTATATATACACGTATATATATATATACACACACTTTAAGTTCTGGGATACATATGCAGAACATACAGGTTTGTTACATAGGCATACAAGTGCCGTGGTGGTTTGCTGCACCCATCAACCCATCATTTACATTAGGTATTTCTCCTAATGCTATCCCTCCCCTAGCCACCCACCCCACCCCAACAGGCCCCAGTGTGTGATGTTCTCCTCCCTGGGTCCATGTGTTCTCATTGTTCAACTCCAACTTATGAGTGAGAACATGCAGTGTTTGGTTTTATGTTCAATCCTTTTTATAAGGACACTAATTCCATTCAGGAGGACAGAGCCCTCAGGACCTAATCACCTCCCAAAGGCCCCACTTCTTAGTACTATCACATTGGAGATTAAGTTCTAGCACAGGAATTCTGGGAGGGCACCAACACTCAGAACAAAGCAGTAAGTATGTTGAAAGTGTAGACAGAGAAGCAGGGAAGGTTTATTAAAGTCAGTATGAGGAATAGAAAAAGGTTTCACCAAGAAGCAAGAATTTAGGGTAAAATGTGAAAAGGAAAATGTTTTCCAGGTTGAGTAAGTGAGGATATCAAAGTAGGGGAAGAGGAGTACTGTTGCCGTTGCTTTATAGATAAAGAAACCAAAGTTAACAAGGCCACAAAGCTGCCACATGTAAATGCAAGTGCTTGAACTGAGATATGTTCATGCTGTTTTTGTTACACCCGGCTATACCAATCAGCAACTCATTAGATTGATTTTTCAAATTTTCTTTAATATATTCTATAAGAGCAAGAGTAGTGTATTCATTCCTTCATCTTAAGTATGAAAAGGCATTGAAGTCTTAGGGAGTGAAAATCCAGTTTGCATTTGTGTTTTTTATTTTGCATATTATTTTTCTGAAGTATAAATAAAATATTATAAAGTATTAGCCTTACAAATTGAAGATACCTATGATCAAGAAATAGAACACAAACTCCTTCACAGCCTCCCTCATGCATAGTAATTATAGCTCCTACAAATTAACTACTATTCTAATATCTTCTATCTCAATAAATTAGTTTAACATGTTTTTAGAGTTTTATAAAAATGGAATCATATGTATCTCTTGTGTTGGGCTTCTTTTTCTCAAAATTATTCACCCAAGTCACAGCATGTAGCAGTAGTCTGATGTTCATCATTGTTCTATAATATTCCATTGTAGGAATATACCACAACTTATATATTCTATTATCTATAAAGCTTTAGGTTGTTTCCACTATGGGTCTATGATGAATCACTGTTGTAAGACAATTTGTGCAGGTCTTTGGTGCACATATATGCACATGCTTTTGGGTATACCTCTAGAAGTAGAATTTAGAGTTTATAGAATATGCAAATATTCAGCTTTAGTGATTACTGCCACATGGTTTTCAATTCAGTCCAATTACTCAGTGTCTATTATTATAAATAGTATTTTCTTTGTGTCTTGTTTAATCAATCTTTGCTTGTTCCAAGGTCATGAATATATTCTCCTATATATTCTTCTAGAATTATTTTTGTTTTATCTTTCAAATAGAGGTCTATAATCTATCTGAAATGAATTTTTGTATATGATATATAGTGGGGTGAAAATGCACTTTTTCCCCCCATATGGATGCTCAATTGACCTGGTGCTGTTTATTGAAAAGGTCATCCTTTCCCTATTGTAGTGGAGCTTTTATCAAATTTCAGGAGACCAGGTAAATATGAGTATAATTATGAATTTTCTACTCTGTTTCATTGGTTTCTAATTGTCTATTCAGATGACAAAACAATGCTCCTTTAACTACTGAAACTTTATTATGTCTTAATATCTGGTGCTATAAAACCTCTTATTTTGTTATCTTCTTCAAGATAGTTTTTCTTATTCTTGGCCCTTGCCATTTCCACAGAAAAGCTGGAATTTTATTTGGAATTGTACTGAGTCAGAAAAAGGAAACTTTAGAATAATAAATACTCCAGTCCATAAATGAGATATATCCCTCCATGTATTTAGCTATTCTTAAATTACTCTTTCTGTGTCTTTTGTTTTTTTGTGTAGAGGTTTTATATATCTTTAATTTATTCCTAGACATTTGAAGATTTTTTTATGCTATTGTAAAATCTCTGATTAAAAAATTACTTCCTAATTATATGCACTATTGTATACATATATTTTATTGATTTAAATACTGAGTTTATATCCAGAAACATTGTTAGATTTATTTATTAATTTGTTAATTGTAGTTTAGGAATTTTTCAGTGCTCATAATTATATCATCTGTGAATAAGAACAGTTGATTTCTTTTCTTACTTTCCAAGATATTTTATTTGTATTTATGTATTTTATTTATTTGTATTTTCTATTGTACTACTTAGGACCTCCAGTATAATTTAAAGAGTCAGTAATAACTGATATCCTTGTTTTGTTCTTGAGCTTAGGCAAAGTGAAACCTTTTAATATGTCACCATTAAACTCCTATTAAATTCCTATTAAACATGACATTTGCTATAGAAGTTTTCCATAGCCTGTAATCAGATTAAAGATATGCTATTCTATTTCTAGTTTGCTAAAAGTAGCATACCTACAAGGTAGATAAATGACCCCTCCTCCTTTTAGGAGGAGCAGATAAAAGTTGGCAAGAATTTCTGGAAATGTTATTTCAATATAGCTCCCACCTGGACAGTGGCACATGGGAAAACAGTGAATTTCTCTACAAAAAAGTAGAAGAAAAGATGAGAGGGATGGACAGAGGGATTTCTGCTCTTTCTTTTTCTTTCCTGAGTTACCTTTCTCCTACCATCAACTTTTTTCTCGATTTCCACTGTAGATTGCAGCTCACTTGTACCCTTGATATATTGAATAGAGAAGCATTCTTGTAGCCATTTGATAGTCTGTTTTAGTTAAGAAACCACTTTTAATTGGCGGTGTGTGTGATTGGTGACCAGCTCAGCCAATGCTGTTTCATGAGCCACTGTGGCAGATGCCTGTTGACCTCACATCCAAGGGAACAAGGTAAGCTCTGATGCTTCACAGCTCCCCTCTGGAACATTCTGCCCCAACCCCTCACATTTTCAAGTAACAGCTGTGCTGTTGGAGTCTCAGTGATTAACAACTTATCAAACCATTTCCCTGGAACTCTCCAGAACTGCCTCTCATGGGGCACCTGATGGATTTCTACTTCACAGATGGCTTATCAGTTCATCAAGTTATTACTTGCTCTTCTGTCTCCATTTCTCCTGTGTATATTTTATGGGAAAAAAAATCTCCAGGTCATATGATAGGTGTTTCATCTTTGTTAACACAGCACTTGGTAATGAATCTTTATAATATTAGCTGCGTGCTGAACTAGCCCTATCCCTGGATTCATTTTGAGACTCTATAACTCCACATTTGCTTTTTTAGGAAAGCTCAAGATTATTTATTTTCTTGGTGGAAATCCTTGACATATTTCTGCCTAGAGGAAGAGCAAAATCAATATGTCCTACAGTTTTATTAAGTTTCTTTAAGAACAAGATATCTGATCTGTTGGCTGGAGTTGGTTAATCACCATCCTTACAAATTCATCTTTGAATGGTGACTTTCCCACATGTTTTTCAGTTGTCATTAGTAGTGGAATGCTATCTCATTTCTTACCCCTATTTAGAGAATAATTGTTGCTCCTAGCCACATATCAATATCTTTTGGTATAGCCCCAAAGCAGCCAAAGTTAAAGACTATTTTCTTATTCATTCTTTTGTCTTTTTAGCCTGCCACATACTATGGTTCAATTTTTCTTCTGTTTCTTCCTACGGGTCTAACTGTGTCAATCTTATCTATCTGCCACTCAGCCCATACCAGTTTGCAATGAAAGTCAAGTAAGATTTCATGGCATGTATCCAATGTCACCATAGTGAAAACCATGTATACAAGTTTTGGGACAAACTGAAACATGCTGCCTCAAATTTCAGTGATCTACTGGGGAAAATCATTCAGCAGTTTGGACAAACCCTTCCACATTAGGCAGACTCTCAGTGCTGCCTGGAATCATTCTCCATGCAGCTAGTCAGCTGCTTCTCTTTTTTATCTCAATAGCTATTCTCAACTTTGACTAACACTCTTCAAATCCCTTCCTCTGCCATATCCTCTCTTACTCTCAGCATATGATCATGCCTTCAAATTCACCAGAAAACAAACAAACAAAAATAATAAATTCCTCATGCCTACAACCTCAAACCACTTACAAAATGTATTTCCATCAGGACCAAGGATTTCACAGTCTTTTCTGTTTTACATAAAAGATTGTCCCTCTTGCTGCCAAAGTCTAATCCATCCATCCAACTACCTGCATTGGAGTTTGTCTCCTGACTTTACAGAGACCTTGGACCATTAGCCATCCATTTTCCTTTCTCTATGTTTTGTTTGATCCCTTCTACATACAAACATGTTTTTAGAAAAATCTCCTCTGATGCCCCATCGCCCTTTAGCTACTGTTCTGTATCTCTTTCTCTTTGCAGCCAAACTTCTTGAGAAGACTTGTCTATACTTATACTATCTTCCTTCCTCATTTGCCATTTACTGCTCAACTGGTAATACTTTGCCTTCTGTCCCGCAAAAAGCAATGAAATTATTTCCAACAATTACCTGTATATTACTAAATAGAGTGGATATATATTTTTTTCTTTAATTGTTTAACACTGATAACAATTTCCTCCTTTTTAAAACTGCTCTTTTGACTTTCACAAAGGTTTTCTTAGCTGGACTTTCTGCTCTGTCTCTGGACACTTCTCTCAGTATCTCTCACTGGCTCCTTTTCTTGTGATCTCTTTAAAATGAGGGTTCTCCAGACACTTCTCAAAAGACGGCATTTATGCAGCCAACAGACACATGAAAAAATGCTCATCATCACTGGTCATCAGAGAAATGCAAATCAAAACCACAATGAGATACCATCTCACACCAGTTAGAATGGTGATCATTAAAAAGTCAGGAAACAACAGGTGCTGGAGAGGATGTGGAGAAAGAGCAACACTTTTACACTGTTGGTGGGACTGTAAACTAGTTCAACCATTGTGGAAGACCATGTGGCGATTCCTCAGGGATCTAGGACTGGAAATACCATTTGACCCAGCCATCCCATCACTGGTTGTATACCCAAAGGATTATAAATCATGCTTCTATAAAGACACATGCACACGTATGTTTATTGTGGCACTATTCACAATAGCAAAGACTTGGAACCAACCCAAATGTCCATCAGTGATAGACTGGATTAAGAAAATGTGGCACATATATACCATGGAATACTATGCAGCCATAAAAAAGGATGAGTTCATGTCCTTTGTAGGGACATGGATGAAGCTGGAAACCATCATTCTCAGCAAACTATCGCAAGGACAGAAAACCAAACACTTCATGTTCTCACTCATAGGTGGGAACTGAACAATGAGAACACTTGGACACAGGGTGGGGAACATCACACACCAGGGCCTATCCTGGGGTCGGGGGAGTGGGGAAGGATAGCATTAGGAGTTATACCTAATGTAAATGACAAATTAATGGGTGCAGCACACCAACACGGCACATGTATACCAATGTAACAAACCTGCACATTGTGCACATGTACCCTAGAACTTGAAGTATAAAAAAAAACAAAAAACAACTAGGACAGCCAAAAAGAAAAAAAAAAAAAGGAAGAAATAGTGCTAAGAAAACTGGCTAGCCACATGGGGAAGAAGGAAATATTGGACTCCTACTTCTTACCATGTACAAACATTAACTCAAGATGAATTAAAGACTTAAACGTAAGACCTGAAACTATAAAAAAATCCTAGAAGACAACCAAGAAATACTCTTCTAGACACTGGCCTAGGCAAAAAATTTATGATGAAGATCCCCAAAGCAAATGCCACAAAATAAAAAATAAACGAACAGGACTTAATTAAATTAAAGAGTTTCTGCACAGCAAAAGAAACTGTGAACAGAGTAAACACAACCTACAGAATGGGATAAAATATTTGCAAACTATGGATCCAACAACAGATTAATATCCAGAGTCTATGAGGAACTTAACAAGAGAAAAACAAAAGTCCCATTAAAAAATGGCCAAAGGACATAGACACTTCTCAGAAGAAGACATACAGCAGCCAAAAACATATAAAAAATGTTCAACATCACTAATCATGAGAAAGATGCAAATCGTAACCACAATGAGATACCACCAGTCAGAATGGCTATTATTAAAAAATTTAAACATAACAGGCCAGGCACAGTGGCTCACACCTGTAATCCTAGCACTTTGGGAGGCCGAGGTGGGTGGATCATGGGGTCAGGAGTTCGAGACCAGCCTGGCCAATATGGTGAAACCCCGTTTCTACTAAAAATATAAAAATTAGCCAGGTATGGTGGCATGTGCCTGTAGTCCCAGCTACTCAGGAGGCTGAGGCAAAAGAATTGCTTGAAGCCAGGAGGCGGAGGCTGCAGTGAACCGATACGGTGCCACTGCACTCCAGTCTGGGTGACAGAGTGAGACTCCGTCTCTAAATAAATAAATAAAGGAAAAATACCAGATATTGGTGAGGTTGAGAAGAAAAGATAATCCTTATAAACTGTGGCAGTAATGCAAATTATTAATAGTTCAGCCCCTGTGGAAAACAGTTTGGAGATTTCTCAAAGAACTAAAAATAGAATTGCTATTCAACCCAACAATTCCATTACTAGGTATATACCCAAAGGAAAATAGATCGTTTTACCAAAAAGATACCTGCACTCACATGTTTATCACAACACTATTCAAAATAGCAAAGACATGGAATCAACCCAGGTGGCCATCAATGGTGGACTGGATAAAGAAAATGTGGTACATATACACCATAGAATGCTATGTAGTCATTAAAAAGAATGAAATCATGTCCTTTGCAGCAACATGGATGCAGCTGGATGCCACTATGTTAAGTGGACTAACATAGAAAAAAAGCCAAATAAGGCAGGTTCTTACTTGTAAGTGGGAGCTAAACACTGGGTACACATGGACACAAAGATAGGAACAACAGACATTGTGGACTCCGAAAGTGGGGAAGGAGGGAAAGGAACAAGGGCTGAAAAACTACCTGTCAGGTAATGTGCTCAATACTTGGGCAATGTGATCATTAGAACCCAAACCTCAGCATCACTGAATATATCCACATAATAAATCTGCACATGTACCCCCAAATCTAAAATTTTAAAAATGTAATGGCTTCCACATATTTAAAAAAATATATATAAAATAAAATGAGGGTTCTCCTAGTTTCTTCCCAAGGGTGGGTATATTTTTCTACACTGGCTTCTACAATCACTTATATTTGCATGACTATTAACTCTACAAATACAGCTCATTCCTTTCTGAGAATTTCACACTTGTATTCACTTGGCGATCTCTTAGTCACCAGAACTCAACATGTCCTAAACTGGTCTCATTACGCTTGGCCCTATGCAGACTGCTTTGGTATTTATGTTAACGCATAGCACACTGGGGCCCAGAAGGTGTTATTATCCCTAATTTTTCCGTTTTAGTCAGTATATCTTTATATCATTTTATCTCATAAACAGAGCATAAATCTCTTCATTCTCATTGCCTTATTTCACCTAATAGCATGTACAACTTTCTACTTAGTATTTTTATCCTTCAATTTGACCTCACCAAACCGAATGCATTCACGGTTACTGAAATGATTCTTCTAAAATGTGAACTCATGTTAATTTTCAAAAAATGGATCAATTGATTTGATGCAAGTGTAATAAAAATTATGACTGTTTTTAAATGAATTTGACAAGGTGACTCTGAAGTAGGTACAGAATAGCAAAGCGCTCAGAACAACCAAAGTATTTACAAAGAAGAAGAATAGGGTCACTGGCTGCTATGACAGCATACCCGAGAGTGGGTAATTTATAAAGGAAAGAAGTTTATTTATCTCTTACTTATGCAGGCTGGGAAGTTCAAGAGGCATGGCCCCAGCATCTTCTTGGCAAGCAGGAACTGATACATTTCCGAGACAGCTAATCTAGTCTTGAGAGTGAGAACTCATTACTGCTAGAAGACACGAGGTCATTTATGAGGGATCCACCCCTATGACCAGAACGCTTCCCATTAGGCTCCACCTCCCAACACTGCCACACTGGGGATGAACATGAGTTGATTTCAACATGAGTTTTGGCGGGGACAAATCATATCCAAACCATAACATGTGCCCTAAGTAGACTTACCTTACTGATTCCAAGATTTATTTAAAGCCATAACTAAAGCTCTGTATGGCCCCAGGCACAGTCAAAGCAACCAATGATACATAATAGAAAACCCAGGGATAGACCCGTTCACAAATGAAATTATGATCTTTGACAGAAGTGGTCTATTTTTTAGGTGCAGTGAAGAAACCAGAAATCACTCAGTATTTTAAGTAGGACGGATTTAAAACAGGAAGATATGCACAAATTATTGAAGGTCTGGAAAGGCAAAGATGTGGTAAAAAGAAGGTGCCATTAGCTGTATGATCCACTGACACAGCCATCCAAAGAGGCTACTCAGAGGTCAGCAAACTGTAGGACACGCCTGGTGAAGTCACAGCATCCCCAAACTGCAGCTCCAAGACTGTGACTACCATACCTGTAAAATCTCACACCTACCGAGGTCTGTATTTCCTCTGCAATTATTGCTGGGAGTGAATTGTTTCTGCCTCCCTACTATCTTCCAAATTTGCGTAAGTGCATTTCTTTGACAGCACTGTATCTTAAACCTTACCGGCAAAGAAGTTTGGAAAATTCAGCCCCTGGGTTTCTAGCTCTTGTGATACAAAGGAGACCAAGAAGGGGAAATCAATGTGTCCCAAAGGCCACAGAAAACATGTGGCACAGGGGTGTTAAAGATCAATAAAGAAAGGAAGAATTGTTAAATAAACAGTGCTGGGACAACTGGGCATTCATTCAAAAAACTGAAATTGAATTCCTGTCTTATGCTATACCCTAGAGTCAACTTAAACAGATAAGGACTTTTGCTAAAAGGAAAACTTCAGGAAGAAAATATAGAAAAATATTGTTCTAGTTTTGGAATAAGGAAGATTTTATTAAAACAAGGTAACAGGAGAGGGGCCAAGATGGCTGACTAGAAGCAGCTGGTATGCCCTGCTGTCATGGAGAGAAGGAAAAGTGGGGAGTTAACACTAGCTCTTCAACTGGATCATCCAGGTGGTCACATTGGGATTCATCAAGGAAGCAACATGACCCACGGAGAATGGAGAAGAGTGAAACAGGAAAACTGCCCACTTGGGAGTGGCATGGGGTCAAGGGAGGCCTCCTAAGGCAGGGAAATGGTGAGTGAGTGAGAGTCCCCGGGCACCCACATTTCTGCCATGGACCTTTGCAATCCTGGGCTCAGGAGATCACCTGTGCTATCTCTCACCCCCTCCCCCGTCCACCACTGGGGCCTCCAGTCTGACACACAAAGCTACACAGAGTCTGGGCAGAGCTGCTGCAGAGGCACACACAGAGTCCCAGGGGGCTTGGATCCCCAGGCACCCCAGGACCAGCAGCTACAGCTCTGGCAATGGGGGAGGCCGGACTCCCTCGCACACACCCAGGATAGGGGCCAAATCTATGGGGCTGAGCTGTGGAAGGATGGCAGGCTTTGTCTTCACTGTACCTCACTGAACAAGGCCCATTGGCCTGGGACCCTAGCGTGGCCACCACAATACCATCTGGGCTCTCTGGCCAGCATCATCTCTGCACTTCCCTGGGATGTAGCTCCTAGAGGTAGCAGGTACACCACCATTTTTGCTGCTCTGGATTCATCATATGGAGAGGAGCTCAGCGTCTCTTCCCTGTCAGTCCATACCACCCAACTTTTCACTGGCTTGGGACCACAGAGCAGCTGCCCCACCCCTGGCTGAGCACACCCACTGGTAGTGGCTCTGGGTTTCCCAGAGGTGGAGCTCCCAGGGACAAGTGACGGCCCCTCTGCCACTGCCACTGCAGCAGTTCTGCCCTTGCTGCCCTTGGACTGGGGAAAGAACACAGAGCCTGAAGGCTTCATTTGCCCTTCCAGTATGCCACAGTCACCACAGTCACCACCTCCCAGTCAGACTGGGAGGAGCCCAGTCTCTCTTCCCTGTGAGCCCATGATCCTCCACTATTCAGCAAGCAAAGTCCCTGGCTTGGGCCAGCAGCACAGCTGCCCCACCCCCTCCACTGAACATTTCCAGTAGTAGCGCTGTGTTCCTGTGCGGTGGAGCTCCTAGAGGCAACTGAAAGCCCCTCCGCCGCTGCCAGTTCAGTGGTACCTCCCTTGTAGCCATCGGACTAGGGAAAGAACAAAGACCTTGAGCACTTTATCCACACTTCCAGAAAGCTACAGATGCCATAAGGAAAAGAGGTCAGTGGGTCTTCCCTGTGATCCCCGACCCCGCCTGCTTGTCAAAAGGTAGGGCCCCCTAGACTGGCCCACAACACAGCCACTCAACTCTGGGCTGGTTGCATAGATTGGTAGTGGCTCTGGATTTCTCTGGGGTGACAGTCCAAAAGGCAAGTGAAAGGCTTTCTGCCCCAGCCACTGTGAAGGACCCTTCTGCTGCCTGCAAGCTGGGGAGGCAACATAAAGCCTGAGCTCACCCCAAAGCTGTAGTGTGTAGGCTGGGGGTAACATTCTGAGATCTGCAGCCAGCACTAGAGTGGGAGAGGAGCCCCCACTTTCAGAGCACTGAGAAGGAGTATGGCTGCGACTTTGTAGAAAGACAGAGGAGCCATGTAGCAGAGGAAGAGCCGACCTACTGGTCATTATGCTCAAGCGTCATCTACAGGATCATAGTCCAAACTTCAACACCAAAAGTACTTTGCTAATATACCCACTTGTGAAACCAAGGACAAGAATTCAGCTACAAATAACAAAAACCTTGCAGAAAGCCTTAGCCCTCTGAAAATATCCAAAAACGAAGTCAACTGACTATACTTAAATTATACCTCAGTTAGCAAAACATCAGCCCACATAGATGAGAAGGAACCAGCACAAGAACTCTGGCAATTCAAAAAGTCAGAGTGGTTTCTTACCTCCAAATGACCACACTAGTTCCCCAGCAAGTGTCCTTACCAAGGCTGAAATGGCTAAAATGACAGACATAGAGTTCAAAATATGGACAGGAATGAATGTTACTGAGATTCAGGAGAAAGTCAAAACCCAATCCAAGGATTCTAAGGATTACAGTAAAATGATACAGGAGCTGAAAGACAAAATGGCCATTATAAGAAAGAATGAAAATGATCTGATAGAGCTGAAAAACACACTACAAGAATTTCATAATGCAATTGCAATTATAAACAGCAGAATACACCAAGCTGTAGAAAGAATCTCAGAGCTTGAAGACTGGTTCTCCAAATTAACTCAGCCAGACAAAAATGGGGGGAGGGGGGGAAAGAAAGAAGATAGAATGAAATAAGCCTCCAAGAAACATGGAGAAACATGGGATTATGTAGAGACCAAATCTACACTCACTGAGATCCTAAAAAGAGAGACAGAAGTCAAGCAACTTGAAAAACATACTTCAGCCTATTGTCCATGAAAATTTCCCCAACCTCACTAGAGAGGCCAACATTCAAATTCAAGAAATGCAGAGAATGTCTGTGAGATACTACACAAATGACCATCCCTAAGATACAAGATCTTTAGATTCTTCAAGGATGGCATGAAATAAAAAAAAATTAAAGGGAGCTAGAGAGAAAGGGCAGATCACCTATAAAGGGAAACCCATTAGGCTAATAGAGCTTTCCGCATAAACCCTACAAGCCAGAAGAGATTGGGGTCCTATATATTCAGCATTCTTTTGTTTGTTTGTTTGTTTTTGTTTTTGTTTTTCTTGAGACTGAGTCTTGCTCTGTCGCCCAGACTGCAGTGCAGTGGCGCGATCTCGGCTCACTGCAAGCTCCGCCTCCCGAGTTCACGCCATTCTCCTGCCTCAGCCTCCTGAGTAGCTGGGACTACAGGCGCCCGCCACCGCGCCTGACTAATTTTTTTTTTGTATTTTTAGTAGAGACGGGGTTTCACCGTGGTCTCGATCTCCTGACCTGGTGATCCGCCTGCCTCGGCCTCCCAAAGTGGTGGGATTACAGGCATGAGCCACTGTGCCCGGCATATTCAGCATTCTTAAAGAAAAGAAACTCCAGCCAAGAATTTCATATCCAGCTGAACTGAGCTTCATAAGCAAAGGAGAAATAAGATCCTTTTCAGCCAAGCAAGTGCTAAGAAAATTGGTTAACACTAGATCTGCCTACAAGAGGTCCTTAAGGGAGTGCTAAATATGGAAACAAAAGGCCATTACTGGCCACCACAGAAACACACTTAAGTCTAGAGACCAGTGACACTGCAACCACACAATGAAATCTGCAAAATAACCAGTTAACATCATGATGACAGGATCAAATTCACACATATCAATAAGTAACCTTAAATATAAATGGGCTAAATGCACCGATTGACCTGCCCCTTCTCTCTAGCTGCCTTTAATATTTTTTTCCTTCGTGTCATTCTTGGAGAATCTGAAGATCATGGGTCTTAGGGATGGTCATTTTGTGTAGTATCTTGCAGACATTCTCTGCATTTTTTGAATTTGAATGTTGGCCTCTCTAATGAGGTTGGGGAAATTTTCATGGACAATATGCTCAAATATGTTTTACAAGTTGCTTGATTTCTCTCTCTCTCTTTTAGGGATGCCAAGTTGGATAAAGAAGCAAAGCCTACTGGTATGCTATCTTCAAGAGACCCATCTCACATTCAATGAGACCCATAGGCTCAAAGTAAAGAGATGAAAAAAAATCTACCAAGCAAACAGAAAACAGAAAAAAAAAGCATGGTTTGCTATTTTAATTTCCGACAAAACAGACTTTAAACCAACAACGATCAAAAAAGACAATGAAGGGCATTGCATAATGGTAAAGGGTTCAATTCAACGAGAGGACCTAACTAACCTAAGTCTATATGTACCTAACACAGGAGCACCTGGATTGCTAAAGCGAGTTCTTAGAGACCTACAAAAAGACTTAAATAACCAAATAATAGTAGTGGGAGATTTTAACAACCTACTGACAGTATTACACAGATCATCGAGGAAGAAAAGTAACAAAGATATTCAGGACCTGAATCTGACACTTGGACAAATGAGACTAAGAGATATCTGCAGAGCTCTCTGTACCCAAACAACAGAATATACAATGTTCTCATCTGCATATGTCACATACTCTAAAATTGACCACACAATTGACCATAAAACAATCTTTGGAAAATTCATAAAAACCAAAATCATACTAAACACTCTCAGACCACAGCACAATAAAAGTAGAAATCAATACTAAGAAAATTACTCAAAACTATAAAATTACATGGAAATTAAACAACCTGATCCTGAATGACTTTTGGGTAAACAATGAAATTAAAGCAGAAATCAAGAAATTCTTTGAAACTAATGAGAAAAATGATATAACATGCGAGATTCTCTGGGAGACAACCAAAGCAGCGTTAAGAGGGGGAATTTATAGCACTAAATGTCCACATCAAAACATGAGGAAGTTCTTAATTTAACAACCTAATATCTCCTCTAGAGGAACTAGAGAAACAAAAGCAAACCAACCCCAAAGCTAGCAGAAGACAAGGAATAACCAAAATCAGGGCTGAACTGAAGGAAGTTGAGATGTGAAAAATCATACAAATAAGTGAATTTAGGGGTTGGTTCTATGAAAGAATAAATAAGATTGTTTGTCAGCTAGCTGTACTAATAAAGATAAAGAGGGAAGATCCAATAAACATACTCAGAAAAGACAAAGGGGACATTACTAGCAACCTCACAGAATTACAAAAAAACTCTCAGACTACTACAAACACCTCTCTGCACACAAACTAGAAACTCTAAAAGAAATGGATAAATTGCTAGAAATATACAAACTCCCAGGATTGAACCAGGAAAAGATTGAATCTTTTTACAGACCAATAATGAGTTCTGAAATCGAATCAGTAACAAAAACCCTACCAACCAGAAAAGGCCCTGGACCAGATGGATTCATAGCTGAATTCTACCAGATGTATAAAGACAAGCTGGTGCCACTCCTGCTGAAACTATTCCAAAAAACTGAGGAGAAGGACTCCCCCTAATTGATTCTATAAGTGCAGCATCATTCTGATACCAAAACCTGGCAGAGATACAATGCAAAAAAAAAACTTGGCTGGGCGCGGTGGCTCACACCTGTAATCCCAGCACTATGGAAGGCCGAGGCGGGCTGATCATGAGGTCAGGAGATCGAGACCACCCTGGTTAACACGGTGAAACCCCATCTCTACTAAAAAAAACCCAAAAAATTAGCTGGGCATAGTGGTGGGCACCTGTAGTCCCAGCTGCCTGCGAGGCTGAGGCAGGAGAATGGTGTGAACCTGGGAGGTGGAGCTTGCAGTGAGTGGAACTCACGGCACTGCACTCCAGCCTGGGTGACAGAGCGAGACCCTATCTCAAAAAAAAAAAAAAAAGAAAAGAAAAGAAAATTTACAGCCAATATCCTTGATGAACACAGATGCAAAAATCCTTAACAAAATACTAGAAAACCAAATCCAGTAGCATATCAAAAAGCTAATCTAGCACAATCAAGTAGGTTTTATCTCCGGGACGCAAGGTTGGTTCAACATATACAAACCAATAAATGTGATACATCATACAAACTGATCTAACCACATGACCATCTCAACAGTTGCAGAAAAGGCTTCTAGTAAAATTCAATATCCCTTTATGTTAGAAATTCTCAACAAATTAGGCATTGAAGGAACATACCTCGAAATAATAAGAGCCATCTATGAAAAAACCACAGTCAACATTATACTGAATGGGTGAAATCTGAAAGCATTCTCCTTGAGAACTAGAATAAGACTAAGATGCCCATTCTCACTACTCCTATTCAACATAGTACTAGAACTCCTGGACAGAGCAAACAGGCAGGAGAAAGAAATAAAAGTTATCCAAATGGGAAGGGAGGAAGTCAAACTATCTCTGCAGATTGTATGATTCTATATCTAGAAAACCCCATAGTCTGCTCAAAAGCTCCTAGATCTGATAAACAACTTAGTAAAGTTTCAGTGTACAAACTCAATATACAAAAATCAGTAGCATTTCTATATATCAATAGCATCCAAACTAAGAGCCAAATCAAGGTTGCAGTCTCATTCACAATAGACACAAAAAGAATAAAACACCTAGCAATAATGCTAAACAGGAAGGTAAAATATCTCTATAATGAGAATTACAAAACACTGCTCAAAAAAATCAGAGATGACACAAACAAATGGAAAAACATTCCATGCTTACGGATAGGAAAAATCAATATTGTTAAAATGGCCATGCTGCCCAAAGCAATTTACAGATATAATGTTATTCCTATCAAACTACTAATGACATTCTTCACAGACTTAGGAAAAACTATTTTAAAATTCATATAGAACTTAAAAAAGAGCCCAAATAGCCAAAGCAATCCTAAGCATAAAGAACAAAGCTGGAGACATCATATTTTCCAACTTCAAACTGTGCTACGGGGCAATAGTAACCAAAACAGCATGGCACTGGTACAAAAACAGACACATAGGCCATGGAACAAAATAGAGAACCAGAAATAATGCCACACACCAAAGACCATCTTATCTTTGAAAAAGTTGACGAAAGTAAGAAATGGGGAGAGGATTCCCTATTCAATAAATGGTGCTGCAGAAGATTGAAATTGGACCCTTACATGACATAAAAAAATCAACTCAAGATGAATAAAGACATAAATGTAAAACTTAAAACTATAAACACCTTGGAAGATAACATAGACAATACCATTCTGGACATTGGCCTTGGCAAAAATTTCATGACAAAGATGCCAAAAGCAATTGCAACAAAAGCAAAATTTGACGAATTAAACTAAAGAGCTCTTGTATTGCAAGAGAAACTATTAACAGAGTTAACAGACAACCCACAGAATGTGAGAACATATTTGCAAACTATGCGTGTGACAAAGGTATATCCAGAATCTATAAATAAATTAACAATAAAAAACCAAGCAACCTGCTATGGTTTGGATCTGTGTCCCCATCCAAATCTCATGTTGAAGTGTCATCCCCAATGCTGGAGGTGGGGCCTGGTGGGAGGTGATTGCGTCATGGGGGCGGTTTCTCATGAATGGTTTAACATCATCTCCTTTGTGCTGATTGTAAGTTTTTTGAGTCCTCTCTAGAAGCCAAGTGGATGCCAGCATCATGCTTGCTATACCTCCTGCAGAACTATGAGCCAATTAAACCTCTTTTCTTTATAAATTACCCAGTCTTAGGTATTTCTTTGCAATGTGAGAACAGCCTAATATACAACCCCATTAAAAAATGGGCAAAGGACATGAACAGACACTTTGCAAAAGACATACACATGACCAATAAGCATATGAAAAAATGCTCAACATCAGTAATTATTAGAGAAATGCAAATCAAAACCACAATGAGATACCATCTCACACCAGTCAGAATAGCTATTAATGAAAGTCAAAAAATAACAGATGCTGGAGAGTTTGCAGAGCAAAAGGACACTTATAGACTGGTGGTGGGAATATAAATAGTTCAGCTATTGTAGAAAGCCATGTGGCAGTTCCTCAAAAAACTTAAAACAGAGTTACCATTTAACCCAGCAATCCCATTACTGGGTATATGCCAAAAGAAATATAAACTATTCTATCATAAAGACTCACGTATGCGTATGTTCGTTGCAGTACTATTCACAATAGTAATGACATGCAATCAACCTAAATGCCCATCAATGGTAGACTAGATGAAGCAAATGTGGTACATATGCACCACGGAATACTACACAGCCACAAAATGAATGAAATTATGTCCTTTGCAACAACTTGGATGAAGCTGGAGGCCGTTACCCAAAGTGAAGTAACACAGGAACAGAAAACCAAATACTACATGTTCTCACTTATAAGGGGAAGCTAAACATTGAGAACACATGGGCATAAGGATGGGAACAACAGACACCACAGCCTACTTGAGGGTGAAGGGTAGAAGGAGAGGGAGAACTGAAAAACTACCTATTGGATACTATGATTATTACCTGGATGACAAAATAATCTGTTCACTAAATCCCTGTGACACACAATTATAGAACAAACCTGCACATGTACCCCTGAATCTAAGATAAAAGTTAGAAAAAAAAGCAAAATACAACAACTTCTAACCATAAAAGAAATGCTTGACTAAGTCAACTATATTAAAATTAATAACTTCTGTTTATCAAAAAACATTGTAAAGAAAGTGAAAAGACAAACAACAAAATAGAACTTATTTGTCATGTATGTAGTCAACAGAGGTTTAATATCCAGAATGTATAAACAATTCCTACCTTTCTACAGAAAAACACACACAAAAACAAAATAGAAAAACAGGCAAGTAACACGTAAGTGTATGGCCAATAAACATAAAAACATGTTTAATCTCTGCAGCAATCAGGAGAATAAAATCAGCAATTATAATCAAATTGAAATATTATAATATTGGTCAATATTAAGAAGTAAATATTCAGTCACCTCTGACTTCTCCTTACCTACCATGTCTTTCAATGTTTTAGCTCCAAAGTATAGCCTGAATCTGTTTTTGTCTTCCATTTTCATTCTTGTTGTCATTGTTTTAGTTCACAAAGTTTTGGAGAGAGTATGGATCAATAGGAATTATTCAATAGTAATCTTTGAAGTGTAAATTAAAGAGGACTTAGGAAAACAATTTGGCATCATCTTGGAAGTCTGAACATGGAGACACACCATAACTCAGCGATTCCGTACCCAATATATACCCCCAGAGAAATTCTTGAACATGTATCTAGGAGACAGGCTCACAGCAAAGAGCTTAAAATTTGTTACATTTACACAATGGAATATTATACAGCAGTGAAAACTAATGATCCATAGCAACACTCAGGAATATATGAATTTCAGAAATCTAATGCAGAGTTATAAAAAAAAAAAAGGTCCCAAAAGACCATAAGTAATATGACACCATTAGGATAATGTTTAATGCACAAAAATTAAGCAGTATATTTAGGCAGCATACCCTTTTACCAAAGCCATTTTTAAAAAGTAAAGATTAACACAAAACTCAGAATGGTGCTACTCTCCTGTTTATGTGGAGGTGGTGACATGAGATAGGAAAGGAATGAATACATAGGTAGATGTATCTTATTCATGATGTGTTCATTGGATAGTAGGTTCATGGGAATTTATTATTACACTTTACAACATAAATATATGTTAATAAATCTATTGTATGTGTCAGAGATAATCTTAAAAAATATATATATAATGACCTAAGATGCTCAGCTTATTCAAGAGTAAGCACTATCATTTTTCAACAGCTGTTTCATTTTTTATGTTCAGTAAATGTCATGATACTAAAAAAAAACCCCTCTTCTCTAGCATCTTTATCACACATGTGACCACACTATTGCTAAAAACATTAATTTTCACTCAGTGCCAGAATGGCTTACTGCCCACTAAAACAAAAGGCAGTGTAATGAAAGCAAATAAACTCGCTGGTTTACTAAACTGGAGGAAATGTAACATACTTTGAAAAGCACCTGGGGATTTTATGTGATAACATCCAACAGGGGAAATACACCTGCAAAAATGATAAAACAGAGTTGGGATCAGTCACTATGAGTTTTTGGATTTCTTTTGAAATCTTAGTACATTTCACTGTTAGAGGCAGTGAGAGAGAAAGCAAAATAAAAAAGGAAATCATTCTCTATCTCTCTTTTTAATCTTTGATTATCTCCCTGTTCCTTTTTGGATAAGGTTCCAGTCCTCAGCTTTACAAACAAGGCATCTCCTCTTAGAATCTCTAGTTTTTCTGCCTGTCTAGCCTCATCTCCTGTCACATTCTTGACCTCCATCTGCTCACATCCTGCTCATAAGCCAAACTCAACTTCCTGTGGATCCCTGAGCAGGTCATGCTGTTTCATGTCTCTGTGCCTTTGTCCAGGCCCTTTGCTCTTCCTGGAAATCCCATCCTCCCAGCCTTCCCCTCACTGGCCTCTAGCTAGGAAGTCTTGCCTGATCCTCTAGGCTGAGACTCCCTTAGTCCCTTATGCATAACTTTCTCATGGTAGTTATCACATTCCCATAAAAGTCCATTTCCCTGTCTTCTCTATTAGACCTTAAACTCTTTGGAATCAAAGATTATATACGTATTTTTTGAAGTTACACAATGCTACCCAGTATTTATCACTGTGCTTTATAGGAACTTGATAATGTTAGGTAAATCAACATGTAAGCAGAAAGTATCATTTTGAACCTAAATTTCTTCACTGCCTCATGTACTCTCAGTAGGGTGCCCCTCCCACTGACCTCACCTAGTTCACTCTCTAATGACTTTCTCAGGCACGTTCCTCACTCCATGAGCAGAAGGATTCCCTCTCTATGCACTTTTTCCTAGCAGCATCTATTGCTCTTACTGCCATGGTACGCTTACCTCAATTTGTATCATTCTTTGAATAATATGTGCTTCTCCCACTGGACTGTAAGCTCTATGAGAGTAGGGGCCAGATTTGCTTTTGTTTATCATTGCATCTCTACTATGCGGAATAGGGTAGATTTCCAGTGAGTATTTGCTGACTGACTGAATGATTGAGTGAACCATGAGCACTGCTGGAATTCAGGATGCAAGAAGCACGTCTGATGGGCTGGTAGGGGATGCACAGCCCACTCTGTTACCTGCTTGCCTGTGCAAGGGGGACATGGCCTGTTCAGAGGTTTCCATGGGCCCTTGCAGGACAGATGGGGATGGGGAAGACAGCATGATGCTCGTTACATGTACTGCTCTGCTTTCCCAGCTCACGGACTTACTTCTGAGTCTAAAAGTAGGTGTACAGGCAGAGAGAAAAGGAGTCCTTTCCATGAGAAAAGTTCAGGTGTATAAGATATACTGCTTTGTGGTCTGGGTGACAATGTCATACAAGTTAGAGGTGGGGAAAGATTTCCCCACCCCTGCAGAATCCAGCGTGGCACTTTTGGTGCGGGGTGACCGAATGGCACAGAGTGGAATTCAGGGCACCCTGTGCCTGAACCTCAGTATTCCCTCTTTGATGTCATTCCCTTTGTCACTTGCCAGGCACTGCTCTCGGGTGGCTTTTTCTGTCAATCATCAACAATAAAGAGGAGCTAGAGGAAACAAAAAACGTATGTGCTTTTATAAGAGCCTAAGGCAGAAATAACAGATCCCAGAGGCCTGTGGATGCCAATTTGTGCATGTGGAGTATAAAGCAGTGGAATTAGAGGGTTTGTAATTTTTTTTTATGTTATTCTCTTTATATCCATAGGTTGCTGAGGCCTGAGAAAGTCAGGTGTGTCATTGTTCTCTGTCAGCTAAGGACTTGCTTCTGAATTATTTGAAGTTTTACACTGGATACGGTCTCTTATCTCAATCTTTAGCAATGTGTTTTACTGACCAATTTACATAGTTTATAGTTTGACTTGTAAAAGAGGCCCTTTAATTTGACCATCTGGAAGTAGTACAAACTATTGATGTTAATTACTCCTCTTTTATATTCTACTTTTGTGATCCTCTCAGTTTTCAGTTTTTGGTGATACATAAGATCATTATTAATATTTTGTGTTATATGAGATGGCTTCTAGGTATTCATTAAGTGAGCTTATATTGGTGAATGAATATGTTAAATCTGGGAGAGCAAAAGCATTTATTGCCTCAATATTTTTGCCTGAATTGGGTTATATTTTCTCAAACCTACTTTTATCTTTCAGCCTTATGATTACTCTATAAGAAACCAAACATCTGTAGACTTACCTTCATATACAAACTTCAATTTAACTGCCACTAGCAATGCCTCCATATTTCAAAAAAGGAGCTCTTCTTCTGGATATAGTTTGCAATGGTAGGAGAGCTCATGTCGTTCCTGGCTCTTCCGTGACTCCTTGGGTCTCAGACTCACACCAATAAAGGTGATGAACAGAATGTAATCAAGCAAGGAGAGCAGACAAACACTCTGTGGTGATGTGAAGGTCAGGGCAGATATTTCAGTAACTCAACAAACAAGCAAACAAACACAGAAGAGTGAGGAAGGCCTGATGCATATCTGGTGGAGGAAGAGGCTGAATCAGTTGGTCCAGGGCTGGAGGATTTCTGCAGGGTTAAGTGGTTCAGGCAAGTCTGGTTATTTCAGCTGACTTCCCCTACAACTTCTATCTGCAGAAAAAAATCTTACTCAACCTAGTTTTTCATACCTTTCCCCTCTCCATTGCTGACCTGCTTTCCTCCTTTGACATCCCTTTAATAGAATACTTTCTGCCTGTTGGCTTCCCAGCTAAAGCAGACTTCTCACTGCTCACACATTTGAACTCTGCACTGTCAGACCATTTGGAGGATGCTTACCTTGTTTGAGTCCTCCTGGGTCCCTGTGGCTATCTCTTTAGTTCTATCAGTTCAAGAAGCCCACCACCTACCTTCAGAAATTGCCATCCAGCCACAGGCAGACTTTCACATTTTGGTTTGCTCCTGAGCATAGCAACCTAGAATTTGGCCTTGGCTTCAGGCAGATGGAAGTGCATGTTTCTTAAGAATCAGATTCATGGGCCTGAAGAAGGGCTTCAGTCCTCAAAATAAAGATGAGAATAATTCCTCCTATTCTAGTTCAATCAACTGTTCGACCAGGGAGAACTGCTGCTTCTTGAATTAGGGGACTTATTAACTAAGTACATCTGAAAACAAACATTTTTTTTTATAGATCATATAATTGAAATATATGCTAAAGATTTTTTTTTGTCCTCTTACCAGAGTTCTTTAGAGATTTTGATCTCTGGTTATTGTTCTGAGGATATTGGTTTATTGCATGCTCGTGTTGAATCTGGAGGTATCAGCAAAATCTCACAGTTCTAGTTAAATTATTTTAATTTTAAGCTCTGCTTTGAAATAAGGAGATTTATTGGTACTTTTATCAATTTCTTCATTTTTCATTTTCTTTATTTCTTATCTATCAGCTAATGTTTTTCTTTCCAACAAATGGTAATGTACTGTAAATAGTATTTTGTAGCCAACTTGATTTTTCACATTGATATAACTTCCTTCTAACAATTTTCAGTGTAAATTATCATAATAGTCTATTGAATGGAGTTTCTGTATTTATTAACCAAATTCTTGATTGTGGATCATTTAAGTACTAGTGTATCATAAAATCTATATTCAGATATACAATTTTCCAGATGGAGGGTATCCAATAAACAAGGTGCCATAGTTTGGTCATTTATATTATTTATATTTTGTTGTTCTTGTGTTTGATTGACTTTGGCTCACCAAACATCCTGAGCTGTATCATCTTACCATCTTACCAGCCTCAGCTGGCCCAGTGCCATCACTTTTATAGCACAAAGCCATCTTCTGGTGACAGGCAGAGCTCCTGCCTCACAACATGAGATTCTTTTCCTTTCTTGGTCACCTCCTTAAGAGGGAAGCCCACAAGTAGTGAACATTTTTCAGGAAGGCTTGAATTCTGACATATCTCTAAAGCTAGAAATGGAAACTAAATTTTCTTAGTGTTCATCAGACAGTTTCCCATTCTTCCTACATGGAGTGTAAAAATACATCTTTGCAAATCAATAGGAGACAAACCAATTGTGTTGGTTTCCTGTGGCTGCTATAACAAAGCACCACAACTGTGTGGTTTAAAAGAGCAGAAATCTACTCTCTCACAGTTCTGGAGGCCAGAAGTCTGAAATCAAGTTGTCAGTGGGGTTGGTTCCTGTGGGAAGCCCTGCAGGAGATTCTGTTCCATGCCCCTCTCCTAGTTTCTGGTGGTTGCCTGTAATACTTGGCAATTGTTGGCTTGTAGATTTCCAATTACTCCAATCTCTGCATCTGTCTCCACACAGCATTCTCCTCTCTGTGTCTAAATTTGCCTCTTCTTAGAAGTTTATCAGTCAAATTGGATTTAGGGACCCCCCTTATTGAGTATGACCTCATCTTAACATGTTTACATCTGTAAACAAGGTCTCATAGAGTCTGAATGGATGTGAATTCCTGTGGAACATTATCCAATCCAGCATGAAAACTGACCAACAAACTTTCATTGGGCTTCTATTTTTTTTTTTTTTTTTTTGGTGGGGTGGGGTTGAAGGAAAAGGAGAGGATTTTACTCCTCCCAGTTTTTAATGGATACCTTCCTATATAAGTTGGAAATAAATTGGATGAAGTCACAGAAAACCAAAAGAACATTTTTTTCTTATTCCTTTTTTTTTTTTAATGTGATAAGAAATCTGGAGACAGATGGTGGAGGGCAGATACTGTGGCTCACAGTGCCAACTGGGAGCCAGCTGCTATGTCTTCCTGTGCACTCACCCTTAGCGTGTGGATTTTGACCTATGCTTGCTGCCTCATGGACACAAGATGGCCACTCCACTTCCGCATCACATTTGGGCAAAAGGGATATGCTGACTGATTGCTCCTTTTTTACACAGCTTTCCTGGAAGTCCTTTTCAGTGCCTTCCATGTAAACCTTGTTGGTCAGAGCCATCTTATATGCCAGGTAAGTGGGAAAAAAGATTTTTTATTATTAATTTTTTTAAGCAGGAAAAATTGCTGCACTAGAGCAGACTAGATTTTAGTTAGTAAGGAAAGAAGGAAAATAGATATTGCAAAAGTAAACTAGTACCTTCTGCTGAATCTCCCAAAGTTTATCAGAATCAGGACTCATTCTCAGTGAGGAATTAGGGTCAATTGTTTTAAGTGACCAATCAATACTGGTGTTCGTGCAGGCACACACACTTACAACATAGATCCAAGGACTGATTCTTCCGATCCTGCCCTGAAATGCTTCTACCTGCTATCAAACAAAAGCTTGTTTTATAAGCTTTATTTTATTTTATTTATTTATTTATTTTTTGAGACAGTCTGACTCTGTTGCCCAGGTGGAGTGCAGTGGCACGATCTTGGCTCCCTACAACTTTTGCCTCCTGCGTTCAAGCGAGTCTCCTGCCTCAGCCTCCCTGAGTAGCTGGGACTACAGGCATGCAGCACCACACCCAGCTAATTTTTGTATTTTTAGTAGAGATGGGGTTTCACCGTGTTGTCCAGGCTGGTCTCGAACTCCTAACCTCAGATGATCTGCCTGCCTCGGCCTCCCAAAGTGCTGGGATTACAGGCATGAGCCACTGCATCTGCCTTGTTTTGTAAGCTTTAGACACTCCTGTGCTACAGCAGCTTCCATATGAGGCTGGGTTTCATGTGTATAAGTTACTAGCTCAGAAAATCCAAAGCTAAATTCCTGGTTGCATAGTATTCTAGTAAATGTATATTTTATGATTTATTTAACCAACTCCCTATTACTGAACATTTAGTTTCTGATATATTTATTCATTTTCTTCAATATAATTTTTTAATTGTGTGATCTTAAAAATGAAGTTTTTCTTAGTCCTACAGGGCTAAGTTGATGGATGAAGCTGAGATGTTTAGAGGGCTTGGTGTTATTAAGACTGATCTAAAACTGGGTAGGATACATTGAATTGTTCTATTCTGGGTGTAATGACATGCTCTTTTGACTAGGCTAGAGAATGATGACAAAATATCAACTGACAGATAATATGAGAGGCTAGAGGAGAGAATATTCAATAGTTTTTCTTTTCAATTTTCCTTTATTGTGCGTCCCTATGTGCCTGGCTTTGGGTTGAGCTGCCTTTTCCTATTATTATTGTTTTACTTACCCCTAAAATTAGCCCAAAGATCTTAGTGGGTAGTTAATTCTTTAAGATGGATTAAAAACATCAGTCTCATTCTCTAGTGGCATCTTGTCTCTACTGTTCACTTCTCTGTTGATTCTGACACAACCATCTAACCCCATTCTTCAGACATGGGTTCTGACATCCAACAGAGGCTCGGCTTGTCTGTGTTTCTTTTCTCTTTGTTCCTGGGCATGTCTGCTAGGAACTTCTAAGGCAGGAAGAAGCCCAGCATTACACCTTTCCCCAGACTGTATGCGGCATACTAATGCTTGCTCCCTGGGCACTTGTAATTGCAGATATGGACTGTTTATGCCAGTGATGAAAGTGGATGAACAGCTGCAGCTGCCAGGCAAAAGATAATGCAGGAATGAGAATGTCAAAGTGGCTATATCTGAACTTAAATTAACCTTTCTTGTTGCTCTTCTTTTTCTCTCCTTTTCCATTCAATTTTCCACCCCAGGGTTCCCAGCATCTTCCTCAAGACTTTGATCTATTTTGCTATATTGACTGAGTTGACTGCTCCGGTAGATGGATAGTGGCCCTCGAAGGAGGGTAGATTAGAGGGTTGGTGGGGGGAGAGCTTGGAGGCAGAGACAGGGGTGAGTAGACAAAGCAGTGGGGTGCTGACGGAAACAGTTTTATCATGTGTCACAGCTCCTCATTATAAGCACTGATTAGAGCATTTCTGAGTTTTTAATTGCATCCAGGGTTAATTCTTACCCAGTGTGCTAATGTATATGTATACTGCAAGGTTAGTGATGTTAGGCCCACCTCACATTTTAATTCAGGATAGTTCTACCTGCCTCTGGGAATTAAAATGATGATGAATTCCACATGCAGTGAGTAGTTCTCCATCCTCCTGCTCTGCACAGTTGGAGCACAGCTCATTTGTGTGCCCCTGGACTGCCAGTCTTTCATTCTTCCTTTGCCATTTCTCTTCCTCCCTTATCTTGCAGGAGTACAAGTGGCTATTTGTTCCTCTCTATGCATTGCAGCCCAGCTCTGAGATAATTCATCCTTCCTCCTCTATTGACAGACACAGACATCACTCAAGGCATTGAGGACAGAAATCAGCAAGCTGCCCTTTGCCTGAGAGTCTGACCTGGCTCCATGTGGGAGGCCAGGTGGAGGCAGCTTTGATATGCTTCTGTGGGGACTGCATCATCAGTGGACCATCCATTGGCGCTTCCAATGTGTGCACTCCCCCATGACCTGGCCCTTTGACAATACCATTTGTTGTCATCGATTTCTGGGTGCTCAGAAGGCTGGTGGAATCTGCACGCAGTTTCTTAAATCTTAGTGGAGGAGAAACTACATACTAACCCTTTTGGGACCTGCCAATCTCTTTTCTGGCTGGAAAGAGCCCATCTAGGGACTGATAAGTGCTCAGCAGTCAATTCTATTTAATTCAACAGATATTTAATGAGAGGCTGCTTGGAGTCAGATATGATGCTAGACAGGACAAGGGTTAAAAGATTAATGGGATCCAGATCCTCACCTTTGTGGGGCTCACAGCCGTGGGAGAGTTATAGTTGTGTATAATTGTAACAGGAGTGTGTGTGTGTGTGTGTGTGTATGTGTATGTGTGTGCATGTGGTAGGGAGGGGGTTAATATGAGAAAGAAAGGATACTCCAGATGGGAAATGAAGAAAGGAGACTGGTGTATTTGTCTAGGATTTATTCCACACATGTGTGTGTCTTATTCAGCTCAGGTAGCTATAACAAAATACCATAGACTGGGTAGGTTAAACAATAGATATTTATTTCTCACTGTTTTGGAGTCTGGAAGTTCAGGATCAGGGTGTTAGCGTGGTTGGACCCTGGTGATGAGGACTGTCTTTCTGGGTTGTAGACAGCCACTTTGTCCCTCTGTTGTCACATGGTGGGATGAGGGTGGAAAGGGGGATGAGAGACAGGGAGAGAGGGAGTGAGAGCAACAGCTTTCTGGTGTCTCTTATAAAGGCACTAATTCTGTCAGACCAGAGTCTTGCCCTCAAGATCTCACCTTACCCTAGTTACCTCTCAAAGGCCCCATTTCCAAAAGCCATTATGCTGGAGATTAGAGCTTCAACATATGAATTTTGAGAGAACACAAACATTCAGTCCATAGCAGTGTGGTTCAGAGACACCAATTTCTTTATATTTTAATATACCTTTCTCTAATATCTTACATAGAATAATGTAGAATATCATACAGTAAATATATTATTTACTATACTTTTTGTCCTTCCATCTGTTTCTAGCTTCCTTTTAAGAAACCGCCACTCTATTCTACATGTTTTGGAGTTGCACAACAGCAACCTGGAGTAACAGTGACTTCTTTGCTCCCTCTGGTCAATTTACTTCTTTGAGCCTCAGTTGCCTCATTTGCAAAATGGGAGCATAACACTAGATGATTTCAAAGGCAGTCTGTTCCCTTTCTTCCTCTTCCCCCTCTTCTTCTTTCCCCCCTTCCCTTCTCTCTCTCTCTCTTGCTTCCTCCTTCTTTCTTTCAAAAAATGTTTGCAGGAGCAGAAAACCAAACACCATGTGTTCTCACTTATAAGTGGGAGCTGAATGATAAGAACACATGGACACATCGGGGGGAACAACACACACTGGGATCTGTCAGAGGGTGGGGATGGGAGGAAGGAAAGTATCAGGAAGAATAGCTAATGGATGTTGGGCTTAATACCTAGGTGATGGGATGATTTGTGCAGCAAATTACCCTGGCACACGTTTACCTATGTAATAAACCTGCACATTCTGCACATGTACCCCTGAACTTAAAATGAAAGTTGGAAATTAAAATGAAATGTTTGCTGAAGAGTCAAAAAATGTACTGATATTATGTGATACATGTTGTGATAACACTGCCATGTTAACTTCTTGGTACTTGATAACACAAAATACAGCTTGTGGAAAGGACAATTACTCCAATCTCTGCATCTGTCTCCACACAGCATTCTCCTCTCTGTGTCTCTGTGCCCAAATTTCCCTCTTCTTATAAGGATATCAGCCAAATTGGATTTCAGGACCCCCTTATCCAGTATGACCTCATCTTAATGTGTTTACATCTGCAAAGACCATATTTCTGAATAGTTTCTCATAGATTCTGAGTGGATATTAATTCCTATGGAATATATTATCCAACCCAGTACGTGAACTGACCAACAAACTTTCATCTGGCTTCTCTTTCTGATCACCTCCAGTTCATATGCAAAGGTTGCTAGGCCCATTTTCTTCTTTGTCCTCACCTTCTATCCCTCCACCTTACTCCTTCTGGGTCTCTGACAGGGCATAATTTTTGTCTAGGCCATGAAGAAGATGGTGGAAGAGACCTTTTCTGTACACTTTGCATTTGTAGATTGGGAGACACAGCGTCTCTTCTGATGGTCTGTGTGTTCTCACTGAGAGGGAATATTCAGTTTCTCCACCTACATATTAATTATCCACCACCTACCTATTCATTCTCTGATGGCAAGTTTATGCCAATGACTATAAAATATTTCATCATGAACAGACACTTCTCAAAAGAAGACATACAAGCAGCTGACAAACATATGAAAAAAATGCACAATATCACTAATTATCAGAGAAAGGCAAATCAAAACCACAGTGAGATACAATCTCACATCAGTCAGAACGGCTATTATTAAAAAGTAAAAAGAACAACAACAACAGCAAAAGCCCCCCAAAACAGATGCTCATGAGGCTGCAGAGAAAAGTGAATGCTTACGCATTGTTGGCGGTAATGTAAATTAGTTCAGCCACTGTGGAAGGCATTAAACAGAACTGCCATTCAACCCAGCAGCAATCCAATTACAGGGTATAAACCCAAAGGAAAATAAATCATTCTACAAAAATGACACACAAGTCTGTTGATTGTAGCACTATTCACAAGGACAAAGACATGGAATCAACCTAAGTGCTGCTCCACAAAGGACTGGTTAAAGAAAATGTGGTACATATATACCAGGAATACTATGCAGCCATAAAAAGGAGGAAATCATGTCTTTTGCAGCAATGTGGGTTCAGCTGGAGGCCATCATCTTAACAAAATTAACAGAAACAGAAAACCAAATACTGCATATTCGTTCTTATAAGTGGGAGATAAACACTGAGTACATATGGACATAAAGATGAGAATAATAGACAGTGAGAACTACTATACGGGGGTGAGAGGGAGGGAGGCAAAACTGAAAAATTGCCTATTGGGTACTACGCTTACTACTTGGGTGATGGGATCACTCGTACCCAAAACTCAGTGTCACACAATATACCCACGTAACAAAAACCTGCACTTGTACTCCCTATATCTAAAATAAAAGTTGAAATTATTTTAAAATTAAGAAATTATAATCTTTATGGGACAAATTTTACTATTAAGGAATGGGACAAACATCGAGGAAACATCTACTATGTGCTACTGGTGAGGCCCAGTGAGGCCTGCCAGAGTTAAGTCTAGCAGTGGCTGGCACCTTAGACCCTTCTCTAGTCCCACATTACTCACCTCCTAGACCGCAGTGGGAGATATTTAGTTTCCTGAATGTGAGGTTTCTAGGAAGTTCTGTTTCTGTGAACTTGAGTTTCTGGCATCTTAGAAATTTTTCCAAACTGCCAAGAAGAGGTGACTATGCTGATTATTATGTAACTTTTCTAAAAATGAGTAGTACTAAATAAATCAGTGCCATTTTTTCCTTTATTTAGATAAACTAATCTCAATTGCAAGGATAAACGAGGTTTCCAAGAGGTTTTTTCTTACCAGTTCTGGCAAACAAAGTGGAAGAGCAAATCCACATGAATGAGTCCATAATGCATCTCTGTTAGGCTTTTTGTCCTGGCACTGCCCATCTGCTGGAAGCTGCCCCTACAAGAGCAGGCAGCCATTAGAAGTTTCTCTGTTTAGATCCTTCCTGGGGAAGGGAGACTCTAAATAGAGTTGGGTTTAGTTGCTGAAAACTTGTGATTAGCTGTAGACTGTCAATCACCTGCAGCCAAGTCTATTTCGGCAATGCTGTAGTTTTCTTGTTTCAGATCACTTCTCACTGCCTAAGGTTATTATGCTCGGGCTTCCCATTGCAGATAGTCAAGCTCTTTCCAGCTTGCCTTAGTTTATATCCACTCTTTCACGGCTATTTTAAATGTGCAATTACTAGGGAAAAAATAGATGGCTTTGAGCTATGATGTTAATGTCCACATCTCACATGGCTTTCACAGTAATACAACAGCCCCTACCTTGCAGAGTTATAGGTTCTGTTGTGATAATATGGTTTAATTTTTTTATTTCAGTAATTATTTGAAATTTTACACTACACACACACAGTCACACACACACACACAATCACACACATACACATTCACACACACTGTTAGGAGACTGAAACAAAGGCAATTATTGTTTAACAAAATAGAAATTGCATCACACCTCAGTGTCAATATAAGCAGTGAACAAAATCAACCACCAGATAATTTAAATTTTTATACAGAACTTGATTATTTTTTCATAATAATCATAATACTTATTGAGAATGTACCCTTTGTCAGACACATTTCTAAGCATTTAAAATGTATTAATTCCTCTAAAGACACACTAAATCAGGCTGAAAGGATATTTAATATTGTCAGACACTGTGTGTCTACCGAATTCAGATAATCAGCTATACTGTACCTGTTTGGTAATTCATGTCTGTTAGGTTGTTTAGGGTAAATTAGTTTTCTTTGTTTCATAGGACCTAGAGATAGATAGGCAGAAAGAGCCTCCTTAAGAAGAAAATACGGCATTCTGGTCCTGTCTTTTCCTGAGAGGGTTCAGCTGATCTTGGTTCTTTTCACATCCCTCATTCCTCTTGCCAAAATCCCAGCAAACTCAAAGCTTGGTATAAATTGAGTGATACAATTTGATTTCTCAAGTTTGGAAGAGTCTCCTGTTTTGTTCTTCTGGTCTGACATGGCCGCTGTCCTTGAAGTTTTTAACCTGGGCAGATCACGTGGAAGATGTGAACTTCTGAGTTGGCCTACGTAGGAATTAATGTGTAGACAATCCTTCCCCATAACTCCAATATTCCCAACCTGTGTTTTTCTCTTCTTCTTCTACTTACTAGGATGCATGTGGTTCTTCCAGGGTTGAAGTTAGGAAAAGGTTGGGAGATGAGAAGTGAGAGGCATATATGATACGTTATTTGACTGGTGGTATCAGTTGTTGATATCCACCCTGTGTGGGGCACATTTGTTGAGTTTTTTTTTTTTTTTTTTTTTTTTTCACCTTTTAAGTTCCTGGGTATATTTGCAGGATGTGCAGGTTTGTTACATAGGTAAACGTGTGCCATGGTGGTTTGCTGCACACATCAACCCATCAGCCAGGAATTAGGCCCAGCATCCATTAACTATTTTTCCTGGTGCTCTCCCTCTCCCAGCTCCTCCTACTGGCCATAGTGTGTGTTGTTACCACCATGTGTCCATGTGTTCTCATTCAGCTCCCACTTATAAGTGAGAAAGAACATGTGATGTTTGGTTTTCTGTTCATGTGTTAATTTGCTGACGATAATGGCCTCCAGCTCCATCCATGTCCCTGCAAAAGACATGATCTCCTTCATTTTTATGGCTGCATAGTATTCCATGGTGTATATATACCACATATTCTTTATCCAGTCTATCATTGATGAGCATTTGGGTTGATTCCATGTCCTTGCTATTGTGAATAGTACTGTAATGAACATATGCATGCATGTATGTTTATAATAGAACAATTTATATTCCTTTGGGTATACACCCAGTAATGGGATTGCTGGTTCAAATGGTATTTCTGCCTCTAGGTCTTTGAGAAATTGCTACATTATCTTCCAAATGGTTGAACTCCCACCAATAGTGTAAAAGTGTTCATTTTTCCCCAAACCTCACCAGCATCCTGTTTCTTGACTTTTTAATAATCTCCATTCTGACTGGTGTGAGATGGTATCTCATTGTAGTTTTGATTTCCATTTCTCTAGTGATCAGCGACGTTGAGCTTTTTCTTCATATGTTTCTTGGCCGCATAAATGTTTTCTCTGGAGAAGTGTCTGTTCATGTCCTTTGCCCACTTTTTAATGGGGTTGTTTGTTTGTTTGTTTTTTCTTGTAAATTTGTTTAAGTTCGTTGTAGACACTGGATATTATACCTTCATCAGATGATTAGATTGTAAGAATTTTCTTCCGTTCAGTAGGTTGTCTGTTCACGTTGATGATAGTTTCTTTTGCCGTGTAGGAGCTCTTTAGTTTAATTAGACCCCACTTGTCAATTTTTGCTTTTGTTACTATTGCTTTTGGAGATTTTGTCATGAAATCTTTGCCCATGCCAATAAGGCATGCTTTCCCCCTTGCTTGTTTTTGTCAAGGTTGTTAAAGATCAGATGGTTGTAGGTGTGCAGTCTTATTTTTGAGTTCTCTATTCTGTTCCATTGGTCTATGTGTCTGTTTTTTTTTGCCATGCTGTTTTGGTTACTGTAGCCTTGTAGTATAGTTTGAAGTCAGGTCACATGATGCTTCCAAATTTGGGTTTTTTTTGTTTTCTTGTTTTTGTTTTTTTTTTGCTTAGGATGGTCTTGGCTATATGGGCTCTTTTTTGGTATAATATGAATTTTAAAATAGTTTTCTTCTAATTCTGTGGAGAATGTCAAAGGTAGTTTAATGGGAATAGCGTGGAATTTATAAACTACTTTGGTCAGTATGGCCATTTTTATGATATTGATTCTTTTTATCCATGAGCATGGAATGTTTTTCTATTTATTTCTGTCCTCTCTTATTTCTTTGAGCAGTGATTTGTAGTTCTTCTTGAAGAGGTCCCTCACTTCCTTTGTTAGCTATATTCCTAGGTATTTTATTCTCTTTGTAGCAATTTTGAATGAGAGTTCATTCATGATTTGGCTTTCTGCTTGCCTGTTGTTGGTGCATAGGAATGCTAGCAGTTTTTGCACATTGATTTTGTATCCTGAGACTTTGCTGAAGTTGTTAATCAGCTTAAGAAGCTATTGGGCTGAGACAATGGGGTTTTCTAGATATAGGATCATGTCATCTGCAAACACAGATAATTTGACTTCCTCTCTTCTTATTTGAATATTCTTTATTTTTGTTTCTCTTGCCTGATTGCCCTGGCCAGATCTTCCAATACTATGTTGAATAGGAGTGCTGAGAGAGGGCACCCTTGTCTTGTGCTGGTTTTCAAGGGTAACGCTTCCAGCTTTTGCTAATTCAGTATGATATTGGCTGTGAGTTTGTCATATATGGCTTATTGTTTTGAGGTATGTTTCATTAATACCTAGTTTATTGAGAGTTTTTAACATAAAAACATAAAGGGATATTGAATTTCATCAAAGGCCTTTTTCTGCATCAATTGAGATAATCATATGGTTTCTGTCTTTAGTTCTGTTTATGTGATGAATTACGTTTATTGATTTGCATATGTTGAACTACCTTGCATACCAGGCTGAAGCTAAGTTTATCATGACAGGTAAACTTTTTGATGTGCTGCTGGATTCGGTTTGCCAGTATTTTATTGAGGATTTTTGCATTACCATTCATCAGGGATATTGGCCTGAAGTTTTCTTTTTTTATTGTGTCTCTGCCAGGTTTTGGTATTAGGATGATGCTGGCCTCATCAAATGAATTAGGGAGGAGTTAGGGAGTAGTTTCAGTAGAAGTGGTACCAGTTCTTCTTTGTACCTCTGGTAGAATTCAGCTGTAAATTCATCTCGTGCTGTTTTAATTTTTTAATTTTTTAATTTTATTTTTTGGTTGGTAGGCTTTTTATTACTGCCTCAATTTCTGTCCTTGTTATTGGCTTATTCAGGGATTCAATTTCCTCCTGGTTCAGTCTCAGGAGGGTGTATGTGTCCAGAAATTTATCTATTTCTTCTAGATTTAGTAGTTCATGTATATAGAGGTGTTTATAATATTCTCTGATGATTGTTTGTATTTGTGTGGGGTCAGTGGTGATACGCCCCTTTTATCTATTTGGTTCCAGCTTTTGCTTTTCTTCTTTATTAGTCTTGCTAGTGGTCTATTTTATTAATTTTCTTGAAAAAAACAGCCCCTTGATTCGTTCATTTTTTGAAGGGTTTGTTGTGTCTCAATCTCCTTCAGCTTTACTCCAATCTTGGTCATTTCTTGTCTTTGTAGCACTGGGGCTTGTTTGCTTTTGGTTCTTTGGTTCTTTTAGTTGTGATGTTAGGTTGTTGATTTGAGATCTTTCTGGCTCTTTGATGTGGGCATTTAGTTCTATAAATTTCCTTCTTAACACTGCTTTGGCTGTGTCCCAGAGATTCTGGTACATTGTTTCTTTGTTGTCATGAGCTTCAAAGAATTGCTGATGAGCGTTTTACTTCCAATTATGTCATCAATTTTACAGTAAATGCCATGTGATGATGAGAAGAATGTATATTCTGTTGTTTTGGAGAGGAGAGTTCTGTAGATATTTATCAGGTCCACTTGATACAGAGCTGAGTTCGGGTCCTGAATATCTTTATTAATTTTCTGTCTCAATGATCTGTCCAATATTGTTAGTAGGGTGTTAAAATCTCCCACTATTATTCTGTGGGAGACTAAGTCTCTTTGTGGGTCTCTAAGAACTTGATTTATGAATCTAGGTGCTCCTGCTGTATTACGTGCATATATATTTAAGATAGTTAGTTCTTGTTGAATTGAACCCTTAACCATTATGTAATGCCCTTCTTTGTCTTTTTTTTGGTCTTTGTTGGTTTAAAGTCTGTTTGTCATAAACTAGGATTGCAACCCCTGCGTTTTTCTGTTTTCCACTTCTTGTTAAATTTTCCTCCATCCCTTTATTTTGAGTCAGATGTGTCTTTGCACCTGAGATGGGTCTCTTGAAGACAGCATACCAGTGGGTCTCCACTCTATCCAACTTGCCATTCTGTGTGTTTTAATTAGACATTTATTTATTAGTTTTTTTTTGAGATGGAATCTCGCTCTGTTGCCCAGGCTGGAGTGCAGTGGTGTGATCATGGCTCATATGACCACCACCCGGGTTCAAGCGATTCTTCTGCATTTAGCCTATTTACACTTAAGGTTAATACTGCTATGTGTGAATTTGATCCTGTCATCATGATGTTAACTGGTTATTTTGCAGACTTGTTTGTGTGGTTGCTTCATAGTTTCACTGATCTGTGTACTTCAGTGTGCTTTTTGTCACAGTTTTTCCTTTCCATATTTAGAGCTTCTTTCAGGAGCTCTTGAAAGGCCTGCCTGAGAGTGATGGATTTGCTCAGCATTTACTTGTCTGAAAAGGATATCTTATTTCTCCTTCACTTATGAAACTTACTTTGGCTGGATATAAAATTATGGTTTGGAAATTATTTTCTTTAAGAATGTTGAATATTGGCCCTCAATCTCTTCTGGCTTGTATGGTTTCCACTGAGAGGTCTGCTGTTAATCTGATAGGCTTTTCTTTGTAGGTGATTTGGCCTTTCTCTCTTGCTGCCATTAACATTTTTTCTTTCATTTTGACCTTGGAGAATCTGATGATTCATGTCTTGAACTTCTCATGGAGTATCTTATGGGGGTTCTCTGGATTTCCTGAATTTGAATGCTAACCTGTTTTTGTAGATTGGGGAAGTTCTCCTGAATGATATCCTAAAGTATGTTTTCCAACTTAGTTCTGTTCTCCCCATCTCTTTTAGGTACCCTAATCAGTCATAGGTTCAGTCTTTTTACATAATTCTATATTACTCGGAGATTTTATTCATTCATTTTCATTTTTTTCTCTATTCTTGTCTGCCTCTCTTATTTCAGAAAGATAGTGTTCAAGCTCTGAGATTCTTTCCTCTGTGTGGTCTATTCTGCTATTGATACTTGTGATTGCATTGTGGAATTCTTATGTTGTATTTTTCAGCTCCATCAGGTCAGTTATGTTCTTCTTCATTTGTAGAGTTTTTGGATACTTCTTTCACCCCATCACTGGAGTCTCCTCTCCTGCAGTTCACCATTGATATGGTTTGGCTGTGTCTCCAAAATCTCATCTTGAATTGTAGCTCCCATTATTCCCATGTGTTATGGAAGGGACCTGGTGGGAGACAATTAAATGCTGGGGACAATTTCCCCCATACTGTTCTCATGATAGTGAATAAATCTCATGTGATCTGGTGGTTTTATAAGGGGTTTCCCCTTCCGCTTGGGTCTCATTCTTTCTTGCCGGCCACCATGTAAGGTGTGCCTTCTGTCTTCTGCCATAATTGTGAGGCCTCCCTAGCCATGTGGAACTATGAGGCCATTAAACCCCTTTTTATTTTTAAATTACCCAGTCTTGGGTATGTCTTCATCAGCAGCATGAAAACTAATACAACCATGATAATGGTAAATGGATTCTTCAGAAGAAATTACTTCTTATTCTTTCTTTAGCCACTAGGCAGCAGTAATATACTTCCAGCTTCTCACTACTAAGATCACTTTACCCCTCCAACTGGCCTTTAGAATACGATTTGGGATAAACTTAAGCCAGCTCTTCCTTTTACATGGACAACTTCTGGTCAAGGGAAATCACATGCATTCTTTTTACCATTAAACTTATCTTCTGCCTGAAGAGTGGCTGGCTATCCATAGTAAATACTGTTTAGATTTCTCAGTAGTGATTCAGACTTCAGGCTCCTTTTTTCCCAAGCTCCATACAACATAGTTCAAGTTATAGGTTGGGAGGGGTCATCTTTAATGTCCATTTCTCTGATTTTGATAAAGAGAAATGTATCTCCAACTTCTAACCCCCTTCTATCTCTATACTCCTTCTACCTCTCTCCTGAATTCCTTTCCAGTATCTGTTGTCTTTCTCAGCCCCTCAATATTAGTTTATGGATTGGAGGTAGGTGTTTAGCAAAGTGTCCCCAAACTGGTTCCTAGCCATCTGCTTTGAAAGTCCTGGTTTTGCCTTCTCATAGCTCATTTTGTAATGTTGATGAGGTTTATCTCATGTTCTATGGCCTCAGTTAAAACTGTACTGCCATAGTTCTATTTGGACATTTTGTTATACCTGCAACCAAACAGAAGATGTGCAAAAGTTATGACTAATCAATGTGAGATGCATTCATATAAATAGATATTACACATATTAGAAGATGCTCAACATCACTATGAAATCTTAGAAATGCAATTAGAGCAATTAAATATCATCTTTATTGTATTAGTGAAAATATAAATGATTGATAGCTAGTATTAATGAGATATATTGTTGATGGAGTATACATTGGTATAGTCTTGAGAACAATCTGGCAGTGCACATTAAAATAAGAAATGTGCACATTCTTTAAGCCATCATTCATATATCTCATTTTCTACCCCAGAGAAGTACTTGTCCATGTTCTTACAAAGGCAGGTACAAAAACATTCATTGTAGCATTACTCATAAGGACAAAGACTAAAGATAACCCATCAGTGGCAGAATAATTAAATGAGCAATCTCTAAATCTCCCTTGAAATTATTAGTATAAGATTAGTGTAAGTAATGTGTGTCACTTCTAGGCCATAGCTTTTAAAAAGTAGAAGTACCTTCTCCATCCTCTTCTGCTGACTGAATGCAGATAATCGGAAGACCCTAGAAAGTGGCCAAAAACCATACAGAAGGAGTTGGGTTCTTGAATGAAGGAAAACTACCTGTGGACCTGCATCACCCTCACTGGACGGGTACGTGAATAAGACATAAGCTTCTCCTGTTTTAATCCATTGATATTTTGAGATTTACTTGTTGAAGTAGCTAACGTTACCCTAATACAAATGATATGTAGAAGTTAAGAAGGAGGAAGTCAATTGGAATGCTTGAACTTACCTGTATCTTGAGGGTATGTCAAGTTAGGAAAGCGTGTGATGTCATGTACATCAAACAACACTCAGACTATGCCTGTATATGTTAAACAAAGAGAAAAAGTTCTGGAAGGATAACCATTAAACTAATAGTGAGTACCTCCAAAGAGGGAAGTAGGATTGAGTATTGTGGTAACTGGGGACTTTTGCTTTTATTATTGGAATTTTTTATGAGAAGAATATTGCTTGAATTACTTGTGTAATTAAAAATTATAAAATAAATTAGATTGGTTCTCTGGATAATTGCTTGGCTTGAACTGATCCATTTTTGTTTCTGTGCTCATTTATATGAAGAAAATAGATAAAAACTTCATCTTTCTCTCTTTACCAATATCTTGTCATCAGCAGCAATTATTGGGAATAATTCCTGAATTCTAGTTTTTGGCATAAATTCATATGAGAAAATTTATCAGGGATTTAAAAAATGTTACAGAATCCTCTAAGGTAACTGGAGAAGAAAAATGCTTGCAAATCAATTACGATAGCAAAAATAAATATATATGGACTTAGAAATATTTTGGTGGGGTTGTTGATGTAGTATTACTGAATTCATAAATATGTCTTAAGAAAACTGAATTCACTCAAGTGTCTCCTTTGATAATTACAGAAGTGATAGTGTGACATTGCCTTTCATCAAGCTATGACGACCTAACTTCTAACATTGACTTCAGTATGATAACAGCATGGCAATAATGGGAGCACATCCACTCCGTGCACTGCTTTTAGCATCCAGTGAGTAATCTGGTGTGTCTTCTAAGAGAGTAAGAATATCTAAAGTGCTCAGCCATGAATGACCAGAAAACAACAGTACCATGATGCCTTATCTCCTACTCTGCCTCTCTGCTTTTTATACATTGCTTCCTTTAGGTCCACTCTGTTGGGCTGGGCCATGGACACATTTACACACTGAAATCAGTGTTTCTTTGGCTTTTCCTTTGGTTATCAAGGCAATTGCTTGTCCTCACGCCCTCTGAGAAAAACCATCATGAAGGACTCTCTTAGAAGCTCTATGGCTTGGACTAACCAGTTCATTCTCCCTCACACACTTTCACTTGAAATGTTTCAACTTCAGATCATTCCTTGGACACCACTTCCCAAGAGGGATGCAAACTGTGCAGGCTTCAAGACTCACCCCTCTCTTCACATCTTTTTCATTTCGCTCTCCTAAACAGGATCAGATTGGATCTTATGTTCCCCATTTCCTTCTTCAGTTCGAGGACCCTACACTACTTTTATTCTGTAATTCCTGCTATAGCATTTAGCAGTATTCAGAAAAAATAGAACTAGCAATGTTTAGCTTAAGGAGTTTTTGTGAGAAAAAGAATGTGTATCAGTGTGCTTAGCAGGGACACCATAATGTTGGTTTCCCTCCCTGGGTTTCACATTTCTTATATTCTGCAGGTGCTTGTCAGAGTTGCAAAATACCAAGCAGGTAGGGCTATAAGCTGGGAGCTTTAGGATGGAATACCAAGAGACAAGCTTCAGGGGAGATGGGAATGGTTCAATCTGGGAATAATAAGGTTGGTCAGGGTGGATGCAGTTACAGGGTGACTTAGGAGCTAGGGAAGCCTGGAGAAGATATTGCTGCCTGCAGATACTATGCCAAGGACCTTGTGCCATCAAGTATTAGAATCTCATGGTAAGCTTAACTTCTGTTTGATTCCAATACATTAAAGCTAAAATAAGGGCAAAAGAAAAGCAGCAGAAAAAGCCTAAATCCTACCCCACTGTGTATATGATTGCTTTCCAGTGTGAATTCTGAACTTAGAAACCAGAGTGATGGAGGGAGCATTAACAAGAAGACAGATGATTGTATTTCTGTAAGCTGAACTCTCCCCATTGGCTGAGGTGTTTCTGCTCCATCCCCCACCTCTCTGCTGACCTCATTCTCTTTACAGCGGCAGTTTGCTCACTCTTGCCTTCTCTAGTCTGAGGCCAGTGTGGATCCTGTATACCAGCAGCTCTCAGGCTCCACTTAATCTCTTCTGCATCTCTCTCTGCTATGGCCCCTAGGGACATTCATCACAATATGGAGAAGCCATCCTTCATTCAGTAGCTCCATTCCCTTTTCCCAGTTTTAGAGAAACCCTGCGCCCCTTACTCTATGTTTGTGTCCCCTTGCTTTCCAGAGCCACTTCTAAACCATTGGCTGTTTCTTATTGTTTGAATACTTCAAATGATTAAGCTATTGTCTCCAACGCCTCTGCTTGCTTTCCTTTCCTAAGTAATTTTAATGTCTTGTAAAATTCCTTCTCTTCTGCCATCCTGAGATTAGTGTTAATGAGCTTTAATCTCCTCCTTTTGGACTGGAGTGTATATCAATTTTGTCCTCATCTTCATCCATCCAATCTCATTCACCCGAGGTCCAACTCAAAACTATCCTCTTCAGAGCCTTTCCTGTTCCTTAGAGCAACAACTACAAGTTACCTACTTTTTTTCTGGACAACCATATTCCTTTATTTTATTTTATGCATTTTGAAAATTTTATATAGAATAATAATGAAAGGTGAGATATTTAGGGAAAAGAACTGTGAAATATTTAGAAGAACTGTGTTTTATTCATGTTTGCATTTCTACCAGCCCTACTTCAGCTCCTCATTTTGCACTTGGCATGCAGAGTATGCTTAATAAATGTTAATTTGAACACAATGACAACACCTGCCTCTTATCCTTTCCTGTTTTAGTAACGCTTATTATAATGCCATAAACTACAACCCCTAAATTTCAGGAATTCTAGAGACTCTCTGGAATAGCATCCACAAAGCTATTTTTAATAATATTCAATAATATTTTTGAAGCATATCCTGTATATCCAGCCCTTGCCTAAATAGTAGGGATAGGTTGTGAGGAAGGAGCATTCTAACTGGACCCTTGGGAATGAAGCCACTTCTCCATCCCTGGGGCTGGGGAAGGACCTACCAGCCGGAACCATGCTGCCTTATCATTATGAAATAGGTAAAAAGTAGCCCCTAAAGCAAAGAACAGTGTCCACTGCATCCTCTACTTAACTCTTCCCTATCCCTAGTCCTGTAGCCTCCTTTAGAGTAGACTAAGTTGCAATTCCAAACAGGTTCTATTTTGTTTCACATCCTTCAATAGCTTTCAGCATCAAGTTCAAGTGCCCAGTTTAGCATAGAAGGCTTTCCTGAGCTGCCTGTTTCTGAAGCATCTTGCACTAAGCCACATGCATGCCCACCCTTTAATCATGAAGTCTTCTTTTAGTTTTCAAACCTGGCAGGCTTTTTGAGCATCTGTGGTTTCTTCACGTTCTATTTTTTCTTTCTAAAATGGTTTCTTTTCTTCATTTTAACTTAGTAAATGCCTTTCCACTCTTTACCTCAGTTTAAAGATCACATATCTTGAGACGGTCTCTTGACTTCCCTGTTTTATTTAAAAATCCCCTCTCTGTTTTTGTAGCATAATATGGTTCAGTTTGTCACAGCCTCCATAATGGTGAGTTTACATGTCTGCCTTCATTTTGCTGTGTGCTTGTGCTTTTTCTGTCTTAATCGGTTTTTGCATCCACTGTACAGGCTGGGGCCTGGTATGCAGTAGGAACTTGGTAGCTTTAAAGAATTTAACTTCTAGCACTTTTCAGGCTCCTCTATTAAATCCAAAGTAAATACTTTATTTATTTACCTACTTCACTTTTAGAAGTGTTTATATTGGACAAATTTATTATTCGATTCTAAAATTTTGTGAAACTTTCTCTTTATTTCTATTTAGATAAATATCCTGTATCTAGTTGGATGATTATTCTTGTTGGTTGATGCTACTATTGAAACACTTATAAAATTGAATTATATTAATGATTCATTTGCTTTTCTCTATCTCTTTCACTCTATTGTGAAGTCTCAGAGGCAGGGTCCACATTCTATTCATTATTGCGCAGCCAATCCTGGCACACGGAAAGTACTCAGTGAATGTTTATTGAATAAATACAAATATATATCCTCTGGTTCTGACTGGCCTCATGCCTCTGAAAATGATCTCTCCTTTTTTCTTCATATTCTTGGGCTTCATCTTTCAGTACCTTTTAAGAGTCCCTGATTTCGCAATTACCACCTTTCCTCCAACTAGGAAAAGTAGCCACCAGGAGAAGGGTTTGCTACTGCTTGGGATGCCTCCACTATCAGTGGGTCTTAATTGGAGGGCAGGGGCAGCCAAGTGCAAGGTAAGTGGCAGAAATCCCAGGTGGCAAAAGCATGGCCGCTTCATGTCAATGAGATGCACATGAAGACTAAGCAGGTCTCATGGCACAGCACAGGGGCCTCAGAAAGCCGGGATAGATTTGAGTCAGTCCCTAGCTTGACACTGTGGGTAGCAGGGTTATTTGGGGAAAGACTTTATGGTTATCACTTAATCTACTGTTAAGGGTTAGGAAATAATGAGAGCAAATAGAAAGGGCAAGAGAATAGAAATCTAAAGGACAGAGTCCCAGTGTCAATTTCTTTTTTCTGCTTACATGCCAGACTTTGAGGAAGCCATGAGTCCCATGAGCCTTGGTTTCTGTATCTCTGCTGTGGAATAATTATACTTACCCTTTTTACCTCATAGAATTGTTCCAAGGACCAAATGAGGGCTACACAATCTACTGCACACTGTTAATTTGTTCACCAGTGTGAGGGGTTACCATTCTTACTCTTGTTTTATAAAGGCTATGGTATTTTTACCTAGTTCTCTGATTTACGGAGGTAATTATGCAGATTTCCCACTTTGCTGTATTCTTTTTAGAGAGAATGTTACTACAAGCTAGCTTTTCTCTTTGAAAAGTAGAATTTTACCCAACTTAACAATTCCAGAGAATAGTTCACGTTTGCACCGCAGCAGGTGGTGGTAACTCCTGTTGTGGGGATTTTACTTTTTGTTGAGAAGGCAAGGAGAAGGGAAGGGATGTGAGAGGAATGTAGAAACCAGTGGTCTTCTCACAGCATGGCTTTACTTGATTTTATTTTGTGGACAAGCCTTGCGTTGTTGGCAAGTCACAATTTTCTTCAGTGACCTTCAATTTTCTTCATCATCTGAAGCTTCTTCTCTCAGAATTCCTAATGGTCTGTCCATTAACAGATATTTACTGAATACCTTCAGTGTGCGAATGAGCCAGACCACAGAAGTGCAATGGTGAACAAAACAGACACAGCCTTTGGGTTTACTGAGTTCATCTTCTACTGGAGAAAATGGAGAAAAACAATTGCAGATGTTGAGGAAATATAATTAAAAACAAAATCTTCTTCAACCCAGGACATTTCTCCACAAAGGTAGTAGAAACAGAAAACAGTTTTTATTAAACAAGCATTAAACCAGTATGCAATGTGCATCACAGACAATTCAGTAAGAGATTGCAAAGACAGAAAGAAATTTCACCCATTTATATAGCCAAGCTGACACAACCCATTATGCACATGTTCTCAATAAAAACAATACCTAGTCCTTTCTGGGCGCAGTAGCTCACGCCTGTAATCCCAGCACTTTGGGAGGCCAAGGCAGGCAGATCACCTGAGGTCAGGAGTTCAAGACCAGCCTAGCCAACATGGTGAAACCCTGTCTGTAATAAAAAAAAAAAAATTAGCCGGGCATGGTGATGGGTACCTGTAATCCCAGCTACTCAGGGAGGATGAGGCAGGAGAATTGCTTGAGTCCGGGAGTTGGATGTTGCAGTGAGCCGAGATTGCGCCACTGCACTCCAGCCTGGGCAACAAGAGTGAAACTCCATCTCAAAAACAAACAAAACAAAACAAAACAAAACAAAAAACAACACCTAGTCCTAAAATAAGAGGACTTGACAGCATCATTTGTCACATAATTCATCCTAACTTTACCTGGTAATGGGCATTACTATCAATGCTAACATATTTATTTTATTCAGAAGAAAATTCTGATACTTTTATAAGAAGGAGGGAATTTTGCAATTTGGGGCATGGTTCTCACCTAAGTTAGGGTGCTACCCTCCCATAGAAACTGAGACATAGGGGTGCTGATTTCCCTTGATGTTTACATTTCAAAGAGATGGCTTCCAGGTTTTTGAGGTTGATTTTCCTGGGCTATCAAGCTATTTAATTTTCAAAAGAATTTATATACATTTCAAAGAGAGGAGAAAGTATTTATATAAGTTTTCTAAAGTAAATAGTCTGAGAAAAAGTAGAGCAGTATAATTCCTTCCCCTATTTTCAACAGGGAGAATGAAGTGTCTTCAAAAAAAAAAAAATGATTTGTCCTCACACAGATAACAGATTTAAGAATCTCAAAGGTGCAAAAAATTTTCAACTCAAGAAGACTGCACTTCAGTGTTTTTTTTTTCTTATTGATTTTTCAATTGATTTCTTATTCAGTTTACTGAAATGGTTAAAGTCTAAAAATTCATTATGTAAGCAAATAAGGGCCAGAAATTGGAAGTTATTCCTGATCCTGGAATTTATCTGTCTCTGGTCTTAAGGATTATTGAAACAGTTGGAAGGTGATTATAATCACATTTTAACTTGATAGTATTTCAACATTTTAACCTCAGCACCTTGCAAATCCTGGAACATAGCAGGTTCTCAGTAAACCTTGGCTGACAATGAATAACTGAATTGTCTAAGAGCAGAATGCCCTAGCCATGTAGAGAGAGATGTGTGTCATACCAGGGTGAGTGGATTGCTCCACAGATTCCCCTAGATAATTAGCTTCATAAATATTGATGTCTCAGCATTTCCCACTCTTCTTTGCCAGCCCTCCTGGGAATATCTGAAAAGCACTTTTAACACAGACTTAAGTTTAATGAACATAAAGCAATAGTAATTACGCTGGCTAGGCTTTTCTTCAGGTATTCTCTCAAATTCTAGAAGTTCTGCTGGATTTATCCAGTCTGTATCCAGGGTGAATAAAAGGGGAGCTTTTCTATTCTACTTCCCTCAACCAAAGGCATGTCTTCCTGATACTTGGGTTTGATTCTCCAAATCTCCAGGGTTAATTTGCTGATGGTAGTAGGTATTCACCACTGCAGGTGTGGGTTGTAGGTAGAGGAGAGCTTCCTTCCCTTTGCTTATTATCACCATCATCTTTCTCATTTTCCCCAGATGCCTTTCCTTTACTTTCCAGGGTCCATTCTGATCCCCTTTATAGTTCCCTCAGCCCCCTCAGGAAGCCTCTGAGGGTTTCTTTTTCTCATCAGTCCTCTGATCACCAACTTCCTCTGTCTCATACATCTTGATTGCAGCCATACATACAAGACATGCTTTTTACTATGTATATGTATACAGAATAATAGAGTCACTTAGTGACAATCACTGATGTAGAATATGGCACTGAAGTCAGTAGTTTTCTCTTTCCTCAAGAAATCCTCAAATATGCAGTTGTGTTTTTCTAGTTTCAACCAGTAAGATGTTTGTAATTAATTTAATCTGGTTAGTGATCATGAAAAAGGAAGTGATGTTTCACTTTTTGAAGGCACAAACTCTTTTGAACTAGTAAGAAGGAAGAATTCCCCAAACGTCAAGAGGAACATCATTTAATACAAGGAAATTGCAATTCATTTAAAGCTACCTTAGTAGCAGTAAAGACTTAGGTGATGGCCAAGCTTTCAACATTTAAGCATTTAGTGAGTTGGTTATTTGGCATTATGCCACTTAAACATGCAGATGATTGATTTCATTTTTAAAACACTTGACCACATCCTCCTGATGTTTTGGCATCTTGCCAACAGCCTCAGTGTGCTGTGCTTTTTAAGAGAGCTCTCTACTGCTGTCTTATGGTGCCTGGATGAATGGCTGGGAGTCAGGAGGCAATGCTGGCTCCACCACTAAGCAGATAAGTTGGGGTAAACTGGATAATCTTGGGTAAGTTTATTTGTGTGGGTCTCAATTTCGCCTTTTGCAAACTGCATGTTAAATTGATAAAAAATTTTGTAAATGTGGAGCTGTCTAATTGGCAAGGAAAATCTTCAGGACCTTATGAACAACTTTTTGTAAAGTCATGCACTTCGGCCTCTGTTGTTTTCATTGTGACTTTTAATGTACTCACTGACTCAAGGTTCAAGCAATTTACAAGGGGTTCCTTGTCATTCTTATGAATTAATACACCATTACATACTCTTTTTGTCCCTGGGCTTAGGAGCAGCTTCGTTTTTGGAATCCAATAAGAATGTTCTTCTTGGAGATAATTAAAGGCCTCTGCCCTCAACCAACTAAACAGGTTTTAATCAAAAATTGAATGTGCAGATTTTTCTTTAGAAATTATGTAAATAAGGTACAAACCAGGATGCAGATGTGAAGGATCAAAGTGGAAATTACCTCTGCTGGTCCCTTGAAGAGCAAATTGTTTCATTGACTTTTCTTCAACATAGTTCTTATTCTGCCTTGTAAGGGTTTTTCTTCTTTGCATTTTTTAAAAAATATAATTTGATGATCTATAATAAAGGAAATAAAGACCTTTGACTAACATAGCTTCTGTTTTGCTAGAGGCAGAGCCAACTTTGAAATTGTACTATTTAATTACAGTGAAGACTTCCATGGCCTCATGAGCAAAAACCAACTAATGCTTTTCCTTTCAGAAAGCAGGCAAGAGTGCAGGCAGAGAAACAAGGGTATTTTGGTCCTCCCAAAAATAGGAGCCTGAGATGTTTATATCAGGAGGAAGTGTTTGGGCAATGTCTGTTCCTGTTCAGACTTTATCCCTCTGGGGACTGGCAGAGATGTGGTGAATCTTTCTCCTGAGAATTTCTGAGCAATACACAGGGCCTGGACAAGCCTCCTTTAACAACTTAATCAATTCAAGGAGCATGAGCCGCAATGCTTTGCCTGGTAGTTATGTAAGATGAAAGGAGTCTCAAAGTCGAATGAAACTGTGTTATTCAGCTCTGTATTATTCACTCTGAAGCCATCCTACTCAATAGGTTATGCATGAATTTCTCCCATTTGGAGTAAAGCACAGTAGCCAAAAGTCATCAATGTTTTATAAACTGTGACTAATCCTCTACATAGTCTCTCTCTCTCTTTTCCTACTGATGAGATTTTTGTTTTTGTATTTGCTGATATTTAGGTACTACTTCTCTGCACTTTTATTATTATTTTTTAAATCACTTGAGACCATGGCAAACTGTGGAGTTGAGGATTGATACGGTCATTAGAGAAGTCTGCTCTCCCAAGCTTTTAGATTGCTTTGAAATATTTTGCTTCAAAATAGCAACAGATAAATCTGAAGCTCTGCCTTCCAGAGCAGCAACACAGTGAATTTCCAGGGTCCTCCTGGCTTTTACCAAGCTGTTGCCACCCCAAAATAGTGGCGATCTCATAAACGTTTAGCAAATCATGGCAATGAATGTGGCAAGGGCGGACATAGCCAGCGTGTGTGTGTTTTTAATCATGCATCATTTAGTACAAAGATGACTCTTGGATGTTTTGGCAAATTAATTTGTATTGCACTTCAGAGAAGGGAGAGAGCAGCTGGGCTCTAGCCCATGAAGCTACAGTAGCTGTATTTGCTAATTAAGTTGCTGCTTCCATTGCTTCATATGAAAGCTCAAACTTTGCTTTTCCCCAAGGTTTTGGGTGAAACCATGTCAGCCCTTCTCCAGTGAGTCCATGTTCTTGCTGTGCAGTGTTGGAAACTTCAATGCAATGACAGAGCAACTATTTCTAAAACAGTGGCCCTCTACAATTTAAAAGTCAGCCACAGTGCCATCTTCTTCGAAATTTGATTGAAGATGTACTCCTGGACATTTATACAAGTCAAATGTTACTCCTCCCCCATCACTCTTTTATGTTTGATATTTTGTGTAACCCTACCAGAAAGGTCTTACATGGCCTAGGTATTTGCTAGGTGTTGAATTAAAAACAAATGGTCTGAAAGAAAAATTCATTTGGAAGAAGGCCAAATTTAGGTACTCTTCTAACAAGAGGGAGAGGGAAGTTAATTCACATGCAAAATATTCAACACTGTTCCCAATCTTCGTATTCTAAAGAGACTGCTGTCACCCCAATCCTCTCCTTATGAAGTCTCATCGCCCAGTGGGATTCTGTCCCCAACACACCCAGCACACCTGAGCTGCTAGATTTTCCTTTCTTCTCCCCACATCAGCCCCCTTTTCTGTTCTGTTGTCATTCAGTCATTTTTTTGTTTTAATTAGGAATGTACCTTTTCAAATGCAAATCCTCTTTCCCCCAGTATTTTTCAGTTCTGTCTCTTAACTACTGGCAGAGTTTTGCAGCATGAATTCCAGGAACTATCCTTGCTTCTCTGCTTAGTGGGCAGAGGAGCAGGAGAAGCTGAACAGGCAAAACCAGAATTTGCTCTTTAACAGGAGAGAAAAAGGAAGGCTAAGAATATGCATATTTTAATAATTTTTAATGGCTATATTCTTGTCCCTAGGTATCCATGATTTTCTTCTAAAAATATATTAAAAAATTCTGTCTTCTGCCTTTCAAAGGAGCTGTGGGGCACCAAAAGTCGATGAGGCCTGGGGTTATTGTCAGGTATTTTGTCATGGTGAAATGTGTCTATGGAGACCTTTAAGACATAAGCCGAGTTGGGGTTAACAAAGAAACTTAGAAAGAATAAAGGCTTTTCATGTCATTTAATAATAAAAAATGTTAAATTTTTTTTTATTGCTGGATAGCTCTGTGACTATCTTCATACATAAGAGTTTAACAGTCAGCTGAATTTATACGTTAAGCTTGTGTGTTTAGTTATTTGGTTGCCAAATGGTTTCAGGAGTCCCTGAAAATGCTGACAGGTAAGTGTTTCATGTTCTGACCCACTTCAATAGCTTTGTGGTGATGGTAGCGATGATGGTGGTGATGATGGTGATGATGATTATGATGGTACCTAATATTTATGGAGAGCTTAATTTGTGCCAGATGTGTTCAAGAACTTTACATGTGTTAAATAATTTAATATTCATAACAATCCCATTATGCAGGAACATACTGTATTTCCATTTTTCATATAAAGGAGTAGAGGCACAGAGAAGTTAAAGAGCTGGCCTGAGCTCACAGTGCTGAGTGGTGAAGTCAAGATTTAACCATAAGCATCCTCTTTTCAAAGCCCACACTCTTAACTACTACTTTACATTGTTACTGCTGGGATCATTTTCTATTAAATAAATTGAATTTTGATTACAATTGGCTAGCTTAAGCCTGCACACCTCCCTCCTGTATTACTGCCCCCAAACTATCAAAAATAGGATACCTATGCTATATATGACCAAGCCCCAAATGTGCTAAGATTGACTGGACCAGAGGACAGGAGAAACATTTAACTTACATGTTCAGTCTCATTCAGATTTTCAGCAATGGCTTCACACCACCAAAAGAAGAGGCTTCTTCTAAAGAGTACAATGGCTAGGGCTCGCAAGGGCTGGAGCTGTAGGATCTGGCTAGCTCCATACCTACCTGAGCTCTGGTTGTCCTTATGCTAATCACTCATATTAATTTACTTATAGTGTCTGCCAGGGGTCACAAACTCAAATCGTGGTGGTATGATTTAGTGATGTGAGTCTGGTGCCAAGTTGCTTGTATTGACAGAGTACAACCTGCACCTAGCTATGTTGCCTTTAATAAATGGCTAAACAGAACTTACCCTCGGGCTGCCTTTGGTAGGCGCTTAGCCAGTTTGCCACCTCTGCTACACATTTATCTCTATTAGTAGCACAGATTGGAAAGTTGCCCACTGGCTTCTGATGTTAGATAATGTACCATCCAACTACACACTAATAAATAAGGACAGAAAGTAGAATCACAGCTTTCGGCCTATCTATGGGAGACAGACTATGGCCCTTAGGGATTCTAGTTTCTGAAGAAACCAAATAAATTTCTATAGCATTATGGTCAGCAGTTCAAATCTGGGCATCTGCTATTTTGTACCCAACACTGTGCTAGGTAGACATAATGGAAAACATAAAAGAAGCAGGAAAATCTCTCATCAGTTTTAGATGGCCAGCAATTTTATAGGGGAAACTAATGAACAGTACATGACATATTTAAGCAAGGTTTAAGGTGTGCAATTCAGACAATAAGTGTTAGAGGAGGTTTCTATTGCAGAATGGACCAGACCTAACACAGGTAGTTCATGTAGCTGCTTCATCTCCATTATCCCCGAGACCTGTGAAATGTAAAATGTCAGTTCAGGTTCACCATCTCAAAGCCTTGAAATGCAGCAGGTCTGCCAGGATTAAGTAGATAATTGGCTAGCAATATTTTGCTGCATTGACTTTGGATTCGTAGATATGCAGATGGGTGTTAGAATCTGCTCTGAAAGGTATACTGGACTGCTAGAAATGGCTTTGCCACTAGCTGGGAGGCTTGGATCATTGTTTTTCCTGAATACCCCCCAAAATGCAATGCTCAATTGGCTAAACCAATCATTCATTCATTCATCCAATAATTAAATAATTAGCAGTTGCTACTATGTGCCAGATTCTATTCTAACTTTATAAGATATTTCAAATTCTAGGTAGATTAAGGACAGAATTTGGTATTAGAAAACCTAGGTTATAATCATGGCTCTCTTCTTTATTTACAGTGAGGCAGAATAAAGTCAATTTACTTACCTTGGTTTTTATTTCACATTTGTGAATGAAAAACTGGCTACATGTGTTGTTTATGAACTGTGCCCTCTGGAGTTCTGTGATTTCTTTCTCAGGATGACATGGGGATATTCTAGACCAGTGGTTCTCAACCAGGGGCAATTTTGTACCCCCTTATTTATGCCCAGAGGACATTTAGTAATGTCTGGAAAAAATGTTAGGAGGGGCAGTGTTTGCCACTGGATCTGGTGGGTGGAGGTCATGAATATTGCTAAATATCCTACAATGCACAAGACGGTCTGCCACAACCATCTATACAAAGATTTATGTAATCTAAAATGTCAGTAGTACCCAGGTTGAGAAACACTGCTGTAGAAGACAGACATGAGGCTGAGCTTGTTGGGCCCCTGTGATCCCTAATCTACTAACACCAAAGTAGATCCACCTTTATTTTCTGGATGTAGCCAGCATAAATTTGACAGGTGATAACTCAAGTGTATAAATTTTATTTTCTATAATTCAGCATAAATTATGTGTTAATTTCCCCACTATGTTTTTCAGTTGCTTCAGAGCTGACATACAGATACTTCCAGGTTACAGTGTCCTTTCTTTTCCTCTTCAGGACTGAATCTACCTTGGCGACTCTTAAACACCATCTTGGTATTGAGGGGAAGTTGAGGTCCAGGTTTGCTCTACCCTCAAGCCTCCGCTGTTGTCTGCAGCCATGCATCCCTCTCTGCTGGTCTTTGTTCACCAGTTTTTATTCTTACTGCTCTTGTCCTGCCACAACTGCAATAGTGTGCTCTAATCACAGCTGTAACAAGGCCTCTGGTTCTCTCCCTTGGCCATTTGTGTTCCCATTTTGGAGTCATTGGAAATTTTCATATATGCTTCTTAATCCCTCTAGGCTGTGGAATCTCAGGGTATGGCTCTGTTAGACCCTCTCTATACCTGACCTGACACTATTTCTATTCACAGTTGAAGTCCTATACTGGAAAGGTGCACCCTTTTGAGAGGTTCTCTGGCACTCCCGATGACACATTTCTTTCCTGCTCTCAGGCCTCCCAATCCTAGATCTCTTTTGCAGAGACTCCTACCAGCAGCTTGCTCTATTGATATCCGCTTTGCCACTCTTTCCTTCTCCCAGCTGATCGAAATTTATCTTCTTTTAAGGGTGGAAAATGGCATCTACAAAATCTGACATTCTTTCTAACCTTAGTGTATATAGTATAAAATTAATATTTTTATTTTTATCAAAACTGCCATTTCAATGAATCCTTTATTCTTTCAAAATCTTGGCTGTTTTAATAGAAAATCTTCATTTTTTCAGCTATTAACTCTGATGTGAATTTCAAAACTCTAAATATAAGAATTGACTTCTTTATAATCCAGCAACAACTAGCCTTTCCTAATGATAGGAGTACCATTGGCACAATGGGTAGTGGATTTTAGGATTAATCCTTGTAGTTTCAATGTCCTTTTAAACTTTAATTTGCTGCTTAAAAAAGAAGATAATTAAGAAGGAAGGAAGGAAAGCCTAGATGGTCTGCATTCTCATTCTTTCATAGAAGATGATCTGAATGTGTGAAAAGTCTGCGTCTGTTGTGTATGCCTAATAATCTCCCTTCCTTGATGTATACATTTTTTCCCTCTGAATTACTATGGGAAGAGAGGCGATATGGTTTGGATATTTGTCCCCTACAAATCGCATGTTGAAATGTGACCTCTAATGTTGGAGGTGGGCCTATTGCAAGGTATTTATGTCATGGGGACAAATCTCTCATGAATGGCTTGGTGCTGTCCTCGTGGATAAGTTCTCATTCTATGAATGTACATGGTATCTCGTTGTTTAAAAGAGCCTGGCACCTCCTCCCTTTCTCGCTTACTTTTGCCCTCACCATCTGATGTGTCTGCTCCCCGCTTAGCCTTCCACCATGATTGGAAGCTTCCTGAGGCCCTTGCCAGGAGCAGATGCCAGTGTCATGCTTCCTGTACAGTCTGCAGAACCATAAGCCAAATAAGCCTCTTTTCCTTATAAATTACCCACTCTCAGGTATTCATTTACAGCAATGCAAACAGACTAATACCAGAGGCCTTTGGAATCCCCATAAGGAAGCAAGGAGATCTACATATAATTTTTCCTTTGTAATTCATTGTCAAGGGGAAAATTGGATTAGATAATTGGAAACATTTTACACAGATATTTGGCTAGACATTACTCATACATTATTTCTATCCAGAGTATTTGCTTTTGAACACAAAAATTTTCAAAGAGATAGCAAAAATATTCCCTATTTCCTAGTGGGAAAATAATAAATATAATTACCAAAGTTAGGGATTGGGAATCTCTCTCTCTTCTTCTCTGTCATCCCTCTCTCTCTCTCTCTCTCTGATCTATCTAATTTTTAGTATAGGTGGCAATTTCTGCCTATTATTTAGGAGAATAAAATTTAATTTCCTAATGGCAGGGCAAAGATTTATTTGAAAGGTATTGTGCATCATTTATTGATTCAAAGAATATTTGTTGAATGTGCATTCCATAGATAAACCCCCTTATCAAATCTACTTTTTAAAAGACCAGGTCCTAGTCCTGCATGCATTATTAACTAATGATGTGACTGAAAAAGCCACAGTCTTTTTATATGGTCCAACTCTCTCATCTTTAAAATTAAAGACTATTTATAGGTTCTACTTTAATGGTTCAAAATCTATAGCATTTTCTCCCACAAGCTGTCCTTGGCATATACAAATTTCTTAGAATCTAATGTGCACACAAATATAATTCCTAAATATAATGGTTGAAGCTGTCTATGATTAAATAATCAGTTTTATTTTACTTATGTTATTGTATCTAGTAATCATTACCAAATAAACTATACAACACATAACAATTACTGATTGAATGAATGTAAGCAATTGGCAATCCAAAAACTAAAATCCATTTGGACAACAAATAAACTTTCAGATATAGTCTATACTATAATATGTAAATTCTTATTCAAAGTAATCTCAGCAAATAAGACACTTAGACTGAAAACAAAGAAAAAACAATTTTATTCTCTTTCTTCTTTCCATTTAATTCTCTGAGTTTGGGCAAAATTTAATCAATAGAGGGTCATGTTGAAAGCTAACACATTTATCTGTGGGTCATATTTCTTATTAAGGACTGAACATTGAACTTTTAGTCAGGACAACATTCTGGGAAATGCAGCTATTCAGTCACGTTGCATCTCCTATTGGAATCATTTATTATGAACTTTCATTCATTTAAAAGAAGAAGTAGGTAATTAGAGTTTCAACTCAAAGCTTTGCTATCTGGTGGGAGCTAACATTTTAAATTAAGGAGGCTTTTGGAAAGACACATTTCTATGGGGGTTACTTTGGAGCCCCAAGGATAAAAATCACCTATTCACCATTACTAAATGTCATGACATGTTACCAAAATGCATCTCTGTAGATCTTCTATCTAGGCCAGTGCTCGTATTTCTACCTTCTCTTGAAAATAGGTTATCTTGTTATTGACATTAAATGATAACTCTGGGTTCACATTTACCTTTGAATTAGAGTTGCTGATAACTCTGTTATCACATGAGTGCATGACTAATTTTCCCCCAAGTTCTGGCTGAAGATAAGACTTTACTTACATTTTAGTCTCCAGATGGAATATGGGCTTGTGTATAAAAGTGTGCATGTGCACCCAGATATGTGAGAGGCAAAAATAGTGTAGGAGTCGTGCAGTGTAGATCTGTCTATAGATCCCTTTCTTCTCCTTGCCTCGGTCTGAGAGATTGCAGTTCTGGTCCTATTGTCTGATGCCAATGCGGTCTCTATATTGAGTGAGAACAAAACACTAGGTATAGCGTTCATTTACCCCAGCTTTCTTCACCAAGGTGAGTAATTGATGAACACAGAGATGGGCTTCGAAGCAGTTTCTGTTGCTATTAGCTAACATATACAAAAAGCCTAGCCTACTATGTTTTCTACAAATATAAACAATCCAAGGTTTTTTCCCTTTAAAAATTTCCATGGTTTAAGATGAAAAAATAAACAAAAATAACTCTGCTGTGTGCCACTATCATCTGAAAATTCATTCATAGCAGATAGAATTATGGTGCTTCTGTTATTATGGATTCATTATTGGCTGGAGTTGTATATAGATTCCTATCACCTAGCTATTATGCAGGTGCAAAATACTTGGCTAGTTCACTTAGATGTTTTTGCTTTACATTTTCTGCTCTTACAAAGATCTCTGAATGTCCCAGCATTCAAAGTGAACACAATCAAGAATCATCTTTTGAACTAATAAGATCTAATCTACAAAAGGATCTGTCAATTTTTTCTTCCTAAATGTTCATTTATTGTGAAAAAAATACAGGACAGAGTTTATTGTTCATTTGAAGCATATTAGGATCTATTTAATGAAGAGAGGCAGTTGGGGCTGCATATTTTCAGTTGTGAAGAAAGGAAATTAATCAAAAAGGGAGATAACCATGGCTTCTTTGAAAGCTGTTTTGGCTTGCAGTCCAGGTATGACTGCCTTTTACTGAGGTTTACACAGCAAGATAAACCCCACTGCTGATTGTCTTATGATTTTTTTGCTGAGGCCTGTCACAATACAATGCGATGAAGATGTATCAAAGCACCATCCACCCCCGCAGGAAAAAATATTTGAATACCTTGTATTTATGTAGCACCTGGCTCCAGGGACCTCACAGTGCTGACACACAACATTACTCCTGGATTACATCTCCCAAGCCCCTGCAGCGACTGGGTGACCGCTGTGCAAGTCCAGCCATAACTGCATTCCCCAAGTGAGAAAACAGAATGGTACTTGGAAATCCAGCTCCAGGCTTGAACTTTTAAGTGCAATGCTGCATGACGAATTAAAGGCAAGGAAGCTTGGGCTGGTCATCAGAGAGGACTTTGTCTCCAGAGCCATATTAAACATAAAATTAAGCTCAAGGAATAGAGTGGTCATGGCTGGTAACATTTTAAAAAATAGCTTGGCATTATGGATTATTACTAAGAAATAAGAGGCCAGTTATCAGAGAAAGATTTTCTGACTCGTTGATTTTCTCCAACCACCATTTGTTTCCTGTGTGCCAGTGACTCATCAACACACAGTAAAAGAAGTATGCTTATTGAAATCTGTATCATGCCACAGCTCAACTTGGAGGAGAAAACTGTAACAGAGGCAGGAGAAATTTGTGGCCAAAGGAACATCATATGCATCCAAGCTATCTGCGACCTGGCAAACCTCCCAGTTCAGCAATTTAGCACATTTATTGGGGGTAATGGAATACACCTCTATATCAGAGGGGCATGTATTTAATTTTTCTCACTGTATTTTCTGGATGTGTCAATGTTTTCACTGGCCATGCTATGGAGCATATGGGGTCTTCACAGTACAGAAAAACATGTGGTCTTGCTTTCCACTTAACAATAATGTCTTATAAATAAAGGCTTATTGAAAACAAACATGATGTTGAGGATGTCCCCTTTCCCTGTCTCACTTCCTCCTTATGTGTTTTTGGTACATGGGCTATGGACAATGATTACTTCTCTCTATCATTAGCTTTGCCTGACATTTACAGGCAGAATGATAATAATCTTATTTTTATATGTGAGAAAACTCAATAAAACCCTCAAGAAACTGCAATTAGGAAACTGATTACCATATTGTATAACTTACCAATTATACTGTCATTACTGTCAGAACGAAGGAAAGAAAAATATATAATAACTATGGGTAACCACGACAGGCATAAGGATATTTCACTTCTTCTTCTTCCATATTCAAAATGAGTAAAAGTACAATAGACCTAGGTCCACCTTAGACATAGAGAATTGGGGCCCTTCTCCTGGGTCCAGCGCTTTAGTAGAGGCTTCTTTTGTCCTTCTGGTTGTTCCACTCCCCTGAGGAGAGGTGTCCCTTGGGAACCAAGGGAGCATGCCCACATAGAACCCACTCTCCTCTGGGAGACTACACGGTAGGTACTCAAGACCTGGACATTTTCTAATCATTGGCCCCAAAACAACTTCCAGTGATTTTGTGTGTCTTTTCCACCAGTTCTCTCTAAGTCTGAGGACAAAGGACAATTGTTTCAGGGGTGTGTGAATGGAGGTTGGGTCTCTGTGCTGTGTGTCCCAGGTATGCTTGTGAGGTCCCTCCTTATGTGATAATGAGTAGGGATGAGATTGGGAAGTGGTTGCCTTGTGAGCTGGGACTGCTAATTTTACTCTTTCCTTGCACCTTGCAATGTTAGATGTGGGTCTATGTAGGTACCAAAAACATTCCCAGTATCATCTCACTTCTACCAACACAACCACATAGTGAATCTTAGGTTTCTGGCTATAAAAGTAATTTTTAAATTTTTCCTTGAATTACTACAAAGCACTGTCCCTTGTTCTTCTTGTTAAAATCAAAAGGCCAATGCTCAGTTTACATCCTGCTTTTGAATCTTCTCAATTTTTGTGGAGGCAAAGAATGCCAAAGGCGGTACACATATATTCAATCAAGGACATAATTTTGGAAATTATGATCTATACAAAAAGATAAGACAATTAAGGAAAATGCCAGTAGAGATGGTTTTAATGATCAGGGTGAAATTTTGTTGAGGGACTTTTTTAAGGTAACTGATGGCCCCTCGGCCTGCTTTATTCCAGCTTCTTGGAAATGATTTTTATATCCTCCAATTTTACATCAATTATTCCTTTTATTCTATATAAAATATATAAGTCTGGCAAGGCCCAGCAGCAGTAGGACTTTGAAGTGAGTAGCCAGAGAAGCTGATGTGGGTTTAGCTCATTGGGCATACTTTCAGAGAAACTAGCAAGTTCTGTTCTCTTTCAGTCTAACACTTCCCCAGCATAGCTTATGCCTTAGGAAGGGCCTAGAGGGACGGCAAAGGAATAAGAAATGAAAGACACCAGGGGCTTGAGAGAAGGAAATAGGAATCAGTGAAGAAGTAAAAGGTACAGACAAGATGCTGTATAAAGATTGGTATTTAATTAAGGAAAGGCTTGGCACAATGAATACTGACAAACTGTATCATTGGCACTTAGAATTATTTCTTAGGATAGATTCACCAAAATGAAAATAGATGGGTCAGAGGATATCAATATTTTTAGGTCTCTTGATATCTATGACAAATTGTAATCCACTCCCACCAGAAATGTCTAAGGGTTCCTTATTTACTGGATATTTGGCAGTGTTAGCAATCTTTTTTATTGTTGTTAAAAAATACTTAATTAATAAATGTTATGTTACTGTTTTAATTTTAATGTATATTATTAGTGAAATCAAATGGTTGTCAATATGTCTGTTGCCTGATATTTCCTCATTGAGATTTGTTTTTTTTTACTTTTAAGTTCAGGAGTACATCTGCTGGTTTATTATATAGGTAAACTTGTGTCATGGGGGTTTGTTGTACAGATTATTTCGTCACCCAGGTATTAGGCCTAGTATCCATTAGTTACTTTTTCTGATCCTCTCCCTTCTCCTAGCCTCCACCTTCTGATAAATCTCATTGTCTGTTGTTCCCCTGTAAGTGTCCATGTGTTCTCATCATTTAGCTCCCACTTACAAGTGAGAACATGTGGTATTTGGTTTTCTTTTCCTGCATTAGTATGCCAAGGATAGTGGCCTCCCACTCCATCCATGTTCCTGCAAAGAACATGATCTCATTCCTCTTATGTCTGCATAGTATTCTATTGTGTATGGTACCATGTTTTCCTTATACAGTCATTTGATGGACATTTAGGTTGATTCCTTGTCTTTGCTACTGTGAATAGTGCTGCAATGAAAATACGCATGCATGAGTGTTTATGATAGAATGATTTATATACCTTTGGGTATATACCCAGTAATGGGATTGCTGGGTAGAAGAAATGGTATTCTGCTTCTAGGTCTTTTAGGAATTGCCATACTGTCTTCCCCAATGGTTGAACTAATTTACACTCCCAACAACAATATAAAAGTGTTCCTTTTCTTTGCAACCTTGCCAGCATCTGTTGTTTCTTGACTTTTTAATAATCACCATTCTGACTGGTGTGAGATGCTATCTGTTCGTGGTTTTGATTTGCATTTCTCTAACGATAGTGATGCTGAACTTTTTTCATATATTTGTTGGTGGCATGAATGTTTTCTTTTGAGAAGTGTCTTTTCATGTCCTTTGCCCAGTTTTTAAAGAGGTTATTTGTTTTTTTTTCTTGTAAATATGTTCAAGTTCCTTGTAGACTCTGGATATTAGATGCTTGTCAGATGGATAGATTGCAAAATTTTTCTCCCTTTCTGTAGGTTGTCTGTTCACTCTGATGATAGTTTCTTTTGCTGTGCAGAAGCTCTTTAGTTTAATTAGATCCCATTTGTCAATTTATTTTGCTGCAATTGTTTTTGTTGCACTTGCTTTTGGCATTTTCATCATGGAATCTTTGCCCATGCCTATGTCCTGAATGGTATTGCCTAGATTTTCTTCTAGGGTTTTTATAGTTTTGAGTTTTACATTTAAGTCTTGAATCCATCTTGAGTTAATTTTTGTATAAGGTGTAAGGAAGAGGTTCAGCTTCAATTTTCTGAGCATGGCTAGCCAGTTCTCCCAGCAGCATTTACTAAATAGGGAATCTTGGTTTTTTTTGTTTTTTGTTTTTTTTTTGAGACAAAATCTAGCTCTGTCACCCAGGCTGAATGCAGTGGTGCAATCTAGGTTCACTGCAATGTGAGTCTCTCAGGTTCAAGCAATTCTCCTGCCTCAGCCTCCTGAGTAGTTGGGATTACAGGTGCCTGCCACCACACACAGCTTTTTTTTTTTTTTTTTTTTTTTTTTGTACTTTTAGTAGAGATGGGATTTCACCATGTTGGCCAGGCTGGTCTCAAACTCCTGACCTCAAATTATCCACCTGCCTTGGCCTCCCAAAGTGCTGGGATTACAGGCTAAATAAAGACTCTTCCCCGTTGCTTTTGTTAGGTTTGTAAAAGATCAGATGGTTGTAGGTGTGCTGTCTTATTTCTGAGTTCTCTATTATGTTCAACTGGTCTATTTGTCTGTTTTTGTACCAGTACCATGCTGTTTTGGTTACTGTATCCTTGTAGTATAGTTTGAAGTTGAAGTAGTGTGATGCTTCCAGCTTTGTTTTATTTTTGCTTAGGATTGTCTTGGCTATATGGGCACTTTTTTGGTACCATATTAATTTGAAAATAGTTTTCTCTAATTCTGTGAAGAATGCCAATGGTAGTTTAGCGGGAATAGCATTGAAAATATACATTACTTTGGCAATGTGGCCATTTTCACAATATTGATTCTTCCTATCGATGAGTATAGAATGTTTTTTTCCATCTGTTAGTGTCCTCTCTTATTTCCTTGAGCAGTGGTTTGTACTTCTCTTTGAAGACGTCCTTCACTTCCTTTGTTAGCTGTATTCCTAGGTATTTTATTTTCTTTGTAGCAATTGTGGATGGGAGTTCATATGTGATTTGCCTCTCTGTTTGCCTGTTGTTGGTGCATAGAAATGCTAGGGATTTAAGCACATTGATTTTGTATCCTGAGGCTTTTCTGAAGTGGCTTATCAGGCAAAGAAGCTTTTGGGCTGAGACAATGGGGTTTTCTAGATACAGGATCATGTCATCTGCAAACACAGATAATTTGACTTCCTCTCTTCCTGTGTGAATACTCTTTATTATTTTCTTGCCTGATTGCCTTGGCCAGAACTTCCAACACTATGTTGAATAGGAGTGTTGAGAGAGGACATCCTTGTCTTGTGCTGTTTTCAAGGAGAATGCTTCCAGCTTTTGCCCATATAGAATGATATCGGCTGCAGGTTTGTTATATATGGCTATTACTGTTTTAGGTGTGTTCCTTCAATACTTAGTTTATTGAGAGTTTTTAACAATAAAGCGATGTTAAATCTTGTCAAAGGCCTTTTCCGCATCTGTTGATCGCGTGGTTGTTATCTTTAGTTCTCTTTATGTGATGAATTACATTTATTGATTTGTGTATGTTGAACCAACCTTGCATCCTTGGGATGGCACCAACTTGATTGTAGTGGATAAGCTTTTTGATGTGCTGCTGTATTCGGTTTGCCAGTATTTTATTGAGGATCTTTGCATCACTGTTCATCAGGGATATTGGCCTGAGGTTTTCTTTTTTTTGTTGTATCTCTGTTGTATCTCTGGTATGAGGATGATGCTGGCCTCATAAAATGAGTAGGGAGGTGTCTCTCCTTTTCAGCTGTTTGGAATAGTGTCAGTAGAAGTGGTACCAGCTCTTCTTTGTACCTCTGGTAGAATTCAGCTGTGAATCCATCTGGTCCTGGGGTTTTTTTGGTTGGTAGGCTACTTATTACTGCCTCAATTTCTGAACTTGTTATTGGTCTATTCAGGGATTCAGTTTCTTCCTGGTTTAGTCTTGGGAGGTGTATTTGTCCAGAAATGTATCTATATCTTCCAGATTTTCTAGTTTATGTGCATAGAGGTATTTATAGTATTCTTTAATGATTGTTTGTATTTCTGTGGGGTCAGTGGCAATATCCTCCTTATCATTTTTTATTGTGTCTGTTTGATTTTTCTCTCTGTTCTTCTTTATTAGTCTAGCTAGTGGTCTGTCTCTTTTATTAATTTTCTCAAAAAAGCAGCTCCTGGATTTGTTGATTTTTTTTAAAAGGGTTTTTTGTGTCTCTATTTGCTTCAATTCATCTCTGATCTTGCTTACTTCTTGTCTTCTGGTAGTTTTGGGATCTGTTCCGCCTTGGTTTCCTCATTCTTTTTGTAGTGATATTAGGTCGTTGATTTGAGATTCTTTCTAGCTTTTTGATGTGGGCCTTTAGTGCTATAAATTTCCTTCTTAAAACTGCTTTAGCTGCATCCCAGAGATTCTAGTATGTTGTCTCTTGTCATTGGTTCCAAAGAACTTCCTGATATCTGCCTAAATTTCATTATTTACCCAGGAGTCATTCAGGAGCAGATGTTCAATGTCTATGTAGTTGTGTAGTTTTTAGTGAGTTTATTAATCTTCAGTCCTAATTTGATTGCACTGTAGCCTCAGAGACTGTTTGTTATGATTTCAGTTCTTTTTCATCTGCTTAGGAGTGTTTTACTTCCTATTATGTGATCAATTTTAGTGTAAGCGCCATGTGGCAATGAGAAAAATGTATATTCTCCTGTTTTTGGGTAGAGAGTTCTGTAGATATGTATGGTTCACTTGATCCAGAGCTGAGTCCAGGTCCTGAATATCTTTGTCTGCACTATTATCATGTGGGAATCTATCTCTTTATAGATCTTTAAGAACTTGCTTTATGAATGTGGGTGCTCCTGTATTGGGTGCATATATATTTAGGATAGTTAGCTCTTCTTGTTGAATTGAACCCTTTACCATTATGTAATGCCTTTATTTGTCTTTTTTATTTTTGTTTGTTTAATGTCTGTTTTGTCAGAAATTAGGATTTCAGCTCCTGCTTTTTTCTGTTTTCCATTTGCATGGTAAATTTTCCTCCACCTCTTTATTTTGAGCCTATGTATATCTTCACACACCTGAGATGGGTCTCTTGAAGACATACCAATGGAGCTTGACTCTTTATCCAGCTTGCCATTCTGTGTTTTTTAATTGGGGGCATTTAGCCCGTTTACATTTAAGGTTAATGTTGTTATATGTGAATTTGATCCTGTTATCATGATGTCAGCTGGTTATTTTGCAGACTTGTTTATGTGGTTGATTCATAGGGTCACTGGTCTGTGTACTTCAGTGAGTTTTTGTGGTGGGTGGTAATGGTTTTTCCTTCCCGTATTTAGTGCTTCCTTCAGGAGCTCTTGCAGGACAGAACTGGTGGTGACGTATTCCCTCAGCATTTGCTTGTCTGAAAAGGATTTTATTTCTCCTACGTTTATGAAGTTTAGTTTTGCCAGATGTGAAATTCTGGGTTGGAAATTCTTTTCTTCAAGATGTTGAGCATTGGTCCCCCATCTCTTCAGCTTGTAGGGTTTCTGCTGAGAGGTCCCATGTTAGTCTGATGGGCTTCATTTTATAGATGACTTGGCTTTTCTCTCTGGCCCTTAACATTTTTTTCTTTCATTTCAACCTTGGAAAATCTGATGATTATATGTGTTGGGTTTGATCTTCTCATGGGGTATGATACTGGGGTTCTCTGGATTTTCTGAATTTGAATGTTGGCCTGTCTTGCTAGGTTGGGAAAGTTCTCCTGGATGATATCTTGAAGTATGTTTTCCAACTTGGTTCCAATCTCCTCATCTCTTTCAGGTAAGCCTAATCAGTCATAGGTTCAGTCTTTTTTTCATAATCCCATGTTTCTTAGAAGTTTTGTTTGTTTCTTTTCATTCTCTTTTCTCTATTCTTGTCTGCCTGTCTTATTTCAGAAAGATAGCCTTCAAGCTCTGAGATTCTTTCCTCTGCTTGGTCTATTCTGCCACTGATACTTGTAATTACATTGTGAAGTTCTCATGTTTTATTTTTCAGTTCCATCAGGTCAGTTATATTCCTCTCTAAACTGGCTATTCTGGTTATCAGCTCTTGTATTGTTTTATTATGATCCTTAGCTTCTTTGCAATGGGTTTAAATATGCTGCTTTAGCCCAGTGAAGTTTGTTATTACCCACTTTCTGAAGGCTGCTTCTGTCAATTCAGCTACCTCAACCTCAGCCCAGTTCTGTGTCTTTGCTGGAGACACATTGTGGTCATTTGGAGGAGAAGAGGCACTCTGGCTTTTTGAGTTTCCATTGTTTTTGCATTGATTCTATCTCATGTTTGTGGGCTTATCTACCTTCAATCTTTGAGGCTGCTGACCTTTGGATGGTTTTTTTTGTGGGGTCTTTTTCGTTAGTGTTGTTGTTGTTGCTTTCTATTTTTTTTTTTTTCTTTTAACAGTCAGTCCACTCTTCCACAGGGTTGCTGCAGTTTGCTGGGGGTCCACCCCAGACCTCAGTTGCCTTGGTACCTCCTGCACCTGGAGGTATCAGCAGTGAAGGCTGTAAAACAGCAAAGATAGCAGCCTGTTCCTTCCTCTGGGAGCTTTGTCCCAGGGGGCACTGACCTGATGCCAGCTCGAATGCTCCTATTTGTGTCTGGAGATGTCTTCTGGGAGGAACAGAATCAGGGACATACTTAAAGAAGCATTCTGACTGCTCCTTGGCAGAGCAGGTGTGCTACACTTGGTGGAACCCCTCTTGTCCAGACTGCCTAGACTCTCCAGAGCCAGCAGGCTGGTAAGTCAACTGAACCACAGAGACAGTGGCTACCTCTCCACCTGGGAAGCTCAATCCCAGGGAGAGATCACAGTTTTGTTCATAAAACCCTAGCTGGAGTTGCTGAAATTCCCACAGAAAGGGCCTGTCCAGTGAGGAGGGACGGATCAGGTTCCCACTTAAACAAGCAATCTTGCCACAGCTTGGCACAGCACCCATTCTGCATTGTGAGAAACTCCTCCTGGTATGGGCCACCTGGACTCCCTGGAGCTAGCAGGCTAGAATGGCTGACTTGAACCACAGAGATGGCAGTCACCCACCCCCTAGGAACTCAGTGCATCTCAGGCAGTCTCTAGCCTGCTGCCACTGGCTGACTAAAATTCCAAGCCAGTGAGTCTTAACTGTAGAGGTGCCATGGGAATGGGACCTGCAGAATGATGCCACATGGTTCACTGGATTCAGTCTCCTTCCTAGGGGAATGCATGGACAGATTTCCCACCTTGCTGGAATTCCCAGGGCCAGAGTATGCAAATTCCTGGGTCTCTGTGCATGTCTGAGCTGCTCTGCCAAGACACCACACAGCTCTATGCTTTGGACCTAAGGCCCTGCTGGTGTGGGCTCATGAGGGGATTTCCTGACCCATGGGTGGCAAAGATCCATGGGAAAAGTGTAGTTTCCCAGGTGGGGTTGCACAATCACTTACCACCTCCCTTGACTGGAGGTGGGGGCTCCCCTGGCTCTGTGCCACTCCCAGGTCAGCTGTCGCTCCACCCTGCTTTTCCTCACTCTCCATGGGTTGAGCCATCCACCTCTTCAGTCCCAATGCAAGAATCTGGATACCTCAGTTGAAGATGCATAATTTGCTTTCCATTTTCATTCCTCTCTGTGAGAGCTGTGGACCACAGCTGCTTCTAATAGGCCATCTTGGACCCATCCAAGTCTATGTCTCTTTGAAGGTCTCTACAAACTTGCTTTATGAATTTGAGTGCTCCTGTGTTGGGTGCTTATATATTTAGGACAGTTAGATCTTCTTGCTGAGTTGAGCTTTTTACCATTATGTAATGCCCTTTTTTGTCTTTTTTTTTTTTTCTAATCTTTGTTGGTTTAAAGTCTGTTTTTTTTTTTCCTGAAATTAGAATAGCAAACCCTGCTTTTTTCTTCTTTCCATTTGCTTGGTAGATTCATCTCCAACTCTTTACTTTGAACCTATCGTTGTCATTATGTGTGAGATGAGTCTCTTGAAGACAGCATATAGTTGGGTCTTGGATCTTTATCCAGCTTGCCACTCTGTGCCTTTTAATTGAGGCATTTAGTACCTTTATGTTCAAGGCTAGTATTGATATGTGTGGATTTGATCCTGTCATCATAATGTTAGCTGATTATTATGCAGGGTTTTTTGTGTGGTTGCTTTACAGTGTAACTGATCTGTGTACTTCAGTGTGTTTTTGTAGTGGCTGGCGATGGTCTTTCCTTTCGATATTTAGTGCTTCCTTCAGGAGCTTGCAAGGCAAACCTGGTGGTAATGAATTCCCTCAGCATTTGCTTGTATGAAAAGGAACTTATTTCTCCTTTGCTTCTGAAGCATAATTTGGCCAGATATGAAATTCTGGGTTGGATTTTTTTAAAGAATGTTGAATGTTGGCCCCAAATCTCTTCTGGCTTGTAAGGTTTCAGCTGGGAGGTCTACTGTTAGTCTGATGGGCTTCCCTTTGTAGGTGACCTGATATTTCTCTCTAGCTGCCTTTAAATATTTTTTCTTTCATTTCAACCCTGGAGAATCTGATTTTGTGTCTTGGGGATGATCTTCTTATAAAGTATCTTACTGGGGTTCTCTGCATTTCTTGAATTTGAATGTTGGCCTCTATAGCTAAGTTGGGGAAGTTCTCATGGTTGATATCCTGAAATGTGATTTCCAAGTTGCTTACACTCTCCCCATCTCTTTCTGGGAAATCGATGAGACATTAATTTGTTCTCTCTATGTAATCCCATATTTCTCAGAGGTTTTGTTTGTTCATTTTTAGTCTTTTTTTCTGTATTCTTGTCAGATTGTCTTATTTCAGAAAGCCAGTCTTCAAGCTCTGAGGTTCTTTCCTCAGCTTGGTCTATTTTGCTATTAATACTTGTGATTGCATTGTGAAATTTTTGTAGTGTGTTTTTCAGCTCTATCAGGTTGGTTATGTTCTTTTCTTTACTGATTATCTTGTCTGTCAGCCCCTGTATCATTTTATTGTGATTCTTAACTTCACTTCATAAGGTAATTCTGGATCTCAACGATCTTGGATTCTATCCCTGTTCTGAATTTCATTTCTGTTCATTCAAGCATCTCAGCCCAGTTCAGAACCCTTGCTGGAGAGGTAGTGTGGTAATTTGGACTAAAGAAGGCACTCTGGCTTTCTGAGTTATTAGAGTTCTTGCCCTACTTCTTTTTCATCTTTGTGGGCTAATTTTCTTCAATCTTTGAAGTTGCTGACCTTTGGATGGGCTTTTTTTCTTTTATCTTATTTGATGACCTTGAGGGTTTGATTGTGGTATAAGGTGGGTTCAGTCAACTGGCTTCATTACTGGAAGTTTTTAAAGGACCAAGGCTCAGCTCAGGACTCCTGGACTTCATACTGTAAATCTAGGGGACTTGTATCAGGCCCCAACTTTGTTCTCTGACTCCTTGAGGTTAGAAATCCACTGCACTGCGGAGATTGAGGTGTTCCTTGACTGCTGGTCAGTACACTCCAGTGGGTGCTACCAGCCAAAGTATTTTGTAGTGGGGTGGTAGTGGGATCCATCCTTATTTGCATGTGCTAGCAGCAGCAGCAGCTTGGTGGGGTGCAAGCTTGTTGGCTGCAGCAGGGTGCTAGTGGGTACTGGGGTGCCTGTCTCCATGAAGGCATTTACAACAGCAGCAGAGGCAGCAGAGTTCAAGGAGTGGGGGATAAAAATTGTTTGTTTAGGTCATTTACCCACATGTGTATGTTAGAATCTTAGTATTTTAGTTAGGTAAGCCTTTCTCTTAGGTACCAAATGGCACAGCTAGTGTATGTAAGAAAGTGATCTGCACATATTTTCAAGTCAGTTGTTTGTATTACACCCAGGAATGCTCTGCTCTTTTCTGACTTTATTTCAAATTTCTTTGTGGTTTTATAGCAGTTGAGAGATTTAGAATGAGCATAAAGTTGATTTTGTCCCGTTAAAAGACTGTTTTTAAGATCTGATCATTTTAAATCCATCTAGCAGATGCTGTGGGTCATCAATTGAATCATATTGTAACTAATTCTAACTTGTTTTTTAATCAGCTGACAACTGTTTTTCATGTAAGCACTGAAATGAGACACATATAAGGCAATTTTTCAGCAGAGGGAAAAAAATCCAAACAGCTTTTGCTCCCTTGAGAAATACTACAGAGGGATCTGGTAAAACGGAAGGAAGCTTGTGGCTAAAATTTCTCCAGAGACATTAGAAATGAAATGGCCACTTCAGTCAGAGTCTCCATTTGCTACAGGAGTATAGACTGAAGCCTTTCTTCACTTAATTTTCTGGACTGGATTATTTATAAGCCATGTTCCCACTTTAAAAGAATAGCACATATGCCATGGGTAAGAGGTGGGAATGTGAAATGTACTTGCTTCTCAAAGGAAATCAAACTTAGCTTAATTTTGGGGGGATGGTTCAAAAAGTTGCTTTTTCATTCATTTATTTATTTGCTTAATTCGTATTTATTGAGCTCTGTGTTTAAGGCATCAAGCTAGTTGCAAGGGGGATACATAAACAAATTGCACCCCATCCCACCTCACAAAAGTGTGTGGTTGATTAGGAATGCTGTAACACATTGTTAAATGGACATAATCCAAGAAGAATGTGATCAATGACATAAGAGAGGTTCAACTAAAGTGCCATGGATGTTCAATGTGGGAAAGAGCATCCAAATAATCCTACCTTGATCAGACTTTGAAACTGCTGCTCAGTGTTCTGTTTCTTCTGGCCTGTGCAGATAGAGCAGCTGCACTGCAAATAACAGAGCTTCCTGAGAGCCCAGTTCAGGACTGCCTTTTTAGTCCCCCAGGGAATTCTTTCACAATTTACCTGGACAATTGCTATTTTGGGCCTATGCAGTATAGTTTTTTCTTTAGATAGCACTCTAATTTCCATTTGGAGTACTACTTCTTTCTCTTTGGGACTAGTCTTATGGTACAGAAACTGGAGTCCTGTCTTCTTAAACCAAATTTGCACGTGATTAAAGCTAGATAAACCTCTGGTCCCAAGCTATAAGTTGAATCTGGAGCAAAATGACAGAGTTTGTCTTCACTGGGTTGTTCCTGCAGTTCCTATTTCTTGGTTTGCTTCCTGTTCATTTTGGAGTTTGGTTCTCCAACTTCCCTGAGGCAAGATATTTTTCAAAATCTTTACTGTATGGAGGTTAGTCAGAGTTGGGTTTTGGATGCTTGTGGAATATCTGTTGTTTCCGGCCAGGCGATGTGGCTCATGCCTGTAATCCCAGCACTTTGGGAGGCCGAGGCAGGTGGATCACGAGGTCAGGAGACCAGCCTGTCTAGCATGGTGAAACCCTCTCTCTACCAAAAAATACAAAAAATTAGCCAGGCGTGGTGGCAGGCACCTGTAGTCCCAGCTGCTTGGGAGGCTGAAGGAGGAGAATGGTGTGAACCTGGGAGGTAGAGCTTGCAGTGAGCCAAGATGGCGCCACTACACTCTAGCCTGGGTGACAGAGCGAGACTCCATCTCAAAAAAAAAAAAAAGAAAAAATCTGTTGTTTCCTATGCTAGACCCATTTTCTACCCATCTCCACCCTACTCTTTGTCCAGGAGATTGACCTGAATGGACTAGGTCAGCAGGTTTTCCTCACCCTATGATTTATGGTTGGGTTTGAATAAGGGAAATTCCCATGAGAGATCAGAGAAAGAGGAGAGTGAGATCATATCTCTTGGTCCCTTCCTGGTAAGGTGAACGTTTAACTGGCTGTCTGTCAATTGGGCTTGAGTTCTGATTGTAGGGGATGAACACTTGCCATGTTAATTAAACATATGGCAGTGCCATGTTCTTTTGGCATGGTATGGGATTGGTGGAGAAGGCATGAGACCCTGAGAAATTGAATGGTGTTAGATATGAACAAGGCTGAGAAATTTTTACTTCTGAATTCCCTTGAACCTGTCTTGATAGGAAAGGAGCCTGTTCCTGCTTCTTTTCCCTGTTAGGAAACTAGCTCTCCTCTGCTTAAAGCCTCTCAATGACTGCTTGAGACTGTTGCTGCAGTTGCCTCGGAAGTTGACAAAGTATTTAGTATACACCCCCATCACATGTTCTCATGGCTCATGAAGAGAGTCAGATCCCAACATTGCCCAGGACTGCTCCAGTAGGAGGTATCTTATGGGCTACAAGAGTAAATGACCTCGTAAAATGAGTTCGGAAGTGTTCCCTCTTCTTTTTTTGGGAAAAATTTAAGAAGAATTTGTGTTAATTCTTCTTTAAATGTTTGGTAGAATTCACCAATGAAGTCATCTGATCCTGGACTTTTCTTTGCTGAATGGTTTTTGATTACTAACTCAATCTCTTTATTCGTTGTTGGTCTGTTTAGATTTTCCATTTCTTCATGGTTCAGTCTTTGTAGATGTATGTTTTAGGAATTTACTCATTCCTTCTAGTTTAACCAATTTGGTAGTATATAAATATTCATAGTAGTATCAGCGTTATCCTGATATAAAAGCCAGGTAAAAACATTACAAGAAACAAGAACTGTAGGTCAATATCCTCAATGAACATAGATGAAAAAATCCTCAACAAAACACTAGAACTGAATGAAACAGCACATTAAAAGGCTCGTGCACCAAGACCACATAGGATTTACCCCTGGGATGCAAGGATGGCCCAACATACACAAATCAATTAATGTGATATGCCACATTGACAGAATGAACAAAAATCACACGATTATCTCAATAGATGCAGAAAAAAGCATTTGATTCAATCCAACACCCTTTCATGATAAAAACTGTCAACAAACGTGGTGTGGAAGAAATTTGTCTCAATATAATGAAGGGCATATATGAAAAGCTAATATCATATTCAGCGGTGGAAAACTAAAAGGTTTTCCTGTAAGATCAGGAACAAGGCAAGGGTGCATATAGACCAATGAAACAGACTAAACAGTCCAGAAATAAACCCATGCATGTATGGTCAACTGATCTTTGACAATGGTGCCAAGAATTCACAGTAGGGAGAGGATAGTCTCCCACAAATGGTGTTGAGAAAATCGGGTATCCATATGCAAAAGAATGAAGTTAAAGCCTTATCTTATACCATAAACAAAAAGAAATGCAAAATGAATTAAAGATTTAAGTATAAGACCAGAAAACTCCTAAAGAAAATATAGGGGAAATTTTCTTGACATTAGTCTGGGCAATGATTTCTTGGCTATGACACCAAAAGCACAGGCAAAAAGCAAAAATAAGTAAGTGAGACTACATGAAACTAAAAAGCTTCTGTACAGTAAAGGGAATAATCAACAGAGTAAAAGGTAACATTAAATGAGAGAAAATATTTGTAAAACATATATCTGAAAAGGGGTTAATATCTGATATATATAAGGAACTCCTACAACTCAATAGTAAGAAAAACAAATAACCCAGTTAAAAATGGGCAAATAAGTTGAACAGATATTTCTGCAAAGAAGATATATAAATGGCCGACAGGTATATGAAAAGATGTTCAACATTACTAATCATCAGGGAGATGCAAAATAAAACTACAATGAGACATCACCTCACATCTGTAAGGATGACTATTATAAAAGAAAAACAAAAGACAATTGTTGGTAAGGATGTGGAGAAACTGCAAATTTGTATGTTGTGGGTGGGAGTGGAAAATAGGCAGTGACTGTGGAAAATAGTACTGAGGTTTTGTAAAAGTTAAAAGAATTACCACATAATCCAGCAATCCCACTTCTGTGTATATATGTGAAAGGATTGAAATTGGGATCTTGAGTTATTTGCAGTATTATTTATAATAGTAAAGATATGGAAACAATCTGTCTATTGATAGAAGAACGAATAAAGAAAATATTTGGGAGGCTAAGATGGGCGGATCACGAGGTCAGGAGATCAAGACCATCCTGGCCAACATGGTGAAACTCCGTCTCTACTAAAATACACACAAAAAATTGGTAGGGCGTGGTGGCATGTGCCTGCAGTCCCAGCTACTTGGGAGGCTGAGGCAGGGGAATCACTTGAACCCAGGAGGCGAAAGTTGCAGTGAGGCCAGATTGCACCACTGCACTCCAGCCTGGCGACAGAGCGAGACTCTGTCTCAAAAAAAAAAAAGAAAAGAAAATGTGATATATGTTGATATGATATATGTTGATATACATATATACATAGATATACATATATACATATATACACACATGTGCATATACCTATATACACATATACACACGTATGCGTACACACATACACACGTATGCATATATACACATATACACACGTATGCGTACGCAGATACACACATAGGAATGCGTATGCAGATATACACATATACACATGTATGTGTACGCAGATATACACATATACGCATGTATGCGTATGCAGTATACACATGTACGCATGTGTGCATCGCAGATACACACATGTACACATGTGTGCGATGCAGATATACACGTACGCATGTGTGCGTACGCAGATATACACATGTACACGTGTATGCATATGCACAGATACATACACACAGTAATATTCCAATATGTGTAGAATATTATTCATCCTTAAAAAAAGGAAAATCTTGCCATATGCAACATGGGTAAACCCGAAGGACGTTATACTAAGTAAAATAAGCCAGTTATAGAGGAACAACAACTGCATGATTCCACTTATATAAGGTATATAAAATAGCCTCATAGAAACAGAATGGTGGTTGCCAGGGACTGAGGGGCGGCAGAAATAAGGAGCGGCTATTCAGTGGGTCTAAAGTTTCATTTACTCAAGATGTGTAAGTTCTGGAGATCTGCGGTACAACATAGTGCCTTACTGCTTAGAGTTGATACCGTATTGTGCAGTTTAAAGTTTGTTAAGAGGGTAGATCTCATGTTACATTTACTTACCACAATAATTTTAAAGATAGAAAAATTGATTTACAAATAAACATGGTGCATTATCAGGGAAAAGTAGTTTTAGAGAACATTATTGGGACAAGCAGCAAATTTCAAATAAGAATAGTGAATTATATAACACTATTGTATTCCACTTAGATCTTCTGATTTTGATAATTTTATGGTGGTTACAGAAGTGAATGTCCTTGTTCTTGGAAAATACATTTTCAAGTATTTGGGGGTAACAGTGAATGATGGCTGTAATTTACTCTTAATTGACAAGTAATTCAGTAAAAAAAGTGTATAAGGATGTGTGCATATAGAGAAAGAGAAACATAAACTCCAATATACTCTTTACCCAGATTCAATAAGTACTAACTTTTGCCTTGTCATTTATACCTTTCATGCAATTTTAAATATATGCAACTGTATTTTTGAAATTGTATTAAAATAAAAAGCTAAAGAAGCACAATTCTTAAAAAAAGAGTAAATGACCTTACCATTCTACATCATTAGGATCCCAAAAGTAAGCATAGGAGAGGTTTTCTGGGGCGCTGAAGCAAGAAGATGGAAATGTAATCAGATAAGCCTGAATTTATTGAAGTGAATGCATTTGTTTGGGATTCAGAATTTAATGTGTCGGTGTAAACACTTGGTAGAGGCAGGAGTAGTTTTCTGGATTGGCTGATCTAAACTTGTACCCAAAGTTGGCTTACGGTTAATAAGGTTAAAAGGCTATCATTCCCTCTGCATTCTGAAAATGTAAGAGTCTCATGCCTCAGGAAATGGGAATGTTGGAATAGATTTATTATGTGCAACCTATTCATTCACCTCCAATCACACACTCTGGGAAAACATGGAATCCCTTCATTAAAGCAGTGGTAAGGACACCACCATCCTTGAAGACCCCTGAGTTGCCAGTTCTCTTTAGGCCAGATAGAATGTAGGGAAATTTCAGTGCCATTTGGTTTCCAATCTCAATGGGAATAATGTCATGTGGAGTTATAGAGAACAGGTGGTGATGCAATTACTACAATAAAATCATGTTTTAAATGGTAATTAGAGGATTTTGACCTGCAGGGATCTCTGGCAATGGCTCCTTAGAAATGAAATAGATGGGCAGTCTAGTAAAATGCTTCTTGAAATACACGGGCAGAAAAAAATTAGGTTGGCTGAAAAGAAAACTAATTTGAATTGCCTTAAGTGGGATTTACAGCCTTTTATCCAGTCCCTATACCTAAATCAGTGCCCAGACCCTGAATCCCTGGAGGTACGGGGAAGTAAGATCTCTTTGAGGAAAAAATTGTGTAACAAAACCCCAAGCCTTCTCCAAATGTTCCTGAGGCCATTTACTGGGGTGATTGTGCACAGGGGAGAAAGGAACTCAGCTCTTATAGGGCTTATTGAATACTGGCTCGAAACTTAAGATGATACTCAGATACCTCAAATGACACTGTAATCCACAAGTCATGGAAGGAGCTTGGGGAGCTCAGATTATAATTGGAGTCCTGGCCAGTGACAGTCTAGAAGTGCATCAAATGAGAATACTAACGTCCTCAGGTTATTTCTTCAGTTGTAAAATATTTGATATATAGTATACTTAGCAATTAGAAAATCTTTCATATTGGTTCCCTGACTTGTGGAATGAGGAGAAATAAGCACAAGCCCAGTTTATAGATTTATCTGTACACTATGTCAATACCAGCAGGAAGAGTTTGGCTGCTTCACTGCGGTCCTACTTAGAGTAGCTTGAAAACACTGGTGGGTAGAAACCCTCCTTGTGAGCAGAACTTTACATAGAACAGCTGGTTGAATATTTTGTGTGGAAACAGAGACAAACTGAACTATGGACCTACAGCGAATCATGGGCTGTAACTAAAGGGCTGGCTGATTGGTCAGGAATTTGGAAATAACAAAGTTGAAAAATTGATGGCAGGGACGTCTGAGAGAGAGATGTGTGAATGGACCTCTCAGAGTGGGTACAGCATATGAAGTTACTCATGTCTCACATAATGCCTATCAGAGGATATCTACTGCAGAAATGGGCAAAATGTTCTTTCCACTGGATAGCAGTCTCTCTTCCCCAGCCACCTACCTCTATTTCAATAGGTCCGAGTACAAAGAATCCAGAGTGGCAGGGTTATAACTATGCATGGTTTCAAAATCATGGTCTTCCCCTCAATTGGCTGGTGCCATTGCTGACTGCTCAGACTACCAACAACATAGACCAAAACTGAAATCCTGTTACAGCACCACTTTCAAGGTGGTTCAGGGGTAGCCAGCTACCTAACTGTATTTTACCATTCCCTAGATAGGCATAGCTTTGTTTTTATAGTGGTAGATTTGTACTCCAGTTATGCTGAAACCAACATTCATGTATCTAAAAATGTTTTCTTCATTGTCACAATATACTACATAATATCGCCTGTGGTCGGGGGGGCACATTTTACCACAAAGTAAGTGCAGAAACACAGGCACACACCCATGGTCTTGTCATGTGCCTCATTGCTGAGAAGCACTTGGCTTGATCAAGGGTGAAAGGGCCTGCTGAAAGCTTCAGTTATGTTTCTGGTGGGAAATATCTTGTGAAGCTGAGTTGCTGTCTGATAAAATGTGGTTGATACCATAAGCAAACAGCTGTCTTAGGTAATTTCTTTCTTAGCTAGAATACATAGCTCCTGGATCAAAAAAGTGAGCCAAAGTCATGATTATATTTAACACTCTACTTGGGAAACATTTGTTCTCTATCTCTGCAATTTTGGGTTCAGTGGTTTGGAAGGACCTAGAGTAAAAAGAATGAATAATTTTCCCATTAAGCAGTCATTGTTCTGATGTACTGAACACTCTAGCCATTTTGGGTTCCTCGTGGCAGAGAAGAGGGTCGCTCTTGTATGTGAGGTGTCTTATTCCAATTACCAGGAAGAAATATGATTTCTGCTACTCAATGGGAGCAAAAAGTACAAAGGAACTCAAGGGATTTAATGGGGGAATTTTTTAATTATATAGTCAATAGTCTGTACTCAATAGTTCTGGTCAATGGAAAACTGCAAAAACCCAATAGACATAAGACCATAAAAGTCTTAGATAGTGTAGAAATAAAAGTTTGGAATACTCTATCAGGTGAAGTGCTTTCTCTAGCTGAAGTCTTGGGGAGAGATGATAGGAACATAGAATAGGGTGGCAGAAGATTATCAACGAATGTATCACTATTAACTGCAGAAGCAGGTACTCCAGCAGTTTTGTTTTATGATTTTTCTCCTCCACCTTCCCTCTTCTTCCTCATATGGTGGACACAAATATGACCAATGTTTCAGGCTTCAGTGGGAGATGATCAAATTGACATCACCCTGTTCTAAACCATTAACTGGTGAGACATAATATAGCCTCTGTATTAGGGACACAAATTCTTTATCTGGATAAGGACAATAGTATATACTAAAGGGAAAGATAGTGGCGGCATACTAGATACCTTCTGATAGCACTCCAGATCCTCTTTACCATTCTCCATCCTGCTCTCCACCCTAGAAGGCTGACCTATGTGATTAAATCAATAGTCTGTGCATTCCAGTTGGATTTGGTCATGGGGAGTCCCCATAGGGTTGTTTTAGGCTGTCTGTGTCCCTTGACTGAGGGTAGCCTCTTTTACACAACTCTGTTTTTCCGGGTTCTAGTAATCATTCCTCCTTGTTATTGTGCTGTCTTCTGTGGGTCTTCAATACTGACTTACAGATTTGACCTTCTTTAATTTTGACCTTCCCTGGTGTATCCAAATGTGAATGTGTAAAATTTGTTTCTGGTTAGGACCCTGACTGATAAAATTGCTTACTGTAACAATACAGTGACAAAAAAAAAAAAAAAAAAAAAGGAGTCAAAAGCTCTGTGAGCATTTACTCCCATTTATCCATATATTGACATTGTAATGATAACTGCCCTTCTGAATCATCAAAAAGATTAGATTATGTATGGTAAAAGTTTAAGATGTGAGGTATTTTATGATATTCCACATTTAACACATATGACATCATTTTAGTACTATAATAAACTTTAGAGATATTTTAGACCATTTTAAGGGCTGAAGAAACCGAGAGCCAGAAATATTAAGAGACTTAGCCAAAATTTTAAAATAGCACCAGGAATATGTTTAGAAACTAATATTTTTCTTAGGATATATTCTATTCTTTGACTTCTGTGGTATCAGAAGGCTGGTGAATTCATTTATCCTCATTATCACAGCTTTTCCATAAATAATTCAGGTCAATACATCCTCCCTTTATGGATCCTCTCTTTATGGATATAGTAAAATTTACATGGTCAGTTACTGGAGATGACTTTTCAGAATTTTGGGCAAATTTGATAAATGTTATGTTGTAATTTTTCATTTATTCGTTTTCTAAGTATACACTGAATTTCTTAAGGGCTGGACTTTGCTTTTTATTTCTATATGCTTAATGCTTAGTATGGCATCTGGCACCTGGTATACATCCAGCAAAATAGATTCATTTAAAAATACATGTTTATCACTAGCTGTGTGAAAAGTCAGATAGGTCTTTTCTGAATGATTTGCTTTCTCTACTTTGGATGGTCTAGTAGCTTTTAAATTTGTTTCTCTGGACATGCTGAATGTGAAGCCAGGAGTCTGTGCTTTCATAAAATGTCTTTTTGTCTTGAAAGTTTATATTACACAGCTGCAGTCAACATTGTTTTGTAACAAGAAGCGTATCTTCTTATTTAAGTTCCTCGTTGCTCCCCAGGAGCATTCTGTGACTTAACCATCAGCTCTGTAATTATAGAGTAAGGAAGCACATCTTTAAAATTCAGAACTTGCTCTTCAGCGATCTGTTGGGGCATCTTCAGGTATTTGTATGGTGAGATTTATTGACAGAATCCCCTTCTACCTTCATAGACAGACTGAAGGCCTGGCCAAGGTTATATAGCCCATGTACTATGTCAGGGACACTAGTGACCAAAGGCTGACAAACCTGAAAGAGTCCCCTGAAGACATGTGCTTTTAGCCAAAATCTAATCCAAGCTAATTTTCACCATGTCCCTGCCTGCTGTTGGTGATATCTAAGCCTAGGAAACTTCAAAACTGTCATTGTTGGAGTAATGATGTGATATCTAATACAGTTCAGATCATTTAGTTATTGAACTCTTAATCAGACCTTCCTGTTTTTGAAAGAAAGAGAACAAAATTAACCCTTTGGACCCTGTGAACTGGGCTACCAGATGAAATTTAATTTAGTGACATCATTTATTCCACACAAGAATGTGTGTGCGAACATAACGAAGGAAAGAGCATATTATTATATTAAAACCATAATAATCTAAGAGGCTGGAAGAGCACACAGGTTTTGTTGTTTTTACCCAACCCTCTCTGTGCTGCCTCTTACTTACAATAAATAAGCTTGCTATGTCTCCTCAAAGCAGCTGCCTAGTACTGTTAAGTTTCTACAGAGTTCTAAATAAAGGAATTTCTCATTCTTCTCAGTTTTCACTTTCACCTGTTAAATTTCATCTTCAATGAAAGGGAAAATGGTGCTTGCTAAAGAAATGGTCTAATCCTTTGACTTCTTCATTTTTTTAGCCTGGGGCCATTTTGAAGTTAGGCAAGTGAGAGTGGTGATGGAGACTAGAGGACACAGAGGCAGGAAGAGCTAAACATTTCCAGTCCTATTGGATTTTAATCATCAGGTGGGTAGATATTAACCCCTGGAGAAAACTAAATGACTGAGTATTTCCAAATGTATATTTTATATATATATATATATATATAAGTATATATATATATAAATATATATACTTATATATATATATACTTATATATATAAGTATTTCTATTTCCAAATATATATATACATATATATATATGTATATATATGAAGAATCAGTGAAGAGAGAGAGGTAATTCATGGTGTTAATGTTTGATTACAAAAATTTTCAACACATGGTTTATATCTGCTCAAATTTTGTACACCCTTCCCATATCATTTGTGGAGGTATGAAAGGACTATGGCTACTCTCGCACCAGATTGATACGTACAATTTAGATAATCATGACAAATTACCTTCTTATTTGCATCTGTTGCTGTTGCTTGTGATTTCTGATAGCCAAAGGAATTGGGTAAGTTAAAATATATGATACTCTTTTGTATTAGAAATGAGGGGAAAGGTAAAGAATAAAAGAAGCTTGCATGGTGGCCAGTCTCTGGAGAAACTTTACTTTCTCTTCTACTTTCCAGAGACGTCAGTGTCTTGTATGTTTGCCTCACGTTCACAGCTGTGCACAGTAGAAATTTGTGAACAAGAGCATGTCTACATCTTCTCTGGAGATTTGGGGTTTCCTTGGAATACCAATGGTGTCAGGGGAATAGGTAATACTGACACAGATTTCTGGGCTGGTTTCTATTAACAGACACAAACAATTAGGTAGGTGTCACAATCTACGTGGTTAAAATATTGTCTCAGATAATGTTGCTGCCCAAAAGAGAGGATGGTAAGTTAGTGAATGCCTTTCTCTGCACACATTCTACAGGCTGTCAGACAGCCAAAGTGGGCAGGGAGGCACATTCAGTCCTCTGTGGTTTGCAGAAAACAGCTGTGATGTCATTGCCTAGTAAATGAGAATGTTACTTGTGAATGAGTCAAGGATTGACACATCACTCAGCGCAACCACGTAAAAGCTGTGCTCTCTAAAGACTCATAGATTCCAGGCACAATTTCTTTCTTTGCTGTAAATCAGTCACTATGTGAAACTATGTTAATTCCTCCTGGCCCCTGGAGTAAGCCGGCAGTGCTAACAGAGTATCAGTAGAGCTTCACAGATTACCTATTTTATATTGTGTGAGTGTTTTTTAAGGGAGGATTTGGTTATTTCTCTATGTAATAGACAATCAGGGCTTCTCAGTTGTCTTCCACTTATTCTTTATACTTTAGTTTTCAATTATTCTTTTATTGATTCAACATTTACAGAAAATCTACTCTTGTCAGACCACTGTGCTAGTCATAGGATATAGAAGATGAATATTATACAAATAGAACTCACTATTTGCCCTTTCCGAATTCACAACCACACACACCTGCTTCTTCTGTATCAAGGATGCTTAAATTATATTATGTGGATGGCCAAATCCTGAAGTATCAGGTAAGATTGTGCATATGTGTGTGTCTGTATATATAGAGAAGACCCATATCTTTCATTACATTTGCAATGAAATGAATAAATCTTTTATAATTATTATAATTATAATTTTTATATAATTTTTATATTAGGAATAAATCTTTTATAATTATTGCTCCTGGTACTTTGAATAGATACGGGAATGTGTTTAATTATGGTAAAACTGGCAGATTTTAGACGTAGATTATACCTGGGAACCAAAAGTTGACAAACTTTAGAGCCGAGGGAATAAAACAAACAGTTGTGCAAGAGTTTCTAACTTCTGCAGAGCAGACAGAATCTTGTTAGCACATTTCATCGGGCATCTGGGGCTTTGTACAAGTGATTGCTCAACACATTGCACACTTAAATGCTGCAAAACAAAAGAATTTGATTCGCCGTCAGCTGCTGGTTAACTTTAAAAAAACATAAAACAAATCTGGCTATTTTTGTTCATTGTACAACCTTACTTCGACTTTTTATAAACTAGGATATTCTCTGTAGTATGAGAAAGTATTTTGCTACATTTTACCATTTTAGGGATATTTATAGATGTAATTTCTTTGTGCTACTTAAAATATCATGTGTTTTAAATTTTGCAGTATAAACAATCAATGTAATTTAGAAAGACAGTTACCACATTTCTGAGTTGGGTACTGCTATTACAAAGAATAATTGTTTTTGACTTGGTAGTACAAAGAGCTCACAACTCATAAAATATCCTAAATTTTACTTAGCACTTTTATTGACATTATTAAGTGTCATGACTAACATATTAGATTTGCACTATCCCCATTTTAAAGATATAAAAACTGATACTAAGAAAAACTCTGTCTTAATTGCAATCTACCTTGTTTGAAATTTTTAGATGTGTGTGAATATAAGGTAAACAAAGCAGATATGCAGAAAGTCCTCTTGTTTGTGAAGTCTAAATTTAACATTTGCTCAGTATTTTATCTGCTGTTTTAAAGACAGATAGCTTTAGTGCATGCAAAAATCATGAGTTTTCAAAAGCTGTATGAACACAATTTTTGACTAATGAGCAGTCATTGTTCATTGTTAAGGACATTCACCTTTTCATGGCTTTGTTCTGTTAGATGAAAGTGTTTCTAGATTTGGCATTTATCTAACATAGCATCATAGGGTGAATGGAAATGCTGACAGTACTTTATAGGAAATGAACTGCTACCAACTATGGCTTGCCAGGCCCTCTAGTAGGTAATTTACATACATGAACACAAACTTGTAAAAACAGGTTTTTGTGGTAGAAAATATTCCAGATGAGGAAACACATTCAGAAGGTTGTACAACTTATCTAAAGTTACTCAGTCCATGAGATATCCACCTGGGCTTCCAATTTAAGTCTTTTTGATTTGAAAACTCATCACATTACCCATGGCATGCTTCTGTGGGCAAGTTTGAACAAGATGCTGAAAAAGTGCAGTTAACTGCTGTGACTCTCAAATTAGTTATCTGCCTGTTGGGTCACATGTTCTCTTGAAGGCCAGTGATAGAAAGGCAGTGCCAGCTGAAACTGATAGGATCTGACAAAGGTGAGGCCCGTTGCTGGCATTTGTTTGCCCATTTGTTCCCAAACAGTCAATTTAATGGCTGCACAAGCATTATCCAAGTGCAAAGAACTATTTAGGGTCACTCAAAATGAATAGCACTATTAGTTCTCACTGGAGATAAATAGAATAAAGTTGGCAAGTATCTCTGCTGCTATTCTTTTCCTAAGTCATCAACCCAAAGTCATCAAAGTCTCATTGAATTTTCCCACTACCTTCTAAGAAGGTTGCTGTTTGCAGAAGGTAGTGACACAGTAGCATCTCTTGAATGACTTTGAATAATTTTCTGAGATTTGGTAGAGTCAATAATTCCACCTTTGAGTATCTCAGTATGCCCTTTAGATAATTTCATTTTTGTGCATGTAGGCATGTTTATGTGTGTGTGATTGTATGTGTGTCTAGGTAGTATTAACAAACAAACGCCATATAACAAGAGTTAACATTCACTGAATACTAAATGCCTCTAGATACATTATATTCATGACCTCTAATCTTGATATCAAATTGGGAAGACATTAGTATCCCAATTTTACAAATGAAGAAACTGTGTCTCATGAAAATTAGATAATATGCCCTAGACCTAGTATGGTATTTTAGTCTGCTTTTGCTACCTCAGGAACTAAATATGTTGTCTGATGTAGACATATGCATGTAAGCACACCTATGGGTAATGTGATGACAAAGAAATCTTAATTTACATTCCAGCCTTTCATTAGAATTGATCTCGGAATAAATGATAGTACTATATAAGTAATTTCTGCAATTAATTTTTATTTAACTAGTTTGTCCAAATCCATAGCAGATTAGCCAAAAATATTATTGTTAAATTACAGTGCTCATTTGACACAGAATAGTTGAAAAATAGATGAATTATTTTAATGAAAAGTAACCTCTTCAAGTTATTTTCTTTTTAAAAGGCCAGAAGAATAAGGGATCTTTTTGCCCTGAATCTATTCCACCATCTTTGTGGTCACCACTGAAATGTAAAGGCACTTAAGTGACATTTACAGTGAGCTAATATACTGCAGATGCTGTGACAGACCCTGTAATTACATTTTCCCCTCTTATTTCTTTAGAAAGAGAAATATAGATAGCTTTTGTGTTTGAAATCAAGCAACAGGTGAAATGTGCAACCAGAGATCTGAGCATAGGGAGAAAGCATTTGATATTGAGTGCTGGAAAGAAGGGTTTTAATTTTCACTTATTCCAGGCACAAGACCAAAGGAAAAAAATTCCTGCAAGGTAGGATGGGAGAAGAAATGACTATAAAAGAATAACCCAAAGCAGAGGCCTTTCAAATAGACAGAATCCTTAGAAATATTAATCTTGACTCTTATAGTTGGAATGAACAGACATCTACTTCTGACTACCCTGGGCAAAAAAAGGAGTCTTTTGGGGGGTAAATAATGTGCTCATTTGTGGAGCTGAAAAGGGTAGTGGTACTTCCAAGCTCTAGCAACAACTGAACTAGATAATCAAATGACACCTGAGCTCTTTTAGGTTATTAAATAGACTTGCAGAGAATATGGCTACTGACAGTTTCCAGCTTCAATTGCACAGAGTCTGAATAACTTCCTCAGTTACCATTTCAAATCCCAAGGAAGAGTTCTAATTAAGTCCATGGAGGCCCAAAATATATGGGCTGTGGAAACACAGCAGAACCCTTAGAATTGGGAGAGGAGCAACTCTAATAAGGAAAAAAATTATAGGTAGATAACTCCAGCAACATCAGGAAGCTTGAAAAACTTAGACCATAAGATCTTTTTTTTTTCAAAAGAGGTTCATCAGGGTGTGAACTTATGATTCATGAGGCTTAAATATGGGCATATATGTTTCAAGCGTATGTGAGGCACTCTTCTCTAGGAAAATTTAATTTTAGGCAGATTTTCCCAAAATGCGTAAGAATCAGACCATCCATTCTCATTTCATCTTGCATTTTTCCATTCTTCTAGGTAAATGTGGAGTTCTATAAGAACAAGGATATTTTGGGAGGTACTTTAATGTTTGGGGTTAATGGTAAAAAGCACAGTTAAAATTTGTTTACATGTCACTGAAACTTCAAATCTAAAACTGAATCGATTCCATAAGGCAGTTCTTAAAATTTTTCTATTTATTTAAAATTTTACACAAATGACCCTCCTTTTCTTTCTCCTTTTTTTGTTTTTAATTTCCATCATTAATATTTCTATTATAGTAGCAAAAACTGCTGTTTTTAGGAGCCTCAATTTACTCCGAATCTGTTACATTTTTTAAAATGAGCTTTCTCTTAATGAAAGAAATGGGGTTATAAGGTGATTGCCCCTTTTTCACCTTCCTCCTAAACGTGAATATTCCCTGTGTCTGTTTTCATCCTTTTTTTCTTCTCCTTTGGTAAATGTATTCACTCTATAGCTCCAGTGTCACCTGTATTGGATGACTCCCAAGCCTTTAAATCTAACCCCACTTTTTTCCTGTCTTTCATATCCAGTTCCTGTGCATCACTCCTGGAATACTCTATTAGCATCTACAACTCAACATGTGCAAGATAGAACTCACTACTCCTCCTCTAATATCTACTCCTTCCCTTAACTTCTTCAGGTTAAACTCTGCAAATTGCTCAGTCACTGAGGCTTTGGCCAGATTCTCATTGACTCCTCTCACTCTACAAACCCCCGTCAGTTTCCAACCCTTATCAATTCTGCTTCCCCTTAACCCCATTATTTCTCAGAGTGACTACTCTGGTTCAGGCCCTCATCTTCTTTTGCATGGACTTTTTAAAAAAACTTTTTATTTTGAAATAATTTTAGACTTAGAGAAAAGTTACAAAAATGATACAGTGCAGATAATTCTTAAATACTCTTCACTCAGCTTTCCTAATGTTGACATCTTGCCTGTGAAACACTTATGAAAATTAATATCGTTATAATATTATTAAGGAAACTATAGCCTTTGTTTGAATTTTACTAATTTTCCCAGTAATGTTCTTTATCTGTTGCAATATCCAATCCAGAATCTCACATTGCATTTAGTTGTCATTAATCCTTAACTATCAGCAATCTGTGACACTTTCTCAGTGTTTCCTTGACTTTTGTGACCTTGACACTTTTCAGGAATAGGGGCTGATTATTTTGTAGAATGTTCCCTCATTTGGATTTGTCTAATTTTTTTTCATGACTTCACTGTGGGTATTCATTGTTTTCTGGCCTGTACTTTTGCAGTCATCCTTTAAAAGGCTTCTTCACTTCCAGTTTTCTCCCAGGTTCTCTATCACATTGTATGTGAAGATATCCTTTTGAAGTATAGATTTATCCATGTCCCTACACCTGCACAAAAGTACATTTAGGGTTGCCCCTTGCGTATTAAGTAAATTCTACATTCCTTAGCCAGGCATCCAAGGCCATGCATAGTTTGGTCCACATTTCCAGACAACTCTTCACTCTGGAGGCCGACTGATCTCACTTTTGTGTTCTCTGCGTGGCCCTGTGTGGTTCTCAGTCTCTTCTTCCTCAAACCTGCCCTGAATGATAAATGTTATTATCATCATCTCCATTTTATAGACAGGTAAACCAGAGCTCAGAAAGATTAATTAACCAGACCTGATGTTTAAAGTTAGTTTAACTGACTGAAGCCAAGGGATTTAGCCTCTACAAGAGTAAGCCCCTTGAGTAAGAGTTATGGTTTTATTAATCCTGAATTTTCTCACAGAATCCTGCAAAGTGCCTTGTACATAGTATGGCTCTGATATATATTAGCTGAATAGATGAAGGAATAAATATTAAATTTTAGGATAAAAATGTATAATTGTGATTGTAAGGGATGGAGAAGATAATCAGAAGTTACTTATATCAGAATTATACTTTGATGAAGATTTATTGCAACATGTATTACACAATAATTGTGTTTTTTGTTAGCAGGGTGCATTCCAAAGATGAGTCTATACTGAGTTATTTCTTTGGTCAGCTCTGGAATTAAAATTATTAAATAATTAAATATAAATAATTAAAATTATTTACAGACGTTTGTGTGTTTTCTTAATCTACGTTTCACCCTAATCATATTTGCTCCCAACACAATCTTTGGCATATGGCTGGCAGCCAGGTAACTAACACAGCTGCCCATTTCAACAAAGCTCCATGTAAGGAAGCTGGAGGGAAAGGAAGAACTGATATGAGCTTCCAGAGCTCAAATAGAAAGATCTCTAAACCTCTCTGTGTGGGCAAGGAGAGAGGGAGTTACTAGAGGGAGAAGGGCTTGAAGGGAGGAGATGTTGATACCTCTATAGGGAGTTGACCCGCTGCCCTTTCCGTTGTATGCTGACTTGTGTGGAAATGTCCTTTCTGAGTTACTGGCCTTCAGCCTGTAGGGGCTGTGAGCACAGTGTGTATGTGCAACTCCTCAGCTGCTGGAGGGCACTAATGTTTCCCACAACAATTTTGATTTGTGTTTTAATTTTCCTTCAGAGGGCACATAATGTATTTTTGGAGCTGATTAATTTCCAAAACCTCTGGGTACTATTGAAAAAGTGGCTTTAAGTGCTCTGCCTCTGCTTTTCAAAGTGCAGTGCATTCTCATTTTCAAACTCCTTTAGGTATCAAAGACCTAGTGAGAGCATTATAAATGCTGCTTCTCTACGGCACCTTTGAGGACTAATCTGCCCCCGAAATCGACAGTGTGTTGACATTGGGTGAGAGAAAGGGTTGTAAAATACATTTTACATCTGTTCAGTAAATCATTTATTTGGCTTTATTTTATTTTTTCTCAAAGAGAAACTCGTTTGAGAATCTTATGGCTGTGACATTTTTAATCAACTAAAATAAAATTTTTAGAAGTTATTCCTTTCGAGTGGGGAAAGAAAGGTCATAAATCCCTATTTAAATGAGATTTAGTTTTAAGCTTGAGGGAGAAAATACTTTTTTCCCTACATTATCTTGAATTTAGAAGCATGAAATATTTTTAATAACAAAATGGGCAAGATATGTTCATAATCAATCTACATATAATCACACCATTTGCCTAAAAAGGTGAACTGCAATTGATGACTCAGCTGTCAGGGCTACGTTTCTCCAAGAATTGCGAAGCAAGGATAGATGTGCTTCAAATAATGTCTAATGGCAATTTTGCATTAAGCTAATACCATCCAGTGATCATGTACTGATTCTTATAAATATATCTGTCCATGTCAGCCTCTTCTTTTTATCTCATGGCTGCTTTGGTGATCCAAGTTCTCATCTCTTCTTCACTGCACTCTGTCATAGCATCCCAATTGGTCTCCTACTTCTGCCCTTGCTTGTCCTTAAACTCTTTTTCCACACTCCAGCCTTGTTTTCCTAACAAATTGCAATTCTGCTCCATGTCATCCCTGCTTAAAATCTTTCAAGGTGCTCTCATTTTTCTATGGATAAAGAGCATAGTTCTTAACACAGCCAACAAGGCTGTTGTGATCTGAATCCTACCAACATCTCCAACCACTTCCTGTTCTCCAGACACTACAATCTTCTTTCACTTCTCTGAAGACACCACAGACTTCTGGCTGCAAGACTTTTAAACATAGTGTTCCTCTGCATGGAATATTCTTCTTCATCTTCCCCTGCCCACACTAGTTAACTCCTCCCACATCTCAGCTCAAAAGCTATGTTTCCAGGGAAGTTTTGTGCTAACAGAGCAGTTCAGATCCCCTCCTCATACTCTTAGAGCATCATGAACCTTTTCTTCTGAACTTATGAGTGTTGTAATATTCTTTCGTGTATTTAGTGATTTTTCTATTTACTTTTCCTATAAGTCCATGAGGGCAGGTATCATGTTTGTTTTGCTCAACATTGTATATCCATACCATAGTACAGGCACAAAGTAAATGTGCAATAAACATTATTGAATAAATATCTCATTGTAGTTTTGATTTGCATTTGTCTGATGATCAGTGATATTACATACCTTTTTATATGCCGATTTGCCATTTGTATGTCTTTTTTGAGAAATGTCTTTTGCCTATCTTTTATTTGGATTATTAGATTTTTCTCATGTATTCTCATTATTAATCCCTTGACAGATGGGTAGTTTGCAAATATTTTCTCTCATTCTGTAGGTTGTCTCTTCATTTTGTTGATTGTATCCTTTGCTGTGCTACAGGCTCTTTGCTGATAAGGAGGAAGTAAGAAGATGGATTTCAAAAACATCCACATTATCATAAAGCTTATAGCCCAATGACAGAACTAAGTTAAATGCAGAAATGGCTATAACATGAAGAGTTTAAGCAGTTCCATAGTAAGATTTAGAGTGCAAAAAGGGATAGCTCTAGAGTCATGTCTTAGGGTCAAGGTATTCAAAGAGTGGGCTTATGTGACAGACGGTAAGTATTTATTTTGAGTCTTTGAGGACAGAAATGAAGACCGTGCACCTGAAGATGGTTTGTCTGTAAACAGAAAACTTTGGAGCCAAGGAGACCAATTAGAAAATACAACAATACTTTAGAACAAAAGTACTAGAGGCTTAAAATATGCTTATGGTAGTAATCCAAGATGGAGAGACTGATGTTAAAGAGACTGGGAAGGGGGTTACTAAATTTTGTTTGTTTGGTTAGTGTGCTAATCTGTTTTGTGTCGCTATAAAGAAATACCTGGGGCTGGGTAATTTATATGGAAAAGAGGTTTATTTTGGCTGATGGTTCTGCAGACTGTACAAGAAGCATGGCACCAAAATCAGCTTCTGGTGAAGGCTTCGGGAAGCTTACAATTACGGTGGAAGGTGAAGGGGAGCAGGTATGTCACATGGCAAGAAGGGAAGCAAGAGGGAAGGAAGGAGGTACCAGGCTCTTTAAACAACCAGCTCTTACGTGAGCTAATACAGCAAGCACTTACTCGTTACCGTGAGGCAGGCACCAAGCCATTCATCAGGGATCTACCTCCATGACCCAAACCCCTCCCACTAGGCCCCACCTCCAAAACTGATCACAATTCAACATGAGATTTGGAGGGGACAAACATCCAAACTGTATCAATTGGTTACTTGATTAGGGCCTGATAACAGGTGGCTGTTAAATATGACTTCAAATTTTTGAGCTTGTATGCTTGAGGAAACAATGGTATTATTAACAAAAGTATAGAAATCAATGAAAATTATAGCTTTGAGGATATATAATAACTTTTGTATAAATAAAAAATCACTAAATACATGAAAGAATATTACAACACAAGTTTAGAAGAAAAGTTTCATGATGCTCTAAGAGTATGAGGAGGAGATCTGAACTGCTCTGTTAGCACAAAGCTTCCCTGGAAACATCGCTTTTGAGCTGAGATGTGGGAGGAGTTAACTAGTGTGGGCAGGGGAAGATGAAGAAGAATATTCCATGCAGAGGAACAGTATGTTTAAAGGTCTTGCAGCCAGAAGTCTGTGGTGTCTTCAGAGAAGTGAAAGAAGATTGTAGTGTCTGGAGAACAGGAAGTGGTTGGAGAAGTTATGTATATAATAAGAATAATACCTTGTTTATATCCAAATAATCTCCTCCAGGAGTAGGTTTGGTGCTTTATGTATTTAGGGCTGGAGTGAGATGTCAGAATCATCTACAAAGAAAGGAATGAAATTATCAAGGGAAAAAATGTAGAAATGGAGAGAGTAGGTCTAAAAAACAGACCTTGAAGATGTGCTACTTTTAGAGGTGAGAGAGGAGCTGAAAACAGCAAAAAAGAAAGAGAATAAAGAGAGTAAAGAGAGAGTTGAGTTATCATCGAAGAGGTAGGAGGCATGCCAAAGGGGTTCACAGGAACCAAACCAGGAGATGAAAGGATAAGACTTGCTTGAAAATATGCAGTGTTTCTGAGAGATTATGCAAGGTAACAGGGGAAAAAAGACTATTGAATCTGATGGAGAGAAGTGACTGGAGGCATCTGAACGGTAGTTAGGGCTTGTGGCAGATAACGCTGACTGCCAGGCAAAATCTATACTATTGTCTTACATTTGGGCTCACAGTTGGACTAATGTTCGCAGTTTCCCATGTAGTTAGGTGTTACCACTGAGAGCAGTCAATCAGGTAAACAGACAAAATGTGAACAAAAGTAATATATACTGTTCTCAGGTCTTGTGCATCCTAACATCCCATGCATGCTCCACCTCACATTTATTACTTTATGGTGGGTTGGAAGACAGAAAACCCCAGGAATAATTCTGGAAGTCACATCTCAAAAATGACACAGTTTCTATTAGTCTGTGTGGTAGATATCACAGGCGCTCATCAAAATATCAAGGTGTTTTTTTGAAAGATAACTTTGCTTAGTATAGATTTCTGGGGTTGAAATTTTTTTTTTCTTTCAGTGTATAATCTTTTTCTTTCATATTAAGAATGTCATTCCATTGTCTTCTAGCTGACATAGTTTCTGATGTAATTCTCATATTAATTCCTCTGTGTGCAATGTGTTTTTTTCTTTGACTGCCTTCAAGTTTTTTTCTTTATATTTGGTTTAATATGATTTTCCTAGGTGTGTTTCTTTTGATGATTTTCTGTTGTAGGCTCTCTAAGTTTCTTGGATATGTGGTTTGGTGTCTTTTATTAATATTAATTTAGGGAAACTCTGAGCTATTATCACTTCCACCGAGTTGTCTGTCTTTCTTATCCTACTGTGAATCTAATTTCATGTATGTCAGGCCATATTTTGATATTTTTCTGGTTTCTGTATGTTCTGTTCTTTCTTTTCTTTTTTATCTTTTACTTTGGGTAATTTCTAGTGACCTATTTTCAAGTTCTATGATTACTTCCTTGGCTGTGTTGAATCAACTGACGAACCCATTCAAATATTCATTTCTTTTAGTATGTTTTGCATTTCTTACATTTTGATTGGAATCTTTTGTATAGTTCCAGCTAGAGTCTGGGTACTTATGTTTAGAAATTGGCATGCATTATCTACTAGTAGACCACTAGCATGTGAGGTTGAGGCAATGTAGTTAGAAGTTGAACTGAGTGTGAATTTAGTTGTTGCTATAGTCACCTTGTGTGATAACCAGCTTCAAATTCCCCTTGTGCTTAGACTATGGGGTAGCAGCTGAGTGTGGTGGCTCATGCCTGTAATCCCAACTCTTTGGGAGGCCAAGATGGGCAGATCACCTGAGCTCAGGAGTTCAAGACCAGCCTGGCCAATACAGTGAAACCCCATCTTTACTAAAAATACAAAACATTAGCCAGTCGTGGTGTCGCAGGCCTGTAACTGCAGCTGCCTGGGAGGCTGAGGCACGGGAATCTCTTGAACCTGGGAGGTGGAGGTTGCAGTGAGCCGAGATCATACTACTGTACTCCAGCCTGGGCGACAGAGCAAGATTGTCTTAAAAAAAAAAATAGAATATAGAGTTGGATGTTGGGGCTCTTTCCTCTGTGTTCCTGCTCCAGTTTTGGCTTTCAGATTTTCCTGCCTGCCTGTACTACAGGGATGTCTCTTTCTGTGCTCTTGCCTTCCACAGGGGTGGATTGCCTTTGTTTGTTGCTTGGTGCTTGCTTGCCTGATGGTGGGGTTCAGGGGGTGTTCTCAGTTGTCTTGGTCTAGCCTCAGGCTTTGACGTGCCTTGTGTACCTAGCCTTGGCAATGGGGTTTTCTTAGTGCTCTTCTTCCTCTTCTCTGTGACAGCTAAACTCTACTAGGACTCTTGAAGTTAGGTCTGAGAATGTGATTTTCTTTTGGCCAAAGAAATATTCATAAAAGTTACATATATCTTTTCTGAGTGAAAACATTTAAAAGTCATTGCACATTTCTCCATGATCTTTTTTGTTTTTTCTGCAGCTTTTTGTGGGCATCGTGTTGTCATAATAGGGTGGTATTTCCATTCACCTAAGTCCCTGAGTGACTGTAATAGCATAACTGTCCTGCTCCACATGCTACATATAGATTAAATAAGAAACAAGCCATTGTAGTTTTAAGCCAGTATGATTTTGGAGCTATTTGTTACCAGAGCATAATCTACTTTATTTTGACTAATATAGCCTGAGTCCCTGAATGACTGTTTGTAGAAAGTATGCCACATTGACCTATTTACCTGCTCTTTACTATTGTTGAAGCAGGAAATAAACTTCTATTACGCTTGAACCATTATATAGTTTTGAATCAAATATTATAGCAATTAGCTAGCCTAAGTAACAAAGAGATTAGATGGTGGTAAGCATGCTGTACTTGCAAAAGTTTGAGGTAAAGGGGAAGAAATGATGTTTAAGGGAAGAGCAGTATTAATGCAAAGTATTACATAAATGGGAAAAATATGAGCATAATTTTAGGCAGAGTAGTGGGTGTATGTTGAAAAACTGTAGATGAGAAAGAGAAAAAGATAGCTTAAGCAAAGAGTTACATACATATCTTTTACAGAGTGGAGTAGAAGAGAAGAGAGATAGCATAAGTGAGTACATAAACAGATGATGAGCTGGAAATGGCAGAAATGGAGGCAAATTCTGTCAAAGCTTTGATTTGCCCTCAGCAAAGTTAGACACATGTTTCTGTCTGCACAGCACATATTTCACCCTTTCTTCTGATGGTGATGCCTGCTTTCTCAGCCACAGGCATGGACATCTGATCCAGACCAGGCCTCAAGTATTAAATTCCTTAAGTCCCAGTGATTTTTTTCCTGAGATAAACATATTGTCTGAGCAGAGCCATCAGCATCCTTCTCTTTGACTTTTCTAACTACAGCATGTGGAAAACAGTCTGTTTCTCTTTTCACAAGTGATTCTGGAGTTGCTCATGGTAGTTTCTCCCAGTGAGAAAATGAAGTCAATTAATAGGACAAACAGAAGGACAGATGAGAGGTAGAAAGGTATATGCACAGATACTCCTTTTACGAGGTTACCGTACAATGGAGGAAATTTGACTTACTTAAATCTGACCATCAGCTAATTTAAGAGTGATGGATGTCAAAACAAAGGTAAAGAATTTCAAAGAATGAAAGGATGAAGAGGTTATAGCCATTGTTCACATATTACAGGTTTTATGGGAAAGGATGCATTTGAGCTTTTCCTAGAGGGATGGGTAGGATGGGAATGAGATACTTTAAATAGTGGAGAATAACATGAACGAAGGCTGGAGGAAGAAAATTACAAGTAGTCAATCTGGCTATAAGAGGTTAGAGCAGATATTCTCAAACTCAGCTGGACTGAAGTTACATGAAGTGTTTATTATTTTTTAAATATTACTTCCAGGCCCCCACCTGTGAGAGATTAGAGTGAAATTCTTCTGAGGGACAACCAGGACATCAGGATTTTTAAAACATCTTCAGATAAGTCTAATGTGCAACAAAGGGGAAAACTAACCATTTTAGAATATGGGAAAGAGAAAAATTTTTGAAATTATGAATTAGGATCATATGCTAGAAGGAATTACATAGAAGACTCTTAAGATTGGGCTTTGTTTTATAAACAGAAGGAATCCTTCAATTTTTTTAACATTTATTATTATTATTATTTTTAACCAAGTGAAGGATAACATAGTGACCTAGTGGCTGGAAGTGCTAACTATGGAGTCAGACTCCCTGGGTTTCAATCCTGGCTCTGCCACTTGCTCTCTGATTGCCCTTGGGCTTTTGACTCTGCCTCAGTCTCTTTATATGTAAAGTAGTGATGCTAATATTAGCTGTCTTGGAGGGTTGTTTTGATTATTACATCAAATAATCTATTTGAACATTCTTAATATAATACTTGTTGTATACAAGTCACTTAATTGAAGTCACTTTTTCTTTTCCCTCCAGTTACTGAACTTCAGGAAGATTGGTCTGACTTTGATGTGTAAAATGGGATGTATTTCCTTTAATTACTTGTTTATTTGACACATGTTTAATGAGTACCTACCATATGAGAGATACTATCATGAGTGCCAGAAAAAATAGTAAAAATAAAAACAATGTCAATACAGCACTTTAACATTTTAGAATTTTTTCTACATAAATGAACTTGTTTGATCCTCACTACAACTAGCGAAGGGGAAGCAGGGACTTCTGAGATTATAGTGAGGTCAGTATTAAAAATATTATCTTGAGGGATCAATCTGGAGAGGGATGCAAGTTAAAACCAGAACCAGAGGGATGACCTGGGATCATTGAGAGCAACTTAGACTAAAAGTCATAGTGAAGACAGGGAAGAAAGTTGTGGGAGAGAGATGTGACAGCAGTGGTCAGAGAGGAGAATGTATCAATCTAACTGTATCTCAACAGACCATAGACTCCAAAAGGCTCTTGGCTTTCGTGGCTCAGGCTCCCTTGTAACCAAATAGCATTTCTGTAGTGATGCTGCGATTACTTGTACTCTTCACACCTAGACTTCTGGAAGCGTTAAGTGTCAGGGGATTCTTGTTTCCCAGGGTGATGTATGGCCTGCTTCATAGTTTATTTCTTAGCCTGGTCTTTGTATAAGCATTAAGAGATTAGACGTAAATATTAATATGGTAATGGATTTTATTGGTGTTTCATAAAAACTGGAAGTCAAAGAGGAAAAATTGCAAAAAGCAGCCAAATCTATCAACTTGCTTTCATTTTAAAATCTTATATAACCTACTTTTCTCAACTGATAGTAAGGTATTCAATTTTGAAGCTCTCTAGGGAAGCTCTTATGAGTGGTGGAGAGAAGTGACTTGCTTGGAATGAACAACAATTTGTTCCCATGACTCTGTGTGTGGGAAAGCCAAATAATACTCTGACGTCAACACTTGAGTAAATGACAAAACACTATATCCAATAATATGTTACCAATATCAATATAAATTCATTAGTTAGTGGCTCTCCTAGGTTGATACTGACCTACTGATAACAATTTGGAGTTGTTTTCAGGTTTCTGTTTGTCCAACCAATGGTTGCATAATTCAGGCTCCATTTTACCAGTTTATTGATGAGTATACCATACTGGCATCAAAGTCTCAGTAAAGTCAAGATATATTATCTCAGGATGTGTCCTTCTGTCTGAGAAATTAGGTTAGCTTCACCAAACATATTCTAAACATTATCCTAGACCTTGTTTTTCTTTAAGATGTCCAAAAATGGGTCCTATGAAGATCTTTGTCAGTATCTTTTCAGCCTAGACCATCATGCAAATACAACTTACTTTATCTTTTAAATACCTGAGGCTTCATTCAACTGAGGGGACCTGGGAGTGAATTGCTAACCTAGAAAAGATGAGATTTAGCATAGCTTTTCTTGCAATTTCTTCTATTGGCTCTCAGACAAGAAAATGGGTGGAATTTCCTCAGTTCCTAAATCAAAACTTTAAAAATAAATACTGCCCTTCATCTACAAAAATGACTCTGCTGAACCTTTATCTGTGGAGCCTGAACTCTGAGTTTGTTTTCTCAGGAGTAAATTCTCAAATTTAGGCGGTTCCTAAATTTGCTCTCATCTAGACTACATTTTTTGCTCAGTACACTTGTGATTATCACGCATTGGTGTGAGATGATTAGCTGGTCTTTGAGGTGTCATGGGTAACTGTCATGATACAGGTATCAGGCTGCATAGAAGACAGCCTGAGACCTAGTCTTTGCTTTCACAGCTAGATTGATGCACTGACCATCTAATGTAATCACAATAGCAATGCAAAGCTGAGTTAGGAAAGGACTGTGGGAATGTTTGTCCAATAAAGCATGTGCATCTCCGTCACTCAAGTGTCTGTAAAGGGTCAAAATTATTATACAGTATTCTAAAAATAAGCGTTTAAACCAAAATGCTTAGAATCAAGTGAATGAGACTAGCATAACATATGTGAAACAAAGAGAAACATCATACATATAGTAAAATGGCATGCAGAGAGATTCTAATAATACTGGCCACAGTTATTCAGAAGATGTGAACTGACTGGGGGTGGTGTAATGAAGAAAGTTTCCCGAGGCAGTGAGAACTGAACTCCCAAAGAGAAAACAGAACTCATTCAAATGTAAGGGGGTAAGAAGAGCCAACATATTTTACTGTGGAAACAGTTTTGTTTTTCTTCTTATTTGCTTCCTTACCAGCATCCAACCCATTCTAGGGGAATGCACTTCACTGCACACACCCCACCAACAGGGACAGATGCAAATATTTTCCCTCACCTCAGGGGAGTGTTTGAAAACACTCTCTTGGAAAGGAAACTAATTTATTTGGTTGCTAATTATTTTGGCTCTGGTTTTAATGAGCCATCAGCTGTAAAAGATAAAGAGGATAAACAGGCTTTTCTCTCTTTTTTTGGTAAAGTAATTAAAAGGGTATGGAAGAGTAGCATGTAGAAGTTAAGATCATGGATTCCGGTGCAGGCTGTGTTTGTACCCCTGCCTATTAGGTGTGTGACCTTCAGCCAATTGCTTATCCTCTCTATGCCTAAGTCCTCATCCTTAAAATGAGAAAAAAAACTGGTACCTATCTAAAACATTGTAATGAGAGTAAAGATTGAAACAGTGGTTATTGTTACTGTTGTTATTATTGTTATATTATTATTGGCTTGGAACACTGGGAAGAGATGAAGAATAGATGGTATGGACAGATGGGATACCAGGGCTTTCTAAATGATCCTAGGGAAATTGCTTAGGAAATGTGGGGTGTTTGTGTGTGTCTGTGTGCGTGTTTTAGGGAAGAATAAACTGGGATCAGGTAAACTGTTCCTTGGAGAATGTCTGCTGAGTACACTAGAGAAGGACCCCATGAAGGATTTTTGTTTTTTTGTACCCAAACAATCGGATTTATCTCCAGCATCTAACTGTGTATACATAATGAAGAACCTGCATTTGCCTGTGCCCGGTGCCCAGCCAATTGTTCCTGAAACCTCTGAGGGGGATTTTATTATTGTTGTAGGACTCTCTCCTTAGTTCAGCTAAGAGCCGGTTTCTTGTTACACAGCCATGAGAGAGATTAGGCTCGCAGACACTTTGAAGGGTGAGAATAAATGGACTTTATTGGAGAAAAGGGAAAAAAAGAGAAACAAGGACCCTCTGCGAAGCTAGAGTTCTGGTAGTGCGCTTCCTGCCTCGCAGATTGAATCCCAGGTACCACGCAGGAAGAAGAGGGGCCAGGTTCCTTCCTGCTGCAAACGGTGCTAACTTCTGTGGCTCCACCCGGGTGTGCAGGCCAGTTGGGGTTTTCCCGGGGACCCCCTTACACTTGGATGTCTCATTATTATCTCTACCTCAGTGTTTTTTTTTAAAAATCAGTTGATAAACAACAAAAGCAAAACTTGTTAATGTCATGGGAATTTTGTTTTTCTCTATGAAATTAACCTAGCGCGAACAACTATGAACGCTGCAAAACAAACAATGAAGAAACAAAAAATTCCAGAATACCTGTCTGGAAATACAGGCCCCCTAGGCATTGCGATTAGGATTAGTGTTGGAGGAATTTTTCTAAACCTGGAAGTCAAGGGTGCCTGAATCAGAAAAATTTAGACTCCTGTTACATTAGCACTCTTCAGATGGTAGAAGAACTTTTTTTGAAAAAACTACTTGTTCCGTAGAAGAAGCTTCTTAGATGAACAGTCTGGTGCAGGACTACACAGTGCTGTCCTTGAAACACTGTAGGATCAGGATCACCTGGGAGTTCATAAGAAATACAGGATCTTGGGTTCCACTCCAGACCTCCTCTATCAGAGGCTTCCTTTACATGTGCTTCATGTGTACATTCAAATTTGAAAAGCTTTGCTTCAGGGGACTCTAACGGGTTTCACACTTCTTGGGGTGCCTAACTCACCACGCTGGTGTGGTAAAACATCATGAGAGGCTGTGGTTGAACATTTCCCCATGTACAAGGAGAAGGATTTCCAGAAAGTAGATAGAATGGTAATGAGCATGGCAATTACAAATAAAGCCTTTGTTTTGAATTGGTAATTGAAGAAATATGCAAAAAAGTATGCAATTCTTCATTTTGAAATCTTTTAAATCCTCAGACATCTTGAAGTAAAAATGCCTCTGGAATGTGGCATAACACTTAGATCCTTTAGAAATTTAGATCAAAGGTGAGAATCATCAAAGTGTTTGTAGGTTCAAAGTAAAAAAATATACCAGTTCTGAAATACAAGAGTTATGTTGAGACGGTTTTTTGTCTCTGTGTGTCTTTATGAGGAAGTGCTTCTTGAACCTTTTAACCCTATAGACTTGCCAGTTTGAGTGGAAGAGGTGACATTTTCCTTTAAGCTACAGGTTGCATTCTGTTCAGATCCTCAAGCATCAAGGTCAGGCTCTGTTCAGAATAACTGAATGCTAATTGACTTGCTGGGAATTAATGTGCATTATCTTGTTTACACCAGTGTTCTGTTGGCAGTTTGTAAATCATTCTCTCCGGCAGGCTCTGACATGGATTTGAAGTTTGTTTCTGTTTTATAGGAGTTGGGTTAATCTCTAGCTATGCTAGAGGGTTAGAGAAATTAGACAGAATGAGAGAGGGGGGACCTCTCCCCTGCACATTTCTATATCATGAATGATTGTCAAAATTGACAGTGATTGTGCAGCCTGCATTTACCTCCAGGTAAGAAACAGGCTGGCTATATAATTATGCTAACGCTTTCCAGGGAATTTATTTTTTGTTCTCTATCTTTGCCAAATGTACACAGGCTCCTGCTTGCTTGAGCATTTTCTCAGCAACCAACCAACCAACACACACACACACACACACACACACACACACACTCTCTCTCTCTCTTATAAAAATAGGCACAGACTGGCTGGCACACTCATAGAGACCATGCAAGGTGACCTCAGTGATTTGTATGGCTACTCCTCCCCGTGGTCCATTTCTCAATGCAGTGGGCATTCTTCCAAATACACAGCAGCTCTTTGTGCAGTAATCACTTTGCCTTCTATTGAAACCCCAAGAAAGAGGTATACAGTTCCCCTACATATTGCTCTGCTTTTGGTCTACATTAACTATGATCCTATAAGAGGTGTGGAACCACAGCAACTCCAACTTGGATAGGAGCTGGGTAAAATGAGGCTGAGACCTACTGGGCTGCATTCCAAGATGGTTAAGGCATTCCAAGTCACAGGATGAGATAGGAGGTTGGCACAAGATACAGGTCATAAAGACCTTGCTGATAAAACAGGTTGCAATAAAGAAGTCGGCTAATACCCACCAAAACCCAGATGGCCACGAGAGTGAACTCTGGTCATCCTCATTGTTACGCTCCCACCAGCATCATGAATTTACAGATGCCATGGCAATGTGAGGAAGTTATATTATATGGTCCAAAAAAGGGAGGCATGAATTATCCACCCCTTATTTAACATTATCATCAATAAATAACCATAAAAATAGGCAACCAGCAGCTCTTGGGGGGCTGCTCTGACCATGGAGTAGCCATTCTTTTATTCCTCTGCTTTCTTAATAAACTTGCTTTCACTTTACTCTAGAGACTCGCCCTGAATTCTTTCTTATGTGAGATCCAAGAACCCTTTCCTGGGGTCTGAATTGGGACCCTTTTCCGATAACGGTCCCACTGTTGTTTACTTTTCTTCTCGCTAGCTAGCTATGTGATCTTGGGCAAGTCACTGTGCTTCAATCTCCTCATCTCTAAAATTAAGGGATTATACTCCTTAGGTGTATCCTGGGTTTCATGCTTCTTTTTCCTTTAGTTCTAGGAAGCAAAATAGTTGCTAGCACCAAAACTGCTCATCTTGGACTTTAAGCTTGGAGGAACCTGTAGGGCTGTAGCGAAAACTATGGTGACAATAGAGGCTTTATTTGGAGTTCCAGAGCTGCCTCTGAGTTAATGTGCAACTGACCTTTGGCAAGTCTGTTGGATCTTCAGTTTTCTCCTCTGTAAAATGGAGATAAATAGAGTTTCTTGCCTGTCCTGCAGGGCTGTGATGAGAGAGTGTATTGCAGTGAGTAAAGTGCTATATGGTGCAGAGGATGATAAATTATCCAGGTTTGTCTGACCAGTCCTTTTAACTAGGGAGATGGCATCAAGCTAGTCCCAACCCACAAGTATCCTCACTAGCAGCAGCTGCAGTGCTCAGTCTAGTTCCATAGGAGAATCCTTTAGAGATGAAGATGCCTGGACTGCACCTCAACACCACCCAATCAGAATTTCTAGGGGAAGTCTCAGGTGTAAAAAAAAATGCATGTGCAGCCAGGTTTGAGAACAAGTGATCTAAAGACAAGGAAATCTTACCACCCCCTCAGTCTCAAATCCTGATATTCATCGTATGTGACAGGATGTCCCTTATCACATCTGATGCCTGAGGTGTTGTGTAAGACAGAACAGAGTCTGCGGGGGACTGCCCTGCTGTAGCCTTCTTATTAAACTTGACAAATATACCTTCTAGTCTTATTTCATGGTTTTCTTCCCCATATATTGAATGGAAGGAATCTCTCACACTACTATTGGAAATGAACTTTCTGAGCACTGTGTGTCTTTTGGGAATGAGGCGAGGTTCAGCTTGAACTATATTTAGCCCCGTCTAAGCCCCTCTTTTAAGTAGTAACTAGGGCACAATTGAACTTTATCTTTCGCCGTTTGGAAAACCAAAGTAGTAGAAGACGATAGGGAAAGAGAAAGCAAAACAAATGGGTTTCTACTTATATACTTTTGTTACCAGTTAGAGCCTGTTTAGAACTGGCCACTGGTTCAGTTCTGTGCCTAAGGAACAGCTGTGGGAATGAGTATCTGGAGTTTATGCAAACTGCTTCCAGGTAACAAAGGCTTAGGCTAAATCTTTCTCTTTACTGTTCTGCTCTGGTTCCACCATGTCAGAGAGTAAACTCATGCTAGATATTTCAGAGCCATAGTACTAAGCAGTGCCATTAAGAACCTCAGAGCAGGCTGGGAGCGGTGGCTCACGCCTGTAATCCCAGCACTTTGGGAGGCTGAGGAGGGCGGATCACGAGGTCAGGAGATCGAGACGATCCTGGCGAATATGGTGAAACCCCGTCTCTACTAAAAATACATTAGCCAGGTGTGGTGGCGGGTGCCTGTAGTCCCAGGTACTCGGGAGGCTGAGGCAGGAAAATGGCTTGAACCTGGGAGGCAGAGCTTGCAGTGAGCCGAGATTGTGCCATTGCACTCCAGCCTGAGAGTCAGCAACACTCTGTCTCAAAAAAAAAAAAAAAAAAAAAAGAACCTCAGAGCAGGTGGCAGTTGGAGGGAGGAAGAGAAAGAAAATAACCCCATCCCAAATATGTGATTTGAAATAAAAGACGCAAAGCAAATTCTCAGGAGGTGGCCTTTTTATTTGTCTTTATTTATTTCACTTTAGTTTGTCAGTGAAATGAGATAAGAACATCTATCTCCTGCTAAATAGGGCCCACGTTCTTTTAGGTAAGAATGTAATGCTGGAGGAAGGCATTTCTGGAAACTCGGTTTAATCTATTTCTGGGGTAATGGACTTGCACAGCGGCCTCAAGTGCCACCGTTAATAGCTTCTTGCTTCTTCCAGCAGAAATGCACTAGAGCTGTGTTCAGATGTGTGTCCACTTTGAGGGAAAGAACAACAGAAACTTCTCTGGGAGAGGGGGAGAGTGAGAGAGAGAGAGAGAGAGAGAGAGAGAGAGAGCGAGAGAGAGAGGGAGAGAGAGAGAGAGAGAGAGAGAGAGAGAGAGAATTAAGCACATTCTTTAATCCAGCAAGAAAAAAGAAGAAATTACCTTAGTGCATGCTCCTACCGGTATAAACAGAAGCATTAGGGAAAAAGCTAGTTTCTTCATGACTGAAAAATATTTAGAACATAGAACTTGGGCTCCTACTTCTCTATATTTCCTTGGTTGCTTTAATCCTGTGAGCTTTCGGCTCCAGGGAGAAAGTCTAAAAATACTACCTCCTATTTGTTCAAAAGCAAGTAACAAAGGTGGAAGGGTCCTGCTTTTGCCTTAAAGGAAAAAAGAAATATGAAATCTTAGTGTTTTCATTTTTAAACTCTAAATCAAAGTGTGGCTTTAGAATATTGTGTTTTATTTTTATTAGGCAATGTGGAGGCATGCAACACAGATTCAAATGGTGCAAAAGGAAATACATTGGAAAGTTATTCTCCCTCCTAGCTTTATCCAGGTACTCCAGTTCCCCTTCGCTGAGGCAACCTCTGATGTTAGTTCTTGTGAATCTTTTCAGAGATATTCTTTGCATAGCAAAGTGTGCGTGTGTGTGTGTGTGTATGTGTGTGTATATGTGTGTGTGTATGCACAGATTCACATGGCCCTTTCTTCCTTCATTTAACATAAATAGTTGCATTCTACACACATTATCCTGCCCCTTGTGCTAGTCACTGAAGAAGTTGTCTGAGAGGTAATTTTATATTAGGACATAGAGACCAATCTTCTTCATTTTAATAGTTGTAAGAAGTTCACTGAGGCAGATATTGTAATTTTTTTAACCAGCTGCTCCAATACCAATTTAGCCTGTTTTGATTAATTTGCCACTACAATGTTGGAATGAATATTCTTATACATATACCTTAAAGTATACAATATTTTTGAATCTTAAGTTGCCACAATGTAAATTGATTTGCACATCTCTCTTCTTCCATGGTTGCAAGCTTCTCCCAGGCTAAGCAGAGATCTTTAGCAGATTTAATTGTATTTTATGTTTGAAATATCAACTGCAGGTCAGAGTGTATTGCTGTTTTCTGGATGTGAGATTTCCCTTGGGTTTCATTTAGCTGTTAC